>NC_000001.11:219434587-220059587 GCF_000001405.40 Homo sapiens
GGCCCAAGACTTATGCCTCTCTACCTGAAAAATGCCTTTTCCTTCAGCAATGCTGTGATTTTTTCAATTCTGAAGGCTGAATGATCAGCACCACTTCAGTTTAGTTAAGGATTCACTTGGCTAGCCCAGACTACCATGCGTTGACTGACAAGTACAGGTGCTGTCTAAAAGGAGATTAGAAGAGCATTGACTTGCGTTACAGGAGATCGGAGGGTTAGTGAGTCCTTTTTGCAATCAAGAAATAATCAGCCGTGTTCTTAGGAGATTTCACTCTGTTGTAACTGAATGTGATGCTGTACTGGAAAAAAAAAAATAAAGCAGAGCGCTGGGCCTGGGATAATGGTCCAGCTTGTCTGGACCCCATGTCCCCTCATCATGGGAGAAAGCATTTATTCCTTCTCTCTTTCACTCTTTGCTACAACAGATATCAAGTGAGCATGTACATGCAGCACACTCTGCGTGGCAGGCACTGGATATTCCTGAGTGAACAAAAGATGCACAGTCATTGATGTCATGGTGATCACAATCAAGTAGGGTGGAGCAGACAATAAACAAACACATAGATAAAACTGCAAATCCTTAAAGGTCTTATTGGATGCCAGAGATAAATACTTCCACTAAAAATGTCTTAGACAGTAAAGAGATTTAAAAACTAAGACATAGGGTGGTTCCAACAGTGGTCCAGCGACTCAGTCATGCCACTAAGGACCCAGAACTTTCTATCTTCTCAAGTTCCATCTTCAGCATGCTGAAACTTTCTACTTCAGTGGCTTTTTGAGATATTTTTCTAAAGACAGTTCCTTCTCCACAAGAAAATTAACAGCACCTGTTAGATAAAATTCAAAATTAAATTATTTACAGAAAGTTGTTATTAGCCTGCACTTAACTTGCATCTCTTTGATGGGCTTAGTGTACAATGTTATCTTCCTAATGTTAATAATAGTGAAAGATCAGGCTGGGTGCGGTGGCTCATGCCTGTAATCAATCCCAGTACTTTGGGAGGCCGAGGCAGGCGGATCACGAGGTCAGGAGTTTGAGACCAGCCTGGCCAACATAGTGAAACCCCGTCTGTACTAAAAATACAAAAAATAAGCTGGGTGTGGTGGTGCATGCCTGTAGTCCCAGCTACTCGGGAGGCTGAGGCAGGAGAATCACTTGAACCCGGGAGGTGGAGGTTGCAGTGAGCCGAGACCACACCATTACACTCCAGCCTGGGTGACATAGTGAGATTCCGTCCCAAAAATGATAATAATAATAATAATAATAGTGAAAGATCAGTGACACATCCCACATTCATTTAAAGCATTTGCAATGTCTGTTCTCATACAGTTTGTTCAAGTAATGCTGTCTACACAGTCTGCACCAGAATGCAAAATTTTGAAGAGAACTAGCCCCAATCCTTGTCTATACTCCTTTTCATTCTGCCCCAGTGCCATCTCCTATTACAAGAAGCTTCACACATAGACACAGGAACACACTAGCCCGTACACCCACACTCCAGTCACAGACTGTACAAGATCAGCCATAGTCACTGGTGTGCTTTGGGGTGCTCATACCTGTGTGCTGCCTGCTCTTAAAAGAAGACACCTGGGCAAGAGGCCCTCGCAGGCCCTGGAAGTAGGCTTTGGCCACTTGGACATAAAAGTCTGGGGTTCTAGCCTCCTAGAGGGATAGCCACTTTATGTCTTTAAAGAACTCTAGGTGCCTTTGTATTTGTGGGCCCCCTTTTCCATAAAATAAATCACAAGTTATGTCTTACGACTGTGTTGGTATAGAAATAAATATATTAATATGATGTCAGATATGTTTTCAACCTAAAAGTTCATTCTTTTTTTTCTGATTTTAAAAGAAATTTGAACATTTTTGTGGCCCCTAACAGTAATAGGGGCCCTTGGCACTCCACCTATTGTACCTAAAAGATAAATCTGCCTGCCCGGAGCTTAGTCTTGAAGGGGGAAGGAGTGTGTGCTCTAATTTGGCCTAGAGATTCCTTGCCCCATGGGAAGAGGCATAGCCAGAGCAGACCCTTAAGTCTGGACCCTTAAGTCACAGGGCTCAGATTTGGGGTTCCTCATCCACAAGGCTAAGTGTGTTACCATTTCATAATAAACATGTGCACTCAAGTGGGCAGTGAATTTTATTATTATGAAGAGCGTTGAGTTAATACTTGTTCTGCATTTGTATTAGTAAAGATCACATTCTGGTGGCTCTCCTCCATAAGAGAACAGCTGGCTCTGAAAAATGAAAGAACTTCTAGGGAGTCAAAACAACATCTTGCAACTTCTAAATAACAATTTTTCCAGGTTCTTTGCTTCAGTGTTTCAAAAAAATAAATCTCAGGGTTTAGTTTGAGATTGGGAACTCTGTTACACTATTTTTTCTTGATATATTAGACAACACAGAATTAACCAAGAAGGCTAGGAGAAAACTCTGGGTGCCTGTGAAGTTCTATGAACCACCTCTCTTACCTCTAGTGTATACAGAGTGGACTAGGTGTTTAGTGTTATCCTCTGAAGTAGCTGTAGTTTGCTTCTCCTCCTCCCATTCAAATACTTTAAGCTTCTCAGTACTTCTCTCTGGAAAATACTGGGAGTGTGACCCCACCAGTTAGTAGAAGTTGGAGTGCCACAGGGCTGGGTGAGCTCAGAGCAGGAGCAGGAATGCCACCATCAGCCTGTGGGACTCTCCCCTTCTCACACCATCTTTCCATGTTCTGCCCATCATCCCACCTGTAAAGCATTAATAACTAGGACATCCTGTTTTCTTTCTCTCTTCCCACCCCACTCCATCCCTCCTAAATAGCTCTCAAATCTTCCACGTCTTCTTCATCTCAAAGCCAGTATCCCAGCTAAGGACCTCACTGTCTCTTACCCGAACTCTTGCAATACACCCATTCCTGGTTTCCCTGACTCTGATCCTTCCCCTCCCTCCCTACATTTCCATATTAAATTGCAATAGGAGGGATCTCACATAGATCTGTGCTGCCAGGTACCTCTCCCAAACTGGAGTTCAGGGAAATGTTTCAGTAGATATTAAATATATATTTTATCTTGCCCCCTTTGGTACAATCTTTTATTCTATTGTTTTTAGGGTGTGCAACAATTAAGTCCCTTCTCTCCCTGGTCCCAAAGACACTCTGTATTTTATTTTATTATTTTATTGTATTTATTTTATTTTATTTTATTTTATTTTATTTTATGAAGGAATCTCAGTCTGTCACCCAAGCTAGAGTGCAGTGGTGTGATCTCAGCTCACTGCAACCTCCACCTCCCCGGTTCAAGTGATTATCCTGCCTCAGTCTCCCGTGTAGCTGGGATTACAGGCGCCCACCACCACGCCTGGCTAATTTTTGTATTTTTAGTAGAGATGGGGTTTCACCATGTTGGCTAGGCTGGTCTCGAACTCCTGACCTCAAGTGATCCAACCGCCTCGGCCTCCCAAAGTGCTGGGATTACAGACGTGAGCCACCACACCCAGCCCTATTTGTCTTTTTTAATTTCAGTGAGGAAAAAAGGACCCCTCTTATAGCAAGAGGCATAGGCCCCTCAAAGAATTTAATTACCCTTTACTTCCTATCAAATACAATGACAAAAACTATTTAGATATCATCAGCACTATGTTCAGTCCTCATCTGGAGACTTGAGACTGTGGTGGTAACACCTCTATAGTAGACATCCAGAGGGAGCCCATGCCTAGAGTTAGGTATCTGTTGGGAATTCCCAGGCTGTCATTCAGGTTAACAGAGGGAACTCTTTTCATTATATTTCTTAAGGTAGGGTTTTGGGGAAGGGATGGAATCCACGAAATTTGTCCATTAAAGAGGTCTATAAAATATTTTGCATTTTGTTCCTCGTGCAAAGTACCTGCACTTGTTTTATTCCTCTTATTGAACATGCAAATAACTAACAAGAAGGACTAAGAGAAGTCTATTACTCTCCATTGTTCTGTAGTAAACAGGAAAATTAGTCACATAGTGTTGCCAGGTTATCGTCAGCACCTATTTGGGAAGTTTCTTGGGGATTCCCACACAACAATTATAAACACATTTTTGACTTTGCATTTAAATGTTTTATTGGCAAACAGATAAATTAGAGGGTGAAATTATTCATACTACAGAAAGATGCTTCACAACAGCAAAAGATCACAAGGCATTTACTATGGCATTTATTCAAGTTTTGTTTCCACATCACTAAATAATTCAGAGGAGAAAAAACTAAAATGGGGAGTGTTCTAGGCCACTGTTGATAACATATCCATCCATCAAAAATGAAATTGTAATGACAAAGGACATTAGTATGTCAATGGTTAATTTATGTTTTACAATTTTTATTTCTTTAGACAGAAAGCTAAGCACTTGATAACCCTATTAAATCTTTTTCATGCTCTTTCTTGCCTACCTGATATATAAGATGTTTCATCCTGCACGTTCCTTCAACTTTATTTCTCTTTGCTCTCCGACTCACTCAAACTCTATTTTACCTTCAAACTCATTTCTGAACTATTTCCTGTGCTTGTCTTGCTCTACACTCCATTCCTACCTATCCCCAGTCCATCACCTGACAAACTCATACTCCTGTAAGACTCAGATTGGGCCTCACTGCTTCATAGGTACTCTTCTGACTTCCCTTGAGTTTACTGAAGTCCCCTTCTTGCACACTTCCTTTATGCCTTCCATATACCTCTATTAGAGCACAGATAACATGGAACTCTTGGTAACCTCCCCCACTAGATTACAAGTTTTTTGAGGACCAGAGTTGCCTTCCTCTTTTCATAACCAGGGTGCTGATGTTCAACACCTCCTCATGAATCACTCCAGTTCAAATCCTGCCTCTTCCATGATACGTTATCCAACCTCAGCAGCCTAGAATACTCCCTTACATTCCTACTCTCCAAAACAAATGAAACTTCCAAAGCACTTGTTTATATTTTGCTTTGTGAACAGCTCTTTTCAAGGAAATGTGCAAAACACAGTCCTTATCTTTTAACCACAATATTAGATATATCAAAATAGTTAGAATACTATGGACACTCCTAGGATTGGGCCACACTAAATAGTGGCTATTTCATAAGTGCTTGCTCAGCTTAATGGAATTAGTGTGAAAGACGAAATAGTGGGGTCTGGCATTGTGGATATATACTGTTTGCAGAGCATCCTTGCTGTTGGGAAAGCATATATATTATAACTTATGGCCTTCTGGCTTTTATGGAATCATCAAATATTTTTTATGATTATATAACAAAATTAAGTTTGAAAAAAGCAATCCCTAAAGGACAAAAGCAAACTAAAACAAGTAAACCCAACTAGACATTGCTTTATGGCATAATCACACACAGAGAAACTATTTTAATTGTCTTAAGAAGACAAAACTGACTATATATATATATACATATATATATATATATACACACATATATATATATATATACACACACACACATATATATATATATACACTCAGTGGGATTTTCTCTAGTGATACTAAGAAATTCAAACACACACACACACACTCTCACTCTCTTTTCAGTAATCATATTATTGATAGTGCTATTGGAATTGTTATTTTAAGATTATTCCATTGGGAGTTCCTTATTTTCAGCCTACAAAAAGAAAAAAATATGTAACGTAGATTAGATTAAGCAAAAATTCTACAGTCTTAAATTTGATTTTGAAGTATTAGTATGACCTCATGATAATTTCTTCTTTTAAAAAAACCTATTTACTACCTCTGCCCACTGAAACATGTCTAAAAACAAAGGTCAACCCAGGATCGATGTGTATTCCCTAAATGCCACTAAGAAATGACTAACATCATGTCTGGGAAGGAAATGTACAAAATGAGCCTGGATCTTCATGTACCATAGAGAAAACATAACATCAAAGACCACTGAAAGTGTGTAGAAAGGACTCAGGAGCCATCCTGAGGAGCCTCTTACTGGCCAGAGATGGGTCAATTTAAATATCAGTAAAGATAATGGCAATAGATTGAAAGACATCAGATATATTTAAATTTCTTAGTTAATAATGGCTATAGAAATAAAAACAATTGGCCACTTTTGACCAGTGAGTTATTTAACTATGTTGAAAACTGGTAAATAAAGAAAAAAGATTAAGCATTTATTCTGACTTTTCTATATGACCAATACTTCAAGTCAACCAAGTAATGTATGAGAATTTTCTCTTTATGGAAGGATTCCAGGTAACAAATTTAAAGAGTATGATAGAATTATAATATCACCTTTCTGCTACTCCTAATGATATAGTGTATCTAAATAGTAGTCATCAATCACTGCTGACTTCACGAAAAAGGAGACAATTAGACATTTTATATGCCCTAATAGAGGCTCACAGCACCATTTATGAAGTTGACTTGCCAAATGAATCCAAGGTGAATGTGATTGAGCCTCTAGATCCAACTAATAATTTGCAGAAAACACATGGGACAGAAAAGCATGATACGTGAAACCACAAGGATCCAATTAGCAAATTCTTACGGGGGAAATTCTACAGGAAAACAATGTGTTTAAAAAACAAAAGAGTAAGAGGAAAATTGAATCTATACATTAAAGGAAATTTAAATGACATATCAACCAATTTTAGTGTATGGAACTTATTTTGATGCTGATTTGAAGATATTTTATAAATGTATCAAAATTATAAGATAATCAGACATCTGTATACAGACATTTAATATTAAGGAACTATCATTAGGTAGGATAATGATATTGTGCTCATTCGTAAAACAATATTTCTATTTTAGAGATAAAGAATTAACATTTTACAGATGAAATAAGATGAGGCCCGAGATTCATTTGAAATAATCCAGGTAATTGTGGAAATGGATAGGGGTGCAGATGAAGCAAGATTGTCCATGTGTTGATAATTGTTTAAGAAGGAAATTGGTATATGGAGGCTTATTATGCTATTCTCTATATTTTTGAATGTGCTAAATAATCTACAATGAAGTGTTTTTGAAAAAGATATTGAATAGCTAATAGAGTATTAGAAGGGCCAGAAAACAAAAGCATAAGACCCAGCTTCTAGCAATAATGCAAAATTAAGTCTCAGAAACACTTTCGTAAGGAAAACGCTGTAGCCACCACTAACCATCATTGGAGTCATCTGCTCTTATAGCAGAGCGAGAGACAGAGAAAGAGCCACTGCCAGAGAGCACAAGCATACTCTCCACTCATTCCCTCTCAGGAACTTTTGAGGAAAAATCTGCGGCAGATGCCTGTGGTTATCAGAGCCTTTGCCATAGCTTCAAGGGAGTCTGGGAAAGAGGGGAAAGTAATCATCTAGTATTATCTGTTCCAATTACAAGGTTTCCTGTCCCATCCCCACTGCAAAGAATCAAAATGAGAGCAATTCCAAAAATACAGAAAATAATTCAGAAATCAAAAAGCAAAATTGAATGAACAATATTTACCTCCCTGGGCAAGTAGGAACCTCCCTGAGTTTCAGTTTCCTCATCTGGCAAATGATTAAACAATACCATTCTCCCAAGATTGCTTTGAGGACTGAAAGCAATAATGTGTCTATTAAACAGCACAATACAAAAGGTCCCTCAGCAATCTTTCCTTCCTCCCTGTTTTTCTCCCCTCTTCCCTTCCTTTCCATTTAATTTCCTATCTCACTTCAGTTTCTATGTTCTTTGTGTTTTCAGGATAATATTCTATTTACTTAAGGGACACAAAGTAAATAAATGTTTTTGAAACTGAATTGGATTGAAGTGGATCCAGATTTTCACAGGAAAAAAAAGTTTCCTTTTCCCTTAGTTCTCCTTACACACCTGGCTTTGCAGGAAAAGAAATTATCATTTGGAAACACACATCTGCCTCAGCCACAGGTGAGATATTAATGCATTCCCACATGTCCCAAATCCTCGATCTTTGATCAGTATGATGGGAACTTTCATTGTCCAATAAAGCAAGGGACGGACTCTTTGTTTCATTCAAGTCAGTATTTCTTCTAACGGAAACTCACCCCAGGATGAAACAGCCCTGCATTTCCAGCAGCCTCTGGAGTGTCAGGTGGCCCTTCAGCCTTTGAATGCCGTGGGCTGGATTGACTCAACCATGGTTAGCTGACTTTTATTTCTTTTCTTCCTTCCTGCTCATTCAATATCATCAACCAGAGGGAAGGAGCTCTGTGTCATAAAAGTGACCACAGCTGAGCCAATCTCGCCCTATGCCAGTCCACGTGGTAATTTTGGAAGGGCCCTGGGATATCTGACCTTATGATGGTAAGAAAGTTTTGTGATTAATGGTGATTTTTATCTTCCGACTTCAAAGATTGACTCATGCAGAGAATGAGCAATCTATAGGTCAGATATCTTACATCCCAGTTATTTTCTTTCTTCAGTCAAGTATTGGGAGAACTAAACACTGACCAGCTGTAAAAGACATCTATCCTGTCTGCAGAAAAGCCTATCTAATGGGCCTCTGAGGGGAATTGTTTAAAATAATGCTATGCAATTTCTCCAAGAGTTTCTGCTGGAAAAAAAAAAAAATGAACAAATGGAAAATTTAACGCCTGAATGATCGATACTTTCTTCATGAAGCAAGGTTATTCTCTTGCCTTTTTCTCTTGTGGATGAGGTATTTTGCAGGTACTTTAAGAAGTCAACCTACCTTTTATTCAGCAATGTATCAAATATTTATTGAGGGTTTTATTACAAGATACAGTACAGGTCCATGGGGTTATAAGGGTAGAAATAAGTGGTGCCCAGCACTGAAGGATTTTAATAATAATAATGTTAGCAATGCCAATCATAACCTCTAATGCATCTACTAAGCTTTACTTTTTACAGTGCTTTAATATATCCTGTCATTTTAATAATTCTTATAATTTGTTATAATGTGATAACTTTTTAACATCATTTTAGCATTATATTTTATTTCATCTCATTTGATAATATAAGATGCTTAGCCCATTGTGTGCCCAGAAGTACAGTAAGTCCTTACTTATCTTGGACAATAGGTTCTTGGAAACTGGAACTTCAAGTGAAAGAACACATAACGAAAATAGCTTTGCTATAAGCTAACCGATCTAAACAAGAGTTAAGTTGCTACAGCATATTTTGGTCACAAAAAAAAAAATCACCAAACTTCTAAAGAAAGACCCAAACACTTCTAATATTGAAATAAACATCAAAATAACTTTGAAAGGAAGGTGAGCTACACATACACTTAAGAAAGGTTAACAAAAACAAGTAAGATAATAATTTACCCACTTATTCAAGTTCAGAAGCTCAAGGGGCCAGAGCCACTTCTGGTAGCTCAGGGTACCAGGCTGGAACCAGCCCCAGACAGGTCACCATTCCCATTGCAGGGCCCACTCATACATAGCAACACTCACTCACGCTGGGACCAGTGAGACACACTGATTCATCTAACGGACACAGCTTTGGGTTTTGGGAGGAAACCAGACATGGGGAGGACATGCAAAGTCCACACACACAATGACTTCAGCTAGGAATCCATTTTTTTTTTCTCATCAACATTATAAGGAAATTACATTGAACTTAAATGACATTATTCAAGGACCTGCTTTGTAAGCTTAAGAAACAGTAGAACCCCCCTTACCCAGACACCTTGTTCCCTTAGGTATAATGAATTTAAAACTGCATTTGCATATTTACATCAAACACTTGTCACATAGCTGGGCTTTCTGTTTTGTGTAGCCAGGAGGATTTCATAACTTTTCCAAACAACAACTGCCTATTTTACATTGACTTAGTTTCCTCTTTCCTTTGTGTACACAGGTAGAAAAGGCTTGGACTACATGTTTGGTTTGAAGTTTGAAAATCTCAGTCCTTCCCCAACCATCAAAAATATTTACCTCCCTCCCTTGTCTCACAATCATCTAAGCTGCCTTCTTGAATTGACTCCCACACCTGTTCATCATAGAAGGAAAAAAATAAAAGCAAATGCCATATAAAATCTCTCTTCTTCAACAAGGTCTTCTGTTTTGAAATATTGAAACAGTTCCTGTTCTATTACCTCACCAGCTGTGGCCTTTTATCTCCTAAAGGGAATAGCTGACGTCTTACCAGTCAAAGTCATTGTGCTTACGGACGCCATAAATATCTCCTTTAAATCCTACATGATAAATTTCCCTCTGATTGGTAAAGCAGATACTGTAACATGCAAAGGGGGAGCAGGAGAGTCTTTGATGATGTTAAACTAAGCCCCTGGAGATATCCCAGCTCTTCCTCCAGAATTTTACTTTCCAACAACTGGAGTCAACAAATACGGTAGAAAATGTTGTCTGGATTATCTACTCCCATTATTTTTTTTTAAACTGGTTTTCAATGATGGGCAACCTAAAATTTACTCACACAGAACACAAAACAGTTGAATTTGTTAAAAGTCCAAAATGTGCTTTTGTACTTTTGTAAAATGGGAATGTGCTTCTTGTACAAATCACAATATGCTTTCTAGACCACAACCTAAAAAGGAAAGAAAAAAATCCTGTGAATAAAAAAAAAAAACAAGGACTTTCAGTTTTCTACATGCATTTGAAATGACTTTATCTCTGACTCATGTTCTACTTTATTTTTGATTGGGAAGACCTGTTCCTATACTGTAATTTTTTTTTAATAATAAGTTTCCATTTGTAACTATTAGTTGGTCTTTCCACAAAATTGGTTTGCTGGAAAGGACTGAGAAGAGAAAGAGCATTCCTGGATCAATGGAACTGATGAGTGTGGAAGTCCTTGAACTTGACCAAGCATTGTCAATTCTCATAGTCTGACCAAAAAAAAACTAGATTATTTTGTGTGTTTTTCTTGGTGCTCCTAATGTAAGTTTATTCAAATTGGGGGGGGGGCGGTGGGGGGAACAAACAAGTAGACTGCAGTTGTAAGAGAAAAAAGGTGAAAATAAATTATTTTGGTGTTTTTTATTACTTGGAACTTTATTTATTGTAGGATATAGATTTAAGATAATTTTTTGTTTGTTTGTTTATTTTATTTTTATTTATTTATTTGTTGAGATGGAGTTTCGCTCTTGTTGCCCAGGCTGTAGTGCAATGGCACAATCTCGGCTCACCACAACCTCCGCCTCCCTGGTTCAAGCAATTCTCCTGCCTCAGCCTCCCGAGTAGCTGGGATTACAGGCATGCACCACCACGCCCGGCTAATTTTGTATTTTTAGTAGAGACGGAGTTTCTCCATGTTGGTCAGGCTGGTCTCAAACTCTCAACCTCAGGTGATCCGCCTGCCTAGGCCTCCCAAAGTGTACCACGCCCGGCCTTGTTTTATTTTTATAAGCAACAGACAGTCTCTATAATCTGTGGAATCAGGGTATAATATAAATAATAACACACCCAAAAGGTGGGCAAAGAGACATCCACCCTGACACTCAATCCTTTTGGTGCCAACCCCATAGGCAGCCAAGAAGCCCTTTGACAATGAAGAGAAAGGAACTGAAGCTGGAAGATACATGAAAGATAATTGGTAGCTTTGGGGCCGATACAGCAAAGAAGTTGAAAGTGGTGTCTGCCATTTATAGAAATGACTCATTTCTTTAAGTGGCCTAAACCCTATTACCAATTTAACTCATGCCCCCAACTCACATATTTCCCTGGCCATCCCACCTTAAACAGAATAAGACAGACAAGTTACTATATATTTCACTAAGCATTCGAATTTATTAGAGTCTGCACTTTGCTCAGATGAAGGGTTTGTGGTCTTATCCGCTGCTCCTAGCTGGGAGTTGGAGTGTGTTGCTCAGTTAATATAGTATGTCCTCTGTATGTTCTCCTGTAACAACTGGACAGTGTTTTCCTTGGCCAGAGGGGCTGAGCTGTATTCACTTGCTCAAGGACTACAAGGTACCCAGTGGAATGTTTCATGTTTATTGGCTCTTAATGGACTACTACTGAGGACTTGAGGGAAACAAACTATAAGCCATTCATGCTCAGTCAAGCTTCCTTGGAGGAGACTGAATTCCCCCTGTGATCGCTGCCACCCTGCTGATTCAACCGCCACTCAGACTGCCATCAGAGGTTACTGGCTCTAGACTGTAAGTTACAGGAAACCTTTCGGCCTCTACTTGGTTATTTATAGAAGAGTTTATAGGATTCTTCCACAACTCAAGGGAGGAAAATCAAACAAATGTCACCTCCTATTATCATGGCAACTAAGTTCCACTCTGAAAATAGAAGCTGGAACTTTAACCTGTTAACTAGTAAACCAATCTACTGATGTGTTTATGTTTTAGCAATACTTTTTACATTAAAAAAATTATTTCAAATCTGTACCACTCTCGGGAATTTTCCCTGATGAAGCCCACTCTTACTTGCATTCTTTGACACCTCTTTGCATTGGGCTAATGCTTTAATAATGGACTTCAAGTGCACGGAATTTGATTATTCATAATGATTTCTTTCTTTCCTTCTTTTATTTCTTCCTTCTTTTACTTCTTCCCCCCACCGTGCCCCCCACCCGCCCCTGTCTCTCTCTGTCTCTCGGTCTCTCTCTCTCTCTTTCATCTTTCACAAATACTAATATAAAACTTACTATGTACCAGGCATTATTCTAAGATTTTCAACCTTCATAACAACCCTAGGAGGCTAAGTACTGTTATTAATTCCATTTTAAAGATGAGAAGAGTTGATTTATATTGATTTATGATATACTATCATCACTGGTCTCATCATGACTCTATTTTATTTTTTCATTTACCCGTTGTATTCCCTGGCTTATTACTTTGTTAGTGATAAAAGTCAACTACCCAACCCAAGAATTTAAACATGAGCAATGTTTGCGCCTATCTATAGAATCCTCCCCATCCCGTTACCCTGCTGCATAACTCTGACATGCTGAATTTTGTGTTTATATTATTTTCTTGCATTTTTTAAAAGATAATTTTAGCAAATATATGTTTGCTCAAAAACGTTATTGCTTATAAAGACTATCATGCTGTGATCATCTGAGAACCTGCTATCACTAAGCATCATATTATCACATATACCTGTAGTTCATTTATTTTCATTGCAATAAGTTATTCTGGATATACTACAATTCGTTTCCCTCTGGATAGGCATTTGCTATCTGCTCTTGTTATTATAAACACTACTTTTTTGAACACTTTTATGTGTTTATCTGGGTGCACAAATGTGATAATTTCCTTTAATATGTACACCTAGAAAATTGTGGGGTCATAAGGTGTGTGAATATTAAACTTTAAAAGATAATGTCAAGTGGTTAACCAATTTATACCAGCACTATATAAGAAATCTGGTTGATCCATATACTTTTCAATTTTGCTGTAGTTTAAATTCTTAATTATTGCCAATAAATTGAGCATAAAGAGATATCCATTATCTCTTTGATAATGATATTGATTTGCTATTCTATATATTGATTTGCTCATCAATATTGCTATAAGACTCAAGATCCTTCCATATGTTCTTAGCTGTATGTTTCTCCTTCTGTTTCTCCTCTGTAAAATGTTGATTTTTTTTTTTTTTGGTCTATCAAGTGGTTTGGCCTTTCCTTATTATTTTATGAGTCTTTACATATGCTTGATACTAAACCTTTCTCAATTATATGTTCCAAATGAATTTTTCTCAGGTTGTAGCTTGCTTTTTCATCTTAAGAATTCTTCTGATGAACAGAATTTCTTAATTTTAATACTCAAAAATCATAAATCTTTTCTTTTATGGTTTGTACTTTTTGCTCCTGTTTAAGAAATCCTTCCCTACCCCAAGATTGGAAAGATATCCACCTATATTTTTCTACTAAGTATTTAAAATTTGCTTTTGACATTTAAGTCCCTAATCCATCTGGAGTTGATTTATGGGTATGGTGTAAGGGTGGGATCCAAATTCACTTTTTTTCCAAATGGACAACCAATTTTTCCAGCTCCTTTTATTGAATAATCCCTCTTTTCTCCACTGAAATGCCAGGCCACCTCTGCCCTCATTAAAGTTCCACATATGCATGGATTTATTTCTGGGCTCTCTATTCTATCCCATTGTCCATCTGTCTACACCTGCAGTGTGGTCTTCTGGTAAGAGCATGGTACTTAGTCAAAAGTACTGGTCATTTATAACCAAAGGGACTTTAGTAGGTCACCTGACCATTCTGTTCAGTTTTCTCTTTCATAACACTTGGATAACAATTTCCTTCCTCATGAGAATGCTGTGAAGACAAAGGGAAATCTGTGATACAGTTTTCTAACCTATAAAATTCTTTGAAATATTTTAGGTTGTTTGTTTCATAAACATTTTCTAAGTGTTTCTTTCTTCTTTTTTTTTTTTTTTTTGTCTTTCAGAAATCTTTTGGTTATTAGTAACAAAAAACCTGACTTGCACTGGCTTTAAAAATACAATTTAATGGCCCAAGTAACTTAAATATTCAGGTGGTAGGGCCCGCCTTGGGTGAGGCTTTAAATAATTTTTCCCTCCCTCTTCCCTGATTCCTGCAATGTCACCTTCATTTTGAGAACTTATGATTCCAACGCGGCTGTCAGAGGCTTCTGGGGCTACACGAGTCGCTGTTCACATCCAGCGTTAAAACAACCCTCTCCAGATAGTTCCCAGAGAAGAAAGAGGAAACTTTTTCCCCAGACATCCTGGCCAAAGTTCTCTGACTCATGTCGTGTAGGCTTCATCTGGGGCATTTGCTCCATCCTTCTCTGAAAAGAAGCAGAGAATGGATGCTGGGGGATAGGGGGCAGCACCCATAGCAAATGGACGTTACATTTTAATTTTAATTTTGAACAAAAGAACACACGTATATGGTGACAAATCAAGTAGTGCTGAAGAGTTTACAGGGAGAAAAGCAACAGCCACTCTCACCAACGCTGGTCTTACTCCAGGGGGAAAATATTTTTAACCCAGTCTGCACTGGACTCTCCCACTGGACTGCTGTCCTAACTCTTTAACAATTTAGACCTGATTTCTTTTTGAATTCAGCTTTATACATGCCAATGCACTTCTACTTCTCCATCCTTACAACTCACTCATTCCAAAGTTTGATAGTAATGCTGTTATTTTAAAATATTTTATTGTTTACCTTTGTGACTTTAAATAATATACTTGTATTTCTTTTCCCATCTATTTTAATTAGTATCTCAAGTTTCTTCTCTGAAGAATTTTAGCTAGCTTTTCCATCTCCTCTACCCAGTCTTCACTCACTCCCTCTTTCTGTCATGTGCATTTTGTCTTTTGCATTATCACGATTGTGAACATTCATAGTGTGTCCCTCAACCGTAAATAATACTTTCCTGCTCTGTACATATTACAAGTTGAAGTTTGCAAAAATTGTTCACCATGGGCTCAAGTTTTGTGCTAACATAATATTTCCTTTCCTGTGGGTCCAGCATTACTCAAAGCAGGCCCCTACACTACTCCAAGTAAAATGTCCTTTTGCAGCAAGGTTAAATAGAACCTGTTCTATTGTATTTTTCCAATTATGCTTTTAATTTGTGTGTTATTTGCATAATAACTTTCTCCAACACATTTCATTTTTTGGACACCTACTTCATGTTGTTTTGTTTTTTCTTTTGTCCTCCTACGTGAAACTGGAATGTTTTCTCTTTAAGTCTGTTTTGTAGCAGTCATTTTGCAACTCCTCTTTTCTGCTGTCCTGTGTTGGAACCATGATCCTCGGAACCTCATGTCTCCCATTTGTTGTTTCTTTCCTCCTGTTGCTTGACTGTATTGTATCTTCAATTAACTCCCTTAAAAGGCACGATTAAAAGGTAAACGTTACCCTCCTTTGCCTGTCAGAAAAAAATTATTTTGTTCTCACACCTGATTGATATGTTGGCTCAGAAATTTGAGAGAACATTGCTTCATTTTCCTGTAATATCCAATTGTTCATGAGAAGTCTGACATTAATCTGATCCTTATTCCTTTACATATGGCTTGTTTTTCCTGTCCAGAAGACTTTATCAACATGCCTTGATCCTAGCTGCATTATAATTTAATGAGAATATTTTATATTTCTGATTTAAAATTCATCTTGCTTAACAGTGAACCCCTTCAATCTGAATATTCTAGGAAGTTTCTTGTGACATTAAAAACCAATCCCCTTCCCCTATTTTCACCATTCCTGTTTTAGGTGTCATAAATAGGTGAGTTTGGAACCTGCTTTCATTTAAAATGTCCCCTCCAAAATTTATATTGAAATTTGATTGCTAGTGTGGCAGCATTAATAGGTGGGACCTTTAAGAGGTGATTAGGTCATAGGGTAAGAGTGGATTAAAGGATTAAAGCTGTTATTGCTGTAGTAGATCAGTTATCTCAGGAGTTCACCCCTTTTTTCTGTCTCCCATGCTCCCTTGTCTTTCCACTTTCCTTCATGAGATGACACAACAATAAGGCCCCCACCAGATGGCTGAGCAGATGCCAGTGCCATGCCCTTGGACATCCCAGTCTCCAGAACCATAAGCAAAATAAATTTCTTTTCTTTATAAATTACCCAGTCTGTAGTATTCTTTTACAGCAGGAGAAAGCAGACTAAGACAGGACCACCTGAATTGGTCTCTTGCTTTGTCTAAATTATATTTAACCATACAAAAGATGAAATGTGCTAATCTTAAGTGTATATACATTTATACATTCACATAACCGCTATCCAAATAAAGATATGGAATGCCTCCAGCATCTCAGAAGTCAATAACCTCATATTTCAAGGTATCATCAATTGGTTTTGCCTGTTCTTGAACTTTTTATAAATGGAATTATACAGTATACACTCTTATTTGTCTGGCTTCTTTCACTTAACATAATGTCTGTGAGATTCATCTATGCGATTTAAAATATCAGTAGTTGGTTATTTTTTAAATTGCAGTATAATTTTCCATCTTCCACAATTATTAGACCTCCTGTTGGTGGACATGTTTCCAGTTTGGAGTTATTATGAAAAATGCAAATGTGATCATTCTTATATATGAGTTTTGAAGAATATATTACTTATTTCTTTTAGGTATCTATCTAAAAATGGAATTATTGGGTCTCTATGTTCAACTTTATAAGAAACTGTCAAACTTTTTTCCAAACTGTACCAACGTACACTCCTGCTATGATACTGTATGAGAATTCCAGTTGTTCAACCGCCTTACCAATATGAGTTACTGTCAGTCCTTCAGTCTTTTTAATTTTAGCCATTCCAATGGGTGTAAATGGTATTTCATTATAGATTTGCTTTGTATTTTTCTAAAGAGTAATGATGTTGAACCTTTTTTCTATGTGTATGGCCCTTTGGATATCCTCTTTTATAAAATTTTTGCTCAGGAGTTTTTTATGCATTTTAAAATTGAGTTATATGCATTTTCTCATTGATTTGTAGAAGATTCTGTATATTCTGGACAGAAGTAGTTTTTAGACGTATGTATTATAACTGTCTTCTTGCATGCTGTGGCTTGCCTTTTTTCTTAATGGTATTTTTACATTAATAGAATTGTTTAAATATAAGGAAGCCAGGCGTGAGGGCTCACACCT
This sequence comes from Homo sapiens, assembly GCF_000001405.40. NCBI lineage: Eukaryota > Metazoa > Chordata > Mammalia > Primates > Hominidae > Homo > Homo sapiens. The sequence goes on from NC_000001.11 coordinate 219,452,046, forward strand.
GTTATCCCAGCACTTTGGGAGGCAGAGATGGGTGGATCACCTGAGGTCAGGAGTTCGAGACCAGCCTGGCCAACATGATGAAACCCTGTCTCTACTAAAAGTACAAAAATTAGCCAGGTATGGTGGTAGGCATGCCTGAAGTCCCAGCTACTCAGGATGCTGAGGCAGGAAAACCACTTGAACCCAGGAGGCAGAGGTTTCAGTGAACCTAGATCATGCCATTGCACTCCAGCCTAGGTGAAAGAGCAAGACCATCTAAAATAAATAAATAAATAAATAAATATCTCCATGTTCCCAATCTTTTCATTTATGATTAGTGCCTATTTAAGAAATATTTGCTTACCCCCAAATTCATGAAGATACTCTTCTATAATTTCATCTAAAGCCTTTATTTAAAAAAATGTTTTATATTTAGATTTACAAGCCATTGCACATTAATTTTTGTGTATGATGTGAGACAGGTGTCACTAGCATCACTTTGATTGAAAAGGCCACTTTCTCCACTAAATTGCAGTACCAGTGTTGCTGAAAATCAACTGACTATATATGTGTGGGCCTTTTTCTGGACTCTCTATACTATTCAATTTACCTACTTGTCTAGCCGTGCACCAATACCACACTCCCTTAATTACTGTTTTTACTGTGAATCTTAAAATCTTATTAAGTGTTGCCATTTCATCTTTTTTTTTTTCAAAATTGTCTTGGCAATTCTACGACTTTTATATTTCCATATACACTTTAGAAAAAGCTTGTCAATTTCCACAAAGAAAAATTTATTGGTATTTGATCAGGATTGCATTGAATCTACAGTTCAGTTAGGGTAAACTTGAGATCTTAACAAAACTGAATTCCTAATCCATAAATATGGCATATTTTTCTATTAATCTCCAATTACTTTAGACACATTGATTTTCTCTTAGCAATATTGTATATTTTTAAGTCTTGCAAAATTTGTATTAAGTTTCTTTCTAGATATTTGATAATTTTACAGCTATTGTAAGTGGTAATTTAAATTTCTTTTTGTTTCCATTTATTTACCTCTAGTGCATAGAAATACTTGAATTTTGTATATTGACCTTGCAGTCAGGGTTCTGGCAAGCTTCACTCATTATTCCTAGTGGCTTTTTTGGCAGTTTAAAAATTGTCTACATTTCTAATCACTTCATCTGTGAATCTTTTTCTGTCTCTTTTGCTTATTTACTGGGTGATTTCCTTAGCTTTATTTTCCATGAACTTTTAGCTTTTGTTTTTAACTTTGGGACCCTATCACTTCTCTTTGAAAGCTCTTCGATTTTTTTTTTTTTTTTTAGAACATCTTGCTCTTGTTTTGTGAATGCAATGAAACCTCAAATTAATCAAGTTACATTATTCTTATGTTGCTTTTTCTGATTTTGCCTCTATAATTTTTATGTATTTTTTAAAAATCTCTTTCATGCCATTTTTTTTATATACCTAGTAATCCTTACTTGTTTATTTATATTTAAGAAATAACTGCTCAGCTAATAAGGATCTCCTCTGCTGCTATGTCTCTTTTCCCTTCTGTCTCTCTTTTGGATGAGAATATTCCTGGCTGCCAGCAGGAGACAGAGCAGAACATGTCAGCTGGTCAACTTTCCTCTGCTTCAGTGAAGAAGGCAAAGCTCTCAGACTGTTGCCCTTTCTTCTGTAAGAATGTGATGAGAAGGACTTAAACCTGTGATGCCAACATCTACACTAGGCATATTTCAAATATCTCATTCAATTTCCTTAGCAATGGCAGCCTCACTGCCTGTGCCAGGTAGGGGAGATTGGGAGCAACTATTCCTTATGAATACTCCTTTAGGGAATCCTCTTGTGTTTTCCTTATTTCTAACAGTTTGATCTCTCAAACATATGTACGGCCATTTCTCTGAAGCTCCCTTGTAGCATATTCTGAGCAGTGGCTCTCATGCACTGTCTTCCCTCAACATGCTCTACTTAATGTGCTTTCATAGGTATGTTTATTACCTGCTGGTCTCTAACCTCCTTATCTATCTTACTTGCTTTGCTTTTTGTGTCTATTCTTATATAAATACTAGTATATGTTTGTGTGTGTGCCTGTGTGAACACACACAAGTATATATATGCATATATATAGTGCATATTTTATATGTGTAAAAGTATATATGAGGAATATATACAATATACAGATTTTTATATATGTGTGTCTATGTACATGTGTGTATATATATGTATATATGTGTAATATTTTTTATTGGCTACTGGAGAAGAACAAAAGGGTAACATAAATCTGCTATCTTGAAGCAGAGTCCTGAATTTTTTTTTTTTTTTTGCATGGTACACAGTCAAACTACAAGTTTACTCTTCTTAACATTGGAATCCTGTTGCTTTAAAATAATTATTATTGAGGTTTATCATTGTTGTTAGACAATTCTACATGGATCTCATGTTTATGCACAAGGATATTTGTCTAATGAAGAGCCTTGGAAAATAGAGATAGTCTTCTTCTGGAGAAATATACAGATTTGTTTGCTGTCCAAGATAATAAAGAGAATGCTTATCACCAGGGCAAAAGTTAGGAAGATTTACTAGCCACCTATTATAAAAGATTGGGATTTTCTAAGCTCAGTCCCTCAAGCTAATCTTCAAGTGGACAGCATCTCCCTGGACTGTTCTGCATCTCTCAGGGGGACTTCAGGGGCAAGGGGAATCACACAAATATGAAACTGTGTCATGTGTAATAAAGTTCTTTGTCTCTGATCCGAGAAACTTGTATCTTCTACCAGAATTCATGATATTTACCTCAGGCTAACTAGTTAGTTTGCAAACGGTGTGCAATTTAAGGAGTACATATTGTATACAGGACAGAATATAGAAGGTGGAATTAGTGGTTTCAACGTGTATTATACTAAATCTTGGTGTCTTGGCTAGTCTCAAAGATACCAAGATTTAGTATAAAACAAGTTGAAACCACTAATTCCACATTCTAAACTTTGGTTGCTATCATTTTGTTTGATCTTGAGAAGTTACTGTAACCTTGACATTCACATTCAATCTCTTTTACAGTCATTTTAGAGGGTCTCTAGAGAAATTAGAACTAAACAGATATATTCAACCTACCATTATTAACTGAAGTCCTACATAAATGCTGTAAAGTTTACATCTTAAACTACAAAACATTGAAATAGAATCTGTTAAAAATATTATTATTTCAAGCCATGGAAGCTGAAGATGTGTGCAGAGAAAGACTTTTTTTTTAACTATACATTTTTCACACTTCTGTGAAGCTTCAATGTTCTTGTCACTTACTGACATTACTTTAGTCTGTACATTGTTGCTTAAACTCATACAAACTAGTTTAAAATGATAATATTTAAGGAAAAAAATTTGAAAGCATAGGAACAAAAACCAAAAAACTAAATATGTTAAAAGTGGTTTTGTCTGAGTGAAGCAAATAACTTGGGGTGATATTTTCCTATAGTTTTCCAAATTTTTCTATATGCATAGTTTTCAATCATAAAATGTTACAAATTTAATTTTAAGAGTGGGATAGCAAAGCCAGGCAGAGACACAACCAAAAAAGAGAATTTTAGACCAATATCCTTGGTGAACATTGATGCAAAAATCCTCAATAAAATACTGGCAAAACGAATCCAGCAGCACATCAAAAAGCTTATCCACCATGATCAAGTGGGCTTCATCCCTGGGATGCAAGGCTGGTTCAATATACGCAAATCAATAAATGTAATCCAGCATATAAACAGAGCCAAAGACAAAAACCACATGATTATCTCAATAGATGCAGAAAAAGCCTTTGACAAAATTCAACAACCCTTCATGCTAAAAACTCTCAATAAATTAGGTATTGATGGGACGTATTTCAAAATAATAAGAGCTATCTATGACAAACCCACAGCCAATATCATACTGAATGGGCAAAAACTGGAAGCATTCCCTTTGAAAACTGGCACAAGACAGGGATGCCCTCTCTCACCACTCCTATTCAACATAGTGTTGGAAGTTCTGGCCAGGGCAATTAGGCAGGAGAAGGAAATAAAGGGTATTCAATTAGGAAAAGAGGAAATCAAATTGTCCCTGTTTGCAGACGACATGATTGTATATCTAGAAAACCCCATTGTTTCAGCCCAAAATCTCCTTAAGCTGATAAACAACTTCAGCAAAGTCTCAGGATACAAAATCAATGTACAAAAATCACAAGCATTCTTATACACCAACAACAGACAAACAGAGAGCCAAATCATGAGTGAACTCCCATTCACAATTGCTTCAAAGAGAATAAAATACCTAGGAATCCAACTTACAAGGGATGTGAAGGACCTCTTCAAGGAGAACTACAAACCACTGCTCAAGGAAATAAAAGAGGATACAAACAAATGGAAGAACATTCCATGCTCATGGGTAGGAAGAATCAACATCGTGAAAATGGCCATACTGCCCAAGGTAATTTACAGATTCAATGCCATCCCCATAAAGCTACCAATGACTTTCCTCACAGAATTGGAAAAAACTACTTTAAAGTTCATATGGAACCAAAAAAGAGCCCGCATCGCCAAGTCAATCCTAAGCCAAAAGAACAAAGCTGGAGGCGTCACACTACCTGACTTCAAACTATACTACAAGGCTACAGTAACCAAAACAGCATGGTACTGGTACCAAAACAGAGATATAGATCAATGGAACAGAACAGAGCCCTCAGAAATAACGCCGCATATCTACAACTATCTGATCTTTGACAAACCTGAGAAGAACAAGCAATGGGGAAAGGATTCCCTATTTAATAAATGGTGCTGGGAAAACTGGCTAGCCATATGTAGAAAGCTGAAACTGGATCCCTTCCTTACACCTTATACAAAAATCAATTCAAGATGGATTAAAGATTTAAACCTTAGACCTAAAACCATAAAAACCCTAGAAGAAAACCTAGGCATTACCATTCAGGACATAGGCATGGGCAAGGACTTCATGTCCAAAACACCAAAAGCAATGGCAACAAAAGCCAAAATTGAGAAATGGGATCTAATTAAACTAAAGAGCTTCTGCACAGCAAAAGAAACTACCATCAGAGTGAACAGGCAACCTACAAAATGGGAGAAAATTTTCGCAACCTACTCATCTGACAAAGGGCTAATATCCAGAATCTACAATGAACTCAAACAAATTTACAAGAAAAAAACAAACAACCCCATCAAAAAGTGGGTGAAGGACATGAACAGACACTTCTCAAAAGAAGACATTTATGCAGCCAAGAAACACATGAAAAAATGCTCATCATCACTGGCCATCAGAGAAATGCAAATCAAAACCACAATGAGATACCATCTCACACCAGTTAGAATGGCAATCATTAAAAAGTCAGGAAACAACAGGTGCTGGAGAGGATGTGGAGAAATAGGAACACTTTTACACTGTTGGTGGGACTGTAAACTAGTTCAACCATTGTGGAAGTCAGTGTGGCAATTCCTCAGGGATCTAGAACTAGAAATACCATTTGACCCAGCCATCCTATTACTGGGTATATACCCAAAGGACTATAAATCATGCTGCTATAAAGACACATGCACACGTATGTTTATTGCGGCATTATTCACAATAGCAAAAACTTGGAACCAACCCAAATGTCCAACAATGATAGACTGGATTAAGAAAATGTGGCACATATACACCATGGAATACTACGCAGCCATAAAAAATGATGAGTTCGTGTCCTTTGTAGGGACATGGATGAAATTGGAAATCATCATTCTCAGTAAACTATCACAAGAACAAAAAACCAAACACGGCATATTCTCACTCATAGGTGGGAACTGAACAATGAGATCACATGGACACAGGAAGGGGAATATCACACTCTGGGGACTGTGGTGGGGTGGGGGGAGGGGGGAGGGATAGCATTGGGAGATATACCTAATGCTAGATAACGAGTTAGTGGGTGCAGCGCACCAGCATGGCACATGTATACATATGTAACTAACCTGCACAATGTGCACATGTACCCTAAAACTTAAAGTATAATAATAAAAAAAAGAGTGGGATAGTAAAGAAGAGACAATTATAAAAAATCAACCTGAGATCAAACACTCAACTAAGCCAATGTCTAGGGAATATAAAATGGTTAATTCAGGCAAAGACCAATACCCTGCACCATCTTGCCCTCTAACACTTAAATGAAAGTTTGTGTTTGCAATATTGACATGAAGGCTCTAAAAATCCTCAGACAACAAAGAAAGATATAGCTATGCTTGCAACATGGGAATTTGCTAAGGGCATTTTGTAAGGATTATTTTAAAAGTGTTGAAATAATGATTTTCTGACTAACCTACAATTAACCACAACATTAAGTTAACCCAAATGTTGCAGTTCCTTCAAAGTTCTGCATAATTACAATCTTCCCACTGTTTCATACTTACCTCCCTAGGATTTTTTTCCTAGGGAGTTATTCTATATATTAAACAACCAAACACAGCCCAGGCATTCAAAGCTGAACTTCTTTCCATAATTAAAAAAGTACTTTAAAAAGCCAACTTCTTTCTGTACTTAAAATAACACTATCGGATCTGGCTACATGGGAATCCGGCAGAGGACATGTCCCACTGCCCTGGACTCATTGAATTACTGTGGCCCCAGGAGGTACATTTTTCTATCATTTTGGAATTCTGATTTTTTAAATTTTAAATTAATTTACTGCTTCAAAAGCACCAGTGATATTCTTGTATATCTCTGTCCCAATCAAAATCTTAATATGTGAATAGCACTATGCAAGACACAACAGAAGACATACAGAAGAAAACAAATTCTATCTTTAAGAAGCTTACCATTCAGAAGGAGAAACCAGATGTAAATATAGCAAACCATTAAAAAAAAAAGCACGCTGAAGGCCGGGCGCTGTGGCTCACGCCTGTAATCCCAGCACTTTGGGAGGCTGAGGTGGGAGGATCACGAGGTCAGAAGATCAAGGTCATCCTGGCTAACACGGTGAAACCCTGTCTCTACTAAAAATACAAAAAATTAGCCAGGCGTGGTGGCACGCACCTGTAATCCCAGCTACTTGGGAGGCTGAGGCAGGAGAATCTCTTGAACCCAGGAGGCAGAGGTTGCATTCAGCTGAGATGGCGCCGCTGCACTCCAGCCTGAGGGACAGAGCAAGACTCCGTCTCCAAAACAAAAAGCAAAAAAAAAAAAAAAAAAAAAAAAAAAAGCACGCTAATGAATTGCAATAGGACCCTCACACAGGAGGGGGAACTGTGTGGGATGGCAGAGTGTAAATGCCCAGGGGAATCAGAATATACAGTCAGGAATTTGAACTATACCCAGCTTTTTGTGCAATGGTGAAAAAGGCTCCAGCTTGAGACTAAAAGAGATTCAGATGTGTCTAGGGACATCTGGCAAAAAAAGCAGTGTCAGCCCCCAGAATCTTGTCTGCATAAAGACTGAGAAATTTTCTGGAAGAGGACTGGTCCCGAGAGAGGAATGATCCAGGAAAGATTAGGTTGACTCAGTAAAAAAGTCTGTGTCATGGGATGAGGAAGATAATTCCGAACACAGCAAGTCTGAGATTCATCCCTACCTTAACTCCAGTTCAGCTTAGTCTGAGTATGATGGGAAGCAGAGAGTTCTAAGTAAATGCTGAAGTGGTTTTACTTTGTGACATGAGCAACTCTGCATTGGAATTCCCTCTAGCAGAACTTAACAGAAAGAAAAAGTCTCCCCTGACCACTTTTCCATAGGGTATAAATCATCACACAGCTTTGGTGCCCTGAAGTCACAGCATGGTGCCTGGCAGAGCTGGCACTGTGTCTGCCATGCCTTGCCAACTGCCTGAGGGTGGTCAGTCAGGAGAAAATGCCATGCCTTACGGATCAGTCACAGAGACAAGATACTTGACAATGGAATAGAGGCAGCATCTGGAGCAGGCTTTTAAACCCAACACAGCGTTAGCAGCAGCCACGGAGAGACTGCTGAACCAGTCAAATGTCAAGCCTGGAATAGCAGAAATGTACCAGCCATGCCCAGTAGAGCAGCAACAACCCCAACTTAGAAACAGCTGTGTCCCACAACATAAGCTCCAACTTATCTGTGGCCATATGAGAATGTAGGGAAAAACTGTCCGTAGGGTAAAAACTTCCAGGGGTTGAGGGGACCTGTGTCAGCGTAAGAGGACATGTAATAGTGACATTGGAGTCTTTAATGTTAGCATGCCTCACAGATATCTGCAGGAAGGAGAGATCTTGAGAAATCTGGGCTATACAATTAGTCATTTCTCAATGCAAGTGTAGGAAAGACAGCCTTTAGCTTTGGTGTTCAATATTAGGTCTATAACAAAGCCAAAAATAACATTAGGTATGTGTACAGAAATAGTGTCTTTATGCCTCATGTTGATTATCTGTTATATAAGGAGCCTTAGAGAATCACAATACTAAGATGCTACAATGATAGAACTCAAGTAGACCAGCCCTCTGATGTTCAAATATGAGAGTGAGGCTCAGAAGAAAGAAAGCCAAGCACTGACTGGTGGTGGAACAGGAAGAAGAACAGAAATCTTCTGACTTTCAGCCCAGGGATCTTTGCATGACACTATAAGGACTCAGGGAGACCTAAGGAGAAACAATAAGCCTGACCATTTGATTCTAGAAAGTGTTAGCAAATAACTTATCTTCAGCCATTCTGTACAAATAAAAACAAAGTGGTGAATTTGTGCAAGAATGGTTAAGATGCTCTTTCCTGGAATGTGAATGTGTTTATATATACATTTCTATTAATTTGGAAATGTAAATGCCAGGATTGATTTCTGGAATAATGCCTTAAAAATTAGAAACACCATTAGAATTAGATTCAGAACTGAAAAAGTTTGCACAACTTTTTGTTTTCTCTGAGGAATGGATGAAGCAAACATTGAGGGGGGAAGTGAAGAACGGAGGCACGCAAGCAAAAACAAGAACCAGAATGAGGAACGAAAATAGAAGAGGAAGTAAGTAGAGGAGAAAGAGCCACATGAGAAGCCTGGAGTGTCTACGTGAATGAGGTGGATGGGTAGAACTCCATTCAGAGGACACTGAACATGAAGTTCATCTGTTTTAACTGGTGTGATTTACTTGACATAAGTGACAGCCCGAAACAGAAATAATAATCATCTGTCAAACAATTTGTTTCACTGTTTCTTGACTGTCCGGCATGTTGTTTTCTTTTTTTAACCTAACCTGCCTGTTTCCTTGACCAGTCAAGTCAAAACAGACAACCCAATGTGTACATGTTAACACAGGCTCTCTCTTGAGTTAATGGCTCAGAAGTCTGAGTCATTGCCCTGAGAACCCCAGATTCTAACTATTCTCTTCTTCTAAATTAGAATGGGATGGCCTCTGTTTATATTTTCGTTAAATAGAACCACATGATTGCAACCTTGCCGCTGGGGGTTGTTAGCAGAGAATTTATTAGCCTGAGCCAGTATCCTTGACTGCAGGGCTGCTTTGGTTGCTGGAGTACACCCTCGATTTGCTATTTTTCCTCAAGAGTTACACTTTAGTGGGTTTCTCCTAGGGGCCTGTGTCTGTATATTGAAGGAGAAAAGAAAAATGAGTATGTCCTTTACATGATCCAGCTGTCTCTGCTACTCCAACCCTCTCTGCTATATTATCAGAGCTTTCCACGTGAAGTCTGAAGTCCCCACAAAGGAAAAGTAAAAGATTCGCTTTCACTTATCCTGTGAAAATATAATGGACATATTCCTGGGAAGTGGCAGTGGCTTACTAGGTCTCTGGTCCTTTTTCACATGTAATAATCAAGTTAGAAATTTTCTTAAGGTGTCTTCCTTTTACTTAAAAGGTTGTCTCCTCTGAACTCTCATATACCCTTTGAGGCCCAGACTAGATGCCACCACCTCCATGAGGTTCTCCTTGATTCTTCCCACCCCATCTGAAAATCCACACTTTTTGGATTTGTGTTTCCCTTCTCTGTGTCCTTAGATTCCACTTCTCCATTCCCTGCTTTGTATCATGCTGATGTCATCTACAAATGTGTCAGCTCCCTGATGCTGGTAATTATGTTTTAACCATCATGTTTCTAATAGAGTAATGAATGTTAACTCAAAATGAACTGGCAGAAGGCTAATAGGAAAAGCCTGAGGATGAGGCAAGGGGAAAGGAGGGAGGGGTTATTGGTAGCTGAAAAGAATGTAGAGGGAGAAAGAGGAAAAGACAAGATTGTTCGGTATTACCATGGAAGAGGGTACAGGGTGGTGGGAGGAGCTTGCAGGATAAGACAAGGGGAAGCTCAGAAGGAGGATCACTAAGATGAAGACAGAACAGAAAGTGGTCAGAAGTCAGTGAAGGGCTGCAGTTGGAGTAAATGCTGCCATAATGGTGTGGACAGTAGTTCCTTCCTTGTGGGAAGGGGAGGAAGGTGAGGACGGCAGGGAAGAGCAATCATCTCATCCCAGGCTACCTCTCCTTCCCATTTCTTCCAGAAGTATGCCTTGTTCCCCAGGCTTACCAGCCTCTGTGACACCTCGTTATTCTGTCACCAGTCCTCATGCAGAGGTTTAAGCCTATTCTTCTCTCCATAGCTCCAGCACCAGAGGAATTCTGAGATTAAATTCCCTGAGTCTGCTCCGTCTTTCAGGTGTAAATAAAACATGATTGTCCTTAGATTACAAAAGTGTACAGTTAACATGTATGTATGGTCTTCTTTTTCATCTATGTTTATATATATACACACACACACACACACACACACACACACACGTACATATGTACATACAGGGGTGAGATTTTTGACTTTCTATATCACTTCTCTTATAATCAGGTAATCAAATTCATTATGAAACCTCAGAAAGGATGTTGAGTCTTCAATAACACTAGGAAGGAAGATATGCTGTTCAGAAGCAAGAACTGTTGACAGTGTAAATGACAGGCCAATCCCTGGAGTCCTAGGAAGAAAATAAAAAGATAATAAAGAGCAGCCTGTACCAAGAAATTGTCTTTGAGGGTTTATATAGAATAAAAGATCTTCCCGTCCTAAAGGAGCCATCCTTTGATCCCACCCCTCAGTAGTCTCTCTTCTTACTGCTTCATTGCCTCCTAACCTCCCAACCACTTTCCCAAAATGGGAACCACAACATGGAATTTGGATTTTGAGTAGTCCCTGATCCTCTTGCTGACAAGGTTTAGGAAGGAAACAGAGGGAGGATCTGTGATTCTGTTCTTTCAGTAGAAGGTGAAAGTAGTTTTTTAAGATATTTCATAGGCATTATCTTATCTGAGCCTTGCAACAATAACCCAGTGAAGACAAAAAGCAACTTTTATAATCTGCCCTTCTCCATTCAGTTAAAGAAACTCAGAGCTAAAAAGGGTTCTGAGAATTTTCTAAAATCATTCAACTAGTGAGGAACCAGCCTGGCCTTCTACTACAAAAGGCAGTGATGCTTTCACCACCTCTTCCTACTTCTTGGTTCACTGATGATGGTTCTATGCTATTAAGATGGAAACTATTTATTGGGTACATTATGGGTCCAACAGGCTTTAGTGAACTGGGCTGACCTGGGGAAGTAACCATCAAACATGACTTTGTTTCATCGGAAAAATTTGTTCTGGGTTCTAAACAGCTGATTTACATACAATATTTTAGTACACAGCTCATTTTAAATTGAGGACTGCCTGTACTAAGCTTCTAACTTCTAAGGATAGAAAGATAGTCCCTTTTATTTTTCCTGTTCTGCTTTTGGAAACTACCAACAAGGGTGCCAATTAGCACCAGATGGGACAGGGACTGTGTGATGTGGAACTCCGACCACTGGGAACTGGAACAAGTCCACTAATGTATTAAGCAATCGAAGAGCCAGAAGTTGGGCAGGCTTCAAATTTGGCACAATGTAAAGTTCGGATCTGTAAAGGCCCAGCTTTATACACAGAATCTGTCCCTTCTCGACTCACTGCCTATGAAGACTAGCAAGGGGAATGGGAATTTAGAACTCTAATACCTTCAAGCCTGTAGACTTTTATTTGCATGTTGCCTTTCACTCTGTATCTTTTCTCCATTTTGAACTTGAGTAAATCTTTATGGAATAATTAAGAGGAGGTGTAAATGCTTGTTTATCTTGGAAACCTGGATTTTAAGTCTATAATTCTTACTTAGCTGCCTTTACTTTCTGGATATCTTGATTTTTTAAATAATAACTCTGCATACGTCCAAAGTCAAAATTAAGAGTAGAAATGAAACATCAGGTTAACTCAAACTCAAAGGTAATTGAGATTTAAATGGTATGTTTACTAAAAACATAGATAAGTGAAGCAACATGGGAATTTCTATCGATATTATTCAGATAAATGTCTATTTTCTTCTCCTCGTTTAGCCAGCCACGTGCCTTCAATGCAAGTTTAGCTTGCTGAGTTTTGTCACTTACCACTCATGCTGTACTACATTAGCTTTCCCAGGCAGTGATCTAAATCACCTTGAAGACTGTTGAACACAAGATAAATTGAACGCAATCTTGCCTCAGCTTCATACAGCCTGTATTTAATAGAAATGAAGTTAGGTTTTGCCTATAAAATGAGTGTCTTAGATCTGAGCACTACTTTCCAAATTTTTTTCTTATTATGGCACATATGGAAAATGATATTATTTAGTAGTGCTCACTGGTCTAAAGAGATAGATAAGGTAGCTCATGGCTAGGGAAAAGTGACTGAGGGCTCGAGGTACCCCAGATTCTGCCCAGCCAAAATAGGGCTGGGGGATCAATACCTTGACACACCTGGATTAGTAGCACAATGTGTTCACATCTACCACTGGGAACACCAGATTGGAAGCTCTGTAGTAAAAGATATTTAAGGACTATTTGGAGATTCTATGACTTCTTTATAGTATAATTTACTGGGACTTGACCACCGATGTGTGATTTGGGTATTATGGTTCAAAACTTTCTAAATCATAAACTGATCCCAGAATGTTTGATGCTTGGTTAACAGCATGGAAAGGCCCCTAATGCTGGGATGACCAACTGTCCCAATTTGACCAAGAATGAGGGGTTTCCCATGACGTGAGACTGTCAGTGCTAAAAGCAGGGCAGTCCTGTATAAACCAGGGCAGTTATCTCCTACCTACACTGTATTAAAATCCTTTATTAAGGAAACAAAGAAAAGAGAATCCAGGGTTTCTGCTTTCAGGGCTTGGTGTTTGTTGTAGTCTTTCTTCCCCGGCCATTGGAACCAGAGGCAGCACCCCTGTGAACTGGTCATAGAGTCCAGGTCATCTATGGTTTAAAAAGCAGAAGGCTATGATTTTTCTTATAAAATGTTTTCCTTTGTAGAGTTGTTTTTGCCAGTTCCAAGAGGAAATAGTGGGCTGAAATCAAGAGGCATGACTGGATGACTAGTACTAAGCAAATGATTCGTGCAAAGATTTCACTGGAAACATTCAGACTCATAACAATAGTAGTTCTGACATGACTACCTCTTGCCTGAGAAACTCATAAACATGGCCTCTAGGCTATACTTTTTTTTTCAGCAGCTGCTGGTTCTTTAATTTAATTATAAGTTACAAGTAAGCTTCTTAAAGAGGCCATGTGTGTACCAAACAGTGTTCAGAGGACACTCCGTTCACAAATTTTATGACAGTCAGCACTGTTGGAATTACATGTTCTAATATGAGATGGGTGGACTGGTGTGGGAGAAATAAGAGCCACCATTCTCCTCCTCCCCCACCCAGACTTAAACCAAAATTGTTTTTGAGGTTCAAAAATATTCACATGACAGCTTTCTATGTTTGGCTGGGGCAGACTAAACTGCAATGCCAAGAAAATGGTTCCTTCTAGCTTTAATTCTAATACAGATGTCACAGGACCTGAGAGGTGCTTCAGTGCTGGGTCCTCGCTCTCACGCAGAGCTCCTGTTTCATTATGAACATTTATTATGCACTTACTTTTGTGCACAGAACTAGGCTTTGCGCTGAATGAGAAATGCGTAAGGTAACAATCTTTGCCCTCAATGTACACACCATGTCTTGAGGGAAAAGCCATCAAAGCAAGTAATTTTTACACAAAGCAGAATAAAAGAATAGAAATGTAAAAACATAAAAAAGGAAGAAATGGCATGTGAGCTGGTGGTATTTGGCAGGGTTCGCCATGTCAGTGAAAGGGGTGAAATTTGAAGTTCTAGAAACACACAACAGGAAGTTTTTTTCTCTTGCCATTACCCACCAAGACTAACATACTCTTGCTTCTCTGAGATCCATGTCACACAGAAGCCTCTTTTCCGAATGAACGTTGACTTTGAAGTCAGACAGATTTGAGTTTGAATTCCACCTCTGTCAGGCATGAACTGTGTGACTCTGGGAAAATTAGTGTCTCTAAATTGATTTTCTACGTTATAAAAGAGAATAACCAAAACCAGCTTTATAAATGTAGAAGAGGTAAGATATGTAAAATTACCTCATACAGATCTTCTACAAATTGGGCAATTTATGAGAGAGAGGGAGAACTACATGTAGTGGGAAGACTTGTACTGTACTCTCTCATGGTGTATAATAGCCCCCAGCTCTTTCATTATTAGAGAAACCAACAATACATTTTAAACTTACGGTAAATTAGATTCATTAGAATCTCAGATTCTAAGAATGAAATCCTTAGAATTGAATTAGACTCATTGTTTTCGTATTAATGTCTTTTTCTAAGGAGATGGTGGAGTTAAAGATGCATGAAGGAATGAAGGGAGAAGATGTGTAAGTATGTGGACAGCCAAAACCTGACAAAAAAGAATGAATATAGTTCAGAAGAAAATGCATATTTCATGTCCTATCTTCCAGTAAAAACTAGTACATATTTATCTTTTACATGTGTTTTATTATATCTTTGGTTACTGATATTTGGTCAAATGTAAACAAAACACTCATTGGATATACCAAGCATCACTTACAATGATGCAGCTTTATTCTTCTGGAGAAATTGTTGGAGGGAATTGCAATATGGTTTTGCAATGTGTGTAACATTTTGGCACATACTAGTGATAATTTTCAATGATTTTTCCCCTTCATGAATATATTCCAGATATTAATTTGAGACTCTAATATGAGGAGACCAACTTAGGTAACCCAGTGGTTCAGGGTTAGCAGGTTGGATGTGATTATCTCCAAAAGTCAACTCCCCTCTCCCGCCTCCTTTAGCCATCTTTTCCACTGCTTATTTCTTCTTACCATTAGTAATATTTTTTCCCTAATACCTATTTCAGCTTTTCTTCCTCAATAACTAGCTGTCTTCAGTAAAGAAAAAAACCACACTCCCTTTTAAACTACAAAGATAGCATCTTTCCCCACTTTTAGACTCAAATAAGAAGAGGAGCCGTACAAGGGGTAGAGCTTGGTAGATGACAGAAGAGGTGCAGAGGAAGAAAAGAGCAAGGCAAGCATGGTCTCTGTTTCCCTCCTTTTCTTGGCCCACATACTATTTTCTCCTCCAAGTTCCTGACTAATTACAAATTCACTGTGGGAGGCTGTTGTGCTTTCCACCTGGTTTCCATTGCACGGGAAGGAGATCAGTGCCCAAAACACATTTCAGTGCCTGACATGGAAATGCCAAGAGTTGAGATACCCTACTGAGCAATATTGATAGATAAGCAACAAGTCACATCTCTATCAAGTCATTTTTTAAAAAATATCTACATCGATTTCCTTTTGCTAGATGAGTCAAATGCTCACAACTGTAGTTCTGTCATACTTGGCAGAGTAACACTACATGTTTTTTTTTCTGGTTAAGAATTCTGTGATCTTCAGCAAATTTGCTTGTTCTATCACTGGCTCCATTTCTTTGGGATTTTTCTCAAAATTATCACAATGTTCACTGCCCTCAGTTTCAATGTTGGGTACAATAGGTCTATTAGTTTTATCCAATGCTAAAATTTCTTTTTAAAAACTTCTGGGAAATTAACTACTGAATACATCAAATGTGTGGAGAAGGTAACCTACATCCATTCATTCGTTTATTCATTTAGACAACAATATTTAGTTAGCTCCTACTATGTAACGAGCACTGTATGGGCAGTGGGGATACAGCAATGAAGAAAAAGAAAAAAAATTAAAAGACAATATCCTCTGTATCATGAGTTTTATGATAAATATTCTGTGATGAGAGAGACAAAATACATAACATAATAAACAATTGTATTACATAATATTTCAGAGAACAATACTTAGGATAACAGAGATGAAAGGTGCTGGATGACAAGAGTATGATTTTATACAGGATGATCATGGGTATCTGAGAAGGTGATATTGAGGAAAGAATTAAAAGAGGTTAAAAAGCAAACCAAACGGATAGAAAGGAATACTACTACAGGCAAAGACCCTGAAGTGGAACATGGTTATGAGATGATACCAGGTGCACTGGCTGACCATATTATCTTGGGCTGTATAGAGTCAGAAACATGATTTTACCACAGCACTTGAAAATCAAGCTAATAAAACATGTTCAAATAAAATATTACTCTATTTCCTTCATGTTAGGCTCAGAAAAATTTTACGCTAAGTGAGATCAGCGTTCCCTCCTTTCAGACTTATCCGTTGATACTACAAAACACTGTAAACAATATAACTACAGAGCAAGTGTTATCAATGTTCAAAAACATGAATGTTGTTTTCCATTGTAATATAATGAATACACACTGAGTTGTTTGCTTTTGGAAAAAAGTAAATGTTGGAATACATTCTATAAACATGGTTTAAGTTATGTTATAAAGTTACACTTTCTAGGCAGTTTTACTGGTCTTATAGCCATCAGCCAAAAGTCTCAGGTGCTTAGGTCGGTGGAAAAATAAGCTACTGTCTTAGAGTTTTCAATAAAACAGTCAAAAAAGAGGTTGATCTTAAAGAAAAACTAACATAGAAACTAATATTATTTTAGAGATCCATTTTTTTCTGTTTTACTTTATATTATTCACATTAAAATACTTTATAGGTTTATTTCTCTCAAAGGATTTAGGTTTTTTCCAAAACGTCAACTCAGTCTTCAAAGTTGGGTTTAAATTAAGATTGAGAAAAATATTTTTTAAACTCTTGTAATTTCTAATTATTTTTAATCATGTCTTTGACATTTTTCTTATCTATATTTAAAAAAAAAACTCAATTCATCCACCTAACAAAAAACTACTTGTACCCCAAAGCTATTGAAATAAAATTTTCTTAAAAAATCTCAAAAAAGACATTAACGATAGCAGAAAGGGACTCTTGAATCACCAACAGAAGGAAAACTTACATTTTCAAAGGAGGCTACAAGTAAAACTGATATAGTCATCTTTTTCCAAAACATAGTAGAGAATAAATTGCAAATAATTAAATTGGGTTTCTAGGCTGAATGATAACTTTTGAGAGCTGACATCTGATCACTGAGCTCACCTATTCAAATAAACGTAGTATTAGTTGGTCTGTTTTTCTTTCATTATATTTAAAGCTAGGAAAATCTAGATGGAATAACCAGTCTCTCTCACTGACAACTTTGTATTTTTCTGCTGCAAAGGAGCTCAATTTTCTTTACTCATTTTTTCTGTGTTTAAACAAACTCTAAATAAGCTTTATATTTTGAAACATTTATGTACACACAGCCTTATACACCTAACCCAAAAGAAGATAAAGTTAAATTTTAGTAACCTGAAGTTCTTCACTGAAGCCAACATGGAATGCCTCCTTCTTCTCCCACAGCAATGTCACGAGGAGAATGACAGCCTCCACACAATCTGTCCCGAAAGTCTTCTCATCTCTCCACTTCATGAGCCTTACTCCTGTAAGTACCATGTTCTTACAGCTTCACAAGGGAGCTGGCTCATCTGCTGAAGGAAATCCACACAAGCATGACATTAGCATGTCACTTTTAACACGATAATCCTCACTAGGGCTTCTCTGGGACAATTACCAAAATGTTCTCCGAGAATAAAGTAGGAAGATCATGAGAGCGGATTGGAGAGTGTGATGACTGAAGCAGTAAAATCATGCTAGAGAAAGAGGACCAAAGAGAAAAGTGCACATCAACAGCAAACACTCTCATTCACTTAGACCAATCATCATGGAGGCTGAAGGACTTTCTGGGTTTGGTCTCAAGAAAGACTGGAGAAATTAAGGCTGGTAGGCACCTGTTTTAGCTAACTAGATACAAACTTGTAAAAATGTTAAATTAAAAAAAAAAAAAAAAAAAAGAGTCTTCCTCCACCACAACCCCAGGCCACATTCACAGAAATAACTACTGTTCACTATAACAGTAGCTACATTTATAGAATATTGGTATTCTATGCCTATACAAAGAGGACATGTGTTTGTGTGTGTAAAACATACAAGATACGTAAATAAATATATATAATTCATGTATATGGGTTCCTATATATTCATCTGCTATCTATCTATCTATCTATCTATCTATAGATGTGAAGTATACCCATACTACCCATTGCTGGTATTATTCTAAAATGACTATCTCAGAATTTGTACACATTCTTCTGTGAATTATCTGTATTGCACTGGAAGGATTGATGGAGAGGAAAAAGGTATCTAAGATAAGGAGCAAATACAGAATTGGGTTTTTCTACCTTGGGAAGGGGCTGAAGAAATTAATATTGAGAAAATTTCAGAGGATATGATTTCTTAAGAGATAGAAAGTAAAAGCATATATCAGGGGAGAGGAGCAAAACTAATATCTGTGGCTTAGAAATGAAATTGTGGCCTTTGCTGATCTCTCTACTGCTGAGGATGCAGGCACATCACCAAAGACAAGAGATGCAGACTTCCAGGAGTGAAATAACAGAAAACAACCAGTGACTCACCGTGACACTGGAAATGGCTGTGAAGAACGCAGAATGCTGAGAGCCAACTGTCCAATGGATGAACATGAGAAAGAACTAAGACAACCCCTCGATTTCCTAAATATGCCAAAGGAAAGCCTCCCTTGGGGAATGGCTGATGCTTGGAATATAGATGGCATGTATAATTACTTAGTTTACAAACTGGGGTCAGTTTGACATTATATGATAAGCTGTAAGGAGAAGAAATCTTCTTACCTCTCTACGTTCCTAATTTGGCTGTAAATGTGGTGTGCTGCAGGCAAGTCACATTGGCACATGAGAGCAGACTGTTAAATTCTCAGAAATTTTGTAAACCAGTTGTTAAACACAGGCATCATTAAGAATTAAAGTATATAAACTTTCAAATAAATAAATTTTATCAAAAACAAAAATATATTTTTTCAAAACTCAACACTTCCTAATTATTATCATTTTACTATCATCTATGCTCTTGAAGTTATATTTTTATCTATTCTATGGGCATAATGGAAACAATATGTCCAGCTCACTTTCCAACTTTTCCCTTAGTTGCATCACACTGGTAGCTTGAGATCAGCTAAGGTAGAGGTATTCATATCACAAAAATTGGCAAACACTACAAATCAGGATTTCATTTGTCTTGTTGACTGTCTACACCACTAGTTCTCAACCAAGGTGACGTTTGCCCCTCCAATGCCTAACATTTGGCAATGTCTCGATAAATTTTTGGTTCTTCCAACGGGGGATTACTACTAGTATCTAGTGGGTAGAGACCATGGATGCTGCTAAATACCCTATAATTCACAGGACAACTGTATTAATCTGTCCTCACATTGCTAATAAAGACATACCAGAGACTGGGTTACTTACAAAGGAAAGAGGCTTAATTGATTCACCGTTTCACATGGCTGGGAGAACTCACAATCATGGAAGAAGGTGAGTGAGGAGCAAAGTCACACCTTACATGGCTGCAGGCAAGGCAGCGTGTGCAGGGGAACTCCCATTTATAAAACCATCAGATCTCAAGAGACTTATTCCCTACCATGAGCACAGTATGGGGGAAACTGCCCTTATGATTCAATTATCTCCATCTGGCCCTGCCCTTGACACATGGGAATTATTACAATTCAAGTTGTGATTTGGGTGGGAACACAGACAAACCATATCAACAACCTCCCATAACAAAGAATTATTCAGCCCCAAATGGCAGTAGTGCTAAGGTTGAGAAACCCTGGTCTAGACCTAATAAAGTGATATGGAAAATATTAATAGTGCAGATTAAAGTATCATATCTGTACTGGTTACATTGGCCTATGTCTGCCCTCCTTTCCTATCATCACAGACAACTTTAGCTAGCCTTCTGTCTTCAGAATTTTCCAGGCAAAGGCAGGTATAACTTCCTCAATTCTCAAATATCCCCAAGCCTAACAGAACCCACCTCAGGTGGAGTGATCTCTCACCATGCTTCACTCCTGTACCGCAATAGTATCTGACCCATGGAGTGATCTCTCACCATGCTTCACTCCTGTACCGCAATAGTATCTGACCCATGACTCCATCTGTTGCTCTTGGGGCCCTTTCTGACTTACTTGGTGGAGGGAGCAACATTAACATTCTCTTCTTCTATGAATTACCTCCAAATACAGCCTCCTCTAATTAAATCTCTATCTTCTACCTTCTATTCTATATTCTGGAATTAGCTAGTAGGATATGGGTCTCAGAACTAGCTTTGCTATCACATGGTAAATCTTGAAAGTTTATGTTAGGAGTGTGCATACTTAGAACTCACTGCTCTCAGCTTTGAGGCTTCAACTGAAACTTTAAATAACAGAAAAATTCCAAGGCAACAACCTATTATATATACTTGAAGAGTCCCATTGCAGGAGCTGGACAAAAGCAGGCTCTGTTTATAGAAAACCATTGATCAAAACTGAAACAAGTCTGATGTTCACGGTGAAACTATATAGTGGACCACAAACAGGGCCTCTAAGGTTGTGCAACTCCACCTGGGAGTGGCTGATGGGGTTCAAACTCTTCAAAGTTCCAAAGGGATTCTCTGGCCTTTAGTATTTGGACAGAAAGACATTGTGTAGATAGAACGCCCATGGACAGAAACCAACTAGGCATTGTGGGTTGAGTTCACTTTGGAAAATTTAGGCACACAGATTCAGTGATTCTAATAGGCCAATCAATCATCCACAAGAGTAAGAACTTCACACTGGCAGAGGCAAAGTCTGGATGACCTGTTCCATGAGGTCACCTCCCCTTGCCTTCTCCCATGCATTGTCATGGAGCTCCAATAACAGCTTCATGCTCCATCCACCTCAGTCCACACAGAGGTCTCTAACAGTCAAATGTTAGTTTTCTTTGAAGAACCTTAAAAAATGGCTATTTGCACAAGCTTCTTAAAGTCTGACAAAATCAAATAATTGAAATAGTAGAGAATAAAGTGAGTGGATTCAAAAAATCCACATGCCCCAAAAAAGAAATTCCATGAGTGAATAATCTGAGAAAATGAAAACCAGAACTAAACAAGTAAACATGTTCTTCTTCCTTGTATCCAAAATTTAAGTAGATTGTCACTTTCTTCCAGAAGGCACTTCACATAGTAGCCTTTGGTAACTGCTGACTTTACAGAGAGATTTATTGGAGGTAGGAAAGCTGTAATCACTGCCTTGCCAAAGCAGTAAACATAAGGGATTTACTTTCCATAACAATTTACTTGTATATTTTTAAAAATACTTCAAGAAGAATGTGCATTCGAAGAATATTTCATGGAAATGAGTATAAGATGCTAATTATAAGTTTGGGAACTTAAAAGATACCACATATTTAACACAAAATTACTGTCAAAAATTGTCCTACATGGTGGAACTGTATAACCATAAGTTATTGTAAGTTAAAAACTACCTTATTCCTTGTTACGATAACCAACAGGGACTCAAAAGACGTATAAATTTCTTCTTATATGGTGATTACCTGTCACTCCTTTGCCTTCCTCTGAAGGTGTAAAAAAACCAAGGCCGGGCACGGTGGCTCACACCTGTAATCCCAGCACTTTGGGAGGCCGAGGTGGGCAGATCACAAGGTCAGGAGATAGAGACCATCCTGGCTAACACAGTGAAACTCTGTCTCTACTAAAATTACAAAAAATTAGCCGGGCATGGTGGCGGGCACCTGTAGTCCCAGCTACTCGGGAGGCTGAGGCAGGAGAATGGCAAATAAGTTTTTATCAGAGTTATTCCAAAATGGAATGAGTATGGAATATTATTCAGCAATAAAAAGGAATGAAGGACTAATGCATGCTACAACACAGATAAACTATGAAGTGAAAGAAACCAGGTACAAAAGGCCATATGCTCTATGATTCTATTTACATAAAAGATCTGGAATGGATACATCCATAGAGACAGAATGCAGATTGGTTTTTGCCAGGAGCTGGGCAGAGGGGAAAAGGGGAGAACCCACTTGAAGGGTAAAGGTTTTAGGAATGATGGAAATGTTTTGGAACTGGATAGCAGTGGTGGTGGCACAGTGCTGTGAATGGACTAAACACCACTGAATTGTTCACTTTCAAATGGTTAATTTAGAAATAAGAGAGGAGAAATAACAACAAAAAAGTTGAATGAGTAGTCACAGGATTCCCAAGTTCCCTAGCAATTAAGTTGTTTTCTTCAGCATAGGCCAGAAGTTCACTCAATATAGACACAGTGACAGATATAAAGTCAAGGTTTAGACTAGAGAAACTCAAGATTCCTTCTAGTTAGAAACTATGATAGTCTGTGATGATTTGTCATGATCTCCAGAGCTCTTCAAATAAAAACAAAATTATCTCCTATGACCCACAAGTTCTGCATGGCCTCACTGAACAAACCCTGTGTCCCCATCGCACACATCCCCTACTTATCTCATCCCATGTTGCCTCTTGTTCTAACTGTCCTGCTTTCTTTCAGTCCCTCATACATACCGTGATCTCTCCCTTTCTCCAGACCCTTGCACATGCATTTATATTCCCTACAATGCCCTCCCCTTTCTACCTGGTTAATTCTCACTCGTCCTCCAAGCATCATTCCTTCTGAGAAGATGGCTGTCACTCATTGCACCAAGATAACAAGGATCAAATATAGAGGAACCAAGAAAGGAAAAGAGAATGAAGGAAGAAGTGACTGTGGAGGCAGGATGGGCAAGACTTAATGACCTTAGGGATTAAGAATCACTGATTGGATCACAGAGGCTTTGCCAAACGCAAACTTATTTACATTTATTTGACTATTTATCATAATTTACATCATTTACCTAGTACATCTTATTCATACTTATATACTATACATATATTATATACTAGATATTAAAGTTTGTCTTCAACACTCTAATGTCCTTTCTTCATCTAACTGCATGCTGCTTAGAAACAAATTATATTGGGCTGGGCACAGTGGCTCATGCCTGTAATCCCAGCACTTTGGGAGGACAAGGTGGGTAGATCACCTGAGTTCGGGAGTTTGAGACCAGCCTGACCAACATGGAGAAACCCTGTCTCTAATAAAAATACAAAATTAGCCAGGCACAGTAGTGCATGCCGGTAATCCCAGCTACTCAGGAGGCTGAGGCAGGGGAATCGCTTGAACCTGGGAGGCGGAGGTTTCAGTGAGCCGAGATCGTGCCATTGCACTCCAGCCTGGGCAACAAGAGTGAAACTCTGCCCACCCCAAAAAGAAAGAAAGAAAGAAAGAAAGAAAGAAAGAAAGAAAGAAAGAAAGAAAGAAAGAAAGAAAGAAAGAAAGAAAGAAAGAAAGAAAGAAAGAAAGAAAGAAAGAAAGAAAGAAAGAAAGAAAGAAAGAAAGAAAGAAAGAGAAACAGAAAAAGAAAGAGAGAAAGAAAGAAAGAAAGAAAGAAAGAAAAGAAAAAGAAAGAGGGAAAGAAAGAAATCATATTCATCCTTCTATGCTACAGTTCACCTAGCCCAAAGCCTTGTCGGTGGTCAGCATTATTTCTAAATAAATATATATTCAATGAATGAATGAATAAATTGTTGCTGTGGTTTGCTGTTTAAGTTTCCAGGTCTGTTAGCAAACCCCAGACTTGTAAAATACTTGAAGGGCTGTGTACACTCCTTCTTTGTATCTTTCTTTGTGCACTGCTAAATCTTAAGCATATGATAGGGTTCAGGACATTTCTGAGGAAGAAAGGAATGACGAGTGAATGATTTCAGGCTATTTCTCAAGGAGAATGAGGAGTTTATTCAAGCCACCACCAGTTTCTATGAGTATAATGAATGCATTCAAATGTAAGTCTACACAAAACCTATTTAGGTAAGGCAGGCAGCCACCCAACCTGGAAGGACATTAGATAGAGAGGATTATTGCTTTATCATCGGTGTCACACTCACAGCTGTGAACTCGTGTGCAGCATAGTTCTATAACCTCAGGGGGACTGTCAGCTGTGGATGCTGAAAACACAGTTCTGCCACCAACAGCCCCTTTCTATTACAATGAATGACCCTCCTGTAGTTGGTGGTTGCAGTTTCAGCCATGGTGGTAGTCAGGGTTTGTAACACATCTCTACCTTTCACTCACACCATCTCCCCAACACATTCCCAAGTGAGAGTCAGCAGCTAGCTCTTCAACAAGGTAGTTTCCCTATAAATCTCAGCAGGAAGCAGCCTGGTGAAATGGGAAGAACACAAGATTGAGGGCCAACTCTTGCATTCTGCTCCCAAATATTTAACAACTCCATGTTGTTATATGTAACAACTCCATGGAGACTTTAGGAAAGAGGAAGGCAACTAGTGGTTTGCTGAGCACCTATTCTGTGCCAGACACTTTGTATGTCATTTATTTAATCAGCATCATAGCTTTACCTTATAGTTAACATTGCCTCTTTTTCACAGCTGGGGCAACAGAGGCTGAACAACTTGCCCAAGGCCAAATGTAGGATGTATAGAGAATTTGTACCCAGTTTTTCGGGTAAACTATTTCCCTTTTCTCTGAGCCTCAATTTTACCTATAAAAGAAAGAGATTAGGTGTACATGATTTAACACCTGCATAATTTTTCTAGAAACTTTTAACCTATTCCCTGATTTGTAACCATTACCACAGGAAGTAACACTGTAGCAAGAAGTAAAACAGAAACTGTCAAAAATAGACAAAATGAAGAGATATACTAAATTGAGTTCATCTCTTTGAATATTGGATTATGGAGAAGGCAGGTAATCTTCATACATCAACCTTGTGTATTGAATTAAAGATATTTTTAATAAATTCAAATATAACATTTTAGTGATTCAACAAATAATTTTTTTTCAGATTTTAAACATTATGCTATCCTATTGTTTAGTTTGTCCAAAAGATATATGATTTATTGAAGCTATTAATGCACAATAATCTCACTTTTGTGCCTAGATTGGGACCCTTTAAGAAAAAAGTTTGAGGACTGGTGAATGGACACTTTTCAATGCATGTCTATTAACTCCAAGGGGGAAAAAAACTACATTATACTTATTCACTCCTATGTAAGTCAGTCTAAATAGAAGGAGATTAATGTCTTTCTCAGATGAAGGAGCTAGACAGTCCGGTACGCTTGTTTCACTGGCACATTATAAAAATCTCTGAAGCCAAGGACCAGGCTGCTTTGCCTCTTTAGGTAAGAGAGGTGTCCTCTTCCTGAGCTCTTCCCCCATACAGAGGAAGGATGGGGATCTTCTACTTTATAAGTACCTCTTTTGGGGATTGCAAGCCAATGTCAGCTTTCAGAGACGCCAATCTGGCACTCACAGAAGAATTAAGATCACTTAAGGAATACGTACAATAAAAAGAAGACGAAAAAAAAAAGATTCTGGAAGGCCATCAAAGACTTAAAAGAGGGCATTCCGTGGCCAGGCAGAAAATGATAAAGGATCCGGGATTTATGTGCTTAGGAGAATTGAACCACACTGTTATTACAAAGCCATAACAAAACCCTGGCTCAAGCGCCATTCTGCCTGTAAGTGCAATTTCTTAAATGGAGACTAGATTCACAGGGAAGACTATGATTTGTTTGGGATTTTGTCCCCAAAGTGTAAGAATAGCTTAGGCATTAGGTATTCCTAATTTGTTATAACTTGTGAGCAACTGGCTAAGCTGGCAGCTGTAAAGAGGCCAAGACTGCAGTGGAGTCTAATAAAAACCCTAATAAAAGTTTTAAACTAGTTCACACATCTGCAGTCTAACGGGGGGTATTACCTAATATGTGCCATCACTGCAGCGGCCCCACCCCACACCGCTGGCTACTTGCTGGAGAATGAGGGTGGGGAGGGGTATTGGTGCAACATTTCCCCCAGGCAGAATTTGCTGCTTCTTAGAGAACCACAACCATCTCCACAACCATCTTCAGATGGACCTTGAGGGGATTTATTTAAAGAAATATAGCTAATTCTCTCGGGTTCCCATAATTTGCACTTGCAAAAATTCTTTGAAAAGGGTTGAAGCACGCCTCTTCAATGTATAGATATCTTCACCAGGAGACAAGAAATTGATGTCTGGCATTTTAATGCCCCCTTGCAAAAATAATCAACTCTACCCCCAGGGCCTCAGCAGCAGCAGTTCAAAGAGTGCTCCCCTCCAAGTGCTGGGACTGTATGATTTCACTAGAGTGGAGGAAGAAGCGGGAAGCCGGTGGTAGGAGGTGGAAAGCCCAAGATTTCTTTCCATGCTTTGAAAATTAATCAAGAACCTTGAGAAAATACAAAAGGTAGAATTTTAATAAAAAATCTAAAGCTTAGTAAATTGTTGATATTAAATGCAAAAAACATTCTTTTCCCATTCCAGAAAAAGTATTATATTTTTCTAAGAGAAAGTGTTTGCACCATGAGCTGACATTATAATATGTTTAATTAGGTGATTCTAAAGGTTATTCTAGCACATGCATAAACCAGTCCAGCATAAGGCCGCATCATTGGCTCAGTCTCAAGAGAGGGTGCGCATGACACTTAGCTGCTAACAGTAGCAGCCTTCAAGGCCTGTGCCCACCAAGAGCACATAGATCAAGTTGGCTCTTAGAGTCTAGTCACACATTTATATTGAAAGGTAGACAAGCCACCTTCTGGGACTTTTCCAGAGCTTCAAATAGTCTCCCTTCTCTCAGCTCATCAAGCTTAAAATGGTTTTCTTTGTTAGCTTTCAGCCACCCTTGCCTTCCAGACTAAGGAGATTTGAAACTCCTCTCCCCAGGTTATGGAAGATACAAAGGACTTTTCAGTTCACCATATTTTCCTGAAAGAAAATCTCTCTGTCTCATAAAAGCAGCCCCAAACCACACAAAAGCCTGGGGCCGGGAGAATGAGAGAGCCCAAGCCAATTCTCCCTTCAATCACTTTAACTCAACTCGCTGCTGAGAACTGCGAGGTGTCCTGTGTCTGATGATTAGCATCAGGTGATGCCAGGGTGCCAGACAATTAGCAAAATAACCTGCCTTATTCTAAGAAGGGGACTCATGGCAATGAAATTATTGTCTTAAAAATAAATGTGTTGATTAGGTCTTTGTATTTGTGCAAGCACTCTCAGAAAAAGAAATAGAGGCATGCTTCTAAAAAGGGCATTTTCGAAGAAAATACCATCCTCCTCCTCTTGCCCAGCCCCACCCACCCAAAAAATAAAGCATTATTACATTCAAATCCACTAGGGAACAACGACCAAAAGTATGTTAATTCCACTTATAATCTCTGTTCTATAGTTGTGCTTGTCATCATCTTTTTCTTTTCCTGTTCTCTAGAGGAAAACTAGAATTGCCTGAATTTGAGCTATTATTTTCTGACAATTTTAAATCACAGAACATTTCTTCTTCTGCAATGTTTTTATTTGTTCTGTTTGCACATCAAGTAGCCTATTTCCTCTAAATAACACAGTATTTACTCTAACACAACAAGTAGCCTGGGCGAGTCCAGTTCTGTTCTCATTTGCTTTACGGGTGTCTGAGGTACTGGCTTCAGGTTGTCTGGAAGAGACCCCATGAGGGTTCAGGAGGTCAACATCTGAACTACATCTGGGGCCTTTGGATTAGTATCTACACATTTGGGTTAAGACACCTTCAAAAAGGGATGCATGGGAGTCACTCACATTGTAGCTAGTATTATCCGCATTGAGTGAAGTAGTTGGAGTTTAAGGAGGGTCATTCACACAGGTGGTAGAAGGGCTAAGATTCAAATTCAGATCTCATTGGTTCTAGAACCTGCACACTCAAGTCCTTCATGATACATCTCCCCTATTAGTAACATGTAACAGACCCAGAATTTCTGGCTCAATGCTCCAGAAAGCAAGGAAACTCTAGGATAAAGGGCATTCCCTTGCCTTCTCTAAGTGCAACTTGCAACTACACCCAATTTCCCCCACCCTCGGCTCTAGTGCATTTTCTAGCTAAGAGACATACATGTGTGACTCAGAGACATGGTATCCAAAGAGGTCTGGAGCAGAGGCATTGAGCAGGTTCTTTTTTTTTGAGACAGAGTCTCGCTGTCGCCCAGGTTGGAGTGCAGTGGCGCGATCTCTGCTCACTGCAGGCTCCGCTCCCCGGGGTTCACGCCGTTCTCCTGCCGCAGCCTTTTGAGTAGCTGGGACTACAGGTGCCTGCTACCTCGCCCGGCTAATTTTTTGTATTTTTAGTAGAGACGGGGTTTCACCGTGTTAGCCAGGATGGTCTCGATCTCCTGACCTCGTGATCCGCCCGCCTCGGCCTCCCAAAGTGCCGGGATTACAGGCGTGAGCCACCGCGCCCAGCCTGAGCAGGTTCTTTGAGGAGGTACCTACCAGTCCACAGGTGTGAGTCAGGCAAGAGGAAGTGCAAGAGGAACTAAACCAGGTAGGAAGTGGAGCCCAGTATAGGCTGCGACAACTACGTGTGGTAACGGGCCCCAGACATCATGGAGAGAAATTAATATGTATTTAAGAACACTGCCTTTCCATAATAGAAGACATTTCATTGCCAATTACCAAGAATGTCTTGAAGTGTCAGAACTGGGCTTAGATGAGGACTCTGGCCAAATAAAACTTTTCCTGGGGCTTGTTATCATTATTTTTCAGTGGCAATGGTGACTCAGGAAACAATCTTTAGAAATTTTTTTTATCACCTAGATCTGCTCAGTCGTGTCCTTCTGTTGTGATGCCGCTACTCCTGAGTTGGGCCCATGTTCTTTCCAGTTTTCTGAGGTCACTATACTGTGCTATTCAGAGGAAACAGCAGATACATACCATTCTCCATTCCAGGCTACAGCTTCAGTCCCACCACTCCAGCCAGGAGGCCCTCAACCCTGGCTGCAAGTTAGGATTATAGAGAGGAGACTAAGACCAGCATGAATGTCATGGTAAAACAAAATAAACATGTCTAGTGTTCTCAGTAAAGAATGATTACAAAATATGACCTATTCACATATTTAGATAGGATTCATCTCTAGACATGCCCCCAGCCTGTAACAAAACTATTAAAAATTAGTCCATGACGCATTAAGTTTTCACTAGAAAGCCAGCTATGATATATGGTACAAATGAGCAAAAGTTGAAGCTCTGAGTTGATGTAAAAGACAATTGCGTGTAATTTCTTCCACCCTCTGCCCTCCATGTCTCTCAAATGATCAGTGGGAAGCTATAATACACATTTATCCACAATTACAATGCTGTTGAAATAAAGAAAATATTGTAGACAAAGAGCTTTTCCATTTTAAAAGTTGGAAGGTTATTTGCTTACTTCTTATCCATATATATTTAATTAGATGTGGATGCACCTGCTTGGCCATTTTGTACATAATTTGATTTTACAGTGCCTTCATAAAAATAAGAAAACAGTGGCCCCTCTGGATGACTTCTTGGCAAGAGGAAGATACTTTTTTACAGAAGAAAAAGGTGGTGCCTTCCCCCTTCTTCCAGGTAGGACTGAGCACAGCCTGGATCACATCCCCCACTCATTCCCTCCATCCAGCATTTATAGGCAGGGCTTGGAATGTGCAACCCTAAACATGTAACCCCAAAGGATCGCCCACATTCAGTTCACAATTATTCTTTTACCCAGCTTCATTCGATGGAAAATCTCCAGGAAACATTTCAGAAATTGGTCATAATTTTTCAGTTGAGACTAAGTTTGGGAGGTTTCTAGCATTTAATGAGAAGAGACCAGGGATGCTAGATGCCTTACGAAGTTCAGGGAAGAACCAAACTAGAAAAAATTGTTCCACACCTTCATATTAAAATATATATATATTTAAAACACTTTTAACTGGTACAATTACCTGAAGCTTGACCCTAATTCCTTTATAATTAAATTAAGTAATCTACTTAATAGTTTGTATATATATTAATTTTCCAAAAATGCAGCTACTGTATGAATGAAGAGAAGACTGTACATTGTTACCTTACAAAGATTTGCTCAACATTTTGGAAAATTATGCCACCAAGAGAAACTCAGGTCATAGGATTTTTGTTTCTAATACAAGATACTTGTAATTGTTTATACTAGTAGTTGTTCCATTCATGATGATTGAACATATGTATGCATATATATCTTTAGATCTTGTTTCAAAATATCAAATATAAGATAATAGCAACAAGATTCAGCTGACAATTTGAAATTGGATTATATAGCTTTGCCCTTAAAAGAGAAGTTATGGAAATGCCTTCTCTCCCGATGTGTTTTTTCTAATGAAGTAACAAAGTCATGAAGATTAAAGAAACATTTTACAAAGAAACATCATAATAAAGTTGTCAAAAGTGTGTCACATTTCCAAGGGATCTTGTCCCTGGAATACTCACAAATAGTCTTTTAATCAAAAAAAGGATGAATCTTAGCAATAGAAATGATTGCTAAATTGTGGTAAGCTACACAATATTGGAGAAAAGCTAACTTTACTAGCTATGCAAGAATTTAGTAAAATCATCATGGAAAAAATGCAAATAATTTTTTTTTTACTGTTCTTTTGAGCAGTGTTACTGTGTCCAGAAGAATTTATGGCAGTGTTGAAAAATTAGCCATGTAATGAACTGCAACAAGTAAGTTTTTATGTCAAGTATATGAAAGCATCTTGTATGACAATGAAGATTTACTGCTCATATACAAAGATCTGCAAGGAAAAAAAGAGTAGTAGATAAACTAGTATTTTCAAAAGAACTGATCAAGTACAAAAAAAGTATGTCAGTAGTTAGAATTGTTAAAAAATGTTAAACAGAAAAATAATTTCCTTTCCAGTCATTGACTGTACCATAGAAAATGGGACCAGCTATGATTTGCCAATAAGGCTTTGTAAACAAATTAAAATACCACCATGTTTTAGCAGTTCCTTCTATTTTTCATCAATGACTAGTAGGTAAGAATCTTGGTGAAACATTTCAGAAATCAATATATTGTTTAGTCTTAATAAAATTAAGACATCTATGAATTATTATTTAGAAACCTATGAATTGACAAAAATATTAAAAATTTTATCCAACATAATAAGTAATCTTATAAGTAAGATAGCTCTTCAAAGGCAACTGCTTATCAATTTTATGCTTACTATTTGACAGTGTTGTAGAATTATTGCATCATTGATAAATTAGTGACAAATACAATACCAAAATTAAAATGTTGAAAAATGTTGAATTTATTTTTTAGAGATAGTTGTAAAGTTAAATGAGGTAATTTTGAGATGCAAGGAAATGAAATCAATCACATCAATGTGAAAGAAATATTTATGGGAATTATCAAGAAACAGATTTCTTTAAAATAATCTTTGTCACTGAACATTTTCATTATTCTTCTTTCCACCTACCGAATGAAGTTAAGTGTAATACTATTTGGAAATATATTACTCTCATATGGATGCTACCAAAAGATGAAATGTAACTATCTGAATGAATAAGTGATTAATGCATGATCTATTCATTTGAAATGGAAAAAGGGCATGTCAGCCAACACTTACAGAGTTCCCTGAGGGAGGAAGAAAGGACAGGGGCCCAAGAATTTAATCATTCTAATCACAAAGTTAACCCACTCCTTTTCTTGTTTGTTTGATTTTTTCAATTTTAATATAATGTTTAATGAATAATATGTTTAATGAAAATAGTTTTAACATCATTTAACATTTATTCAATCTTTCTCTTAATCTGTTTAAAGGACTGATGTCTACATTGCCAGGGCATATAGCTATTACATATTATAATCCCTTCTTTTTAACCCTCATTTGGTTCTAATTCTATAAGTAACTATATATTTACTGCTCACCACCAGTACTTATCATGATTATCACCAGTAATTTTGGTTATGTGATGCTCATTCTTTAATACTTTCCTTCAAGTGTTCATGGGATGGAGATATCTGAAGTTCTTGCCTGTTCGTAACAGTTGGCTTCTCCTCTTTACAGTTAAAAGTCCCTTTTGTATCACACCTTGATTATGTCTAAAAATTTCTCTAGAATACATCCTAGTATTGATCATCTGGCTTAATATTCTCAGGTGTGTGATATATTCTTTCAATATGCAGTTTCTATTATTGTTGTTGCTGTTTTGGAAAAGTTCCTCCAATTATACTGTTGGGATTTGTCCTGTCTCTTGGCTTTTATTCGGTTCTTCAGGGACTCCTTCATTTGCTTTTTTTAAATTTGGCCTCTGTTCAATCTTTGTCACTTTCCCTTGAATCTTTTTCAAGTGTCTCATTGTTAGTGTTAAAATTTTAGATTATTCCATAATCTTCATCTATTTTTCCATAAGGCATTATCTGTTGTGTGTATTCACTCATGTTTCTCCTGCAAACCCACTTCTTTAAAGAAAGAAGTTGAATTACTTATTAGAGCATTTTGAACCTCATATTCAGGGAGAATGAGTTTCAGTGCTACATCACAGTTAATACAAACTACAGTTGTTATAAATATATTGCAATGGTCACTGTAAAGAAGCCTTAAAACATACAACGAATATAAACAGTGTGAACAAATTCCAAAACAAATATTATCAAATTGGTGGAGTCACATGAAACAAATATACTTTTGTTTTAAGGATTATTTTTAAAGTCTTTCATGTTATTGCTATTCTATATATGTACAGAATATATGTATTGTAGCTTAATGATAGGAAATTTGTGCTGCAAAAAAAAATGCCTATTTATTTTGCTTGGGTTGTCCATTCTCTTCTAAATGTAGTATTTATTGAGTCAGTTGTTATCTTAGAAAGTTAGAATCATAGGTAGTTTATGTTTTCATTTAAAACATTATATTTCATTTAAATGTGAATCTCAACTTATCACAGTCTGCCTTCAAATAACGTTATACTCACTTTACAAGTTAACACAAGAAGCTTACAGCAGGAATTTTTCATTTTCCCCTTGTTCTTTGTGATATTATTGCCATTTATTTTTCACTTCTATATATGTTACAAACGCCACACTACCTTGTTGTTTGCTTTATATAGTCACAAACATTTGGAGAAATTGAAAAACGAGAAGTCTTTACTATTTGCCTCGCATTTACCAATTCCAGTGTTCTACCATGTTGATTAAGTGTCTCAGTGGTATCCTTCACCTTCAGACAAAATAATATATGTTAACATTTCTTGTAATACTTAGTGAACAATTCCCTCAGCTTTTGATTGTGTGAAAATGTCTTTTCTCCATTTTTTAAGGATTGCTGATTGAGGATTCTTAATTAACAGAGGTTTGTTTTTCTTTCCTCTCCTGTCTTCTGGCTTGCTTGTTTCTGATAAAGTCAGTGCTAATTGTTACCTTTGTTCCTGGCACACAATGTGTCTTTTTTCCTCTGGCTGCTTTTGAGAATGTTTTCTCTTTCTCACTTATTTTCAGGAATTTTATTACAATGTGCCTCTTTCTTTTAAAACAAAAATTCTAGGTTCAGGGGGCCATGTGCATGTTTGTTATATAGTTAAACTCATGTCACAGGGGTTAGATTCTTTGTGTTTGTCCTACTTTGGGTATGTTGGGTTTCTTGGACCTGTGTGTTCATAGTTTTCATCACCAGGAAATTTTTCGAGCATTACGTTTTCAAATTTTTTGTATTCTTCTCTTTTCCTAGGACCCCAATTTACACATTTCTTAGACCTCTTACATTATCACAGAGCTAAGTGAGAATCTGCTTTTTCTTTCCATCTTTTTCTTTCCATGCTTCAGTATGGAAAACTCCTATTGTTATGTATTAATGTTCATTGATCTTTTTTTCCTCCAGTATCTCTTCTGCTATTAAGCCCATCCAGTGAATTTTTTTCTTTCAGATATTGTGCTTTTCATCTCTCATTTTTAATCTCTATTTTACATGTATATCTTTATTTAAATGCTTATTAATTCCAACATTTCTACAATTTCTGAGTCTGTTTCTATTCATTATTTTTTCTCCAGATTATGAGTCATATTTTTCTGTTTCTTTGTGTCAAGCACATTTTGATTGATGTGATTAGATTGCTGATTTTTTTTTTAATTTTGTTGTCTTTCTTTAGAGATCATTGAATTTTTGTTCCAGCATCAATTAAATTATTTGAGGATTAGCTTGATTCTTTTGAGTCTTGATATTAAGCTTTGTTAGGTCAAGCCTTGACTAACTATGTGGGGACTACTCCTAAGACATGGCTTTGCAAGGGTCTCTGCTGAATGTTCTGAGTTTAATGAGATGTTTCCACTGTGACTATACTAAATTCAAACCCTACCCACTTCTCAGCCCTGTGCATGCTGTAGTACAAGTTTGTCCAACCTGCTGCACACGGGCTGCCTGCAGCCCAACACCATAAACTTCTTTAAAACATTTATAAGATTGTTTTGTGATTTTTTTTTTTTTTGCTCATCGGCTATTGTTAGTGTTAGTGTATTTTATGTGCGGCCCAAGACAATTCTTCTTCTTCCAGTGTGGCCCAGGGAAGCCAAAAGATTGGACACCCCTGCTCAAGCCAAAAGATGGGACACCGTTGCTCAGTTTCTTGTTCTTGGGTACTTGTTCTTTGCCCCATAGTTGTTTTTCTCTAGTCTCATGGAGTTACATCCTAGATTCAAAGGGACATTTGATGTAGATTTCTGGAACTTACTCTTCATCTCTCCTTTCTCTCTGGTTCTCTAATCTCTCTAGGCTCTGATCTCTGGCTGTCAGCTCAGCAAGATGGCTGTGCTTCATTTAGCTTCCTGCTTTCTGTGCCATGGTTCCAGGACATGCTTCCAAATTGTAAACCAGAGTAATCATTTGACACATCTTACTCGTCTTCCTTCTCTCAGGAATCACAGTCTTGTGTTGGCTATTGTCCAACACCTGAAAACATTTTTTTCATATATTTTGTACAGATATGCATTGTTTACCACAGGAACTATTTCCTCAGTTGTGACCGGAAGCAGAAGTGAGTTGCCTATGAATTTTAATTTTTTGCTTATACTGCCCCCAGAAGCATATCATAAAACAGTTTTCTACAGCCTCCTATTTGTATTACTTTTTTTTTCCTAATCCACTCTCTGCTCCCTACCACCTGCCAAAATATTTGGTCTTCAAAGTCTTAATAAATACCAGTAACTGAAAGTATTCCCCAACACGTGGCAGGATTTTAAAATAGAAGATATGTTTTCTGGGATACTCTGTCATTACTTTGCCTAGGTCATTCCATATGAATTATTTTGACCCTCCACTTACAAGTAAGATACAGCTCATTTGTTGGACTAATTCCTCATTTTCTCCACTTCGTTGGTCTGCAATTTTTCTTGGCATGTTATCCCAACTTCAATTAAAGTTACTTCTCTCCTTCCTTTATTACACACAAATGAATCTGGGTTGGTATAACCTATTCAAACACTACTTTTTATTTAGTGTCACTCATAGCTATACTATTTCATTTTCCTGCTTTTCGTGTAGGGAACGATTTCTTACTTTCTTGTTGAAAAACCCAAACTTATTCATTGTGAAGTTGGGGCAATAATCTGACTACTTCACTATATTTTCTAAGTAGTCATGTCCAAGCACTTACATAATTAAATGCATGTTATTTTGTGATAAAATGTTTTTCTTGTATTTGTCCTTTTTGAGGGCAATAAATTTATGTGTAGATATTTTATTAATATTTTCAAAATTTTATATGTAGAAAGAGTATACTATTTGTTACTTCTCTTACAGTATAGCAAAAGGGGCATTACAAAATATTGGCTAGAAGACAGCATTGAGTCTTATAGAGTTAAAACCCACTGATTTACTTAACAACTTATTAATTGCTTTCCATGTCCAAAGCATTGTCCTATTGGAAATATAGAAGCAAAATGGATGTTGTCTATGGCCCTGATGAGTTCACAATTTAATAGGAGAGATATCCTGGAGCTTCGTGAGTATAGGTCACTTACAATATTTCTTCTTCCTAGGACAGCCATTGACACAGAGAGGCTGGTTAATAAATGCACATTGAATTAATGAAAGTCAATTTTCAAATAGCTTAATAAAGGGCAATAAGTAAAAAGTGAACCAATAGTGGTACAAGTGGAATACCATAGGAGTTTAGAAAAGAAAAATATCAGATCTGATGTGACCAAAACAGGACTCTTGGAGGAAAGGGCTTTTCATTTAAACCATGATGCATAAACCAGATTGACATAGAGGCAGAGGCCAGGGGTTCCAAAGTGAAGGACAACCCAAAACTCACAAATGAAAGATTACACAATATGTTGGAAGAATAAGTAGCAACCAAGTTTGTCTGAACCTTAGTAATCAAGTTCAAGTAAAGGAGTCACAAGGCTTGAAAGTTAGTGCCAGCCAGATTGCAGAAGAAACTACACCACGGACAGCAGAAACCAAGGTTCATTTCTGACACAATAACAATAATGCCTTAGGAAGATTAATCTAGCTGTGTTATGTAGGAAAACTATGATGTCAAGGAACAGGGCTTAACCTAGGGGATATTCTTATATCAAATGCCTCACCAAATATGTAAACCACAAAGAATCTCCTTTTTGAAACTAGTAAACCTCAGGATGACATTATTATTTTTAATATCCTGTACCTGCAAGGAGATGAAGAGAAATGAGATAATATTTATGTCATATATGTGTTTATGGAAAAAAGATACAGCGTTTGAAATAAAGAATAATGTAATGGGATAATAAAGGCTCATTCTAGTAACTTGAACATTTTCTTCCTCTTCATTCTCCATTATAGACACGTTTAATATCACCCTGGTCATAAGGTGCGGGCAGCTAGGCAAAGTCATGGTAGAGTAAGTTTCAAAAAGTCTGTCCTCAAAGAATTTCTTATATAAGAGAGAACAGACTCAGATACGTTGACTTTTGTTATTAATTTAAGAAACGGCCTGGGCGCAGTGGCTCATGCCTGTAATCCCAGTACTTTCAGGGGCCCAGGTGGGTGGATCAAGAGGTCAGGAGTTCGAGACCAGCCTGACCAACATGGTGAAACCCCGTCTCTACTAAAAATACAAAAATTAGCCGGGTGTGGTGGCATGGGCCTATAATCCCAGCTACTCAGGAGGCTGAGGGAGGAGAATTGCTTGAACCTGGGAGGCAGAGGTTGCAGTGAGCCAAAATCACACCATTGCACTCCAGCCTGGGTGACAGAGAGAGTCTCCGTCGGAAAAAAAAAAAAAAAAAAAAAAAAAAAAAAAGGTCTAAAACTGTATTGTCAGCACAAGAAGAATGTAACTGGATGCAGTTTACTCTTTTATATTCTCCTGGATACTTTAAATTTCTTCTAAGTAGCAGAGACTTGAGAGTTATTCCTCTGTTTTAGATAATTAATCTCAGGTACCCGTAGAGAAACAGACTTTAAACTATAGAAGCATCTTATGCATACCTCCCTAAAAGCCTTGTTCAGTTAATCTCTTAAGGTTTGCCTTTACGACAACAGCTAATTCCATTTTACTTATTCTAAAGCCCAGGCAGTGAGATGAAGTCCCCCTCTGCAGACCCAAGCCAAAAGGACACACTGAGTCTGGAGAGTGAATTAAAATTTTCACTGGTCAGAAGACATGGAGAGCTTGGTAATCTTGTGGCATAACATTAGATTCTCAGCTCACACCACAGAAGTCCATTATAGGCCTCAGAAATCCCCGGGTTACTTCTGCCCCCACTTCCTATGAAAATAATTACTAGTTCATGCCCAAAGATTAAAACAGCCACAGCATGAAACAACTTCAGTGTTCCTCTTAGCCTACTTATTTGCTTAAGCCTCCTTCCAGAATATCCCATCAGTCAGAATTCCAGGCAGTGCTTAAAATGTGCGAAGTTGCTAAGCTTTCATCTCTGACTATTTTGACTAGGTCCCAGTCTCTTCCTCTAAGTGGGGTGTGATTTTTATTTTCATTCTTTCTCATATAAATCATACCTCTCTTCCATTTAGTGTCTCCTGTTTTAGCTATGGTAACCAGGCATAAGATCGCTTCCAAACCGAGTAGAAAAAAAAAAAGAAAAAGAAAGAAAGAAAAGAAACCGATTAAGGGTTTTTTCTTAATCTGAAAATGAACAAATAAAAACTTCGAACATTGAGTGGGCAAGAGAAGTAAACAGCATTCATGTGAATGGATGGGGCAATTCAAATTCACTTTGGCAATTGACATGAACAATAATGGCAATTAATTCTAATAAACCTCAATGTAATGAATCTTTGGTTTTGAACTAATTGAACTGTGATAAATTGGAATTATGCTAGTAGTAAAAGAATAATAGCATAAAAAACATAGAACTAGTATGATTTCATGTCACTTTTGAAAGAAATAGTAAATAAAATTGAGTTGATTTATGGGTGTCAAATCAAGGCAGGACAGTATAGCATCTAAAAGTTTGAATTGTTGTGAATTTGTAAAGTAGAACCTCAGTAAAACATAACAGAGTTCATAAATTAAGACCGTTAGCATGACTTCATACTATAAAATCATAAATATTAAAAATCTAATCTTTATTGAATGCTTACTATGTGCCAAATGACTGCTTTCTATGCTTTTTTCTCATTTACTTCTTCTATTTTTTATTACATAATCCTGTCCATTTTACAAATACAGAAACTGAACTTTAGGAAGAGAAAATAGCTTACATAAGTGAACTAGTGGGTGGTGGGGCTAGTGATCAAAACTTAAACCCTTGTTCTTAAACACTGGGCTATTTATTTTGCTTACCCTTTATACACAATGGTTAGATGAGATATGAGTTCCAATCACATCTCCCAAGTGTTTTAGTAGACTCCTGCCGAATTTGTTATTATCTATTCAATAGTTAAGACTACATTTGGTTTTCAAGCAGCATTAAATACAACTTAAACAACGTTTCAAAAAATTGAGGAAGGTTCATTGTATGATTTCACATGAAGTTGGGGGTACCTGGTTACTGAAGTGAGTTAAGGAGCTCAACAGTGTTGTCAAGGACCCATGCTCCTCTGTCCATTCACCACTCTTTTCTTATGGTTAAAATGGTAAAATTTATTTTATGCATATATATATCACAATTAAAAAATGAAATTTAAAAAATCCTAATATATAGACTTTTGTGTCCTTAGGATATTAGATGCTAAATTTTTTATTCTAACAGAAGTATGTCAAAAGGGAGGGCCCCAAAGAAATTCTCCAAGTCCCATTAAGTTCACATATATCTCAGGGTAATTTTCAGAGTGCCGCAAACATTACCTGCCGGCTTTATTTCTCTTGAGGCTGAGGTAACCTATTTCTGTGAGGACCCACTAATATAGACGAGTTAATGGAAATTACATTCCAAGATTGGAACATGTCAAGAAAGAGGCAGACGGAATAAAGTTAGTAAACCATTCACCATTCTTAACACCGAAGAGTGCCATCTCAGTACAAGATGGAACAGAGGGCCAGGCATCAGGCCGGTGTTCAAGTCAGAAATGAAGGTGGAAGCCTGGAGCTAGGGACATCTATCCCTTTTATCAGGAAATTGAAGGCTTTCTCAGAAGTCTCAGCAGATT
Source organism: Homo sapiens (assembly GCF_000001405.40). Lineage (NCBI taxonomy): Eukaryota > Metazoa > Chordata > Mammalia > Primates > Hominidae > Homo > Homo sapiens. Next base: position 219,491,704 of record NC_000001.11, read on the forward strand.
CCTCTTATATTCTATCGCCCAGATCTGTGTCACGTGGCTATACGTAGCTTCAAGGAATGCTGCAAAGGCAAGCAATAATTTTGGCAGGTCTAAAAGTGCAAATGGGCAAAGGAGAAGAGGACCAGGCATGGGCACAGGACTAGCCACCCAACAGTATTTGTGGAAAGTAAATATTCAAAGATGGTGTCTTCATCTGTTCAGGCTGCTGTAACAAAAATAACATAAACTGAGCTGCTTAAACAAATAAAAAATTATTTCTTACAGTTCTAGAGACTGGGAAGTCTAAGATCAAAGTGCCTCCCATTTGGTTCCAGGTGAGGGTTTGTTTTTTGGTTTGCAGACAGATGCCTCCTTGCCGTGTCCTCCCATGACAGAGAAAGCAAGATCTCATATCTCTTCCTTTTTGATAAAAGCATTAGTCCCATCATACGCGCCCCACCCTCATGACTTTATCTAACCTTAATTACCTCCCAAAGGCCCCACCTCCAAATACTATCCCATTGAGGGATAGGGTTCCAACATATGAATTTGAGGGGGATATCACATTCAATCCATGGCAGAAGGGATTATTTGATCAATATAGTATAAATTTCATTAACTGGTGTTAGAATTCTTCTAAAGCATATTTTTTTCAGAGATGGGGTCTTGTGGAAAGCAAAGAAACAGTTTTTATCTTGATAACAGTTGCTGAAAAATGCCTATATGCAGGTAGTGTCTGGACCATACTGACAGTTAAGCATGTGTAGTTCATACCCAGGTCTCTTAAGAAGTATGGAGAGTGGATGCGGAAATAATTCAGATTAATCTGCACATGAATATAAGATAGTATATGATGCATACTATGAAAAAGCAAGTAAAATGCAGCAACTTTAGTGGAAGGAGAAATGATTTTTTACTGGGAAAAAGTTTTGCTACAAAAAAAGCACGTGCCTATTTTGTAGACAGAAAAGACTATCCTCAGAGAAATGACTCTCTAATGATAGAGTTTCAGATACTACAACAACTATGTAAAAGAGATAAAAATGCCAGCATAGTATAAACATCAAAAACTGCCAGAGGAGTAAGAGTCTGCCCTGACAGTGTTTCAGCTACACCCCATTGTCAGAATGTGGATCGTACCATTCGAATTCCCATGTGTCCACATGAATGTGAGCATTCTTGATAATCTCTTATGTTTAGATACCACAATGGGGCACCCTCAGGGATTTTCCTCTCCCTTAATCATTTCATCAGTTTGAGATTCTAGTGTGGTTGGGGACCAAGAATTGTTTGGTATGTTAGAGAAGCACATAACATTTTAATTGTGCTTGGAGACAGCGAGACTGAATGAGGGAGAGTAATTAAGAAACATAAATAAACTAGGAACTCTGCTTTGCCTCACATCATATCATTATGGCTCAGAATGAACTGCTGAGCTTTACTATGAGTGAAAGAAGCAGCCAAGGCCACTGATTTTGGAACAAGAGTAAGGACTATATGGAATATGTAAGGTGAAGAATAGAGGCAACTACAGTGTTATTGTAATTATTTTTTATTGTACATTTACTTCGTTTATCATAGAAAAACACACTAATTATGTGCGGGGTATATGGCATGTGCTCTGGCCTTAATCCATGAACATCATTATATCATTTTTTATTATTTATTTATTCATTTATTTTTGAGACAGTGTCTCACTCTGTCGCCCAGTCTGGAGTGCAGTGGTGCTATCTCGGCTCACTGCAAACTCTACCCCCTGGGTTCAAGTGGTTCTGCTGCCTCAGACTCCCAAGTAGCTGGGTTACAGGCTCCCGCCACCATGCCCGGCTAATTTCTGTGTTTCACCATCTTGGCTGGGCTGGTCTTGAACTCCTGACTTCAAGTAATCCACCCACCTTGGCCTCCCAAAGTACTGGGATTTCAGGCATGAGCCATCGTGCCCAGCCAATATACATTTTTTAAAATTAATTAGCAAATTAAACCTGTGAGATGGATACTCTCATTCTCTCCATTTCATAAATGAAGAAAATAAGGCTTGGAGAGTTCAAGTGACATACCAATGCTTATGTATTCCTTTCTAGGTGCTTAGCAGGTACTAACAGCCATTCAGTGGCAGATCTTGCTTTCAATCATGACCTATCAGACACCCAAAGCCATAATTTTAACTATCATGTAAAATAATATTTCTGTAACCCAGAAAAAAGGCAATAGAACTCAGATTTTGAAAAAATTTTGGCAGATTCCAGTTCTAGAGAGGATAATTATCTTGGACACAAGCAATTAAATGTAAACATGTATAATGTGAAATATTCAAATATACATTGAAACTGTCCCTGAATTGGATGCATTTATTAGTGGATAAATGTATTATAATAATTTATTAATAGAGAATAAATTAATATACTTATTACTAAATGGATGAGTTTATTAAGATACCTAACAATATATTAAACAAGCATATAAAGGCTTGTTTTCATAGCAGCATCATTAATGCTGCTAAATGTCCATCTCTGTGCAGATATTGGCAAACCTTTTCTCTAAAGACCAGACAGTAACTATTTTCAGCTTAGCGGGTGATAGAGTCTCTGTCATAATTATTTAACTCTGCCTTTGTGGCATGAACGCAGCCATAGACAATACATAAACAAATGGGTGTGGTTGTGCGCCAATACAATTTTATGTATAAAACAGGCAGAAGTGAAATTGGGCCATGGTCCAAGGTTTGCCAGCCCCGATGTTAGATAGCTAAAGTGATCCCATTTTAGGGAGAAAGCTCTAAAAGAGTGCTAATATAGAAAGCAAGAAAAACAAATAGATATATTTAAAATTTAAGCAACACTTGAATCTCATTTTTATAAAGGGAGGGAGTCAACACGGTTTTCATTTTCACTTTCAGTAGTATTAACTAATGATTACAAGGAAAGAAACTTATGTTAAATTACAAAACTAATTTATAAGGCAAATTGTCTAAACTGTCAGATTATCTAAACATCAGAAGGCACGTCAGAGGCAATAATAGTACACAAAATAATGTTTAGAAGAACCAGAATAAAGCTCACCACCAGTCAATCTATACATATTTAATGACCGTGCAATATGTAAGTTCTATTGCAGAAATGCAAAGATAAAAAAGAAGGCAAAAGAAAAGAAACAAATATTAGAAAATTAAATTTAGTTTATGAGAGATTATCACGTGGTTATTAAAATTGTTTATTTCTATGTAATAGCCTTCTCTCAATATAACAAAGAAGAAAATAGATCAATCTCCAGGAATTAAGATTTTTAACCATCTGAAATAATAAGATGGATGCATATAAACTCTTGAAATTAGTTTCACCTCTACTACTCTAGTTTTGTGAAGCAGACACTAAAATAAATATATATGTGTGTTTGCATGTGTGTGCATATACAGACATAAACATTTATATGTATGTTACTTAATTGTTGTTCTCTGTATAGTATATGTAGTGTGTAAGTTATATGTGTGTGCATATATAAATACTGTGTCCAGATACTATATATATACACGTACAGTGTTCATATATGTAGTGTTTATGTAGACATATATACCATGTGTGTTGTATATGTAGTATATATATACACATATGTATAGTCATCCCTCAGAATCCACCTGGGATTGGTTCCAGGATCCCTATGAATAACAAAATCCACAGATGTTCAAGTCCCTTGTATAAAATGGCATACTACTTGTGTGTAACATACACACATCTTGCCGTATACTTTAAATCATCTCTAGAATTCTTATAATACCTAATGCAATGTAAATTCTATGTAAATAGTTAAACTATATTTTATTTGTATTACTTTTTATTGTTGTATTATTATCTTTTCCAAATATTTTTTATCTACAGTTGGTTGAATTCATGGATGTGGACAGCCAACTGTATTGTATGTCTATATATATATACACACATATGTATATACTACATAAAGAATGAAGAATAAGTAATGTACAGATTACAAACATTTCCACATTATTCATCTCGTTAAATCTTCACATCGAAAGGTAATACAGAAAGGGTAATACAAAAAAAATTTAAAAACTTGAGTGAAGATAACAACAAATAGATCTGTAATGGAGAGACCAAGTCAACTTTACCTGTAACTATCAATCAGTGTGAGTCCTCTTTTCCCCAACAGATGGTGTGGAAGGAGAAAAATGGGAGTACATCATGCTGCGTTCCAAATCGTTTATCATCTTAAAAATGTGGGAAAGCTAGAATTGGTAAACAAGACTTTTGTAAGCATGCATAAAACATATTAAATATTTGGTGGCAAGGGATTTCCATGAGGCTTTCATGGGAGTTAATAAATCAACAGAAACCACTTACCGAAACATTTTCATGGGTCCAGTGGAATTCTAAGCAAATATCAGGTTTAAGAATGAAAAGTCAGTTATATTTTCAACGTAATCTCACGTTCAAAGAAGTGTAAAAGATGCTTAAGTGTTAATATTTTATGTTTCCCCACTCTCAGCAGTAAATGCAGCCCATTAAAAAGAATGCTAAGCCATAGCTGTTAGCACTGGCAAGGGACCAAGGAAACACTGAACCTTCACAGAAGGGGGTTAATTGCTACACGAAGAGGTAATTTATTAAGGAACACTGAAGCCCTGTATATTCCCCAATGTGAGGCTGAACAGCAAAATCTTATGTGAATATTACATTTGATAATCAAGGCCTTTTCTATGGCAGACTTCAGAACTAGCTAAGCTAAACAAAAAGGGGCAATGGAGGGGAAAAAGGGAGAAAGAAAAAATTCCAACACCATTTTTTCTCTATGGCTCCCATAAACCTTTACACGGTGCCCTCCAGTCTGCCGCCCCCACCACCAGGAAAAGTTTGCTGCTCCATAAACCTCTTGGTGGCTGATGAGAAAGTCTCACGTAACTATCAGGTGCAGGGGCAGCTTCTACTGTTTTTTATTTGTCCAGATCTGATGCTTCAGTATTCTTCCGAGTGTCAAACTTAATTTTCACCATTTGTCAGAGCAATGTTTTCAGAACCTTATCATGTTGAACTAGACCTTCTTTTCCATCACAGTTCAGACCAATATCACGTGGCCTATTAAACATCAAGTGTGAAGAAAATAGTGGCCCCCCACGTCCCATGCCTAATGTCTTCCTTTTGGCAGAATTTCGTTCTTAGTCCAATGGGCGCCTTGTTCTGTCCTGAGCTTATGATTTTGTCAATGGCAAAGGTTCAAGAGACAAGTAGAGTCCAAAAGCAAGTGTGAGGGCCAAAGTGGCTCTGAGAAATCATTTTACCTAAGAAGCTGATGATGTTCTTGGCGGCACTGGCAACGGATTTTGGAGTCTCAGAGAACTAGGGTAGGAGAATTAGTTTTACCTCTTTGTCTTTCTTTTTTTTTTTAACATCTCCAACAGCAAATTGTCATTGAAGAAAAATTCCCTTGGGAAAAAAAAATAGAGCAAAGGAGAAACTGGTTGTTCCATCTTTTTTATTTTGGGCTTAGTCTTCTAGCTATCTCTAATCAAGCCCTCAAAAAATGAGTATTTATGGGGTGCAGATCTTCCTCCTGGCACTGGGCTGATAGAGGTGATAGAATACAGAAAGCATATAAGACGTGGCCTGGTCCAGCCCTTAAAGTGTTCAGTATCATAGGAAAGATTTGTTTTAATAATCCATGTGAAACAAATAACAACTTTATAGTATCTACAATAGGGATAACAGAGAGAGAGCACTTTGAGAAGATTTGAATGGGTCCTTATTCTTCTTCCTTGTTGAGCTACTCTTCTACTTCACTTTGTATTTTTATTTATCACCCTTCTCCATGTATTCTATATCTTGCGGGCCTTTTCTTGTCCCTGAGCTGCACATGCCCAAAGCCCTATCTGGACCTTTCACCACCCACTTAACATCATGCAATCTAGAAGCCTCCATGATCAAAATTATGTCTCACACTTGCAACTAATCCCCCTAAGACACCCCCATTTCTTCAATATCAATGGTGTCAGTGGAAAAAAAATACCAATTAAGCTACTTTACACAAAGCAGTAGGTGTCCGAAGCATCCCCTTTTTCCATCCCCTTCTTCTTCTTCACATATTTTTCTGATTGTTGACTTTATATGGGAATATCAAATTCTAAGACTAGATCCTGAGCATGTATCACATGATAGGGTGACCAGGTGTAAACCACGGGAGGGGACTGAGAGGTTTCTTTCACAGCTTCTGAGGACTATCCATCCACCATCCCACTTTAAACTATCATCAAGTTTCATAACTGTTCTTGCCCTTTTTTTATTTGGAGTTTGACAGCATATTGCTATATTTCATATATGATCTTATGGCAAGGGAGAAGAGGAACCACTCTTTCTATAGAGCAAAGGGAAGAGTATGCCCTAAGCCAAGAGACCACAATACATGTTCTGTTTTCCAGCTCCCAGTAGGGGATGTACCTGTCTCTTGGAGACCCTTAGGAAACGAAAGACAGGAATGGTTCCTGTTAGACAAGAGAGAAAAGCTTGGATCCCCCAGGATGCAGACTGGTGTGGCTTCCTAGGATCCTCAAGATACTTTCTGTTCTCCTTTCTTTTCTCTCTTCATTTAGAATTTCAGATACCTATCTTGGCTACATATAACTAATACTAAGCATGGTAATTTACACATGAAAAACATTTTCAGTAATTTTTTATATTTTTTAATTTTTTCAGCTAGTTATGTTTATTTCTTTTACTGCATAAGTGCTTTCTTAATTGGATTAGTATATCATCCAGTTAAAGCAGCCTCTATTCAGGATTATTTTTCACTTAGGCCCTCATTTTGGGCAGATTTGAAAATCACATTAATAATCACTATTAAGCTCATAAGATGAAACCAAACCTACACATACATGCACATTTCCAACGACTGCAGACTTTTGGTTTTTAATCTGATTTTAAAGAAAGCCTGTGTTAGTTATTTTCTGCAAGTACTCCATTGAGGAGTGTCTTATCCTTTCAATCTTGAAGTTTATCTTGGAATTTATCTAAAAGGAATTATTTTGGTCACAAGGGTCAACACCCCTTTTCTTTCTTAATCTTTGTTTTTAGTTTTCTTTCTAAGGAATTGGAAGAAAACACAGGCAGATGAGTAGTTAAGCAATCCCAGAACTTTGCATGTCACTTGGCCCAGAACCAGGCACATGTAAAGGTCTTCACTTGCCAAAAACACACCAGGGACCTCTTAAGCAATCAAGAATTGCTACATGTGTGCAAGAGCTAACATCTTGAAGACAATTGAAATTGGTAATTCAGTTACCCTTTGTTTCTCATACATTTACCCTCTGAGCATCTCGACATGCTGGAGCATGGAGATCCAAACTGGAAACCCTTGAATGCTCCTTCTGCTTGTGGAAAGGTGACAAGGGCATTCCTTCTTGTTCACAACTGGGCATCATGAAGAGGAATGGAGGACTGGTGGAGGACTGGACTCTACTCTCAAGAATCTCTGGGGAAATGAGAAAAAAAAAAGGGAAACAGCGACAGAAGAAAAAGCAGCAAAACAAAGGACACACTAAAACCAAGAAGAGTGAAATAACAAAAGGAAGCCAAAGAGAAACTCAACCAAGGGTCAGGTTCTACTTCTTGTATAGTTCTTTTGGGACCACTGATAACATAAGTACATAAGTAGGAACTGATCCTCAAAAAATGGGGCCTTTATTTACATGAAACAAGAAGGACTTATTTTTGCTCGTGGCATTTGTTCTATTTAAAGGGAAGTGAACTACCTCCAGTCTTTCCCGCATATGAGTATTCCACTTCTGAAAATGGGATCTCAAATATATAAGACATTATTCACTACCTGCATTTGATATGAGAAGAATTAAAGTATTCCCAGCAGTTTTATTCACATTTATTATAGTGGGCCAGGAGATTTTCCATAAAAATGAGTAGCTCCCAGTGGGGAAAAAAATGTATAGAATTTGCTGATCTTGAACACAGTGTATTTATATAATACGTTTTATCACCCATAGGCCTTACAGAGCTAGGTTTTCTCCTGGGAAGCACTGTTAATATTTCAACCTCTGTATATGCCAAATGGAAACAAAGATTATTTGAAAAGGTAAATACCAGGCTTTCATTCTTCCTGGCACAATACCGATGCTGCATATTTAACTTGAGTTACTAAGAAAACTGAGGGTCTTTTGCAAGATGTGGCAACATTATGCAAATGACTAATTCCAGTTAAATTCTTTTAAGTGAAATATGTTACTCAGCGGTCTTTTGATTGCAAGTGATAGAAAACTAATCAAATTAACTTAGAGGAAATTTACTCATAGATAATGAAGCATCTCACATTATCAAATGAAGGGTTAAATAACCAATTCACTGGAAGGACGAGAATGCTGCTAGCCCTCAAAAATAAATGCAACCAGAGTTTCAAACAGTGAGGATTTTCTGTGTCTCTTATGTTGCTTTTCTCTGTATGTCAACTTCTTTCTTTAAATTTCCTCCACAAGGCAAGAAACATGCCTTCTGGCCAGTCCTAAGCATCAAAGCATCATAGCTAACAGCTTTTAATAACAAAAAAGATTTTACCCTATTCTTTATTCAAATACCCAGGCAAAGGGTTCTGATCGGTTTGGCTATATCGGGTGCTCATCCTGTAAGCCGTAAAGTGATCCTTGCATCAGACTATCAGAATATGCTCTTTCCTCATGTTCCGTATGCCTCCATCATATGATTGTTTGGCAAAGTAAGAGTGAATGCTCTCTTCCTTTCAGTTCAGCACCAAGAGCAGCATCATGGTAAGTAATTTAGGAAGCATAAAATCAATGTGGGAGTCCTAGTTGGTCTACTCGTGAGCTGAGACCTTCAGACAAATCGCCCACCTCTTTGAGTTTGAGTTTCGACCTCAATAGAATCAGAGAAAGAAGCCCTTTCTCAAAAGAAGGGCTGACTGATGCAACAGCATGGATGAATCTTTCATTCATTACACTGGATGAAAGAAACTGGGAGCAAAGGAGGACATAGGATATCATTCTGTTATGAAATTCGAAAATAGAGCCAGGCACAGTGGCTCACACTTGTAATCTCAGCACTTTGGGAGACTGGAGCAGGAGGATTGCTTGAGCCCTGGAGTGTGAGACCAGCCTAGACAACATAGAGAGATCCTGTCTTAAAAAAAAAAGAGAGAGAGAGAGAGAGAAAGAAAGAAAGAGAAAATCTAAAAGAGGCGAGACTGTCTTATAGTGACAGAAACTCAATCAATGGTTACCTGGGTTGTGTGGTGGAGACTATTGAATGAAGAAGACATGAGGTAACTTTCTGGAAAAATTAAAATGTTCTACATCTCGATTCAGGTGGAGTTACGTAAGTGTATATATTTTGTCAAAAGTCTTTAACCCATACACTTAAAGTGTGAGAATTTCATTTTATGTAAATTGCACCTCAATAAAAGTTGAGTGTCTTTTAAAAGTATATCAGAGGCTTGAGATGAGCATGAAATGACGCAGGGCACATCAAAGCACTTTTTTTTTTCTTTTTGAGATGAAGTTTTGCTCTTGACGCCTAGGCTGGAGTGCAACGGCAGGATCTCGGCTTACTGCAACCTCCGCCTCCTGGGTTCAAGCAATTCTCTTGCCTCAGCCTCCTGAGTAGCTGGGACTACAGGTGCCTGCCACCACACCTGGCTAATTTTTGTATTTTTACTAGAGACAGGATTTCACCATGTTGGCCAGGCTGGTCTTGAACTCCTGACCTCAGGCCATCCACCTGCCTTGGCCCCCCAAAGTGCAGCGATTACAGGCGTGAGCCACTGCACCTGGCCCAAAGCACTTTTAAATCATAAAATAATATGCATATATCCTTGTTTTTTACTCCGTTTAATAGTATCTGCGGATAGTTGTTTAGTTAAGTCAGGACGCTGATACAGCCAACTATTAGTCAGACTCTACTGCTATAAATTCCTCCTGCCTCTTTAGGCATATTTTATCTTTGCTCTTCCCATTGCAGGAGTCCACTCAACTAAATCCCAGGTAATAAGGCCTTTACAGTTATCCCAATCCCTGGTGACACTTGCAACCATTTGATCTGCAAGGAAGACACAAATTGCAACACGGACAAAATATACACAGCACAAGAGGCATCACTAAAGACTCTTGCCCCATAGGGAAGTAAGTGCTTCTGAGCTTGGTGAGTCTGGGTTACTATGGGTTTCAGGTATTTATCACTGCTTAATAAATTACCTCTAGATGTAGGGTTTAAGACAGCAATAATTTACTATTTCTCCTGACGCTGTGGGTTGGCTGGACTCAGTTGGGTCCTTTTCCATGAGGTGTCAACTGGGGTCAACCATGTGGCTGCATTCAGCTAGGAGCTTAGCTAGGCCTGAAACACCCAGGATAATACACTCACATATTTGGCACCTCGACTGGATTGGCTGGAATGGCTGGGAGCTGGCTGGGAGCTGGCTGGGCTTCTCTCTTTTTACATGTAGAAGTCTAACCCAAGCTTTTCTCATTGACACCTAGATACCAAAAGGAAGAAAACAAAAGTTGCAAGTCCTTCCAAGGTCTGAGCTCAGAGGCACCAGAAAATCATTTTCACTGAATTCAGTTGGTCAGCACAAGTCATAAGCCCATCAGACTCTACTGCTTGACAGGAGCTTTGTCATTCATGCTGGGAGATGGGAAGAATTGTTGGTGGACATCTTTACCAACAATATACAGCACTCTGCCATTCATTTCTTCCACCTGTTATAAACAATTAAGTTCAAGGTCAGTCAGCCCCACAGATGTAGGCCCCAAAATAAGGGACTTATTTGCCCATGAATGGATTCATTCAAATCACAAGTATTAAAAATTCACTATGGGCCAGGTATGTTGTATGCTAGACATATCAAACAAAAACTCTTCTATCACAATTAGTCAGGAAACCACCTGGTGTGTGGAACTGTGGGTTTGGTAAGGTCGGCCATGCCATTACCAAATCACATGAAAAAGAGTTCCCATTTGTCCAGATTTTGTAAATAGCAGAATACTTTGGAGATCAATAGGCCTTTCTTCTGGCTCTAAGAGGTACTTCCTTCTATTCCCTTAGCTGGATGATAATCTTTTCTCTTTTCAAGGAATACTAAAACACACAGTAAATAAATATAGACAAATAGATGTTCATGTAAATTAAGAGAGGGTCTTTTGAAGATGAATCGAGTTCATTTTTATTCCATTAATCATTCCATGATGGTCATCTACCCATTCCATAACAATAAGTGCTTGCTATCTGCTACATTATAAGCACTTATCTTTCCTAGCATAAGGGAACACCCCCTTTACCTATCTTTTCCTTAAATTAACAAAGTTTCACTGCCACCTTTCCATTTTCATACGCTCGAGGTCATAACTCAAAAAGACTTAGCCCTGAGGGTGGTGGGGACTGAGACTGGGAAGAAAGCCTACCAGGAGAGGTCTAAAGCCAGGGTATTAAGATTCCGTTCCTTCAGGTGTAAAGTGTCCTCCTCGGGAGTGCTGACTGTCCCAAGTCTCCACTTGCCAACTTCTCCTAGGTCTCATCCACCAGTCTGGTTCCTTTGAGCCAAATGTGCCTTTTCCTTCTCTTCTTCTCTCTCCAGACCAAACTTTACCAATTCTTATGACTTGTGCTGACCAACTGAATTCCTTGAAGGATTAACTGAATCACAGAAGGATGTTAGAGATTGACAGAAGCCCCCTTTGTTTGCATTTTGATTTTCAGGGCAGACGCAAATGATCTCTAAGGCATGAAACTCTAATGGCAGCAGGCAGAGGCATGAGGGAGAGGCACTGGGGCCAAGGTCTCACCTCAACATTCCTCAAGTCATAGGACGTATGCCACTTTTATCTGCACATCAAATAAATCGGCAACTCAAAAAAACTCCACTCATTTTCTCCTGGAAACTTTTATTTTTAATGTTTGGTAAATGAATGTCAAGAGACATTTCAGAAGAGAGCAGTTGATTCCTTGCAAAAGCAGGCTGCTGAAACACCCTCATTTGTTTTAGTCAGAAGCCTCTATGACAGAACTTTGGTTTCTGTGAATTGATCAAGTCCAAGAGCTCAAGGGGGCGATGAGGTCAAGGTCACTGCAACACTGCCTGGCTGGGGTTCAGCTAACTGTTGATGTGTGGGTTTCCTTTAACGATGAGGAGCAGACTAATAAACAGAACATGCTATATTTTGGAAAATGAATGAAGCCCAGTACTGGGAGACTCTTGGGTGGAGTGTGTATTAACCCTCTTCTGAGCCAGAAATGGGACCTCTGAGGTTTCTCGTGGAAAATATAATATTTGTGGATTTGAAAATAGAGAAGCGGCCAAATTTTAGAAGCTGAATGAAAATGAGTCATTTTGGTAAGGTATTTCACAGGCCATATAAACAACTTCTCAGTCATTGTCAGGACTGGAAATGTCCTTAGGTGGGTTCTGAAGAAAGCTCTTTGGTTTCAAATCTTGGTGATGGCGGCAAAATTAACTTATTTGAATCTTCGTTTCCAGTGTTATAAATGGGAACGATAATAAGAGCATCTACCTTAGATATTATGGCAAGAAGTCAGAGAAGGCTTTGGAACACTTTGAACAGCATATGTCATATCCTAAATGCCCCATAAATGTTCCTCATTACTATTTAAGTATTGTCAACTCCTTATCATGTCTACTATGCGTAAGAGTAGTTGGACAGATATCCTTAACAATGATGATGGCACAGACATCTACCTATCTTTGGAATGAGTTTATAAGCTTGCATTAAATTCTCGCAGCAGTAGATTTACTTTCCTAATTATGTTGCCTGAGCTTGGCACTCTCCAAGCGTAACCAACTATCAGTGAGAGGAGAAAGCCAAAACTTTGCTGAATGTTAGGAAGAAGGTGGTCTGGCCTCTCAGGCCTCTTCCAAACATAAGATTCTGTTACCTAGAAAACAAGTTTTAGGTGAGTAATCTGCCATGTGCCTAAATCCCTAATAGCTAATGAGGCATTGGCTCATTTTGCACAAGTTTATCTTCAGGGTTTCCAAAGCTAAGTGGCAACACTTTTCCTCCCAATCCAACTAGACATCTTTCTCTCTTGAGTATCAGTTATCCATTCCAGGAGGAGGCAACTGTGTGTGTCATTGCCAGGTGACCAAATGTTATTTTATCTTAGTCAAAGCACACTGTGTGTTCTGAATGGCTGTTTAGCCAGAAGTGTATGTATTTTTATGGCAGGATATAAAGTAGGCAATGTTATATAAAATACAAACTGGCAGGTCAAAGCAGCAAGAGCACTTTAGGGGACCCCAGGCAGAAGTGGTAAAAATAGTACCTAACACTTGAGAGGACTCAGCAGAAGCTGACAGTGTAGGCATGATTCATTCATTCGCTTTGAAAATTATGTAGGTTTATTCAGGAGGAACTCGAAGGCAAGACTCAGTCTCATTGATTGTTTCTGTGAGCAATTTTCTCAAATTGTGGCAAGTCCTATCCGACATTCTGCATTCAGGGAAAAAAGGGAAGTCTTTATAGATGAGAAATTCAAAAGAAATGAGCATTGGATGTTGTAAATGAATAACTAGATCAAATTTTAAAATGTCAGTCAACTGACAAAACTTTGACGTATTCATTCAACAATAAAAGCATTTTAAAGCACCTCTTCTGTGCTCAACCCTTTTCTACAAGACAGGGATATAGAGAGAAGCCCCCTGGTTCCTGTAGTTTATAATCTGGTGAAAATGACAAATAACAAATAATCAAATAAATATATAGTCTAATTCCATGTAGGGGTACAGTTGATGGAGTGGAGATGTAAGGGAAGACCAAATGGTGCGAATCTCTTGTTTCTGGAATAGCATAATGAAGTCAAATGAGGTCGCTCTGTATGATGTTGATAGTCAAACTCAACTTCTCTCTTTCAGATTCGTAACTATTTCCGATCATTGGTCAAAGATAAGGAACTAAGGAATGGTTAATATGGTGACTTTCCTGAAAACCAGCACTAAAGAACTTTTTGAAGTTTCTTTCAGCTGTGTAACAAATTTTCCTTTTCCCGTTTACCTCCAGAAGCTGAGATTCACTTGTCCCCAAGTAGCTTGAAAACTGGTCAGAAGAAAACAGTGACAACACTCTGAAGAGTTTGCTATTCCTCGATTTGCAGTCAGTATAAATACACCATTTTTTAAAAGGTGAGCCCAAAAAACCCAAAAAGGTGGAAAAATAGAGAAGCTAAAAATAAATGACTAAAAGAGAAAAGTTCCTGTAATTTTAGGTTTAAAATACAAGGCTGAGTAATCAAGGAAAGTATTTTTACTGCCTTGTCAATATTTTTCCTGGAAGCTCGGGTAAATAGCCCTTCTTCAGATCTGTAGTGTGCGTGTCTAATGGTCTTAGGTGTCTCTGACCACAGAATAACTTTATGCCTAAGAAATAGAGCAAACAGGAACTTTGTGGTTTCAGCATTTCCCACAAATAAGTAAATATATGGATGTACATTTAAAAAAGGTTCAGGGCCATAGGACAGACGATTTGGGTCTAGTTGAGAAGTGTTCCCCTCCTAGTGAAATCTTCCATACAAGACTATCCATGCCTTTAAAGGAATCCCTGCTTGCCTATGGTGATCTTGATCATATTTTCTGCGTCGCTTATACTCTCTTTCAATTTAATGCCGAATGCTCAGCAGCTGTGCCAGAAAACCTAAGAAAGACTGTCCTTTTTCTAAGTTGAGTCCTCATTTATTTACCCTGCTGGTGAAAAACCCACTGGCTTTCATCTCTTCTGAATCCATGGCAAGGAAAAGCAGGGGGTCAACATGCTGAACAGAGTTTAAAAGGGGGAAAAATGATCATGAGGGCCTTCAAGCACACATACCTCCCCAGGTCTAGCTGTCCCTGGGTTTTATGAGGCGTTTGCTCAAAGCCCTGCTGTTCAGGCAAGGGGAACAGCACGTGGTTTTCTTGGTAGCCAGCAGTTCTGCGTCTCACTGGGGCATGCCTCCAATGGCAGATTCATTAGGCCCCACTGATCCTAGGTTTAACACAAATCCAGCACTTGAATAACAGCCCCTCCTCCTGCACCCACAGATCCTTGGTTATTCAATCCTGGCTGGAAAGCAGGTGCTGAGATTTGTCAGGGAAAGCAAATACCCTATCAGATGCCCATACATCACCCTGAACACCGAGGATACACTGTGTTCTTTCCTGTCAGACTTGACTAATAGATCCTCAATCTGGACTTGGCCAATGTGAAGCCAACAGAGGTAACTATGAGGAAGGTTCATTCTCTCTTCCAAAAAGGTCCAGTGTGAACCAGTATCTCCATTTATCTGATGGCTTCTGGCTAAAAATATTTGAAAGATCACTTGGAGACAAGCGGCTCATAATTTGACCCCATAAGAAAAAAAATGATGTTGTTCTTCTAGATCATTTGGCCACTTCTGACTTCTCCAGCATGCCAAAACTTTCACTTAATTCACTCAAAAAAACAGTCAGATCAGTCATTTTTAGGCAAATAAAAGTAAATACCTCTTCAATTAGCAAGTAGCAAATTACTTCCAAGATATTGTGTGGGTTAAAAATATCAAATGCTGTAAGAAAGCATTAGATAAATCTATTGTTAATCAACCTCATATAGTTCATCATGAGAAAGCTAGAAAATCATAAATATATCTGTAACCAGACTAACATTAAAAAGGATAATTAACCCATTTTTAAACAAAATGGCTCAAAGAGCCTGAATACAAAGCTAAATATGACTTTCTTGATGTTTTTGAATTTGATATAATGTAGGCAAATATAAATAAACAAAAAATCAGCTGAGTGTTTTTTCTGTCATGTTGATGCAGTCTTGTTTTTATTCTTCACAGGAAACATTTGAGATGACTGCACTGTATACCAGTTTGTGCTCACCATTTGACACATCTGTGACATTTTTGCTTCCAGAAAGGCAGTAAACAGTAAGCAGACTAAGGCAAGAACTTTTTTCCCACAGTGTCTTGAATCTGGTCCTGTTTATCTTTCTATAACAACGGAAACAGATGTATTTTTGTGCTTGCAACTTTCCAGATGTATCACTCTAAAATGCCGTCTGCTGTTCAGAGATGTTGCTAGTATTTAGAGCAGAGAAGCCTTTGCCAAGTTAATTATTTGACTCAAGACATTGCAGTTTCTGCAGAGTCTACTTTCTGTGGTAGACATCTCATTAGGATTTATCTGGGGTTCTGTTGAAGTATGTTGTGATCACAGACTCTCAGCAAAGTGGACCTTTACCAGAATTTAGGGCTCCTGGAAGCAATAACTGACAGCAGTGAAGAAGACCTGAAGCTCAGAATCATTGATGGATAAAATTGCTTAAATCCCGCTGTCACCTTAGGTCGGAATTGATCCAAGGCCATGTACAAGCCTCAGTGTCAGGTTAAGGTTATGTATCCCTAGTTATGGAAAAACCAGAGCCAGAATAGCAGGCAAAACCTGATAGAGTCACACTGAGTCAGAGAACCTGTTTTGAGAAGAGCATCTTTCCTTTTCCCTATATTATAGTATTCCTTCACTAACTGTGCTTGCTCCTTCCACAAACTGTAAACTTAGCCAAAAGATATACATTTTTATCTTTATAGCTCACAGTACCAAAATGCTGAGCAGCATAAACACTAAACAGACTTTCAATTTGAAGCTATGTAAAACGTGACACTTACAACAACAGTAAAAGATACATTTTTTTTTCCAATTGAACACAAAACATTCAGCAAGATAGACTATATTTTGGGCCATAAAACAAACTTTAGCAAATTCAAAAGAATAGAATTTATACAAAGCATGTTTTTGAATCATAAAGAAATTAAAATATGCATCAATAACAAAGATATTTGAAAAAAAATCTCTGAAATTTTGGAAATTAAAGAACACACTTCCAAACAACCTATGATTCAAAGAGGAAGTCTTGAGAAAATTTTAAGATACTTTAAACTGAAAGGTAATTAAAATACTATGCAATAAAATTTAGAAATTTGTTGGGTATGGCTAACACAATGATTACAACTTACCAACAGGGATGAAAAAACAGATATAACCCTGACCTATCAGAAATTAAGAGAATAGTAAGTGAATACTACAAATAATTCCATGCCTATAAATTCAACAATTTAGAAGAGATGAACTGATTCCTTGACAAACTACCAAAATTCATTCAAGAAAAAAAAACCTGAATAATCCTACTTCTATTATAGAAATTAAATTTGTAGTTAAAAACCTTTACACAAAGAAAATTCCAAGCTTGGGTGATTTCACCAGTTAATTCATCAAACATTTAAGGAAGATATAATACCAATTATAAACAATCTCTTCTGAAAAATAAGGAAAAAACACTCCTCAACACATTTTATGAGGCCGTCATTACCCTAACATCAAAGCCAAAAACATAACACACAAAAAAGAAATGTACAGGCCAATATCCCTCACTCTCATGAACATAGACACAAAAATCTTCAGTAAAACTTTAGCAAAACAAAGTCCATCAATATATAAAACAGTTACTATGTCATGACCAAATAGTCTTTATTGCAAAAATACAAGACTGGTTCAACTTTTAAAAATCAATCAGTGTAACTTACTATATTAACAGACTAAATAAAAAAATCATATAATCATGTCTATATATATATATATATAGAGAGAGAGAGAGAGAGAAAAGGTATTTGGGAAAAAATCAACACATTAATGATTTTTAAAGATCAGCAAACTAGGAAAAAAAGAATGTCTTTAACCTGATAAAAGGCACACACACACAAACCTTGCAGCTAACATCAAACTTTCTGGTGAGAGTCTGGATGTCCTCTTTCACTGAAACTATTTAGCGTCATACAGTATGTCCTAATCAGTGTAATAATGCAATAAAAAATACAGTGTACACATATTTGAAAAATCTCTCTCTATTCACAGACAACATAATTGTGGACATAGAGAATTTCAAGAATCCACAAAAAAGGTAATGAAGTAACAAGGGAGTTTATAAAAGTTGCAGAAAACAAGGTCAATACACAAAAATCAGCTGTATTTCTAGATACTAACAACAAACAGTGGGAATTTGAAAAAAAAAGATAAAAGTATTATTTACAACAGCACCCAAAAAATTAAATCCTTAGGCATTAATTTATTAAAAATGTACAAGATCTAAATGCTAAAAAGTACAAAGCACTGATCAAAAAAGCAAATTATATCTAAATAAATGGAGAGATATAACTTGTTCATAAATTGGAAGACTCAATATTAGTACGCTTTCACTTCTCTCCCAATTAAATCTACACATTCAATGCAATCTCAGCAGGCCTTTTTGTAAATATTGTCAAGCTGGCTCTAAAAGGTATATAGAAAGGCAAAGAAACTAGAATAGCAAAAGCACGTTTGAAAAAGAACAACATTAAAGGAATCTATTCCATTTCAAGACTTGCTGTAAGACTTACTACAGGCCAATATCCCTCATGCACATAGACACAACATTTTCAACCAAATAATTAGCGAATCAAGTTCAGCAATATAAAAAGGTTAATATATCTTTTTTTTTTTTTTTTTTTTTTTTTTTGGAGACGGAGTCTCGCTCTGTCGCCCAGGCTGGAGTGCAGTGGCATGATCTTGGCTCACTGCATGATCCGCCTCCCGGGTTCACGCCATTCTCCTGCCTCAGCCTCCCGAGTAGCTGGGACTACAGGCGCCCGCCACCGCGCCCAGCTAATTTTTTGTATTTTTAGTAGAGACGGGGTTTCACCGTGGTCTCGATCTCCTGACCTCGTGATCCGCCCGCCTCGGCCTCAGGTTAATATATCTTAACCAAGCAGTGTTTATCCCAGAAATGCAAGATGAATATCCAATAATTAAAATAGTATGGTATTAGTGAAACGATACACGTATTCACAGGAACTTATCAGGTTGAAATACAGCTGTCAGCTTGGCTGGACTCCTATTTGAAGACTCTGGGAAAAAATCTGCTTCCAAGTTCACATGGTTGTTTGTATAATATAGATCCTGACTATTAGATTGGTCCCACACAGATAACCTCCCTGTTGAGAAACCTGAAAATCAACACATTAGTAACCTTGATGACATCCACATAATCCTTTATACCTTGTAAAGTAGCATAATCAGGGTGTATTATTTCATCGTATTCACAGTCCCAGGAATTAGGGTGGAAAATCTTGAGGGGACTGTGTTAGAATTCTGCTTACCATATCATCTATATGTGAAAGAAAGAACCTTATGAGTACTTTAAATCTTATATAAAAATTAACTCAAAAGGGATCATAGACCTAAATATAAAACATAAAATTATAAAATTTCTAGAAGCAAATATAAGAGAACAACTTTTTGACTTTGGGTTAGGCAATGCATTTTCATATATGACACAAAGGTATAATTCATTTAAAAAAACAAGAACAATAATTTGGGCTTTTTCAAAGTTGAAAAGTTTTATGCTGTGAAGACACAGTCAAGAGAATAAAAAGACAAGACACAGAATGAGAGAAATATATTTTCAAGTCATCTATCTGACAAAGAGTTTGTTTCCAGAATGCAAAAAGAACTCTCGAAACCTAACCAGAAAACAACCCAATTAATAATGAACAAAATATATAAACAGACACTTCACCAAAGAAGATATATGGATGAAAAATAAGCATCATTAATCATTAGAGAAATGCAAATAAAAACCACAATTAGATATGACTACACGTCTATTTGAATGGCTAATATAAAATAATTCCATACCATGGAATACTACTCACCAATAAAGGGAACGAACTATTTATGCCCACAACCACATAAATGAATCTTAAAATGCATTCTGGGCTAGGCGCAGTGGCTCACGCCTATAATCCCAGCACTTTGGGAGACCGAGGCAGGTGGATCACGAGGTCAAGCGTTGGAGATCAGCCTCGCCAACATAGTGAAATCCAATCTCTACTAAAAATTTTTTAAAAAATTAGCCGGGCGTGTTGGTGGGTGCCTGTAATCCCAGCTACTCGGGAGGCTGAGGCAGAAGAATTGCTTGAACCTGGGAGGCAGAGGTTGCAGTTAGCCTAGATCATGCCACTGCACTCCAGCCCAGCGATAGTGCAAGCCTCCGTGTCAAAAAAAAAAAAAAAAGAAAAAGAAAAAAAAAGCGTTCTGCTAAGTGAAAGAAGCCAGACCTAAGATGTGATATAGAAAATGCTTTATGATTCTATTAATATAACATTCTGGACAAGGCCAAACTCTACAGATGGAAAATGAGACAGTGGTTTTCAGAGGTAGGAGATGTGGAGAGGGGTTGCTTAGAAAAAAATCAGTAAAGATGACTTTTGGGTTGATAAAACTGTTTTATATCATGATTATAAAAGTGGATATGTAACTATGTACTTGTCAGGACCTGTAGAGCAATATACTACAAAGAGCAAATTTTATTATATGTAAAAAATTTTAAGAACCAACCAAGATGTTGTGAGAGGACCCAAAATGGACTACAAACTTAACAAATGAACGTAACTATATTACAAATGAATAGCATGACCCTGCTAAAGAGGGTAGGGAAGAAAGGGACTAACCTGAATTACTTTGAAAATCAGTATTTTGATCGGATACTGTAAGACTAAAGACTAAAAGAACTGTACGATACTAAATTCCAGTAAGTACATTTTCTTCTCTCAGAGGAATGAGTTAGCACTCCTGAAACACTTTATGTTTGTACTATAGTTAAACAAGTAAATGAATATTTGGTAGATAATGAGAACTAGGATTCTCACTGTCAGAGAAAGAAGTTACAAATAAGAAAAGGCAGAAAACTAGAATGAACACTGTAGTGTTGAACTGGAATCAGAGGTATCAGTAACAACTCATGCTTTTTAAAATATAAATACAAATAGATAGAGAAATGTAGATGTATGTACATGCCTGAGTTAGTATACATATATATATTTCCAATCTTTGTGCACTGCGAGGGTCTAGAAGTAACAACACCCTTGTAGAAATGAGCACATCTATTCCTCTTGGTTTTAAACATAATTCTCCCCAAAAAAAAGGAACTAGAAGTCCTTGGAGAAGAGGTACATTCCAGGGCTGGGCAGGGAAAATACAGTGGTGAACCTTGAACATTGTATGGTGTCAGAAAGTAAGGAAATGGTCCTCAAGGAAAGAGTTATGTCAAAGGGATCCAGAAGCAATCTAAAAGAGTGCCACATGATCAAGCTGGAACAATTTGAGCAACAAAATAAATAATCTCAATATTATATTATAACCCATAAAATATAATAAATATCAATTAGTCTACTTGATATGAATAAATAATTGAATAAATGTGAAAAGAGAGAGAACTCTTCCTGATGAAGAACTTCAATTAATAAATATAGAAGAAATGAAAATCACCATTAGTCCTACCAAGTGATGCTAAAATAATCAGAGAAGAGCTTGATAAGGAACAAGATATTTGCATAGTCTCAGAGTATTTCTCAACATCTCAAAGACATATTAATTACAAAGGAAAAGTTAGCAACTTATGGCGGAGAAATCCATCAGAAAGTGCTCTGACCATGTGATCAAAGTTAACATAATCACTAATGAGACATATTTATTTCATATGCCCTCAGTATCAACACAGAGAAAGACAATCATTTCTGTGCCATTCCTACCAAAACGGACTAACTTCAATCTAATCATGAGAAAACATGAGACAAACCCAAATAGAAGAAACTTTATCAAAAGACCTTGAAAAGGTCTTTTATGTCCTTGGCCCTTTTGAAGGGTATTGGGCAGAAATTTTGGAGGAAAATTCATGAAGAAAATTTTTGCTTTTCTAGAAAAGCAAAGCTTGAGGAATTGTCACAGATTGTCAAGGGACTAGATGAGATGTGACAACTGAATGCAACATAGAATTCCACATTACATCTTGAAACAGAAAAAAAAAAGACATTAGTGGGAAAACTAGTGAAATCCAAAATAAAGTTTCTGATTTAGCTAATACTATTGCACCAATATTAACTTCTTAGTTTTGATCATTGTCATTGTGGTTATGCAAAATATGAACTTTAGGGGAAGCTACATGAGAAGTGTAAGAAAATTCTATATTCATGCAACTTTTTGGTGAGCCTAAAATTATTTTTAAATTAAAAATGTAATAAATAATTAAAAGAGAATAATGGGAAATACATCAGTCACTTGTCCATAGGAATGATGGAATTCTGATTGGACAGGTCTTTGAAAATTCCCTGCTCCGGTAGCTGAGGAAGTTCCTTAGCTGACACTAGTTCTGCTCCCTAGAAGGAATTCTTGATCATTGTCCTTCATCCCCAGTGACATTGCTAAGTTTTTGTTACGTCGTTATCCTTCAAGACCATATCTAAAGTAGGTGGTGGGAACCATGTTCTGTTAGCAACTGTACAACTTTCATATCATACTTTCTGCTTATACAATTTTGATGTCCTGCATATTGGTAAAAGCTTAAGCAATTATTTCTTTGAAAATAGAATTCCCTCAAAAAATTCATAGATTTAAGATACCTTTGCTCATAATTAGTCCCATGTGTTAGCAACCTAACTAAAGTTTTTTTGTGAGCATAGCTCTAATTCTTGCTTCATTTCATTATTTAACACACACTTCTTTCTTACTTTAATGGCAGCTACTTTTAGGTCTTCTGAACCAAGAGGCCTGGTTTGGAAGGCCACATCCTTGGTCTGTTCTTTGCCTACCTAGCCTGTTTCTCTCTGAGGAGCTTAATGTTTTTTGTTTGTTTTTTTATTCTTCTTCAAGGTTACATGCAACAGCTGTCTTTTCTTTTTTGTTTAAGGCATAGGAGTTAGCTTTCCCAAACATAAGAGGGTCTAAATTTCTGGAGACTATTTTTCTGAGTTTGTACCTGTTTTGAAACATTTTTCTAAAGCAGGAAGGAGCTAGAAAAATACAGTAATCTAGCTATATCTAGTTGGTTCTGTTTACCCAATAGTCTCCGTGAGTGCAGGGTACACATTTTGTTGCAGGCCACAGTTTACCAAATGTTTTGTTATAGCATTATAAAGGTCATAAGCATTCTAGTATATTGAGGCCACCTACTGCCTCACCACTATGCAGATGGCGTATATATTGGCTTAGTTAGGAAAAGCCCCTCTTCCAGTATCAACTGTTAAAAAGAAACACTTTAGATAAATTAAATTTAGCAGAGTTTATTTGCTGAAAGAACAATTCATGAATCAGGCTGCACCCTGAAACAGGAAAGGTTCAGAGATATCCACCCAGCAATGTGGGCAGATAGTATGTACAAACAAAAAGAGAAAGTGGCATGCAGAACCAGCTTGATTGGCTACAGCTGGGCATTTGCCTCATACGAGCATGGTCTGATCAGTTGGCAGTCTGTGACTGACTGAAACTCAGCTACTGCGATTGGCTAGGATTCAGCTATTTGCTACAATATACTCTTAGGTTAGTTTGCAGCTTATTTATTTACATACTAAGTTAGGTTGTAGTTTGTTACACAGGAACTCATAGTAAAGACACACCTTTGGGCCAAATTTAATTTAATTTAACACAATGTCTGAATTAACTAAAATATAGCTAGGCAAACAATACACAAATGGCTTAAAGACAAAAGAGACTTAACCATACCTTGCCTTAAAGAATAGTTATGTTCATTTTTCTCCCACAAAACAGACCAGATATGAGGTTTGCTCTGCTCTGCATCTTTCTTTCTTATTTCTCTACCATTCCATAGTATGTTGTTCCTGGCTACATGATGAAAGTTGGGGGAAGAGCATTGGAGAGTACATGTGCAACATGGTAAGGATATGGCCTGGAAATGGCATATGTCATTTGTGAAGATTTAGTCACGTAGTCACATATTGGTACAATGGAGTTTGGAAATACAGCTTTTCAATGGGTGGCCACATTCCCAGCTGCTAGCCTAATTCTGTGGAAGGAGAGTATGGATTTTGGTGACACTTCGTCTCCATCCACTCTCCTCTTGGATTATCTATCACCACTCTTTGCTGGTTTCCCTTTCACCTTCTTGACCATTTTTTTCCAGTCTCGCTTGCTGACTCCGAACTCTACTTAACCTCTAAATACTTTTTAGGGATCAGCGTCAAAGGGGCCAGTTTCTGGGTCTCTCCTCTTCTCTAGCAATACTCTCCCCTGATTATCCCAACTCATTCTGTGAAAATGCCAAATCCTAAATTCCTTTTTCTAGCTTTATTCCTTCTACTATACTCAAAATTTCTATATACAACAGCTATCTTGTAACCAACTACTGGAGATCTCAACTTGGCAACCCAAACTAATCATGGAAAAAACTGAGCTCTATTTTACCCCTACAAAGCTGATTCTCCCCCAGTATTTTGTCCATCCTGATATGTGGTAGCATCATCCAGCCAGTTTTCAGAGCAAAAAAAATCCAGAAGGCATCCTTGGTTCATAAATCCTTCTCTCAATCCCCACATCCAATGGATCAGCAAAGTTTTGTGTATACTACCTTTAAAACACATCTTGAACCTGTTCATGGTAGGCTGAACAATGACCCCCCTCCTCTGCCCCAGAAAAAAAGATTTCCACGTTCTAATCACCAGAACCTGTGAATGTTGCATGGCAAAGGGACCTTGCAGTTGTGGTTAAGAATCTTGAGATGGGGAGATTATCCTGGATTCTCTGAGTAGGACCAATGTAATCCATAAGGTTTCTCATAAGAGGGAGGCAGAAAAATCAGAGTTAGATCAGGGAGAGAGAGAGAAAAGGGTGATAAAGGTGGCCATGGAGGGAGAGAGGAGAAAAGGCTACGTGATGCAGGGATGTGGAACGATGCAGGTCAAGGAATAAGTTTGACCTCTAGAAGCTAGAAAATGCAAAGAAATGAATTCTCCCTTAGAGCCTCCAGAAGGAACATAAGACTGCTGAGGTTTTGATTTTATCCCAGCAAAACTTCTGACCTATAGAATTCTAAGATAATAAAGTCATAAGATATAGGTCACTAAGTTTGTGGTAATTTGTCACAGCAGCAATAGAGCACTAATACTCTATCCATGTTTCTCTATCTCCACTGCTGCTACCATAATTGAGGGCCAGCTGAGAGCACAAACTGTCTGAATTTGAATTCCTGTTCTGCTACTTACCTGCTCTGGGCAAGCCATTCAAGCTTCCTGTGCCTCAGTTACCTCATCTGTCAAATGAAATCATGGTAGAGTTGTTATGAGGACTCAGTGCGTTGCCATATTTAAAGTCCTTGGAATAGCACTTGACATACTGTAAGTATGTTTAAGTGTTTGCTATTATTATTGTTATAATTTATACCCTGTATCATTTCAATACTCATCTGGTCTCCCTGCTTCCTCTCTTGCCCATATAATCTCTTATTCACAGAATATTGTTCACAGTAAGAATTATATATTTAAAACATAAAATCAAGTAATCTCTTGGATTATAATCCTCCAAGGGCTTCCCACTGTAATTAAATCATATCAAAAATTCTAACCAGAGCCTACAAGGCCTGGTATGATCTAGTCCATGACTTACCACCCAACCTCATGTCAGTCTACTGTCTCTGTTGCTGACTCGCTTTTCCCAACTACTGTTCGTTTGGTTCTCCAAACTCACCAAACTTGTTTCTGCCTCAGGGCCTTTAAGTGAGCTGTTCCCCTGCCTGGAATGCCATTTTCCCATGTCTTTGCTTGACTGACTCCTTTTAGAAATTCATTCAAAGTCTTCTGCTCAGAAAGGCTTTCCCTCCCAGTTCAAATGAAAATAGCTGCCTCTACTATTTACTTACTTATTTCGTGTATCTTCCATGAAAAGAGCCTGCTGCTGTATACCTAGTGCTCAGACTATAACTTGCATATTATAGATAATCAATAAATAGTTGTGAAATGAGTGTTGTTGACATGTGTGAAGAGGCCATTTGTTGAGGCGTCATACTGGTGAATCCCATATATGTTCTGAATCAGATGAGCACAGTTTTAAATCTTTCCTCTCAGCAGAAAGGTTCTGCCTAAAGACAAAGTAATTCACCCAGTGATGGTTGTGTAAGTCTGTTTTCTCGCATTTTTCTGATTATTTTTCTTAACAAGTATCACTAGGGACACTTTCCAGAAAACCACTGAAAAGGGACTTTAGCAGTGTATGAGACCTATATTTAATCTCCAAAACCCATCCTTTCTAAATCTTTTTTTGTTTTGGGGGACAGGAATTGTGTGTTTATTAGACCGGGTTTTGTTCTATCACCCAGGCTGGAGTACAGTGACCCAATCACAGCTCACTGCAGCCTCAAACTCCCAGGCTCAAGCAACCCTCCCACCTCAGCCTCCCGAGTGAGTAGCAGACATGCGCCACCACACTCAGCTAATTTTGTAATTTTTTGTAGGGACAGGGTCTCCCTATATGCCCAGGCTGACCTTGAACTCCTAGGCTCAAGAGATCCTCCCACCTCAACCTCCCAAAGTGCTGGGATTATAGACATGAGCAAAGAATTTTAGGCATGAGCAAATAATTTTAAGTTGTTTTGGTTAAAAATGAAAAACTGTGTGTATGATACCTACATGAAGTGAGTCCTGCCTTTAGAGTACAGCATTTCAGAGACCCACTGTTGAAACACCTGGGAACTTGCTTTCTCAGAAGATGCAAAGAAAACTGAGATCCAACAGCAGAAGGAAGGCAGGCCTCACACAGTCCATAGAATAGCTCCTAGGAAGTCCCCACATAGTGTTGGGCTCATGTGTGTGGCCACCAGTTTGCAGAACTCTGCACCCTGTTCTTCTATGTTTATTTTTTCTCTCTTCTCAGCATGAGGCTGTGCACAAATAGTAAAGAAAGTTTTTCTCAGTCTTCATCTATCTAAAGTCTTTCCAGCACCTTCCCTTAAAATATGAGATACTGCAAGGGCCTAAGTTGCATTTTCATAGGGATGGGGTTCTCTGGGTCTTTCAACATAGATCTCATTGGTTAATTTAGAGTGTAAGCTAAAAAAATAAATAAATAAAAGAGCTGATAACCACTCTGTGGTCGTTTTAAAAATGTGAAAAGATGTAACACAGGGTTTAGGGTTAACAGGAGAAAACAGATGACTGGATGGTGATTCACTCTTTTTCTCCCTAAAGACACCAACATGTAACCCTGGGGTGGCCTTGTCGACATTGCAAGTGCATACCTGGCATATCATCTGACAGCCTGAGAGTGCCTGCTATTACTCAGAAGAAAAGATGGTGTATCTGATAGTCTGAAAAGAACAAAGACTGCAGTTACTTCATCACTCTTGCCGGAAGGTCTGGAATTAATTGTGTTTCTTTATACCCCATCTAATTTTACAAAATCATACTTCTCCCTGGCAGTTTACTAATTTACCACCTCATCTAAGATAAGACTTTGCCAACAGTAATAACATTTAGAAAATGCTGTCATGCCTGCTGAACATAGTCTCCCATTCCTCCAACCTCACCCCCAGCCCATAGACACACATCTACACAGCTCACTCAGAACTTAAAGCAGGTAGACCCAGCCTTGAGGGTCAAAAAACAAACAAACAAACAACAACAACAACAACAACAAAACAGAATGATCTGGTGCCTCAGAAGTTTATCTTCACAATAAGAGTAACTAACTCTATTCAGACACCTCTTTGAGTATCTGCTCCAGCGTCTGTCCAATGGGTAAAGAGAGTAGAAAGAAATAATTGGTCTGCACTTCAGAAAGGCATTTTAGTGTATTTATATTTCCCTTGTATACATTTGTTGTGTGCTTATTGTATAAAGAGCACTGTATGGATTACCTCCCCTCAAATTTGATGGGCAGGGAGCAAAGCAGGGAAACTGCAAATTTTGAAATGAGCATGGAAATATCTAGCCTGAAGATTCTAAATGGAACATTCGGTGTTACGGTGTTTGGGGAATAGCAAATGACTGGGGGTTTGGATATTCAATTCAGTTGCATAGTCAATTTCACCAAATTCTACTCTTAAGTAAGCAGGCTTGGTACACAAATATCTTCCAAATTTAATCATGGGAATATGGCATATACATGGGGACTTAGAGAAGGGGTGACAGGGCAAAGGTAACCAAATCTTAATAAGTGTTTCCCACTAGTCTAGTTTCTCTAGGCCATCAAGCAATACATCCCTGATCTTTAAGCATGATACGGTGTGTATGTGTGAATTGTGTGTGAGTGTGTGTGCTTGTGTGAGTGTGGGTGGAGTACAAACTAAAGCAAAAGAGCGTATGTTTCCCTTCTGGCTCAGATTGCATTCGTAGATATAATTATTTGTTTAACATAGCCACACAATATTATATTACATCCTATGATTTATTAGCAAAAGCACGCTCTTTAAACTTCATTTTCCCAAGCAATGATAATTTCTTGACATGTTTCATTACTGGGAAATGACATAGACATTTGTTATATTCTCAGACAATAAAATATTACCCTGCTCACATACCTTCATGGAATATTAAACAAAATGAATGCCGTTCCCTTTCTGTGTTTATCATATCATATTAAAAGTGAAGACTAGCCCTTATGTTTTCTTTCGTGATAGATGAGACATTGGAAAGAATGAGTTTAGTTTACCCTTCTTTCCAACTGGCTTTACTTAGCTATTTGCAAAGCCTCCAATAATGCTGTTAGAGTATCATTTCAATCATCCAGCTTTTCAAAGGCCATTCCCAATGTACCTTTCTTTCAAATCATCATGAAGAATAAAAATCCAAAATTTCCCCTATAAATGCGTTTCTTATCTTAACCCCAGATTCAGTTAGTTTCAGGCAATGATGGAAATAGCAAAGATTGGGGAGTGATCCAACGTAAGGATTACACAATTCTTCATAGAAACTGGTTGTAGACCAACTTTATGAATATGTTGTAAACATTTATCAGCCCACATACTGGATCTTTCCATATGCATATAAAGACCATATGAAATATACATTCTTTACCACTAACATATCAAAAAGTGTTATCTAGTGTGAGTGAGAGATTACGTACTCACAGGGTGGTACATGCACACCCATAACCACACAGATACACACATTTATTATAGAAAGAGTTTTAAAATACTATGGACTTTCTGTATAAAGCAGTTCATCATGGAGAATAATAAATTTTCTTGAGTTTCATCAAATGTATTGTATATTAAGTGGGATTTTTCAAGGCTATGCTTAGAGTTGAGTTGAAGTCCTAGACATGTCTAAGTTTTCCTAGCTCTCATGGATAGAATCAGCATTAAACTGAGGGGAACTTTGGCAAACACCAAACATTTTAGATAAGGAAAATCTGTGCACTTTTTGACATGACTATGGAAAAATAGCCTAAACATCTAAGACAACCTCAAGCTTAAGTTCAGATGGTCTAAGTTCTACACTTAACCTTTACTACTACCTTGTTTGAATTCAGGCCAATAAATTAATTATTCTATACATTAATTTTTCCAGGAGTTCTCAGGAGAGAATAAATTTGCAGTATCTAATTTTAAAGGGGTTGGGAGAACAAAATAAAACTGTGTAATCAGTGCAGCTCTCTGCTGAAGGTGAGAACCTACACAGTTGACAGGGTTTGCTCAACAGAAGGGCCATAGCTTAGTGCTTAGTTGTCACTGACTTGAAATTCATAATAATTTTACCTTTGAACTTGTGCTTGGTCGGTGAAGTCTGATGAGACAACGAAGCATGAGCAGAGCAGATGTGATAGGTGTGAACACGCTGTGTGCAGGCTTGGGTCTTCTGGAATCCTGAGCAATGGGCAGAAACATCAACAGTGGCAGCAGCTGCCATGGCTCAGGGAGAGATTATGTGCTCTGCATGGGGGCAGCACCAACATCACAGCTCGCCCTTCTACCTCCAAAGCCTGTCCTTATAGCATCTGTACCAAAATTAACTCTCTGGTCTGAATACTGGGACAGGAACTGCCTGTACTCAGGCCATAAAGTTTGTCAATACATTATTACAAAATAAACTGTGCTCATGGACATTGCACTAAAGCATGTCAGATAGTTACTAAAATTCTGCAAAGACTAGACTCTCTGGTTTTGAAAACTTCTGCAACATTAAAAAGCAAATATCCACAGACTTAGAAACAGTTTAAAGATCATCACATTCAAAAGAACAGTATCCTTATATGAAGCTTTGGATGAACCAATTATTAACAAGGAAGACAATTCTAAGACTAATTTTTCTGCCAAGGGATATATTGTGATAGAATGCATAAACAGTTGTTCTGAATTGTATACAAATTATGAAGCCATCTTTGGTTTCTTGTATGACTGCCACAAATTGTAGGAAACATTAGAGAAGAAATGTTAGAGAAAACAATAAAATAAAATGCTGTTGTATATATTCACATGTAAAATTAAATTCAGACTTACAATAAACCAATTTGAATACAGTTAAATCTTTTTAGAAAAGTTTTTTTGCAAGAATCATTAGCTCTTGGCCAGGCACAGTGGGTTACACCTGTAATCCCAGCACTTTGGGAGGCCAAGGCAGGCAGATCACCTGAGGTCAAGGGTTCAAGACCAGCCTGGCCAGCATGGTGAAATCCCGTCTCTACTAAAAATACAAAATTAGCTAGGTGTGGTGGTGGATGTCTGCAATGCCAACTACTTCGCAGGCTGAGACAGAAGAATCGCTTGAACCTGAGAGGCAGAGGTTGCAGTGAGCCGAGGTTGTGCCACTGCTCTCCAGCCTGGCAGCAAGGTGAGACTCCATCTCAAAAAAAAAAAAAAAAGAAGAATCATTAGTTCTTGATGTGCTAAAATGTGTATTTCAAAATAATGTGTCAGAAATTTATGTCAATGTCCTCACAGCCTATAAAATACTACTAGCAGTTTTAGTAAACAGTTGCATCAACAGAAAGGTCCTTTTCAAAATTGAATATTATCAAGAATTATTTGCAACTTTGCATTTGCCAAGAGGACTGACATTGCTTTCAATTATATTAATTGAAAATTAAATTGGTAAAAGTGTAACTTTTGATGACCTAATAAATGAATTTGCAGAAAATTAGGTCAGAAAATTGCATAATTCGTTGATATAATATTACTAAATTATTATTTAATTAAAATTATACCAATATATTATTGTGATTTGTAAGTTTGTATTGTTACTCGTGTATTATTATTATTCCTGTTATGTTTTACAAGTAACAAAATGTTTTTAAAGAAAAAACGTTCTCTTTTAGCACCTTTATAACATTTTTTCCCTAATTTTTTCACAAGGAGCCCTACATTCTTATTTTGCACGGGACCCTGCAAATTATGTAGCCGGCCCTGGATGGAATACAGTTTAGATTTTTGCCAGAAATTTGCTGAGTTCTATTTAACCAAAGCGAGGCTCATTTTTCTTTAAACATTTGAAGTATATTAATTTTATGTCCTTTATCTAATAATTCTGCCTTGTGGACAATTGTTTGTGTGTTAGATAAAATTTGATTAGTGTGTTAGTGTTCATTCAGCCCGTGTATCTCTGTGACAAGCCTGTGCATCAGGGTTGAAATCTTCCCCTGCTGTGGAAATTCACATCGCCTCAGCGAGGCACCTCAGGATGCTAATAGGCCACCTGAGGTTGGGGTTTTTAAAACCAGGGAGGTCATACAAAACTGGCTCTAAACCTCTGCAAGGGAATATCTATATTATAAATTCTCAGAGATGTTTTTCTACCAGAGCCCAGGCAGAAAAAGATGGTTTCCTTATCATCTTTTTGTGAGAATTTTTTTTCCTAGTTCACACTTTCACAAAAGCAAAACACTCATTAAACAGCCCAACTCCCCTCCTTGTCCTGACCCAAAGCCTTGCACTGGATTCCAGGCCCACCTGAACTAAATGTCCAAAACCAGCATTAGGTTAAGAAATCTTCAGCAAACCCAGGCAGCAGTAGTGGCCTCTGTGTCCCTTCACCACATGGTTTTCATTTTCCATTTTAATGTAGTACCTGGTAATTGCAAACTACTCTGCGCATTGGAGATAATGTTGATGATATTTTACATGCCATTTTTAAGTGTTTTATAGAACATCCTCCAATCTGGCACATTGCCAGGAAAGGAAGGTGGGCCTTATTTTCTATCATGCAAAATGAAGATAATTGAATTCGATGAGCTCTAAATTACAGTTCACTCCTTCAATCTTCCACTCAATGTTGGAAGACTGTGTGCTGGACAAACAGTGCAAGGTGCTAAGGATACAGCAATGGATAAGACATAGCTTCTGCCCCCAAAGAGTTCACAGCTTGGGAATATAGATTTGGAAATATAATTTAAGTAAAATGCGAGAACGCAATCATAGGGTCATGCACAGGATAGCACACAGGTGTGGGATAGTGACGGCTTTTAGCAAAAATTCAATGTAACGTGTTTGAGAGGATAAGTTAACCTGGTGTTTGGGGGCAGGAGATAGGAGAGTGCTGATGCAGGAGTGGAGAAGGTGATTCCAGACAAAAGGGAAAGCTTGACAAAATAACAGAGGTGAAAAACCACATGGTGGAAATAAGAGCTGACTGATCCAATGAAACTGCCTTGTTCTAACCATCTTTTACAAAAGAACCTCAATAGATCTATGAAGATAGAAACGAAAAGACTGTTAGGTTCTCCTGATTCAAATACTTCTTAACATAACCTAAAAAGATTTTACTTTTAAGTTACATTTTATTTCTTTAACTTTATTACTTTTTTGAAATTTTATATACACTAAAACATCCTGAAATAGCATGAGCTTTTAACAGCCCAAGCATGAAAGTGTACAGCAAATTACATATTGCTTGCAGACTTAAGAACAATGTAATTCTGATGGAAATTAATCAAACCTCTTCTCTAGAGTGTTGGTGAGCCCCTTAGCCAAATTGTCAAGGGAAATATTTCCCCCCATTTCCTTTTCTGTTGTCTCAATACTTTCTCTAATCCAGATTGCTTATACCTACAATTCTCCCTGAACCAAGCTGCTCTGATTCTATCCCTCTTAAAGTGGTCAGTCCTCAATCTCTCTGCAACTGTTCAAGGTTTCCATCTTACATGGGACTTTGGCTTCAACTGCCCCAACATTCGCAACAGAACATTTACTGCCTCTGTAACTAGTAAGCCTGTTCCTGATTTTTATTGCATAATTCCATACAATGTTGAACCTATAACTCAAGTCCCTCTCCAATTCAGATGAACTCTATCCTGTGGCTTTAAGTAGGAAACTCTCCTTATATTCAGATGGGGTTCTCTGTAGCATTAGATGAGTAGAAAACATCCCCTGAGCTAAGTTCTTGCCGTGACACAGATAACCTTTCTTTATGGCCTCCTCACCTCCCTTCACCCTATAGATGTTTCATTGAAGAAAAAATTGCTTCTCCTTTTGATTAATCTTAGCCGAATGGGCTTGAAATTCTGTTGGCCTTTTGGGGCTCACTGATATTGGGTCACAAGTTCACTTTGAATGGTTATCAGTGCCATATAAATGCAAAACACTATTATTATATGTAAATTACTATCTACTTTCTGTAAATCTTTCTCCCTTTTCAAAAAAAGTATTTATATTAAGGTTGAATATTCAAATGTTTTCTGCAGATTTCTGTGAATAGCTTTAAAATACTCAAGTTAGAACTCACTTCAACTCAACTGAGATTTTATCAACTTTTCATTTTCTAGCAATATGAATGCCAAATTACTTTGTGCTTAAAGATTACATGAACTGATGTACTGTTAGAATGCGAGATTTTCAACTATGAAGATTTGTCTTAATTTGTTTAAAAGGCAATGTTATAATGTTTGTAATTTGTGTTAAAATATACCATCATAGATCTTATAGTACTATAAATATGCTATTTAATTTAAGCTTGAGGCCTGGGGCAGTGGCTCATGCCTATAATCCCAGCACTTTGGGAGGCTGAGATGGGTGGATCACCTGAGGCCAGGAGTTCGAGATCAGCCTGGCCAACATGGTGAAACCCGGTCTCTACTAAAAATATAAAAATTAGCCAGGCGTGGTTATGCATGCCTGTAATCCCAGCTACTCCAGAGGCTGAGCCAAGATCGTGCCCCTACACCTGAACCTAGGGGAGACAGTGAGACTCTGTCTCAAAAAAAAAAAATTTAAGCTTGAGCTCTAAAGATAGTCACTTCCTCTGACTGAGAATCTGCACTCCAGGGAAACCAACTATAATTTTATTAGAAAGGCCACACTAGAAATGCAAGCACTTCTATTATTCATATCTAGATCAATCCCTGAAACTTTGATAATTAACATAATAGGCTAGATTCTCCAGTCAGTATTTAGAATGATAAATGTTACAATTGGGACTTTATTAGTGAAATTTAAATATATTCAAGATATACAGATTGAAAAAATATTTTATAAAATTAAAGATATTTAAGATACGTAGATTGAAAACTGGATGAAATACTTTGGATTCACTCCTCACTCTGGTGAACAGCCTATAAAAATCTGGCCAGGTCCAAATTAGCCCTTAGGTTTTGTTTGGTGGTGGGGATAAATTTTTTAAAATCAGTAAAATTATGACTCTTTATAATATAAAAACAACATGTATCAAAGATTTTATTTGCCTCACTAACTAATGAGGAAACCAGGAAAGAAGTAACAGTTTATTCAGAGAAGACCTCTAAGACCAGACAAACATATAAGCCCATGAGTAATGCTGAAACGAATTTTTTAAATAGGTACAAAACTGGTTTCTTCCACTGTAGGGAGGGGAAGTCCATTGAACCTCCACTAGATAGAATTTATTTGCATGTGTATAGATAAAAATTATTTGCCCTACTGTCAGTTTTCTACATGTTAACTTATATCTACAGAATTGTAAAACAGCTCAGACAGTGAAAGGGAGACACTACATAGAATCAAATAATCGCAAAGGTATTCTCTAAACCAGTTGTTCCCAACACTTTTGCACCAGGGACCAGTTTCATGGAAGACAATTATTACACAGGATGGTGGGGAGCGGGGTATAGTTTCGGGATAAAACTGTTCCACCTCAGATCATCAGGCATTAGATTCTCATAAGGAGCGTGCAACCTAGGTCCCTCACATGCACAGTTCACAACAGGGTCTGCACTCCTATAAGAATCTAATGACAGGAGGCTGAGCTCAGGTGGTAATACTTGCTCACTTTCTGCTCACCTTCTGCTGTGCAGACCAGTTCCTAACAGCCCACAGATGGTACCTGCTGGTGGTTGAGGACCCCTGCTCTAAACAATGCAAAGTTTTCTACTGAAAACACCTGCTAATCTTTTGGTTCATTTAAAAGTCTTTCACAATTTCACCTTACTATAGTCTAAACCACTGGTTTAGAAGGATTTCTAAATTACCTCTAAATTTCTGTTACCTGTTGCTGCTAAACAGATAACAGAAGTCTACCTCTAGAATGCTGTCTCCTTTTCCTTAGGCTAACCTTTCTAGCAGAATGTTGGTTGGAGCAACTAAAAAAATAGAGTACTGGGGTACTGGGGCCACATTGGACTTACAGAGCAGACTATATTGTGCTTGTCTGCTCATAAAGGTTTGTTTAAAAATGTCTACACCAACAATGAAATTTACCAAAAGCTTGCTTACATTATAACTTTGTAGCAAGGTTGTGGTGGAATAGTAGCCCTTATCAACTTCAAACATTTTGGGCTATTACCTTTATCTATCAAAAAGAACCCAAGATGTACATAAACAAATTGACAGGTAGATTTGCAACAGGCAGAAACTACTACCATGGTTAGTCCCCCCCTTTTTTCCCATTTGGAAGAAGGTTATTAATTCCGCTTACTAAAGGTCAGAAGTAGCATTTATAAAAGATTTTGAGTGGGGCCTATAATGGGTTTTAACATCTGTGAGCACCCATCTGGCTGTTAATATTTTGCTCCTAGTTCACGTTTTGTCTAGTCCTAGTGTGGCATAGACAACCTACTCAACCTGAAGTCAAAGGAACCAGAAAACACAATTTTTATTCTTTATCTATTCCTGGCCCACTCTGCCAGCCCCAGATTTCTCTCTTGATGACAACCTCCCTTTATTTAATCTTTGAGGAAGGCGGCAGTGGGAAGAGGAGGGAGGCAGGTGCGGAACCTCAAGCTCAGCATCTCTGAGTCAATATTTTGTGCTCTTTTTAAGTAAGACTATATCACTGGACTATAAAATACTTTGGCAATAACTACATCAAGATGTAAACACGTATTACTGGTGAGTAAGTACACTCAGCTTACCCAGCTTGGTTATAGAATTAGAATTTCCATACACCTCCAAATGAACCCCTGAAAGCAGGCCTCAGTGAAAAGGAGATAAAACAAAGACTACAACATATGGTTTATCTTTTCAGTAATTACATTTTCAAATGTAATCTTATACACTTTTTCCTCTTAAATAAAGTCTTGTTTAAAACCAAATGTTTCTCTGTTAACACAGAGTAGGCAAATGAGAGTCCACACGTGGATATTGAGATATTCAGTGGTTTCATGGTTTTGAAAAGTTTGAATTAACATGCTGTACTTGTGGCCTCCTGGAGAATAAGGCTGTGCAAAGGGAAAAGTGGTTAAGAACTGGGCTTGTGTCTTCCACATAGACAAGCTTTTTCAGGCCACACTCAGTTGCAGAATCAGCATTTTCTTCAGAGGAGAGGGCAACTGTGCACTGTAACATATCCCACATGTCCGTATCAGAATAGCAAATTTCTTGCTCTGGGAAAGAAATCTACCTTCAGCTCGCCTCCTAAGTAGAAGGCTTCTACAGAATTCTTTATGTGTCTGAAGTCACTCTAAGTGGAAAATGTAGCTGCTTTTAGGTTTTAATAAAGCTAACGTGACCAACCATATTTATGAATGATCACATTTGGAGTCTGTTTTCTACTATTCTGGTGATAATATGAGATTACCACACCTTTCCAAATGCCTGAATTTTCTGTTCATGTGTCAGGAAACATGTTATTCCTTCATAGGGAAGAAAAATTGTCTTTGCTAATATAACTTTTTAAGAAATCAGACAGCAACAGGGCAGGAGTCTGAAGGCAGCACAGGGCCTTAGAGATGGGCTAGTGCAGATTAAGCAAGAGAAAGGCAGATGACATTTAGAAGTCAAAGAAGGATGGCAAATACTATGGTTTTCTTTGCTCAGCCCCTATTTAACCCTCCTTCTTCCTTGTTCCGCAGAGTGAGACAAGCTGAAGTCCACATTTCCCACACTTCTTAGCAACTGGTGTTGCGAATACAAATTAGATTCTACCAGTCAGATGTAGTTGCCTGAGATTTACAGATAAGGAGGGAAGGCTATTTTCACGCAGATGTCCCTGCTGGCAAACCATGCCATAAAGATGTAACTATTGAGAGGCCATTTCTTAGTCTGTTTTGTGTTGTTATAGCACAATACCTGACTCTGGGTCATTTACAAATTGAAGAGGTTTATTTGGCTTATGATTCTGGTGGCTGAAGAGTCCAAGATTGGGCAGCTGACTCTAGTTAGAACTTCATGCTGCTTCTACTCATTGTGGAAAATGGAAGGGGAGCTGGCCTGTGCAAAAAGTTTACATGGCAAAAGAGGAAGCAAAAGAAAGAAACCAAGGAAGCCAGGCTCTTCTTAAAACACTGTCCTAAGAACTAATTTACTCACTCACCCCTGACCCTGTGGGAGGGCATTAATCTATTCATGAGGGATCCGCCTCCATGACCCAAATACCTCCCACTAGGCCCCACCTCCACCACCACCACATTAAGAATCAAATTTCAACATGCATTTTGGTGGGGACCAACCATATCCAAACCACAGCAGCTGGTCACTTGCAGGGTTCCAGTGT
This sequence comes from Homo sapiens, assembly GCF_000001405.40. Taxonomy (NCBI): domain Eukaryota; kingdom Metazoa; phylum Chordata; class Mammalia; order Primates; family Hominidae; genus Homo; species Homo sapiens. Next base: position 219,529,383 of record NC_000001.11, read on the forward strand.
CAAATAACCAGTCCCATGAATGTCAGGATGCAGTTAGAGCAGCAGCAGCAGCAGCAGGGACCACAGCAGCACAGCAGCAGCCTGCTGATGCCTTGGCCACAACCATGAATAGTCCTGTGCTGGGACCTCGACCCTAACTCCTTCAGTTCTTCCACTAACTCTGTAAGCACACAGTTCTCTATGTTAAATCACCTTCTGTCTAAAACACCCACAATGGTTTTGTTTCTTGCACTTCACTCTAATTTGGAGAGGACTGGTGATTGTCAGAAAATGATTGACTGGGTGAAGTGGTTTATGCCTGTAATACCAGCACTTTAGGAGGCTGGGGTGAGAGGATCCCTTCAGGCCAGGAGTTCAAGACCAGCCTGTGCAATGTAGTGGGACTGCATCTCTGCAGAAAAAAAATTTTTAAATTAATCAGGCGTGGTGGTGTGCATCTGCAGTCCCAGGTACTTGGGAGGCTGAGGTAGGAGGATCACTTGAGCCCGGGAACTTGAGGCTGCAGTGAGCTATGATTGTGCCACTGCACTCCAGCCTAGGTGACAGAATGAGACCCTGTCAAAAAAAAAAAAAAAAAAAGAAAGAAAGAAAGAAAGAAAAGAAAAGAAAATGATCAACCACAGAAGGTAAGAAGCCTAAGTCTCAAAATTGATAAATTTTAGAATTAGAAGGGAGTTTACATATTCCTCATGCAGTCCTACCCTCCTCATTTTAAAAGTGAGAAATTAAGACCTAGGGAAATTAATTATATGATCTGTAATTAAATGAATTGAGGCTATGTGGTACAAAAGACAAAACAGAGGGCAAGAAATAAGGCATATCTGGGTTTGAATCCTAGAGCTGCTACCAATTAACCATGTGGCCTTAATTTCTCCAAGCCTCAGTTTCCTTATCTGTAAAATGGGGCTAATTAGACTATTAATTATTACTGAGTGGTGAGCACTCAATATCTCATAGATTCTTCTCCTTCTTTTATTCCTTTATTCACAGTCACATGATATGAGTGCCTGGTCAGAAACCAGGCTTCCTGATTCCTAGAAATACAAAGACAAGTATGAGGCAAGCTCTAAAAATGGTCTTATATCCAAGTGCACTTTTAATCTGTGGACAGAAAAAAAAATAAAAGAAAAATGAAAATCTGGAAGGCAACACTGAAATCAGGAGAGATACCCAAAGGGAAAAAAACAGCAGGAGGACCAAAGCTGAAATTAGGGCTGGGAAATATTACTTCTATTGGGGTAAGATAAATTTTTACTCCAACAGAGTAAAAATAGGACTCTATTGGTAAAGGTCCAAGTGACCTGATGGCAAAATAGAAAATAGTTAAGTGGGGATAATTTATCAGGAGAGATGGCTGACCATGGTTCAAACCAACAGGAGATTGAGTTGGCAAAAGGCCGATCCAGCCCCTGGTGTTGGGGGCTCTGCCACACTAGCAAACAGATCAGAATTTTGTAGGTGGGGAGTGAAGAGCAGACATACCTCCCGGGGTTAGGACAGTATAAGGGTAGAAAGCAAGTGAGATCCAGACGTTAGTCTCCTTTTAAGTCCTATTCAATCATGCTAGGATAGGATCTACAAATATGCTATAACTGTACCCAACAGAGTCTTAGCAGCAACCTCTTTACACCGTTCCCAAGGCTCTGAGGCTGGGAGATAAAAACGAATGAGGAGGAATATTGTGTTTACTTTGAAGTATCAATTTAGTAGTGATTGCATGTATTTCTGTCTTTTTTGGTTGTTTTGTGTTGACCTGCACTTATATGTATCTAACTCACGTGACCCTTAAGACGTTGATGAGATGGGCTGGGACCCTCTTTCCATGCCCTGTGAAAGCCCCATTGCACCATAAGATGTTTGCAGATTCCCTGGGGTTTATGTTTGCCTAGTCACCTCTTCCTCCAGGCATGTTTTCTTTTGTGGCGCCTTGCTTCATACAACAAACACAGAAACTCAGTTTCTTCCTTCATTTCCACACAAACTTTCATGAGCACAGTGGGCTCTACTGAAAATCTTGGGGCCACAGGGACAGGGCATAAGAAAAGATCTCAATGCCCCCAGCCATCCGTCCTGCTCCTCTCACCTTGCTGTCCTTCTCTGATTCCCATCACCCTACCTGTTAAGAGTTCGGCTCTCCTTAGCAACTTCTCCCAAACTTGTATTTCCAAACCCAAATGCATGAAGACTTTGGATGCCAACACAAACAGATCCAGAGCAGATGAAGGAGTTTATTTAGAAACATAAAATCAAATAAAAAGTAAAATGATAAAATAAATAAACCAACACTTATAAATAAGGCAAGCTAGTGCTCTTAGGGAAAATAAAACACTCCTCAATCTGGTTGGTTCAATCTAATGGTGAAAATAAAAGTAGGTGTGGAATTATTTAATAATTCAAGTATCTTAGCAATCAAAAGGAAATGAAACTCACCAATTAGGCTATCTAGAATTATTTTCATCAGTGCGATAAATTAAAATGGTCGTTACAGTTGACCCTTGAACAACATGAGTTTGAATTGCATGAATCCACTTCTATGTGGATTTTCTTCCACCTCTGCCACCCCTGAGACAGCAACACCAACCCCTCTTCTTCCTCCTTTTCCTCAGTCTATTCAATGCAACATGATGAGGATGAAGATCTTTAGGATGATCCACTTCCATTTAATAAATAGGAAATATATTTTCTGTTCTTTATTATTTGCTTAATATTTTCTTTTCTCTAGCTTGCTGTATTGTAAGATTATATTATGTAATACATGTAACATACAAAATATGTGTTAATCAACAGTTTATGTTATTTTAAGGCTTCCAGTCAATAGTAGGCTATTAGTAGTTAAGTTTTGGGGAAGTCAAAAGTTATACATAGATGTTTGACTGCTCAGGGGGTTTAATACCCTTAACCTTGGCATTGCACAAGGGCCAACTCATTGAAAATAGCTCTGATGTTTCTCCTTCATTCTCTCCTCATATCATTTTTCTTCTCTGATTCATTTATTTCACAAATATTTATTGAGTACCTAAGGTGTTCCAGGCACTGTTCTAGACCCTGTAGGTACAGCAGCAAGTAAAACAGACAGGGACCCTCACTTATGGAGCCTGCCTTCTGGTGGAAGAGATAAAGAGTTAACACATAAACAGGTACATAAAATAAGGTCATATAATGGTCAGTATTAGAAACAAAGTAAGGCAGGGTAATGAGATAGAGAAAGACTGGAATTGGTTGGTTCAAGTTGAGAGAAGATGGTCAGGGAAGGTTCTTTAAAGAGGACCCTATTGGACAATGACCTTCTCAGTTAGCAAGTAAAAGGCATGGAGGAGAGTTCCACAGCCCTAAGGTGGGAAGAGCAGAGGGACAGCACAGAGGCCAGTGGAGGTCAGAAACAGGGAAGAAGGGAGACGACAAGAGATGAGATCAAACACATAAGGTGGGTCCAGATCACCAAGAGTCTTTGTGCGCCATGATGAGGAATTTACATTTTATTACCCATCACCCCTACTGTGTTTGAGACCACCTGTTAAACACTTGTTTGACAGAATCAGACCTATAAGGTTTCTCATTTTTAAAATTAGCTGCAATATAAAGCTTAAAGAATAATATATGACATTATAATTAAGTAGAAGTTTAAAATAATAAAATCCTAAAGCACACACATGCCTTCACACAACACATTCAAGAAATCTGACCTGTGGTCTATGGGTTTTTATGCATAGAAGGTGTACAGTATGCCATCAAGCCCCCTTCATTGCCCTTTGCCATCTGCTCCTGCAAAATCTATCTCCATAAACAATAAAAGAAGTCCTTCCTTAAAATACTATGTCCCAGGTTCCTAATTTCAGACCACAGTTGAAGATAAGTTAAGCACTGGGAAATTCTTTGGGTTTCATCATCTTTTAAAGCCAACAAGAGAGCCCTTCAGATTCTTCTTTTTCCACTAGGTTCTTGGGTTGACTCTAAAGAGAGTCCATGTGATTTTTGGAAATTTTAATCCTTTCTAACCCCTAGAGATGGGGAGGAAGAATCAATTGAGTGCCAGAAAAGTGAGCTGAAACGAATTATGTAGTGGGCTTAATAGAACCACCATGTGATGAAATATTCTCTCTCTTTTAATTTATGAAAAGCACTTCCTGGCATGTTCCACACCCACCTCCCTTGGGGCTTCTTGGTCAACCCATTCAACTGCATCACTTAGGAATTATTTTTTTTCTCCACAGCCAAGGCTATTAGGGCTACAAGACAAAGATCAGCATCTACATTCCATTACTTCAAAGGGATTTCCCTCAGGAATTCCCTTCCTCCTTTACTCCAATATGATTCTAAATAATACTTACCCACCCCAGTTTTGAAACACCGTTGAACTTATCCATTTACCCAGTCATTAGAGTTTGAGAACAAGGCTACCAGCTCACAGATGAATTTTTCAAGGAGTCTCTCCCAGGCTCCACTCCTACACTGAACAATGTCTTATCCCACAGTCAGGATGTAGTTTCAAATAATGTGGAAAAAACCCACCTATGGTGGGATCTTAGACAATCACTTACTCTCTCTGGATCTCAATTTGTCTGCATATAAGGAAATAATTAAACAGGAGGAGGAAAAAAGCAATATGAGCTAAGATGCTCATTGGAGCATTAAATATAAGGGTAAAAAAATAGAAACAACTTAGCTTCCAAAATGTTAAAACCATAACAATATTTTACTAGCTTTGAACAATAATAAAAACAACTAGAATTTGTGTAGCATATTACTTTGTAAAATATTTACAAGTACATTGCCTAATTTGTAAACAGCCTAACAAAAAGCAGGCCAATTTATGACTTTTATTCATTTTTATTTTGCAGATGAGAAAATGAAGCCTCAAATAAGCTAAGTGAGTTGTATGAGGTTATACAGAGCGGTTACTCAGACACAGCATGGTAGAATGTAACTATCATGGAGTTTGGAGTCAGGCAGTGTTGGTCTCTTATATTAGCTCTACTACCATCTAGCATTACTTTTTTTTTGAAGGTTGTTATATAGGCTTCAGTTTTCTCATCAGCAAAACAGGATGAGTAGGTGTGCAATTAAGCAGGAGAACATATGTGGAATGTAGCATCTAGCATGTAGCTGTGATAATAAATTCTAGTTTCCTTTCCCTTCTTTTAATTGTGAATCCCATAGCCTACTAACTATGCCATGCTACAACTGCCATCACTAGAACTGGCTACCAGAGAATTCTACTTTCTCTTATCTTCCAAATCTGAGGCAGTGTTTCCTTTATTGATACCCCTTGGCCTAGGGTTACCCACACCCAACAGACAGAAAGAGAAAAATAGCCTTTCCACCAGCCCCAGAGTCCACTGATCTCATTCCTTCTGACTCTGACTTCTGAATTTCTGCTTGCCTCTTTGAATCTGTGGCACTTGACTCCTTAGTTGAGCTGCCTAGTGTCAGAAAACAATGGGAATATTTTCACAATTCTGTATGCTCTGAGCTTTCTGAGCAATTTGGGTTAGAGAGTGAGTGAATGGCAAACAAGGGTAGAAAGTTAAGGATAGTAAGTTACCTAGGAGAGATTTACAAGTTTCTCTCCCCTTGAGCCATATGTTCACATTTCAAAGGGTTGTAACACCCTAGGACCTTCCCTTCTCTCCTTAGAGAAGATTTGCTCACATTAGAAAGCAAAGGTTTTTCTCCTTCTCTCAGGAATGAAGAAAAGACAGCTGTGCTGCTGCTCCCATATGAGCTCCAAGATTCATAATTTCGTCATGATACCCTGAAGAAGAAATGGACATGGAAAACTGGCACTGAGACATAGATCATCAGTCTGCTGCTGACCTAGAAACCTTGTGTTTACTGTAAGGATGAAATAAGTGAATGTAAATGTAAAATATTGTCTCCTAGACTTGATTTATTATCCACAGAAGTCTGAAATATCTTTCAGCTCCCCTCCTGCTTGACTGAACCTGGGTCATTATCATCTGCAGAGTCATCTCAAATGAATGCATAGGAAACTTCAGTTTGATAGTAGTTCCAGCCCTTACTAGGTAGAATTGAATGGAAAAGAGAAATCTGCTTGCCTTGAGAACCTGAATTAAGACACTAAACTGAACCTTAAATTTGTATTTAGGGAGGATAGAGAAAGTATATGTTGGAGGAAAGCAAAGGGTGAGAGACACCCACAAAATTCACCAGCCACTATTAAACATAAGAACACAACATAGCACTTCACTGTTTCAACTATTTGGGGCTGCAAAAGGGTCTTTCAGGCCATTCATTCAGTTTTTTGCCAGAGCAAAGGAACTTTCAACAAGATGATGGCCCCAGTAACAGAAGAATTGGGAAGAACATGAGAATGACGCTTCTTGCCCGCCAAGAAAGCAAAACCTCCTCAACCCAATTGCAATCAAAATCTTCAGGTTTTGGCAGCTAACTTTTCTTGCAAGTCTGTTTGTTTGTTTGTTTGTTTATTTATTTATTTATTTATTTATTTATTTATTTGAGACGGAGTCTTGCTCTGTCGCCCAGGCTGGAGTGCAGTGGCGTGATCTTGGCTCACTGCAAGCTCCACCTCCCGGGTTCACGCCATTCTCCTGCCTCAGCCTCCTGAGTAGCTGGGACTACAGGTGCCCGCCACCGCTCCCGGCTAATTTTTTTTTGTATTTTTAGTAGAGACGGGGTTTCACCGTGGTCTCGATCTCCTGACCTCGTGATCCAACTGCCTCAGCCTCCCTAAGTGCCATGTCTGTTTTATAATGACCTTTTTGAGTCAAAACTATCTTCATTCAGAAACACACAGGAAGTCAATCTCAGTAGGGTTACTTTCATATTACTCTCAAAGTACCCTGGATCTGGGTCACAGGGTTAGTTGAGTCAATACAAATGAGCCACCTCAGCAAGATCATCAGTGAGTGAAACAAGCCAACCTATGGCTGATTCACTTCTCTTGATTCCAATGAGTTCAGGTTCCCAACACAGCCTCGCCCTCAGACTTTAGATTTCTGGTGCCCTTCAGAACAATTCTTTATTGTCCTTTTATATGAAGCCTAGAGGGACCTGCTACTCAGCTGAATTTCTTCTCTCCAGATCTGAAGAACAATCTGCAGCCTGGCTGGCATCTCTTTGCAATCCACTCTATCTGATCCCACTTCTTACCGCTAAATCCAATTAGTTCAGCATTTGACAAAAGTGAAAATTTAGAAAATCCGGTTTGGTGGTTGTTGTTGTTGTTGTTATTGTTTACCACTTCAAAGGCAGATTTATTCTGTGGCTTTGGACAAGCCACTCAACCATTCTGATCTTTGTTCTTTTAAAACATAAGTAGCCGGCATGGAGTGTCAGCACATAGCTATCCATGTTTCCAGGAATGGTGTTCAATATATTATGAAAACTCTCTGGAAGGGTTAGTTTATACAAAGCAGGCAAATTCCAACCTTGGAGAGGTTAATCCCCTCATAAAATAGCATAAAAATACAGAGACACTAAGTTTCAAGAGGATGGAATATGACTCTAGCTAGATGTCCTGCCCTAAACCTCAGACAATGTCATGAGCCAAAAAAACCTCAATAATTGAATGCACTTGGATAAGACAACGACAAAACCAATTTCCTGAATGATGGAAATTATATCTGCCCCCGATGGTTTTTCTCTATTGCATGATGGCATAGAAACTAGCGGGGAAAAACTATTTTATTGGGTAATGGACCAGTATGCCAATATATCATCCTCACTATTTTTCGATTTCTGAGGAACAATGGAAAAGATCAGTGCCCTGCCACTGTGAGGTATCAACCCAACTGAAAATATCAACACATCTAATTTACTAAAAAAGGCTTTTGGACGACAGGAATGATCATTGCTGCCCATGGAGTTAAGCAGTTTGGCTGCAGTGAGGAGGACAGGCTGACTGTGCTTATCTTATCTGATTCTGTCATCATTGTAGAGTCAGCTTCTGCTGGGGGCTTGGAATCCTGGGAAACTGACCTCTTTGCTCTGGGGCTGCTAAATCACAGAAGCCTGTGGGCCCCACCAAGTTCACTTATAAAGAACATCTAGGCAGTTTTTACTCTTAGTGGGTGAGAAACCGCAGAGAACAGCTTACATCTCAAATTAGTAATGATCATGGTCTTTGTTCTATAAGGCAGGCATCTACAAATTCCTGCACCCAGCTTCAGTGATTACGCCAGCTTTACTTTTGAAGTAGACAGCAAATGGGTAATCCCATTTGCTTATATAAATATTAGAAGAGTGTGCTGTGTTTAAGCACAGTGCAAGACTCTTTTATCGGCTGCTTTATAAGCCTAACATTCTCTTCCCACCCAGAATGGCTAGTTAATATACCAGGGCTAAATTTTTGGAGAATTACTCTACCATATGGAAGTAGCAAATGAAGAACATAAAAAGCAGAAAGAGCTAAGCCCGGGTGTATACTGGTCTCAAATTTACTCATTATTCATATGAGTGTAAGAAACACAGGGAACAGGAGAAGGTCAGTGGGGTCCATGGAGGCCATTCCTTTCCAATAAGCTCTTTTTTTTCCTAGGGCAGCATCTAATTGCTTCTGTGCTGCTTACAGTTGGGCCTGGGATTCTGTTCCAAATATTTGTTACTCTCAGGGAGGAAAAAAAACATGTTGCTGGTGACTGTCCTGTATTTCAGTTTTTGAGTTTCAAATACTATTCAAGTATAGTATTATTGCTTTGTACTATAGTACAGTGTTGCTTGCAGACAAGGTCCTAAGCAGGGGAGGGTTACAGAGGAGCCTCAATTCTACTTGCCAAGAGGCTCTTCTCCTTTCTAAGTGAGAGAACTAGCTACTTTTAACCCTAAGATTTGTTTGTCATTTTCCACAGGGGATGTACTACTGGAAAATAGTGGGGAAAAGGGTCAGTCAAGTGGGATAGTTATTTTTTAAAAGAAAACATGCTCCCTGGTTCTCAGGGAAATAGAGGGGTAGAAATGGCCTGAGTATTATCTACTTTCCAATGATTATAGCTTTTTTTTGTCCCTCCTTCTTTCTTTTTCTCTTTCTTCTATCTGTCTTTTCTTTTCTCACTTTTTTCTTTTTAATATCCAGAGCCCACTAGAATAAAGTTGTCTTATCTTCTGGCTCTAAGGAGCTTTCTAGCCTCCTTAGATTAGCTATTGGCCCCAGCTTGCAGATACCTTCAGGGATCTGGGAACTGAACCACCGTTAGCACCCCAACTTCTTGACACCACACCTTTTAATGCCCAGAGACAGCTAAAATCAGCAGCTGCTAAAACTAGGGAAATGAGAAAAATAAAACTCTTACTCACCCTCAAGCAACTTGCAGCTTGCTGAGAAGGCAATATTCATGCATATCAAGCAACTAATAAAAATACATAACAGTATATTGACACGTTGTGAATAGGCTCTGAATTCAATAGTGTCAGGCCAATCTAAGCTCAAGTTTTAAAGTTCTACAATCAGCAACTAGAAAGTTTTCTAAGCTATCCTACTTTCTACACTCAAGGACTTCTATGCTAACACATTCGTCCTTAAAAGACGGTTAAGAGCTACACATTCTTTGTCTAGTGAATAGAGTTACTAATACTCTGGGTTCATAATTGCATTTCTTTAACTCTTAAGATTCCTTAGGGGATTTCACATCCTGGTATATGCAAGGTACCTCTGTTATAAAACAAAAGAATTTTTCCTTTGTGTGTGTGTGTGTATTTCAGTGCATCAAGTAATGAAATTGTGCATTTGGGTTGTAATTCTCTCCTTCCTGGGACTGAACATTAATCATCCAATTAGCTGGTCTGTTCTTCCTCAAAGCAAAGTGTGGTCTATTGAAAGCATTATTCTCACACATGGGGGCTAGACAACTTTTGACCACTATGGGCTGCCTGCAAAACAGAATGGAGTTTTCAAAGGGTGCTATTCATTACCTCACAAATCCTACAGTATGTCTGCCTTGGGTTTATTAGTTCAGTGAAATTTTGATGGATTTTAAAATATATATAAATAACTGTAGTAAAAAGCCTGTGCAGCTTTCACCCATACATGAACTGAAGAAACTAATAGGCACAAACGCTATGAATACAAACACACCCAACAGGCTTTGTTTGGTGGGATGATTTCACTCTTGGAAGCCCTGCTACTCTTGGATATGCTTTTTTTTTTTCTTCTAATGTAACAATTTTACATTCAAAAAGGTAGAGCAGAGTGGCTTCTCACTGACTTCTACCTCTATAAATACCTACATAAAGGGAAGCAGCTTAGGTTAGAAATAAAACATATAAACTTCAGTCAAAGCAGAGAGATTTATGCGTTTTCTGATGAATTTTATCCCAATAACCTTGATCAAGGAAAGAATGCCAAGTAATATTTACTGACCCCATGTCCCAGTCGAGATATTAGAAAAACGAAGATAGACAAAAGAAACTTAAAAGTAACAAGAAATGAGGAGGAAGAGTAAATGGCAGAAAAATTAAGGGAAGTGAGAAATAAGAAAGCTCTGCATATGTTAAGGAGTTGTCAAGAGCTAACAGTTTCCTAGATTCAGGCTCCATTAAATGTCCTGTATTTGGGGGCAGGGATGAATTGTATGAATGGCCAAGACCCTGTGGCCAATTCAAGAAAAAAACTTACCTCTAACTTGTTTCCACTGGAAGTAACCTCAGAGAACTTCCAGTTCAAGCTCATGATTTATAAAATGAAGAAATTATGACTCAGATAAGTAAAGTGGCATTTCAGTGATCTCTCAGCTGATCAGTAGAATAGCTGAGCCTAAAATCCAGATCTACTTTCTAACCCATTCTTATTTCCACTAAACATCATTCTATATATTTGCTAGACCTGTATAATCTCCCATCATATTGTGTATAACCCTTGCCCTTCATCTTCTACTCCACACACACACACACACACACACACACATGCACGCACTTGTGCTATGTTCTTGTGAATATAATATAGTATGAATATGAGTTCTTCATCAGTTAGAGTAGGTTGGCAAGAAATAGCAAGGGATACATGTTGACAGCAAGCTGTTTGCTTGCAAACTGAATGCAAATACTGTGTAGCACTTCCAGCTATTACATATACCTGAATGTGACCTTTGTGAATTTCATGATGAAATTCACAGGGTTTCCTATCCCTGAATCCACCAGATCATTGTGCAACATAAATCCAGTTGTGTGATCCCACCCCAATGGGGAAGCCACTCTGGGGCTGGTGCCACTTCCCAGTGGATTCATTTTTTGGAAGCAATTCCGTTGCTGTCACCTGACTGGGAAATAGCCATTTGTTTTGTTAGAATTTTTTGATTCAATGAGCTTCTTCCATGTCACATAACATATATATAAACTCTTCCACTTCAAGCACTTTACCTCTTGGGCGCTAATCCCACCTCACCTATGCCCACCCTTCCAACCTTTCAATCCACACACACACTCCACCCTTTGTTTCCACCCTCAGCTTAAAGGCAAACCTTATTAACTTACTATAAGAGGACAAAGTGAAATAGGTAAAACATGTTCACTCTAAATTTCCTTAAAGGGGGCTTGTGTGATGCAGTGTCCTCTCCTTCCAATAAACATTGCTGTCACTGACAAGCCATAAGAAGAACTTAAGCTTTGGATGTTTTCTTAATAGAAAGGATGGATCTATAGAACTCAAACTAGATGTGTAGCATAGAGGATCGGGTGAAATGGTGTCTATCCTTAGACAGGAAATATTTAATGATAGAAGAGCAAATGTTCAGGTCAAGAATTACAAAGACGTGTATGACTGCTATACAAAAGAAAAAAACTTCAGTTTAAGACAAAGAAGGACTTTCTAATGAAAAAGAGTTCTGCGCTCCCTCTCTCTCTCTGGTATGTCAATGGAAATTGGATGACCATCTATTTATATCCCCAACAGGAATTCATCAAAGAAAGTCTGGACCAGAGAAACCTGAATCCTTTCTAATTCTCCACACAGAGCACTATGGAAACTCTTCTGATGGTTGGTTGAGAACAGGGAAACATTATATGGGTTTAGAAAAGAAAAAAATATAACTGATCAACACAGGGATCAAGAATGGGTCCATCTGCAGGTTGTTCCAACCAACTGTGGAAGTGATCCTGTAGCTCACGGTGTACATTGTCACTAGTAAAACTTTCAAAGGCCTTCTGTAATGAAAAGAATAAGAATGTTTTATAAATATCACACCAAAAATGTATTTGGCTTTTTAACTGTATGAACATACTTGAAGTTTTTTCTCTTAAGTAGTGTAAATAGCAACTTTTAACACAAAATTAGGAAAACAATAGTCCCTACTTCATAGAGGGTGTGACGTTTAAATAAAACAAAGTGTGAAGTCTGCTGCATAGATCACCTAGCACAGTGAGTAATCAGTAAGTGCTAGCTATCTTATTTACAGCCGCTGTTAATTTTCTCAATAATGCATTTCTTGATAGGTATTTCCTTGGTAAATACGTCGCACTAAGTCAGAAGTATCCTGATCCCAAATTTCCAGAGCTGCACAATGTGGTCTGCATTATACTTCAGAGCCTACAACACTGAACACGGTTATCATGCAGATGTTGAATGCTCATGCATGTAGCATGTTGGTATCAGTGTCTACTGGCATGACCTAGTGGGCATAAACTTAGATGGAAGTTGCAACAAAAGCAAGTAATCAAAAGGCTCCATTTTTCTATGAAAGTAAATAAAACCTGATTGGTGGAATGAAAAAAGCAAGTAGAAAGAACTGGGTCAAGAGAGACTTCATACATACATTTTTGTGTGTGACTAATTTAGTGGGTTAATGTTTCCTTGCAGCTTGTGGTGTTTTCCAGGTGGCTTGAAGAAATAGAGAATTTAAGGCCAAAACATTTGGTGAGTTTCCTAATGAAAAAAATTAAACAATAGCTGCTCTGGCTTTTTGTAAGCAAAGATGTCTGAGTTGAACTCCAGGAAGAAAAGGAGCTATCACCCTAGTCTATATTTATGAATCTATATGCCAAGATTAAGGTGAACACCCCCAAAGTCCCATGTTACTACTCTTTTCTATCACCATACCCGATCAAACACAGCAACATACACCGAGAGAAATTATTAAAAAGCTACCTCAAAAAAGCAAGCAATAGACACTTTTTACCCACAAAAGCACAGAAGGCACAAATTGCCCAAAGGCAAATGCCCGGCTGCCTCCCATCCCAAACACAAGACCGAAAAACTAGAAAGCTTAGATCCTTGGTGGACTCTGGACTCCTCAAACTCCTTGGATGACATAATCTAATTTGAGAAAAAACACTCTCAACTGACCATCTAGCAGAGGTCTCTATTCCAAGGGCCAGGCTTGCAGTGACCATCTGTATTTCTTCAGCTGAAGTCTGCACAAAGAAAACTGAAAAGTTGAGATTCTAAAGCCCGGTTGTTCCTGGACATTAATTTCTAGTGACTATCTGGGATGTTTAGTTGAAGTATTCCTAGGCAGAGAAAAGTCAAAATAGTCTCCAACTATCAACACTTCTCAGGTCACAAATTCCAAAGGATAATAATTACCCAAACAAAAACTACCCACAGGACATACAATAATGATTTTTCTTTCAGCACGAAATTATCCAAACTAAGACCACAGAGCAGATGGCAACTTTTCAGTGGCACATTCTATGACTGGGATATTGGCAGGTCCTTGGAGTCTCAGCCTAATGCAATGATGACATCAGGCCCAGGGAAGGTGGAATTCTAAGATGTGCCCAAGGTCTCTGTTTCCAGGTGCATATGTCCTGTACAATCACCTTCCTTCAGAGTGGGCAGGACCTACGAATATGACGGGATAGTCACCCCTCTGATTAGGTTATATTCTACAAGATTCCATTTTAACAGACCAGAGAGAGATTCTCCTACTTACTTTGAGGGAGTAAGTTGCCATATTGTGATAAGGCCACATGTTTTAGACGTGAGTCGTTGACTTATTCTCTGAGAACAATGCCTGGATAACTGCATGCAAGAAAACAGGACCTCATTTCCTATAACCACAAGAAGCTGGATTCTGCCAACAGTATGAATAAGCTTGGAAGAGAACCCTGAGGTCCAGATAAAAACCAAACCAGGTGACACCTTGATTTCAGCACTTTGAGACCTCAAGCAGAGGATCCAAGGAAATGATGAGATAGTAAACATCTGTTGTTTGAAGCCACTAAGTTTGTGGTAATTTGTTAAGTAGCAGTTGGATACTAACACCTAGCCTGAGCTGAGTGGCTGTAGGTTCTCATTTACCCACTGTGTGACCTCAAGCAGGTTAAATAACTATTTTGAGCTTCAGCTTTCTCATCCCTCAAGTGTGGATTATGAATATATCTGCTCACTTGCTCCCAGATATTTCAAGTGAGGGTGAAAATAGATATTACTTGTGAAAGTATTTTGAAACTTTATAGCATTAATCAAATAATTGGTAAAGTTAAGTAAAATATTTGAGGTCTGTGGAAGTCCAAGGGTCATTGTGGAACTCCAAACTGACTCCAGCTTTTCAAACCAGGGTGGGGTTATAAGAGCTTCTGCTCCCATGACCTATCTCCAAAGCAAATGCCAGAAGAGGCTTGGGTTTGTCCAATCAAAGATATAAACATGGAGAAAATTTTATATTTCATAGAAATTGGCAGAGCCTCACCTGCAAATGATTTACTTATGCACACTATATACATTTACTCTGACAAGTGCTAGGTACTATGGATAAGTATGCAAACAAAATCCAAGTTCTCTTTTTAAGCCAGTTAATGTCCCTAAGAAGACACAGATAAGAGATGAACAATTAACAAACTGTGTGAAAATGTTATACTAGTTGGTAGGCAGACTGCTGGGTGAGCACAGGCAGCAGGGAGTTAGAGCACCTACTTGTCACAGGGATGTGCAGAAGGTTTTCCCAGAGGAAGATGGACTTGTGTTGATTGCTAAAGGACAAGTAAGGGTCATTAAGCAGACAAGATGGGCAAAGGGCTAAGGAAGAGGCATTTCATGGGAAACAGTTGGATTTAAAACCCAGAGGCTTGAAACCATGACCCTTTTATAGGACAAGCACGTTAGTGCCATCTGGCTTTATAAAAGAGAACAGGAAAGTACACGAAAAAATTAGAACTGACAGTTAGGGAAAGAGCAGACCATAAAGGACCTTGTAGGCTTTAATGAAGAATTTGATATTTATTCTGAAGGTGATAAGGAGCCCTTGATGGCTTTTAAACAGATCTGCATTGAAGAAAGTTAACTTGGGCGGCAGTGTGGATAATGGATTAGAAAGAGGAAAGAATTCAACTTGAGGGTAATTGGAGTAATCTACCTAAGAAAAGCTAAAGACATTCCTGCAGATGAAAAGAGGGATGAATTTAAGAGCACCAAGAAGGTGGGACAAGCAGGATTTAATTGGCCAGATTTAATCTGGGAGAGAAAGAGATCATGTTGAATCCAAGGTTTCGAGCCTGAGCAACGGTATAATTGTGAGATCTGTGAGTATTCCAGGTCTTATCCTGATAGAGGAGGAACAATTTAGGTAAGAACATCAGGAGCATCCCAAAGCTGATCGGGAAGTAGGAGGAGGAAATTATTAATACAGGCAGATAATTTATGTCCTAGATCCGGCTCCCGCCCTCTCCCCTCTCCCCTCCCCCCTCTCCCCTCTCCCCTCTCCTCTCTCCCCTCTCCCACAGTCTCCCTCTCCCTCTCTTTCCACGGTCTCCCTCTGATGCCGAGCCAAAGCTGGACTGTACTGCTGCCATCTGGGCTCACTGCAACCTCCCTGCCTGATTCTCCTGCCGAGTGCCTGCCGAGTGCCTGCGATTGCAGGCACGCGCCGCCACGCCTGACTGGTTTTCCTATTTTTTTGGTGGAGACGGGGTTTCGCTGTGTTGGCCGGGCTGGTCTCCAGCTCCTAACCGCGAGTGATCTGCCAGCCTCGGCCTCCCGAGGTGCCGGGATTGCAGACGGAGTCTCGTTCACTCAGTGCTCAATGGTGCCCAGGCTGGAGTGCAGTGGCGTGATCTCGGCTCGCTACAACCACCTCCCAGCTGCCTGCCTTGGCCTCCCAAAGAGCCGAGATTGCAGCCTCTGCCCGGCCGCCACCCCATCTGGGAAGTGAGGAGCGTCTCTGCCTGGCCGCCCATCGTCTGGGATGTGAGGAGCCCCTCTGCCTGGCTGCCCAGTCTGGAAAGTGAGGAGCGTCTCTGCCCGGCCGCCATCCCATCTAGGAAGTGAGGAGCGCCTCTTCCCCGCCGCCATCCCATCTAGGAAGTGAGGAGCGTGTCTGCCCGGCCGCCCATCGTCTGGGATGTGGGGAGCGCCTCTGCCCCGCCGCCCCGTCTAGGATGTGAGGAGCGCCTCTGCCCGGCCGGGACCCCGTCTGGGAGGTGAGGAGCGTCTCTGCCCGGCCGCCCCATCTGAGAAGTGAGGAGACCCTCTGCCTGGCAACCGCCCCGTCTGAGAAGTGAGGAGCCCCTCCGTCCGGCAGCCACCCCGTCTGGGAAGTGAGGAGCGTCTCTGCCCGGCAGCCACCCCGTCCGGGAGGGAGGTGGGGGTCAGCCCCGCCAGGCCAGCGGCCCCGTCCTGGAGGGAGGTGGGGGGGTAAGCCCCCCGCCCGGCCAGCCGCCCCGTCCGGGAGGTGAGGGGCGCCTCTGCCCGGCTACCCCTACTGGGAGGTGAGGGGCGCCTCTGCCCGGCTACCCCTACTGGGAAGTGAGGAGCCCCTCTGCCCGGCCAGCCGCCACGTCCGGGAGGGAGATGGGGGGGTCAGCCCCCCGCCCGGCCAGCCGCCCCATCCGGGAGGTGAGGGGCGCCTCTGCCCGGCTACCCCTACTGGGAGGTGAGGGGCGCCTCTGCCCGGCTACCCCTACTGGGAAGTGAGGAGCCCCTCTGCCCGGCCAGCCGCCACGTCCGGGAGGGAGGTGGGGGGTTCAGCCCCCCGCCCGGCCAGCCGCCCCATCCGGGAGGTGAGGGGCGCTTCTGCCCGGCCGCCCCTACTGGGAAGTGAGGAGCCCCTCTGCCGGGCCACGACCCCGTCTGGGAGGTGTACCCAACAGCTCATTGAGAACGGGCCATGATGACAATGGCCGTTTTGTGGAATAGAAAGGCGGGAAAGGTGGGGAAAAGATTGAGAAATCGGATGGTTGCCGTGTCTGTGTAGAGAGAAGTAGACATGGGAGACTTTTCATTTTGTTCTGTACTAAGAAAAATTCTTCTGCCTTGGGATCCTGTTGATCTGTGACCTTACCCCCAACCCTGTGCTCTCTGAAACATGTGCTGTGTCCACTCAGGGTTAAATGGATTAAGGGCAGTGCAAGATGTGCTTTGTTAAACAGATGCTTGAAGGCAGCATGCTCGTTAAGAGTCATCACCACTCCCTAATCTTAAGTACCCAGGGACACAAACACTGCGGAAGGCCGCAGGGTCCTCTGCCTAGGAAAACCAGAGACCTTTGTTCACTTGTTTATCTGCTGACATTCCCTCCACTATTGTCCTATGACCCTGCCAAATCCCCCTCTGCGAGAAACACCCAAGAATGATCAATAAAAAAATAAATAAATAAAGTTCTATGAACAGAAAAAAAAAAAAAATTTATGTCCTAGATCCATTGAGGCAGTGTTTTTCCTCACTAACAAAAGAGTAGTTTGGGCAACAAAAGTCCTGTCTGAGACTAGAACAAGACAGTAGTTCTGGGTCTGATGTCTTAAATGGCTAGGCCTATAGGTAGTCATTAAGTGCATCAAAGACAATTTCTTAATGGGTGGATCCTCAACTTGCTAAAACTTAACTGTAAGTGTTTAGAAGGCAGACTTAAGCATTTGTTAATTGACTGGCTTACTGGCCTAGGAGTTGAAGGTAACCGTGGCTTAGTTCAGCACATATGCACACTTTTAAAAGGAATTATAAAGTGTCTCAGATAACAAAAGAAATCTAAGTCTTCAGAAGTTCCTCTTGCAGTCAAGAAGGCGAGAGTGGTGAGAGCTCAGAAGGCTTGTCAACATTTTTTTATTCCATTTTTAGAATCACATCATTCAAAATGATGTTTTCAATTATTCCTGCTTTTAAATTGAATTTTGCCTGGAAACAAATACACCACACCACTTTTAGTGCGAACACCCTGTAAAAGGCACCGAGAATGTGGAATCGATTTTTAGACTGTGCACGAGGCCTTAATATTCGCCAAATCACACCACTCCTTTTAAAACATATCTCAAGTTGGTCATCTGCTGGGGAGCATTGCTTCATTCTTATTGATCTTCCTCCAACCCACCAGCACTAACCCGAATCCACCTTTCTCAGTGTGCAGTGTTGTGGTTTTTGTATTTATCTGCCTTCGTGCCTATGTTTTTTTGTCTGAATATTTTGTATCTTTTCCATCTCTATTTGATTGGGCCCAACCTCCTTCTTTACTAAGTGCCCCAAGAAACATGATATGATCCTATCAACACAGCTAATCAACTAGTCCTTATTTATTATTATTCAAGCAATAAGCATACACACAGAATTACTGCAACTGAGAAGACATTTTCTATTATAACTTTCTTCTTTGCCTATCACCTAGAAATTGATGGTTGCCTTCTTTTCCCCTTCCTTCTCCATTATAGTGGGTAAAGGGGACACGATGTATATTAGTCTCTTCTCACGCTGCTAATAAAGACATAACCAAGACTGGGTAATTTATAAAGGAAAGAGGTTTAATGGACTCACAGTTCCACATGGCTGGAGAGGCCTTACAATCATGGTGGAAGGTGAATGGGGAGCAAAGTCATGTCTTACATAGCTGCAAGCAAGAAAGTGTGTGCAGGGGAACTCCCATTTATAAAACTATCAGATCTCATGAGATTTATTCAGTACAGTGAGAACAGTATGAGGGAAACCACTCCCATGATTCAATTATCTCCACCTGGCCCTGCCCTTGACATGTGGGATTCTTACAATTCAAGGTGAGATTTGGGTGGGGACACAGCCAAACCGTATCACAGTGACAGAAATCTTCTTGGATTTGGAATAGGAGACTTTCAGTTCCCACAAGAGCTAATGGACTCAGCTTAGTGAGAGAGTGACATGCTGGATCAGCGGCAGAGATTGTAGGGCAGCTTGAGGGGGTGCTATGGAAATGGGGACTGAGAGGAGGCCTTGCAGCACCTACCAGCAGGTAAACCTAAAGGGTGAGGATTAATGCAGGGGAACAAACAAGCAGCTTGATTGGTACCTAGGAGAATCAGACCTAAGACAGAATCAGATTTGAGGAAATTGTTAATGCAATCAGAGTTAATGCAATAAAGAGCAATATCTGTTGCAGCTCACCCTTTTACATAGTCCCCAGATTATTTTGACTGATGGAATTAACCCAGGGAACAACAATGGGGGGCTCAGCTCCACTCTGTGTCACTCTGGGAACTGTGCAACCAAGAATAAACTAGGATTTTGTTTTGGCATAGCAGGTGAGGAAACACAGGCTGTGGTCTCTTGCAAAAGTCTGTCTGTGACTTTTCTCACTTTAATCCTATTTTCATTAAACTCAACACAAGCCAGCAAGCAAGTGCTTGCACCCCAGATCACTACCTGATCTTACTTTCAGTTTGGGATACTTTATCATGTATTCCATTTGCTAATTCACCACTGAAGTTTGCCTAGAAGATTTACTTATTCAATAAACAGTGGATTGACTTTGTGGGGAGAGGAAGGGGTGGTTAGAATGAAGAATGCAGTTAATCAACTGATGCTCCATCTACAAGATACAAAAATGATCTGACTCTTCCCTACCTGGACTCACTAGCAATTTATGATCAATCACCCTCCTTCTTCCTGATAGTTCAAAAGCATACAAACTTTCTGTATGTCCTAGTTTGTTTTCTAGGATTCAGTAGTTTCCCTTTCCAAAGATTTCCTTTCTGAGTGGTTTTTCAGAACTTTGGAAACTCAGCACAACCTGGCTTTACCTGGCTTAGGCTTTTCTCTAGGAACCTTTTCTCCAGTGCTAGACAAGGGGAGGCCATGCTGGAAAGCTCAGCTTATATAACCTCATTTGACAAATATGATACATGCCAAAAACCTGACATTTCACAATACAAACTTTTTATGAAGCAGCTTTATGTTTCAAACACAATAAGGCATTCAAAAAGCATGTGATCATCCAACCACCTCCCCAAGTCCCAAGGGTTCAGTTAAAAATATATGGGGAAGAAACAAAGCTCTTTCACATAATGGTATCAAACCCACTGTTTTCTCTTTGATTCCCCCCTTTTCCCTTCTGTGTTCTCCAGGGTGGCCAGGCTAGTACCCTTAGAGATTCACTTCACCACCACTCCCAGGGGCTGGGGGGAAACCTCTCCTTTGATCTGAAAACAAGTACATTGAAAGTCCTCTCTGGGGTAGGAGTATTGTGACACATAGCCATTATCTCAGATGAGATAATGAATGAGAAAATGCTTTGTAAACCATAAAGTTTTAAATGTTAGTGATTGTTTTATTATTGTTAGTAATTTATTTATTAGAATTGTTACTACTAATAATAAAATGAATCACCAAGCTTCCTGCTCCAGAGTTCCAATTTAGGCTGCAATGCCTCAGGAAGATATGGAAGCTGCAAGAGACACGGGGAAGAGAGATGTTATCCATCACCGCTGTAGTCTGCTAGAAGAGTAGCTGTGTTTATGAGAGTCCATCAGGACCTCCGCTGACTCTAAAAGTAACTTTCCACTGTTGAAGTTATTCTTCATTATCATTGATAACGCACCCACGTATCCACACTGTGAAAGGAGGCTTTTACTGCTGAAGTCTCCAGTAATCCCACTGAGAAGATCATCTCTCCAACCTGAAAGGCTTAAGGACCTGGCCACCTTCCCCCCAGCTCCCCTATCCCCCTCCAGGTGGCCTTTTCTCAGACCCCTACCCCTAATGTTGCCCAGCCATCTCCTCATAACTTGGAATCACCCACAGAGAAAAAAAGAAAAAAAAAGATTATGATTCAAGTGAAAATCTGAGTAAGCAAACGTATTTGGCATTGAGAGCTATGGAAAGTTGAGTCTGGAGCCAGAGGTGGTTACCCGACTCTGCCCATAATTTTACACAGACAGCTCCATGCAGCAATCTTGGTGGGTTCAGAGGAGTGTAATGGGAAGCACTCTAGAATTTTTACTTTTGAGTATTTTTCAACAAATAAGTCCATTTAAGCTGCAATGGAAAGGACTGCCAACTACTTTCTCAACCAGGACTTTAAAAAGAAAGAAACAGAAAAAGAATAATTTATAATGATCAAAGATAAACTGAAATATTAGTCTGGAAGAAATACAATTTCAGGTCTAGAAGTTGGGTTTTATGAGAGAGATAATCCGCCCCTATTTTTTCCAGGCCTATAAATGCAATTTTTATTTTATTTTTTCCCCAGCCCTATGGTTGCTACAAAGGTTGAACATGAGGAAGATTATTGCATTTATTTTCAGGGGGTACTTGGCAATAACATTCTGCAGACCCACCTTGTGCTATTTAGGAGCATAAGCTGGAAACGCCCTGCCAGCTGCTGCTTGTCAATGGATCTAAACTTCTACTTTTACAGTCTAATGAAGACCCAGCCCTTCTCTATCTGGGGACAATCTGTGAGTTTGGTCAGTGTCTGCCATTTTATGTCTTATGCTCATTATCAACAATTAACACAAAGAACAGATAGGATCTTGGCTGTTTCTGCCTTAGGGAAAGAGCAATTTTTTATGGCAATTAGAATATAAAACTTAATATCAAACCATTCATATTAAAGTCACAGGCTATTCTAAAATATGTCTAATATAAACAATAAATCTGGTTATTATCATTCTACTCAAATCTTTTCTTTGTGCTTTAGAGGGTCCAATAAGGTACTATTCCAGAACAGGAGAGAGGAAGAGCTCAGGTATTCAACTTCACCTGGGTACCCCCTGCATCACGATAACAAATGCATGGGAATTGTTCTCCTTTTTAAATATTGGATCACATTTTCTTAATTCCACCTGAAAACAGCCTTCTGGCATTTCATGGTAAACATGTATAGTCATACAGCTTAGATGAGGCTACCCTACTAAGCAGAACGTAAATAAGAAAAACTTGCACTGCTCGTCAACCTCTAAAATGTTCAAATATGGGCATAACTGAGAAATAGAGAGAGACAGGACAGTAATGTTTTATCTTAAATTAAGTTTGCCAGTTATACTGAGAAGCTGCTCAGGCTCTTCTTGATCCATCTACTTAACAGTGCCCCAAATTTTTATACAAACATACCAAGGAACTTGTCCCATTATGGGAAACCCAACCACAAACCAAAAAAATCACCCTTCTCATTCAATTTGGTAGCCATATATTCTTCAGGGAATCTCAGGATAAGAAAGATATAATAGTATATCAAGGCAAATATACAATACAATATTTCCAAGTAATGCCCTTGGTAATAGAGGTGAGTTTGATTTCTACATAATCATATTTTTACATAATGTAATGTGAGTGCTTTGTACTTAGCCAGCTCTGGGTTTGGGACCCAGTTTTGGCATTAATATGTAATATTGGCAAGGTGACACCGAACAAGTTACCCAATCTCTCTGAGACAGCTTCCTTATCTGTAAAATGAGGATAATTATAGTTCCCGTACCATAGACTTGTTGTTGGGATTAAACATGTTAAAGATACAAAACAATTAAAGCAGTGTCTGGCACATAGTAATCACTCAATAAATGCTGGCTTTACATTAACGGTCCCAGACCTTCCTTCTGTTGTATCTTGATTTCCTATGGTCATCATTAGCTCTGGCATCACTTAAAGGAGACAATGAATGTATTTCTGAGGAAGAGATCATCTCAGAACAGTCAGGCAAATGGAGAAATGCTGACCAAGGACCAGAGAACCCACTTGCTTACATTGGAGATGAAGAAAGTCTTATTATTCTGGGGAGCTAAAGGGAGATGGAGAAAGTAGGTGTATAATTATAATATTTCTAATAAGAAATATATTTGGTCTTTGTCTCCAGTTTCTGGTGCAAAGCTCTTAAAACCCTTGGAATTTCCTGAGTGATAGGAGTGTCTTTGTTATTCACAACATCACAGGGACAATAGCTCCTGTACTCACGATTCTTCTGGACCTCAGCCTATGTACCTTTTCATTTGGTTCATCCATATCCTTTATAATACTCTTTACAATGAGCTGGTAAATATAAGTAAATGTTTTCCTGAGTTTTGTGTGCCATTCTAGCAAATTAGCAAACCAAGGAAAGGGTTATGAGAATCCCTGATTAAGACCTCAAGATCAGTCAGAAGTACAAGTGATCCAGACTTGCAATTGGCATCTAAAGTGAACGGGGGCAGTCTTGTGGGGCTGAGCCCTTAACCTGTGAGGTCTGTGCTAACTCCACATAATGAGAGTTAGTATTGAATTGAGTTGTAGGACACATGGTTGGTGTCCAGGGACTTGAATTGCTTGGTATGGAAAAAAAAAAAAAACACACATTTGGTGTCAGAATTGTTGTGAACAGAGTAACAGTTTTCCCAGAATAGGGCATGATGTTTTTGTTTCCTATATTCATTTCTGGCCCTCTTACAAGTCTGTAAACAGATTCCAGTGATATGTTTTCCAACAGGGAAAGCAATGGGGTGAACCAGAGCATTGAGAGAAAATTGCCTGCAATCTCCACCACACTCCCACCTGCCACCAAATAACACAGCTAAGGGGTCTAAGCTCTGCTAAAAATGACAGGTGTGTAGTCAACCTCTGTGTAAGTTCTGTTTCCTTGGAAGGGCCTTTCTAAGAACAGAGGTAGACTCTAAGTTGTTTTTTTGTTTGTTTGTCTTGTTTGTTTTTTGCTTAATGGAAAACCAGGCTGTCAACAGATTTTGAGACCAATACTTCTAAGTTAGAATGGTTAACCAAATCATCAAGGGAGAAATCTAGAAAAAATACTGGAGTCTCGTTCTAAGCATGAGCTTTTGACACAAATAGATGTGGCTTTAAATCTTAAAACATGCTGCCATTTATGAGCTTTAGGATCTTGAGCATGTTAGTTAATTTATTCTAGCCTCTTTTCCCATCTAGGGTGACCATTCCTTCCACTTTTCCTGGTACAGTACAAGCTATACCTGTTGTCCCTTGATAATTAATAAAAGTTGCCTTATCATTCTGAAAGGGCCCCAGTTTGGATAATAAATGTTATGGCTACATCCATTCTTCTGTAAAATGGAAATAATAAGCACCTCCCAGGGTGGTTATGAAAGCTAACCATAATCTATATTAGTAACTACTATAATGCCTTGCACATAGAAAGTGCTCAGTGAAAACTAGTTCTCCTTTACCTGTTCACACCAGATCTATACTGTCCAGTACAGTAGCCATTAGCCTCACATTGCTACTGAGGAATGTGCTATAAATGCAAAAAATGCACAAGATTTTGAAGATTTAGTACAACAAAAGAAGATTAAATATCTCATTAATAATTTTATATTAATTACATGTCCAAATGATATTATTTTGGATATACTGTATTAAGTTAAACAAAATTTATTGTTAAAATTAATTACAACTGTTTATTTTTACTTTTTTTGGCATGACTTCTTAAAAAAACCCTGGATCACAGCTCCAGATGTTCTGTTTATGTAACTGCTAACCCCCTAACCTCATCCACCATCACCACCTCACTCTTAGCTTCCCCCTGCCCAGGAATTCTTCCTTCTAAAACTCAATGCAAGAATCAAGTACTCTTTCATCATATTTACCAACATGTTCTTACTTTATTTTCTGGATTTTGGGAGGTAAAAGGGCAGTCAACTAGGGGGCAAAATAAAATCAACCTTGATCATGGCTCTCACGAATGGTTTTTCCTTAGGGATAGAAGCATTGACCTTGAATACATTAGGAAAGCTGAAGAATCTGGGTCAACATTGGAAAATGTCCATATTAACAAAGAAAAAGGAGCTTGGTTTGCCAGAAAAGATATTGCAATCTCTCCCTCGATCAGATTTGCTAATTCTTGTGAATGCTTGTGAAACACCTCGGGTCTCAAATCCAAATCACATGAAGAACTAGGCCCTTGAGCACATCATTGGTGCTGTCTCTTTGACAAAAAGCATTTTTAGTTGATGGAAAATCACCAACTTTCACCCCTAAAAACATCTGTGAAGAGCAGAAAACAGCCTGACTCTTATAGATGTCCCTGACAGGTGAGTTGAAAAGACATAGAGAACAAACTATAGAGAAAATTTACTCCAAAACAATTATTTAATTCTATCATGCCCATGTCACACTGATACAGCTGGTTAAAAAACACAAATGTTCAATTTAAAAAAATAGCAAGTTAGACTTAAGAAAAAATTTGATCAAATAGCGTACTTAAAATATTTTCAGATATGTAATATTTTAAAAATGTTTTTGTTGGGAAGAACCCATTGGCTGGGGTGGTTGTCCTGGCATCACATGTAGACACCTGTCAATTCTGTCATAGAGGTAAAAGAGAAGCTGGTTTCTTAGCACAACCAAAAATGAGCTTTAGTTAATGTACTGAATTTTTCACAGTTCAACCAGTTGTTTTAGCACTGCACAGACACAAATGTGTACATTACTCCCCAGAAGAGCACCGTGTCCCCTGACAGTCTTATAGCTTAGAAGGAGGGAAATAGACAATATGAGGAGTACGTGTTGGATAAATCTAATATCTAATGTATTCCATGAGATGGTTTGCGTCTGAGCTCCACCACCTCTCATCAGTTAACTCTCGCATTCACTCACCCCACAATCAAATAATTCCCTTCTAATTCTCTTCTTTGATAGCAAGCCAACCCTGGGAGAAACAATGGTTTGGAACAATAGCACCTGAGGTGGAAGAAAACACAGTGGGCCTCTCACTTTCGCTCTCTAACCACAACAATTGAAAGAGACTATGGCCTGAAAAATCTATCTGCTCCTAAATGGTACCCAGATGGAAATCACAGCTGCTGTCATGTACCACCTGTACCTACGCCCATCCATCTTCAGAACACGCCTGGGGCAGAGGAGAGAAATCGAGTTGACAGAGCAGTTAAAGAGCCTCTCTTTTCTCCTGCATACTTTTCCTTTTATCTTTTTCTCTTCAGTTTCAGAGCTTCTTGTTCTCACCTTCATGCTGTGGCAATGCTGACAAAAGAAAACTGCAGCCTCTGAGAACCAGTGGTGAGTAATAGCCCCAGGCTCTGAATACCTAATGTCTATTGTATGTTGAGGGGAGGGAGAGCCAAAGGGAGGAGAGGAATTTGGTCAAATAGCCTGTGTAGAAACAGGACCTTTCGGTGACAATCCTAAATGCATCCAGAGAGTATCTGAGTTTTGATACCTCTCCTCTAATTAAATCCAAGGATCTAATATGCATGGCCTTTAGGAATGCGTTGTTCAAACAGATTTGATTCCTGCCCAGAGGCTTTTTAAGCCACTGACCACTTTGAACCTAATTAGAAAAAGCAGAGGACACTGGAGACGTTTAATAAAAGGAATCGAATTGCTGCTTCATCTTCATGACCTGGGATTTATAAGGGAATTTCACTGGCTTTGTAGCAATGTAAAATAAATAGACATTAGATGATGACAGGGAAAACAAAATTGCTGCCAAAGCTAAAAAGAGCTTGGCAAAAGAAGAAAGAACTACTACATAGTTGGTCATTATTTACTGTACAAACCTTTTCATAAAGCAGAGAAGAGAGATACATAGGAATAATGGGCCCTTGCTAAAAGATGAAAAGGGCTTTCTATAGCTTACATTATCCCCTGACGAAGGCACTGACGTGTCCCAGTTGTTACACAATCTTATTGTTCTATTCAGCCATTCAGAAAGCTGAATGAACAGCCCTGCTCTGAAACTTTTAAAGGCTGAAATCAACAGGCCACTCATTTCCAAGGAAAAGAATAAAATTGTAACGGATGGAAATAACTAATTAATTTGTTAATCTTTGCAGACTGCCACGGTCCATTGCATATGCTCTAACCAGTTAATTAGTCTTTAGCCTGTAATTCTAAAATGTAAATAAGTGCAGTTACCTAACCCACCAGCTCCTAACAAAAATATCCAACTATTCATTATTTAATTTAAAAGGAAGAAGGCTTTGCTTTTCATTGGTGGTGGTGTTCCTGAGATGTTAACTAAACACCGTGACCTAAGTTTAATTTCATCACACCTTACTGAAATGGTTTTATTCTAAAGTATATGCCCCTCTCCCCACTCCAGAAAGCTAAAATCATGAGGCTTAACTAAAGTCAGATCTATCCAATCCAACAGGAGATTATTTTTAGATGTTAATGAAGGAAAGGGTTTTTGTAAACTGTAAAGTGCTGGTAGCTATAAACCACTATAACTGTAAACTTGAACAAAAGTACATTATTTATTGATGTTAATTAATAGTCTATTATTCTATTAGATTGCATTTCAGTCACTAAAATCATTAGTAGACTCATTCAGCCTTTCAAATGTGTGTGAGAGGTAGGAAGGAGATCGGTGGGATAGGGCAGAAAGTGGAAGCAAATGCGTTCCTATGGCATTTGAGAAACACGGAAGAAAGTCCTAAAATGTATCCAAGAGAATCACAGCAAGGGACTCCTCTAGCGAAGAAGAGGACATTGATCCCATGAGCTGTACTGGTATCTTTTATAGTATCCAAAGCAGAGCAAATCCCCAATTAATTAGGGTGGTCAGAAAATGGTGGGTTCTTATTATTTCCCCTCTAAAGCACTGTGGGGCCCTATAAAGACTGAGTACCCAACTGGCCCTGCATCTTTGTGATCACAGGGCCTTGAGCAAGATACTCATCCTCTCAAAATGTCTTTGTTTGTTTTTGAATGTTTATAAGAGACTATCTGAAATTGGATAATTTATAAGAAACAAAATTTATGTCTTACAGTTCTGGAGACTGAGACATCCAAGGTTGGCGGGGGGCACATCTGGTGAGAGAGAGCCTTCTTGCTGGTGGGGACTCTGAAGTGCCCCACAGGGTATCCCATGGAGAGGGAGCTGAGGGTGCTCCCATGTGCCCACTTAGCACTCTCTTCCTCTTCTTATAAGCCACCAGTTCCCTTCCCATGATAACTCATTAATCCATTAACCCATTAATTGAAGAATGGATTAATCCATCCATGAAGGCCAAGCCCTCATAACCAATCACCTCGTAAAGGCCCACCTCTCAATACTGCCACATTGGGGATTAAGTTTCAACATGAGTTTTGGAGAGGACATTCAAACCACAGTACTAAGCCAATGCTTCTTCCTCTACAGGGAAACTGGGAAACTGACACTTCCTGCCTTATATTGTTGCAGTTGCAAAGATCAAATACCAAGGTTATGGGAAGATGTTTTGAAGCCCCATATAAATATGTAATTTAATTTATTCCAATAAAGACTCATTGCACAGGCTGGGCACAATGGCTCACACCTCTCATTTCAGCTCTTTGGGAGGTCAAGGTGGGCCGATTGCTTGAGCCCAGGAGTTCGCGACCAGCCTGGGCAATATGATGAAACCCCATTTCTACAAAAAAAATACAAAAATTAGCTGGGTGTGGAGGTGTGCATGCTTGTAGTCCCAGCTACTTGAGAGGCTGAGTGGGAGATCGCTTGAGCTTGAGAGGCAGGGATTGCAGTGAGCCGAGATTATGCCACTGCACTCCAGCCTGGGCGACAGAGCAAGACCATGTGTCAAAAACAAACCAACCAACAAACAAACAAAGACTCATTGCACATATAAGCAATAGATCAACCATTTTCAAAGAGCATAACCAAAAAAAAAATCCAACACTACACAAATCTTGAATATAATTTAACCTTTCTTCGAAAGTTTAGAAAGTATTTCAAGATGAGGCAATGCTTTTCTCTAACATTAACATGAGCATCGATTACAGAAATGTTCCACTGAATTACATGGCAAAATTAAAATTCTGATGATTTTATGTACATGGTTGCTTGAAATATGAGCTATCAGTAGCTACTATATCCCATTAGGCCTTTCAAGTTCACATCATAAGTTGTATAAGAGATAGGACACCTCCATTGAAAACATCAGTCGACTTAGACGATTTCTGTCAGATATTATTGATTCAGCAATATAAGAATGCGACGATGTAGTCCCAGCTACTGGGGAGGCTGAGGCAGGAGAATGGCGTGAACCTGGGAGGCAGAGCTTGCAGTGAGCCTGGGAGACGGAGCTTGCAGTGAGCCGAGATCGCGCCACTGCACTCCAGCCTGGGTGACAGAGCAAGACTTCGTCTCAAAAAAAAAAAAAAAAAAAAGTCAACGAAAGGACATGGGTTTGGAGAGTAACCAGAGATGCTGCCAATTAAAGATACCCCTTACTCAAGACACTTTATTTCTCTCTGTTGGAACATTGTCATAATATACTGTCATCTACTAAAAAATTACTGTAATAAATATAAAAATCTTCACTGTCTGCCATGACAGGAACCGCATGAGCTGTTATGCCCTTCTGCAACGCAGAACTTTCCCAACCATATATGGTGGCCCTGAGATGTGTAGTTTTGCCCTTTACACCTTTATTTTCTATTAGTACATTTACTTTTTAAAAAAGTATGAACTATCATTTGCAATTTGAAAAACATCAAATACAGAACATTTAAAAAATATATCGCTAGACCTCAAAATGAATCTTAATGGCAATCACAGATTTCAACCCTTTCAACCAGATTTCTGAGTGTCTGAACATAGATGTAGGCTCTGAGACTATGATTTCTAGCTTGTTTTTCCTAAATATTCACTGTGTAATTGGGACACTATCACTTAGCCCCTTTGTTCCTTATTATATCATTTATAAATTTTATAACTATATTTTAATAAAGGTACTTAATATCTAGATAATAGATAAATGGTTTGTCTATAATCCCTAATTTATATACAATAAGTCTACCAACTTTTATGGTAGAACTTCATAAGTTTTAAACTAGTATAATATTTAATTTTTAGTATATAAACATCTGATGTGGTTTGGCTGTGTCCTCACCCAAATCTCTCCATGAATTGTAATAATCCCCAGGTGTCAAGGGCAGGGCCAGGTGGAAATAATTGAATCACTAGGGCGGTTTCCCCCATACTGTTCTCATGGTCCTGAGTAAGTCTCCTGAGATCTGATGGTTTTATAAATGGGAGTTTTCCTGCACTAGTGCTCTTGCCTGCTGACATGTGAGATGTGACTTTGCTCCTCATTCACCTTCCACCATGATTGTGAGGCCTCCCCAGCAATGTGGAACTATGAGTCAATTAAACCTTTTTCCTTTATAAATTACCCTGTCTCGGGTATGTCCTTATTAGCAGCATGAGAACAGACTAATACAATATCCCATCAAATTATAAATGAATCTGAGGCTCTGATTCAGACAAAGGATGGATGGATTGGTAGTCACATTTATCTATAGAATAAAACTGGAATGACATACAGTACAATGTTTCAGTGATTCATGAATGGTTGGGATATGGCAGTTTTAATTTTCATATTTGTACATTTCTGTATTTGGTGAATTTTGTATAATGATCATGAATTGTTTCTGTTGAGAATGTTGTTGGAACAGTTGGGCTGGGAAAATCTCTACCTCCCACAAAGTATTTTGGAGAAAGGAACTGTGAACAGCCTGGAGGAAAATTTAATATTTAACTCAAACAAGTGGCATCCACTATATTCACACTGGCAGAGCTTTTCAGAATTAGAGTCTTGCTTTCTTTTTGTAAGCATCAGGATTGATTTTTATATGTGTTCTAATCTTAGTTTAGTCCTTTAACCATTTTTCCCAGGATAATAGAAATGAAAGAATGTTGTATTTTGGCTTGCTGAGTTAGAATGAATGGAAAAAACTTAAAGGAAGCAGCAGAAGGAACAGTGAGAATGACATACATTTTCTTTTTTTCTTTTTTTTTTTTTGAGAGTGAGTCTTGCTCTGTGACCCAGGCTAGAGTGCAGTAGCACGATCTCGGCTCACTGCAAACTCTGCCTCCCGGGTTCCAGCGATTCTCCTGCCTCAGCCTCCCGAATAGCTGGGATTAGAGGCGTCCACTACAGCGCCTGGCTAATTTTTGTATTTTTTAGTAGAGACAGGGTTTCATCATTTTGGCCAGGCTGGTCTGGAACTCCTGACCTCATGATCCACTTGCCTCAGTCTCCCAAAATGCTGGGATTACAGGCATGAGCCACTGAGCCCAGCCGACATACATTTTCTCTAGATCACTGCAGCCTAGCTTAAATATGCTTCTCTAGGTCATCTCTCTATTTCCACCTATATCTGTGCATCAACATCTCAGGCTATTATGTTCTCAAATCTGTTTTCAATATGAAAATACAGACATGAGAAAGAGCCAATGCTGTTCTCAGGATCTTACAATTCATTCTGCATCTACACAGTCCTGGAGTTCCAAACACAGATTGCCATAACAAGAGAAATTAGCCAGAGCACTAACTGTTTTCAAAATAACAATTCATTTCACTAAAATCAGTGAATGGCTCTTTTCAAAGCGTAATTATACTTTCTAGGGGAAGACATTAGGTCTACTGAAAGTAAGTCACCTAATTTACAGATACCAATGATGAAAATCTTCTCAAGGCATTGGGGGAATAAAAGACATTAATTCTCAGTTTGTAAATGAACATGAAATGTGATGTGCCCACTACCATGTGGGTGTTTCTCTGCAGATCTGCTAGTAAGCAGGCATAATGTGCCAGTAAGAAGGCAACCTGGAAAACATAGCCAGGAACTGGGACAACTGGGAAGCTGATAGAAAGAGTTGTTTAATGTGTAAGCTGTCGTCTGCACACACAGAAGCATTTCCATGGCTATGAACAAAGGGTAACTGCGGGGTGGTTTATTAATTGAAAATAAATGTCCTTTTCTTTGTGAAATGGCTAGATATTGAAAAACCAAACACATGCTAAGAGGACGTGCACAGTCAGCAGAGAAACATCAGCTTGGAAAAATCTGCCAACAAGGAGAAAGTTTAGAATGGATTGGTTTCCTGTCTCTGCACAACAAATAAACCACCAAGGGATTCCCAAGGATCTAAATAATGAACCAATCTCTCTCTCTCCTTTTCCCTTTCCATCTCCCTCTCCCTCACTCCCTTCTCTTACGTGCATCGGAGAATGGTGAGCAAGTACCTAGGGAACTACAGTATTTTGGGTCCTCCTTCTGACAAGGCAACTAACACCTGAAAAAAAAAAATGAATCCCATACATTTCATACTAAAGAACTGGGGGCTTACTACGAGACAAAAGAAAAATTAGATCTCTAGTTCGGAAGGCAATTTTTTCCACATCGTTAAATAAATATGGTCAGCATTCAACAATTGTGCTGATGAAGTGAGTATGTGGATATATTACAGAATCAATTTTCTTACCTATTTTATTTCTAGGCTCAGCATCAGGTTGTTAATTTTGACCCAGCCATCCCATTACTGGGTATATACCCAAAGGACTATAAATCATGCTGCTATAAAGACACATGCACACGTATGTTTATTGCGGCATTATTCACAATAGCAAAGACTTGGAACCAACCCAAATGTCCAACAATGATAGACTCGATTAAGAAAATGTGGCACATATACACCATGGAATACTATGCAGCCATAAAAAATGATGAGTTCATGTCCTTTGTAGGGACATGGATGAAATTGGAAATCATCATTCTCAGTAAACTATCGCAAGAACAAAAAACCAAACACCGCATATTCTCACTCATAGGTGGGAATTGAACAATGAGATCACATGGACACAGGAAGGGGAACATCACACTCTGGGGACTGTTGTGGGGTGGGGGGAGGGGGGAGGGATAGCATTGGGAGATATACCTAATGCTAGATGACCAGTTAGTGGGTGCAGCGCACCAGCATGGCACATGTATACATATGTAACTAACCTGCACAATGTGCACATGTACCCTAAAACTTAAAGTATAATAAAAAAAAAAAGGAGCAACATGAAAAAAAAAAAAAAAAAAAAAAAACCATAAAAACAATGTGGCTCCATTAGAAGGATCTACTTGGCTATATGGACCAAATCCTACGTGAATGAATTTAAATTTGCTACTAGGCACTGCTGTAAATTGTCTAGTGAAGATGGATTGTTTTGGAGCCTCCCCGATCTGAGCTCAAAGAATCCTTTCCTGATGCAATAATTCAGACCACAAGAACAGCATATTACTGTATATGTCCCCAAACTGATACAGTGCTGGGCTCAGGAAAAAGCTACACACACACAGAGCACATTTTATGACATCCAGTACTTCTAACTTTTCTTTCTTCTCTTAGACAGATGTAATTTGTGCCTTGGTGTGAATTCAAGTCAATAAAGTACATTATGAAGATAATATTTGTTCATCAATGATGACTAAATGTACAAGGAAAAACTTCGATTACCTTTCCTCCTTATAACTGTTTCATGCATCATAGAAGGAACTGGGAGATAGCATGGTTAAACATCTATACCACAGTTTCTCCTACTGAGCAAATTAGTCCCCTTTGCAAGAGACAGAATTGCAACCTAAAGGGAAGCAAAAAGTAAGTGTGTTCTGGAAATTAAGCCCTGTCAAGAAAGACATTTTTCTGTTCTTCTTGATGTCTGAAAAACTATAATAAAGACATTTTCCTATTAAGTCTCTGGGAAATTCGTTCTGAGCTATACACAGAACAACTAAAAAACCATGATTTTGGTTGCTACAAGTTCATTTGTCAGTCCAATGTTAGTTCTGATTTTTTACCTTTGGAAATCCATAATCACATCCCTGGACTTCCAGCAAGAGAGTCTACTGGCTTTAGTGAGCAAGAAGGTAGATTTTTACGTATTTATTTGACACTGCTCTTTGAGTTACTTCCATTTTCTTCCCGGTGCTAAAAGAGATGAAAGTAAATTCTTTCAGGGGAGTTGTGGATCTGGCTTGGTGGTTTTTAAAAAGAGACAAGGGACTTGTGAGAAGCAAAGGGAAAGGGAGATGGAGCTGGGGAGAGTACGGGCTGGAGTGGAAGGCTGCAGCAAGACTGAGGGCGCAGGGACACCTCCAGTCACAAACCAGCCCAGTCACAAACCAGCCCAGTCACCATCAAAGCTGAGCCCAAATTTCCCTCTGTGTCTGTTATTATGAAGGCACATGTGATATGTGCCATTTTCAATACTGAAATGAAAATGGTTAAAAAGATTATTTTATAAATCTCAAAAGCAAATTATCCTCCCCTTATTTTTTAAACCATAAATCGCATTCACTTTTTCTTAATAAAATTAAAAAATTTTAAAACAAAAGAGAAAAGTCTCTCCAAACATGCACAAAATCCAAACTCTAAATCTTACGATGCTGGAAACAAGGTTGAACAACATGAGAAATCATTCTAACAGCTGTTTCTATACATGAGCTATTAAGGAGGGAATCTCATGGTGTCACTTAAACAGCTGTCATATTGAGGAAAAGTGAATGTACCCATTGATGTAATGCTCCTGGGAGGTGGGAGGAGTCCTGGGTTCTTTGAGAAGAGAGGGGAGAAGGGTCAGGGAGGTATGACTCTGACCTGCGAACAGTGGTTGAATTGTTTAGAATGTTGATTCAGGATCCTACAAAGATCCCATTATCCCTATTCTCAGGTTGATTGTACACCTGACAAATGGTAGCAGCAACATTACCAGACCTGAGAGAGTTCTGTAGCTCTCTAATGTGTGCCAGTATTGGGTCTGATAGTCTCTCTCTTCTCTCTCTCTCTCTCTTTCATTCTCCTATTTTGATAGCTGCCTGCTGTTTAAGCAAAGCCCTGAGTTTCCTGACAGCTGATGCCCAGGTGGTCTCAGTATCAATCTAAACAATTTGACGTGAAATTGATCTTCCAGGGTCGGTGCTAGGGGAGCTGGTGTCAACACAGAATTCCAGCTTCAGTAAAGATAATTCTTTCATCATCAAGGGCAAGGGGAGGGAGGACTAAGAAGAGCTGACACAGGTGTCCAAGTTGCCCACTTGTATTTGCTTTTGAAACTCTCATTGTGATGACATCACCCTATCAAAGGACTGTGTTTGTTGATGTTTGTTTATGTGGGTTGTCAGTATATAACCATGCACAATTACAGCTGGGATCAACCCACTATATTAAAAAGATGGAAAAATTGAACCACAAAAGGAACTATTTGAGCAGAGAAATGTTGATGGAAGCAAACAGGGAAAGTGCACCCTGGATGGAAATTTCCATAGTTTTAAAAACAATCTGGACAGTGTGGACAGATGAGTGGCTCAGAAAAATACATATAGTTGACTCTCAATTGTGCCTACCAATAAAATCCCACTAATACAATAGGTTATCCAGAAATAATTTTCTCTTTAGTTTTTCAAATCGATACGTAAATTTTCTTGGAAGCAGACTTGCTTTGTTAACTATGTTTGGCTTAGGATTCACTTGGCTTGGCTTTGGCACTTCATTAATCTTTTGGGGCAGTATATAAGTTCAAAATAGAAGTCACAGTGACCTTTGTGTTTGCCTGAATCTAGGGTTGTCAATGGAAAGGGAAAAAAAATCTTTGTAGGAGAAAATAAGTAATACTCATGAGTTTAGTTTGGTGGCATGAATAGGGGCATTTCTTTCTTGAATCTCACTGAGTTGGAACGGCTAGAAATGAGGAGTGAACCAGAGCTGCCATGCAGGATAACACTAATCCTTTGCCTATCAGAGTTGTCCTGAGATTAGGCTAGATCTTACAATCACTACGAAAACTTATTGGAAAGTGAAAAACTTAGATAAGCAACTGCTTCTTCAGTTTCTGTAATAGTAGAATGAGTTGATGTTGGAGAGACCCAGACTTTTCCACTTAAAGAGTGTTCTGAAAACTTATCAGCCTATAAAGATGAAAACAATCTACATTTAAAATGCCAGTCCAATGCATTATAGAGCATTTTCTAGTTTAGAGCAATGTGAAATTAGAGTTTGCAAATGTATAGGCTCTGCAGAGTGGTGGAAGAGTTGGGCACCAGCAGTGGAAGTCCCAGTGTCCCAGTCCTGCTCTGTGATTTTGTGCGGGCTGAAGTTGAATATGCAAACTCTTTAAGTGACTTTATCCTTGAAATACAAAGGAAATAATAAAGAACACTACGGTAAGACTCTCACTAAGGTGACTGGGAATTGATGGTTGAGCATGTTGAAGAATTAAATAGGAACAATGGTCGAGGTCTCATTTCTATGCAAGAGGTAAAAAAACGCTTTAAAGTGTTTAGAGAGGTAAAACAAATTACTAAACTTGAGTTCAAACCTACACCAGCCGAACCTTCCCAGAGACGTTTCCCAAAGCATGGTGAAAAAACATTTTGGGTAAGGGGACTAAATTCATCTCACTTCTCTACTCCAAACAGTGACCCTTCACACATCAAACATGAGCTTTTCCAACCCAACCTAGAGAGTACTAGAAGCCAGAATATTGGGTGAGCTACCTGACAAATAAGATAATTTTCATAATGCAATTCTGTTCTGGTAAGAGATGAAAACTGTAGCTTCTCAGCACTTTACCTGATTTCTTCATCTAATCTGTCATCCACTAAGAAAGTTGCATCACAGTTTGTCAATACAGGAAAATCCATTTGATAAATCAATCTTGCTGTAGTACTGAATGTTTTCCACTGATCACTACTTTACCGAGGACTTGAACTAGAGCTGTAAGTATTTTAGATCTGTTGTGTTCAAGTGCCTTTGTTCTTCATATGTATATAATAAAATGTACTAATGTCTTATTTAGTATCATAAAGATATAAAATATGCAATCTAAGGCAACACTTCAGATAACTTGTTTACCATTCTATGCTAGAATCAAGTTCAGTTCTTGGCAAGCAGTGGATGTTCAAAGTAAGCAATTCAAACATGTTCTTTTAACAGCATGAGTTGTTTTTAATCTTAATCATTTTATTACATACATTTCAAGGACCAGGGCACTCTAAATATAATTTCATGTTTTAGCAGTATATCAAGTTTACAGGGAAAGCCTCAATCATTTAATTGTGCTGTAGTGATGATGCCTTCAGAGACAGCACTGAGGAGTGTAAAGCAATTTTTCCCTACACTAGATGGTCCCTTCCTAACATCAGCCTCAGTAAGCTTGTTTCTCTCAGGTTCTGCTTCTCTCCATTCATCATCCATTCATTCCACAAATATTTATTGAGCCCTTATCTTGTATTATATCAGGCATTAAAGTTACAAAATGCCTAGAAGCTTTATTCCTGTGGAGAAAGGTGCTTGCACTTTATAACAATTTTCTATGCTGCTCAGAAACTCTTTTAACTTATGTATGATGTTATGTTTGTTTTCTAAATGACTGAGGTTTCTAGATTTCCAGATTGTAGGTTAGTGGGGCGTCAGTGAAGCTAATCGTCCTGCTTTATATCTTTACTCAGTGCTGGCATTTTCTCTCCATCATGTTTTATGTCTTTGTTTCTAAGGACCAATAGCCAGGAGACAGTAAAGACTTTCCCTTACTTGATAGTGCTGATCCTGAAGGTATATCTCAAAAATATTCTGGGTTGGTGGGAAATTATAACAGAGTAGGATTTGATTTTTTAAAAGCCTCAGGGACCACATTCATGTAGCTCAAAGAGTACAAGCCTAGCTCTTTCCAAATGTTTGCTATGATTTCATTCTCAGTGATGTGTGTCTGCTCAAATCAATGCCATTTTGCTGTCACGCTTGCACCCAATTCATGCTATGCCCCGACAGGAGGTGCATGCAACAGTATTGAGGGACTAGACAAATTTGAAACAGCCCATTGCCCATTAACTAGTTTTACAAACAACAATGAAACAGGAAATAACAAAGCATGATCCTTGAATTAGTACCTCAGCAAAAATACTCAAGAGTTTTTCCACAGTCTGTAAATTGCTCCAGCTGTGTTTTCACAGTTTATGAAATTGAGAGAGGCAAACTCTAGAGACAAATTAAAACCTTGGATCTGGTCAGAGATGATTTTACAGTAAAGGTGTTTGGTTATATGGCATAGTCTATAGATGCACACAGAACTATAAGCCAAACTCTACTGAAAATACAATTTATCTTATACATTGTCCATCCGGAGGGATAAGAACTGGTATATATCAAAACACATATCGATCCAGATAATGAGGTCTGTTTTATTGCTATGTTTTACCAGGAGAGGATGAGGGTATAATATTTTATTATGAAACAACTAATAGAAGGAACAGAAAAACACGTGGAGATGACCTTACTTTGGAACAAAATGAACAGTGGATAAGGAGTGCCACCTTTTGGCTATTGCATGCTTTGACAGTTTCCAAGTTCAAGTGGATTTTGGCTTGGTTAATATTGAGCTTTGCAATTCAATTCTGAAATGTTTCTAAAAGTTCTTTTCCAGGTATCTTTGGGTCTCATCCTGCTTGAAATGAGCCTTCACAGAATTCCCCAGGTTCTTCCCAGTTAGTTACTGCCCAGAAGGTTAATGCTAGTCATTACTGCTCACTATTGCTCCCCAGAGCACCAACGATGTAGCCAGGAAACCAGGAGAATATTGAAAAACAGAGTACATTTTAAAATCACAATGCACTTCTGGTTGGGTTGGTACAGAAGGAATGAATAGACAGTCTAATTGATCTAGCACAGTCCTTAGAGTCTAATAGCCCTGAACTTAACCCAAACTATGACATTTTGGAATAGATTTATGGTACCTAGTTGGGCCTGTGCAGAGTTTTCCAGAGAAATAAATTAAACATACATGTAACACAAATAGCACACAGGTATGCATGCATGTCACTGAGACTCCCCACCTTGAGAAAATCTAAAAATAGCTGCATTGGTGCCCTCTAACTGTGTCAAAATGGAAAGATTTTGGAAACTAAAAATTGACCAGACATGGGTCACCACACCATGGAGGGATAGGAAATAAAACTCCTAGTTTCTCATTCTCCAGAATAGGAGCTTCAAAAGAACACAATGAAAAAGAGTTATCATTTCTATCCCAAACATGGCAAAGATAGTTAAAGAAGCTAAGATTTTAAAAGTCTTCCCTGTAGAAGCCTTTCCTGAATGCTCCAGAGATTTCTACTACCATTGACAGCTTCACAAAAGGAAGCAACAACTCTTTGAGGTCCTCCTGCCTGGATAGTAACATAAACATGCTCTATATGTTCCAAGTCCTGCACTTTGCCTAAGCAATAGTCACGTTTCCTTCACCTTGTCCTCGGGGTTTGCTAAATTCCTACCGCAGGTTCATGTGCCTTGTCCCTACAGAGTCCTACAAGGAAAACAAAAGAGTTGCAGCTTAAAAAAAAAAAAAAAAAAAAAGTCCCTGTCTTCCTCACCCCATGAGATAAATCAAAGAACCAAACAAGACAAGGTATAATTGAGTGCTGAGATGCTGAATATAACCCAAACAAATAACAGGCTGGGAGGACCTACGTAAGTGTTTGGCACACATCACACATTCAGAAAATGTTAATTTGCCTTTCCTTTTTTCCTTCCTTATGGTAACAATGACTTCCTGATCCACCTTTGTCTATGAAGCTTGGCTGCCACGCATGAGTCTCACTTTGATGGACAGTTATTGACAGGTCTTCTTCTGAGAATTACTGTTCTGTGAATTCTTACCAAGTGACACTGATAGGAAATTTCACAGCAAAGTTCCCGGAGGTCAGCCCTCTTCCTAATGATGCTGAGCAGGACTGACAAGCCATGTTGTCTCCACAAGGGCAGAGCCCAGACGCCTGAGTCACCCCTGCCTGATCAACCTTACAGGCTGTACACACAGTGACACAACCAGGGAGAAGTAGGAAAATGGGCAGTTCCCTTTACCTTAATTCCGTCATGTTTTTACAGTATGTTCTTGCTGATCAAGCCAATTCAAGCCTGACAAAAAAGGAGAGGACCTGATCAAGAGTTTGTCTAGATTTTGTTCACTCACGGTCATCAAAAAGGCCTCCTTGGGCCAGCACTGCCTCCACATTCACAGGTCCAGGCCATGGCCCCGTGAGGTGGTGGAAAACTGGGCTCACAGTCAGCATGAACCCCACAATCAGCCCAGAGTGCATGATGTGCCTGGAAATCCATTGAAGAAAATCCACTTGTTGACCCCACAATAACTAATGAAGCTGAACTGCAGAAAGGTAACATCAGTGTCTAAACCCAGAAACAGATTTTCTTAGCCTGCCAGCAGAATGGAAGGAACTGATAGGAGAAATTTGGGGAAATAAAGATAAAGATAACTTCTGAGAGGCTGGCAGTCTGAGAGGGGCCAGAAGTGTAAGAAAAGATATAATAAAAGCCTGGGCACAACAGATATAAATGTTGTAAACCAGTTAGAAATAATAATTCTAAAAATTCTCCAAAAGCTATCATTTTAAAAACTGCAAGACAAAGTAATGTGTTAATAACTGAAAATATTTCTAATTATAATTATTTACCTTTATTTTGTGCTTTATAGTTCTATACAATTTTACATCTTTTATCTTATTTGTTCCTCCCAACCAAACATGGAAGTTGGGCAAGTAAAACAGTTAGTAAAGTTGGCATTTACAGGTTAAGAGACCAAGGTTTCAGCCAAGTGTGGTGGCTCATACCTGTAACCCCCAGCACTTTGAGAGGCCAAAATGGGTGGCCTCCTGTGGCTTAAGTCCAGGAGTTTGACACCAGCCTGGGCAACATGATAAAACCCCATCTCTACAAAAAATACAAAAAGTTAGCTGGGTGTGGTGATGCATGCCTGTAGCAGCTACTTGGGAGGCTGAGGTGGGAGGATTGCTTGAGCCTGGGAGCTGGATGCTGCAATGAGCCAAGACCATGCCACTCTACTCAGCCTGGGTGACAGAGCAAGGCTCTGTCTCAAAAAGAAAAAAAAAAAGAAAAAAGAAAAGCAAAGGAAGGAAAGGAAAGGAAAAAGGAAAAGGAAAGGAAAGAAAAAGAAAAGAAAAAAGAAACCAAGGTTTCAAGAAGTGTCTTGACTAGAGTTGCACAGCTGATGAGTGTGCAGGTGTGGAACAGAAACAGGGTTCCGTACTTAGATTCCATCACTTTTATTTTTCAATATTTACATATCCTGGAAAAGGCAAACAAGCCTAAGGTTGCCTTTCTCAGGTGTAGTTAAAACAGATGGCCAAAAAAGACTCAGCCAGACTGAAGCCAATGTTGTTAATACTCTCCCCCTCCACCCCCTCCAAAACGAAGTACAGTAGTAAGGGTAGGAGATCGAAGGAGAACAATTGAGTCACAGCCACTTGCCAAGGAACCAAAGCCAAATAATTTTTTTTTTGGATGGGACTTTGTTCGGCACCTAAAACATAACAAACTAACCATTAATTTTTATTAAATTCTGTTTTTTTTAATTCGTGAATTTTATTCCAAATGAAAATGTGAACTTTTTAGCAAAAATAGGAAATTTCATATCACTGTATTATTATTCTCTAAAGGAACAAACTTCACCTATGGAGAAATGATGCACTATTTACTTCAAATGTGCTACAATAAAATTATAGACAAGTATAGATTATGGGTCACATTAGAAGCAACCTGCCCTTTTAGAACATTGAGATAGAAAAATTCTCTAATTTTATGACCAAGAGAAGAAGAACCATTTTAGAATAAATTAATAATAAAAGTTATTGAAAAAATGGAAGTTGGTAGCAAGTTGAAGAAATAAGATGCAGAATTATTAATTATCACATTCTTTGGAAAATAAGTGTGCTATTAAAGAGTGCCTTAAGGCTATAATATCAAGACCAAAGAAAAAGGTAGTGGAGGGAAAAATGGCCATTTACTTCATTTCTAAATTTAAAAGGAGTTCTGCTATTGCTGGTATCAGGAGATTAATATAGCTGTCAGTGTGATCATTCTCAGAAAGCTGGCTTATTTCCAACTGGAACTGACATATTCAAGATATAATAATGGTTTCTGGCTTCCTAACTAATTTGGTCTTGGCTCTATTTTTTAAACAGACATTTTTTAAAGAATAGTTTTAGATTTACAGGAAAATTTTAAAGATAGTAAAGAGAGTTCTCATATATTCCACATCCAATTTCCTCTATTATTAATAGCTTACATTAGTATGGTACATTTCTTATAATTAATGAGCCAATATTGATACATTATTATTATCTAAAGTCTTTATCAGATTTCCTTCATTTGTCTTTCCCTAATGTCTGTTTCTTTTCCACAGCCTAGCCAAGATGCCACATTGCATTTAGTTGTCATGTCTCCATAGGCTTCTCTTGGCTGTGACAGTTTCTCAGGCTTTCCTTATTTTTGATGACTTTGAAAGTTTTGAGAGTACTGGTTGAGGATTTAATAGAACATGCCCCAATTGGGATTTGTCTGATGTTTTTCTCATAATTAAACGAGTTATGGGTTTTAGAAAAGAAGACCACAGAGGTAAAGTGCCATTTTCATCACATCGTACCAAGGGTACATACTATCGTCATGATTTATGACTGTTGATGCTGACTTTGAACACCAGGCTGAGGTAGTGTTTGTCAGCTTCCTCCACTGTAAAGTTATTCTCCACTCCCTGACCCTTTCTAGACTGTACTCTTTGGAGGGAAAGGCACTATGTACGTCCCACGCTTAAGGAGTAAAGAAGCATGCCCTCCTGTAGAGGCAGAATATCTACATAATTTATTTGAAATTCTTCTGCAAGAGAGATTTGTCTCTTCTCTCTTATTTACGTATTTATTCACACATTTACTTATATCAGTATGGACTCATGAATATTTATTTCATACTCTGCATTATAATTCAACACTCTTATACTTATTTATTTATTTATTTATCTGTGCTCAAAATGTTCCAGCTTTGGCTATTGGGAGCTCTTTGAGTTGGCCTTCCTGTCCTTTTAACATATCCCCCATCAACACAGGGATTTTTGGGATTTTGTTTGATTGGTTTGTTGGCTGGTTAGTTGGTTGGGTTTGGGGTTTTTTAGTATTTCCTTACTTTCTGGCACTACAAGATAGTTCAGCCTCATCTTGTATATAGTTCAGGCTCATCTCCTATATTTTCTATCAAGTTCTAGAATCAGCCTTTTCTCCAAGTAGCCCTGCTACTTTTTCTTAGGAAATGGTATTAGAAACCAAGATCTAGTATAACCCCCAATGCATAGACACTAAAAATAAAAATAAACAAATGGGATTACATTAAACTGAAAACCATCTGCAGGCTGGGTATGGTGGCTCATGCCTATAATCCTAGCATTTTGGGAGGTCAAGACTGCAGTGAGCTGTGATTATACCATTGCATTCCAGCCTGGGTGACAGAGAGGAAGGAAGGAAGGAAGGAAGAAAGGAAGGAGGAAAGCTTCTGCACAGCAAATTAAACTATCAACAAAATGAAGAGACAACCTATGGAATGGGAAAAATATTTGCAAACCATACATCTGGATAAGGGATTAATAGCCAAAATATATTAGGAACTCATATGACTCTACAGTAACAAAATAAATAATCCCACTAAAAATGGGCAAAGTATCTGAATAAACATATTTCAAAAGATTATATACAAATGGCCATATGAATATGTTTTAAAATGCTCAACATCACTAATCATCAGGGAAACACAAATTAAAACCACTACGAGATATCACCTCATACCTGTTAGAATGACTATTATCAAAAAGAGGAAAGATAACAAGTATTAGAAAGGATGTGGGTAAAAGGGAACTCTGCACACTGTTGGGAATGTAAATTATACAGCCATTACAGAAAACAGTATAAAGCTTCCTCAAAAATTAAAAAGAGAAA
Source organism: Homo sapiens (assembly GCF_000001405.40). Classification (NCBI taxonomy): domain Eukaryota; kingdom Metazoa; phylum Chordata; class Mammalia; order Primates; family Hominidae; genus Homo; species Homo sapiens. The sequence goes on from NC_000001.11 coordinate 219,573,019, forward strand.
TATCATATGATTTAGTAATCCGACTCCTAGGTATATACCCAAAGGAAAATCAGTATGTTGAAAAAATGTCTGCACTCTTGTGTTCACTGCAACATTATTCACAATAGCCAAGATATGGAATCAACCTAAATGTCAATCAGTGGATGAATGGATTTTTAAAATGTGGTATATATACACAATAGAACACTATTCAGCCTTAAAAAAAAAAGGAAGGCCTGTCATTTGTGACAACATGGATGAACCTGGAGGATATTATTAAATTAAATAATCCAGACACAGAAAGACTCAAACTACATTATCTCACTTATATGTGGAATCTAAAAAAGTTAAACTCATAGAAGCAGCAAGTAGAATGGTGGTTGCCAGAGGCCGAGTGTCTGTGAGAGGGAGGCGATTGGAGAGATGTTAATCAAAGGTCACAAAGTTTCAGTTAAACAGGAGGAATAAATTCAAGAAATCTATTGTACAACATGGTGAATATATTATAGTTAATAGCAATGTATTGTATACTTGAGAATTGCTAAGAGAGTAGATTTTAAGTGTTCTCATCACAAATAGATAAGTGAGGTGATGCATATGTTAATTAGCTTGATTTAACCATTCCACAATGTATACATATTTCAAAACATAATGTTCTATGCCATAAGTATATATAATTCTTATTTGTCAACTAAGTAAGTAAGTAAATAAGTAGAAATGGTCAAAGAGCAGAAGCAGACAATTCACAGGAGAAACAAAGAATGAATGTGGAGAAAAGAAAAAAAAAATAAAAGAAACAAGACCCGAAAAGTAGGTATACTCCTTGCTACTGGGGTGATCTGGCTCTATGTTAAATGTTAATTATGGAATTTTTTAAAAAATTTATTGAACACTCTCTATTTGTCTGGAACTATATTGAACACCCTGCCATGAGTACTATGCTCATGGTTTTTCTTTCATGGGGCTTACATTTTACTGGGGTTTAAGTTTTTTAAAAAGTAGGTAAATTAGTTTATTAGAAAGTAATAAATACTCTTGAAAACTAAAGTCTGGAAGGAGAATGGGAAGGAATGCCGTTTTAAATAGAGTGATCAGAGAAGGCCTCTGCTGAGAATGGTAAGGGGAACTGAAAGAGTCATATGGGTTTTTGGGGTAGAAACATTTCAGGAGAGGAAACAGCTAGTGCAAAGACCCTGAGGCAGGAGCATGCCTAGTATATGCGCAGAACAGAAATGAAACAGGATGTTCCTGGATGAAAAAGAAGAAAGTTATAAAGGGTGAAGTCAGTAAAAGTCATGGCATGATGCTGCAAGGGGTGGGAAGAAGGTACAAATCATGTTGAATAAGTAGGCCATTGTGAGGGCTTTGGCTTTTGCTCTAAGAAATATGGGGGGAAGGGCAATTAAATTAAAGGGTGTAGAGCTTCTTGGCTCATTATAAATGGAAACTGCCATTGAAAATGAATGAATTAAAAAAAATATTTATTTTTAACCTGCACCAAGGATCATGAAAACACTTTTCTATTCCAAACCAAACACACACACACACACACACACAACAAAGAAAAGGTTCTACATTTTTCAACATGGCCATAATAGAAAGTAGTGAGTTCATTTCGAGAAACCCCATGTGTTTCTTTGCCCTGGGATATTTCTGTGAGCTCCTGAAGGCACAGTGGGGAGCCCTCCGAGTGGGGAATTCCAAGGTGCTGTCTTCAAAGATCTAAAAAGCAGCATCCAAAACATTCTCCAAGCTCCTTCAGGGTACTCAGGAAAGAGGTTTCATTAGCAGCCTTATCATTAGAGTGTTTGGTAAACTGATCTAAAGATTAAGAGCTGGTTTTAGTGAGCAAGGGGGGAAAACCCACTTGTAAACGCTAAGTAACTTCTCAGATATGAGAGTAGCTGAGTGCACAAGCGGCAGTTGCTGCCAGCCAGACTTTAACATGCTGTAACTCACATCTCTTATTCCCCCTTTCCTACCTTTGTTCTTTTCCTCTCACCTTGGTAAGACCCCACAGGTTTTGTATTAGGCACTTATAGAGATACCCAATCAACAATTACTGAGAGTTAAAAAGAGTTTGGGGTCCCTGATCTAGAAAAAGCCTTCCATAATTCCTGAAACTAGGATAAACGTCTCCCTCCTCTTCATGCCCTACCTTTGTGTCTCTCCTTGGATGCTCCCGGAGAAGCGCTGGAGCGCTAAGGGAAGAGAGGAAGTCAGACCCATTTTCACTGCTTATGAACTGTGTACCCTTAGTTAACTTACTCAATCTCCTAGCCAGTTGGAAGAAAGGAGCGCATGAAAAATATCTACTTCAAAGGGCTACTGTGTGATTTAAATGAACTAAAAAGTGTAAACTGCCCAGAACATTGCATGACAGTTACTACACTTTCATTAAACTTTCCTTTTCTTCCCTTTCCCTTGTTTTGCTATAGCATAAGGTCTGTGGGTACAACGTCTGTCTTATTTCTGCAACTCTTTCAAAATCTAGCAGTAAACTGCATTAGTAGGAGCTCAATAGCTGTTAGCTGAATTAGAGAATGAATGAAGTTTACAGGATCACCTCATACATGTTTAAGGGAGAATACACACCCACACATCCACTCACATTAGCTTTAAGGGAATCATGGTGAACCTTAATGCACATGTTATTGACTTACTCTGAAGCTTTCTGCAGCTCAGTAATGAGTGTAGGCTCAATAAATGCTGTTGACTGACTGATAGCTCACACTCCAGGAGAGTTGGAGAACCATTAGGTTCAACAGTTACCACCTGTGGTTCCTGAAACTATTGCTTTACTCTACACACAGGAACACTAGGAAAAACTAAACACTCAGATTGCTGTTGTTGTCAAGGACACGTAGATTTTACCCAGAACTCACATTGGGCTGTATTTCTGCCTGATGGTGTACTTTTCAGGTTCTTAATTAAAGGGAAAATTGAATGTGCTTATTGTAAATGGAATGAAGTCAAAATGATGGATGAGCTGCCTTTCAGGGAATTGCCACTCTGCAACGATTTGATTTCTCACTCTTCTAGGAGACTTTCCAAAGGCTGGCTTGGCAGCCTCTAAGAAGTGGTGGAACAGAGACTGCCCAGGACTACCTGAAGCCAGGCTCTCAGTGCTTAGCCACAGGACAAACTTACATCTCTCACTGGATCTGCTGTTTTCATATTGATAACGGACAAAGAAAAGGCATCCCTAAAAGTTAGTCTCAACACACAGCAAGTGGGGCCTCAGAAGAGGGATTGAAAGACTGCAGAGAAAAGCTCAGATGGGCCACATGAAGGCATATTAGTTCTGCAGGCCGTGCTGAGCTACAGCACGGCCTGCACAGACATAATGCTGCCTGCCAAAGAGCACCCTCTCCTAAAGACTTCCCCAGGGTCAAATACTGGCAACTGCATTTGGAACTATGGAAATGTTGACTGTTCTACCATCATGGGAGTCCCTTTGAACTAAATGTGTTTCTTGGGAAAATTCTTAGGAAGTGCTAATTGGAGAGTGGTTAAGCAAAGGAAAGTAGAGGTCCGGCTCGGGGGAAGAGGGAATATACCAGCTAGATATTCTCTTCCCTGGGCTAGACCTGCAGTTAAAAGCAGATCTAGGCTGACAAAGAAGGTCTGAATACCAATCTCTTCTGCCTTGGCCTTACTGACAATCAGAGGGAACCAAAACAGGGTAAAAATGGACCTAGACAGAGAGCCAGGAAGTGTGTGAAGGGAGTTCATTTAGACCAGTCACCTGGGAAGCTTTTTAACTATCCCAATGCCCATGGTCACCTCCGTGAGCAATTAAATGAGATTTCTTGGAGTGGGCCCAAGCATCAGCATTTTTAAAACTCTCTAGGTTACTCCCAAAGGCAGCCAAGTTTGGGAACCAATGCTTCCGACCATCAGCATCCACTGCTGCGGAGAAAAGTCAGGCTCTGCTTGAGCCTCAATCAGCCCCAGGCCCACAACCTCTTTCTATGTTTCTATGTTGCCTGGAGGGCAGAAAGCGGCTGTGAGCGATTTTCTAAGCTATCAATTCAGTATGCATAACCAAAAGGTTAGAGACACATCAGCAGAGGCGATTCTGTTTCAAGAAAAAGGACTTTAAGAATAGAATTAGTCTCTGCTCAGTTTACAAGGACAAAAAGCAACTGCTGCACCACCACCAGTGTGAGCCTCAGATGCCAAAGGTTTGGTAAAGGCTAAGTTTAATTGTTTCTAAGGAGAACAGGAAATATTTATTTAGGATTAGTGGCAGCTGCTCCAGGGGTACAGCTGGGGATGGTGGAAGATATAATTAAGAAAATTGTGTGAGGGAGGTCTGGAAAGCCACCAGAAGGGACAGCAGCCTTGGTAGAAGCTGTTTGCATAGGCTTTTTTGTGTGTGGGCAGCTGAGTGTTAATAGGCACTTCGGAGGAGAAAAAGATAAATATGCAGTCTAATTAGCAGCTGACTTAGGGTTGCAAGATCAAATGCAGGTAGAATCCTATTATAGCCTACACCACAGGTCCTCAAAATTGTTTTGTTGAGTGATTGCATCATAATGAGTACCTGGTAGAAATCATCACTCATATCTCCCTGTATTTTCTCACAATGCTCCCTCACCTAGAATGCCCTTCTAAAAGAGGTACATTTGGGAAGACAATGGAAGTTTATAATCATCATCAGAAATGTGCTAAAATTATCAAAAGGAAAGGAAGAGATGCCGTAAATAATGAACAAAAGTTAGGACTCTATTCATTCTTTAGTAATACCAAATGTGAGTTGTTTCAGCAAGATAAAAAATAAAAGTGACTATACCATTGCCCAAATACTCTGGGTCCTTAAACCCCAAACGGTTTAGTCAAACCTGATTCCTCGTCTTCTGTCCCTGTTGAAGGCATCAGTCTCTCTTGCAAGGCCCAAGTGGCCAAACGCCACCCACCCTGTGCATATCCCTGTGAAAAAAAGACCTTCCCTCTGTGGCCTCACCCCAAATTGTATGCACATTGCACATTTATTTCATTCTTCCTTGGATCCTATTGAGTTGTCCTACCTGCCTCCTCAACCAGGCTGTAAGTGGTAAAAGAACAGAGAATTTATTTTATCCATCTTGTAGGGGACTGTGTTCATAGTAAGTAAAGACTGAGTATCTATGAATTTGAATTACGTTAACTCAGATTCTCTCCAGAGAAAAGTTGTTTTTTTTTTTTCTCACAATACATTTCTCTCCTTCCCTACTAGTTCAAAAATGCTAAAATCAGAATGACTTTTAGATATGCCTACCAGGGGAAAAAAAATAGTTACAATGTGCAAGTACTCTCCTTTCAAAAGATATTGGGGGTTTTAAAGGATCTTAGAGAAAAATGGCCCAGTGCAGGTAAGTGACTTATGCAGGGATACTCAGCAGGTTAGGGCAGGCCAGAACTACAAGTGAAATTCAAGACTCCATGACTTCCAGCCTCTCCTCGATGTCCTTTCCCAAACTCCTGGGTGACATGACAGCCATTCTGAAAAGTTGTTCACTAACTGTCCTTCTGTTCAATAAATCCTTACTTGTCTACTGAATTAAATAATTTTGGAAATAGCTCCATCCTCTGTTCTAATTAAGATATCATTATCAGTGTTTCCTCCTCCATTTGTCTTAGCTTCTCTATTAATCATCAATTCTAACAGCTAACAAATATACTAGAGCTCCTCTCCCTCCAATACAGCCACTAGGCTACAGGAAGGCAATCTAAATTTAAATTTACTAAAATTAAGTAAAATTGAAAATCTTATCCCTAGTTTCCGTAACTACATTCAAAGGCTGAAGAGCTGCATGTGGCTAGTGGCTATGATATCGGACAGCACAGGTATAGAGCATTTCCATTGCTGCAGAAAGAAGCTACTAGGAAACTTGATAGATGAAAGAAAGGATCCTTATAATGTGAACAAGCATGCCCAAGATATCTGCCTGAAGTCTGAATTCTCTTAGTGAGATTTCTTCAAGGAGGCAGATGTGTGCATAGGTTTATCAGAGAATGCCTGAAAACTTAAATTTTTGTTTCATAGCACACCTTATTCAATCACCAGAAGACTTTAAGAATTTACTAGCAAATGTTTGGAACTCTTCTGTGGTGTAGAAAACTGTTCTTCCTTATCATCAAATAGTCCATCAGACCAAATTAGGTACGTTGTAAAGTGTCGGCATAGTTTTTGGTTTAAGGAGCCTCCCATTCCAAAATTTCATAGCCAGGAAAAAGTTATTATTTGAAGCCAGTATTTTTCAGTTTCTCCTACAGCCAGGTATGTGCTGGGTGCTTGATACTTTGTTGTTTTTAATCCTCTTAACAGTTCTTCGAGGTGTCATTGTCTACATTATATAGGTGAAGAGAATGAGCTACCCGGGTGTTAAATTACTTGCCTATTTTAGGGTGAACCAGCCATCTCAGCTTGCAAGGAACTGAGGGATTTTCCAGGATGCAGGATTTTCAGTGTCTGGGAACGCCTTAGACAAACTAAGATGGTTGGTCACCCCATCAGGTCACAAAATAAATAATTTCAGAACAAAAATCAAACTGAAGTCTTTCTAGCTCCAATGCCCAAATGTGGATAGACCTAGAATAAAATTCAAATGTGGTTATATAACAAAAATTTCTTTCTTTCTTTTTTTTTTTTTTTTTTTTTTTTTTGAGACAGACAGAGTCTCTCTCTGTCGCCCAGGCTGGAGTGCAGTGGCGCGATCTCGGCTCACTGCAAGCTCTGCCTCCCGGGTTCACGCCATTCTCCTGCCTCAGCCTCCCGAGTAGCTGGGACTACAGGCACCCACCACCACGCCCGGCTAATTTTTTGTATTTTTTTTTTTTTTTTTTTTTTTAAGTAGAGACGGGGTTTCATCATGTTAGCCAGGATGGTCTTGATCTCCTGACCTTGTGATCTGCCCACCTCAGCCTCCCAAAGTGCTGGGATTACAGGCGTGAGCCACCGCACCCGGCCAAAAATTTCTTTCTTTTAACATCCCTCATAATTCTGTCCTTATTTCCTTCCTCTGTTTCCAGTTATCACTGGATTGCAAATCCAATGTGAAGATTTAGAGTCTATGTGATCAGATTTTCTGTTTTTGCTCATTCCCAGTTTTCTTCCTACATAAATTAAGCTTTGTGTTGACATTCCAGTAATTCAAATAATCCCATAGGATTTCAGCAGTTTGTTTACTGGCTTGGCAAGGGTTTGTTTACTGGTTTGGCACCCCTTGCAATAAAATCGAAAGCTTCTGACTCATTCCTTTATATACTTTGGCTTGTCTTTTAAAAGATTCAGTTGAGTACATTTGACCGTTCACGTCTCTTCAATGTTCTTTGCCTGCTCCATATGCAGGAGAGAGAAAACTGTTGGGCCACCCCAGTGCTAATGAAAATGTGAGCACCATCACCATCACAAGAACACTGGTATGAAAAGCAAATTCATGAGTCTTACCTCAGATCTAGAGAGTCAGAATCTCTAGGAATGCAGACCAGCAATCTATGTTTTAACAAGCCCTCCAGGTGATCCATATGCACATTAAGATTTAAGAAGCACTGGGCTATACTAGATCAGTGGTTCCCAAAGATTGCTAAAGATTAGAATCACCTGGGGAGCTTTTAAAACTTCTAATGCCCACGCCACACTCAGAGCAATAAAATCACATTTCTGGATTGGAAACCCAGAGACTAGCTTTTTTTTTTTTTCTTTTTTTGAGACGAGTCTCCCTCTCTCACCCAGGCTGGAGTGCAGTGGTGCAATCTCGGCTCACTGCAACCTCCGCCTCCCAGGTTCAAACAATTCTCCTGCCTCAGCCTCCTGAGTAGCTGGGATTACAGGCACGTGCCACCAGTCCCAGCTAATTTTTGTATTTTTAGTAGAGACGGGGTTTCATCATGTTGGTCAGGCTGGTCTCGAACCCCTGACCTCGTGATCCATCTGCCTTGCCCTCCCAAAGTGCTGGGATTACAGGCGTGAGCCACCGTGCCCAGCCAAGATTAGCATTTCTAAAAAACTTCCCAGATCATTCCAAGGTGCAGACCAAGTTGAAAATTGATGCATTAAAGGATATGAAAGTACTAACTTTCTATAATTTGTACAGTAATTCTATGCTTCTGCAAAACAAGGCAAAGATACTTGGAGTGATATCTAACATACTTTCCAAATATATCATCTTTTGGAATGATAACGGACAAGGACAATGATAGCAAGTTATCATACTTTTTTTCGAAATGTTGAGTGGATTAGAAAGTCTCTTTTAAGAGTGGCTTGGAGTAAATGATGAATCCAAATTGTGTGTTCATAACAAATTTCAGTCCTTTCAACAAATAAACAAGCCAATACCACCATAAGCAGGATGATATTTTCTTCCTAAGGTCAAAGTAGATGACAAGCATAAGTTGACAATCAAAGAGATGACATTTAGATGTCTGTTTTCTATTACTCTAATTATGGAAAGTGATGAGAGTCCATTTGCTATTAATATTTCTACAACTCTGTGATTTGTGGCCAAGTATTGTTTGCTTGATGGTGTGGTGACTTTCAGCACAGCCAAATGATTAGAGATAAAGGAAAAGTGTTGAAATGGGACATTTTTGAAACAGTGGGAGCATAGCTCTCCTTTTGGGCAGTTGTAAGCAGTGGTGTAACCTTGATAGCCCACGGCTGTGTTTATAAGCCCAACCAGTTTGACAGGATTTGACTCAATTAATAACTGGCCAATTCATTCAGCCAATTTGCTTGAATTTAAATTTGATGAAAACAAATTTAATCAAATCTTTTGGCCCAATTATCAGTTTTTTGTTTGGTTGGTTTTTTAACTTGAAGGATAATGTGCTTCTTATCATAACTTGAGAGATGATGCCAAGGTCACCAAAATTTAATTTTTTCATTGAGGAGTCATGCACTATGGTGACATTGCAACAGTGTGAGGGGCTTTAGATGAAAAATCTGTATATATCTGGCAAGCTACTGGGAGTCGCAGGACTGGGTACTTCTTTAAAGACAAGAAGCAATGGAAACCATGGAAACCTGAAGCTGTTTTAGTGACTGGTTCTTCTAATCCTAAAAGAAAAAGTTCTTGGTTGTCAAAGTGAAGACCTCAGCAAAAGGAATGAGACCAGCCATGAAAATAGGCACAGCCTAGGTATCCAGGATCAGAGAAAATAGATAAAAGCCATGAGAAATGAGCAATGATGCTCAAAAGAGATAGAATACCATACTGTGTTTTAAGACCATTTGGTTCCAGTATAACCAGGGAAGTATCACATTCTAATACTGAATATTTTATAACTAGGAGAAGAATTAACAAAAGTGTCCTGGAGGTGCTCTAAGATTTGTTGTTTTTTTGTTTCTTCTTGGCAAGAAAAGCTATCATTTTTTAAAATGTTTTAAAAACAGCTTCATTGAGATATAATTCACACACTATAAAATTCACCCACTTAAAGTGTACAGTGTGGTGACTTAATATATTTATAGAGTTGTGCAACCATCACCACAATCTAATTTTAGAACATTTTCAGCATACTCTCCCCGCAAAAAAAACCTGTACCCATTAGTAGTCATTCCCCTTTCCCCCATCCCTCCCCCTCTTTCAACCTCTCCACCCCCCAGCCCCAGTCAACCACTAATCTACTTCCTGTCTCTGTGAAACCTATCCTTTTTTTTCCAATCTGTATTTCTGACAGTAATTCAATTTAGAGGACCAAATCCATCAACACATTTATTATCACTTTTTTCTTTTGCTTTCTTTTCATTTTTAATTTCCACATAATAATTGTACACATTTATGGGGTACATAGTGATATTTTGAACATGTATTCAATGTGTAATGGTCAAATCAGGGTAATTCGCAAATCTATCACTTCAAACGTTCCTCATTTCTTTGTGCTGAGAAGAGTCAAAATCCTCTCTTCAAGCTATTTGAAAATAGCAATAAATTATTGTTAACTGTATTCACCCTACAGTACTATAGAATACTAGAACTTATTCTTCTTATCTAGTTGTAATTTTGTATTTGGTAACCAACCTTTCACTATCCTTCCCTACCCTCTACCCTTTGTAGCCTCTAGTAACCACAATTTTACTTTCTACTTATATGAGCTCAATTTTCAGCTACCTCCTAGAAGTGAGAACATGTGGTATTTATCTTTCTGTACCTGACTTATTTCACGTAACATAAGGCTTATTGATGTTACCGTGAATGACAGGATTTCATTCTTTTTTTTTAAGGCCGAATAGGATTCTATTGTGCATATGTGCCACATTTTTTTCTTTATTCATTCATCTGTTGATAGGCATTCAGCCGATTTCACAACTAGGTTATTGTGAATAGTGCTGCAGTAAACAGAAAGGTGCAGCTATCTCTTCAATATATAATTTTTTTCTTTTTGATAAATATCCAGTAGTGAGATTTCTGGATAAGATAGCTCTATTTTTAGTTTTTTGAGGAAACGCCACACTGTTTTTCATAATGGCTGTACTAATTTATATTCCCAAAAAAAGGCATAAAAGTTCCCTTTTCTCCACATCCTTGCCAGCATTTGTTATTTTTTGTCTTTTTGTTTTGTTTTTGGTTTTGTTTTTTGAGACGGAGTCTCTCTCTGTCGCCCAGGCTGGAGTGCAGTGGCGCAATCTCAGCTCACTGCAAGCTCCGCCTCCCAGGTTCATGCCATTCTCCTGCCTCAGCCTCCGGAGTAGCTGGGACTACAGGCACCCGCCACCACGCCCGGCTAATTTTTTCTTTGTATTTTTAGTAAAGACGGGGTTTCACTGTGTTAGCCAGGATGGTCTCTATCTCCTGACCTCATGATCCGCCCGCCTTGGCCTCCCAAAGTGCTGGGATTACAGGCGTGAGTCACCACGCCTGGCCTATTTTTTATCTTTTTAATTATAGCCATTCTAACTGGGGCGAGATAACACTTCATTGTGTTTTTGATTTGCGTTTCCCTGATGATCAGAGATATTCTAATCATCTCTGTCATAAAAATGGACAAGATCTGAATAGCCATTTGTGTGTCTTCTTTTGTGAAATATCTATTCAGATCCTTTGCCCATTTTTTAATCAGATTATTTATTTATTTATTTATTTATTTTGCTGTTGAGTTCCTTGTGCATTCTGGATACTGATTCCATGTTGGATTAATAGTTTGCAATATTAATAGTTTGCAAATATTTCCTCCCATTCTACAGGTTGTCTCTTTACTCTGTTGATTGTTTACTGTGCAGAAGCTTTTTAGTCTGATATAATCCCACTTGTTATCTATGCTTTTGAAGTCTTACCCATAAAATCTTTGCCTATACCAATGGCCTAGAGCATTTCCCCTGTTTTCTTCTAGTAGTTTTATAGCTTCAGATCTTATGTTTAAATATTTAATCCATTTTGAGTTGATTTTTATATATGGTGGGAGATAGGCATCTAGTTTTATTTTTCTGCATATGGATATCCAATTTTCTCAGCACCATTTACTGCAGAGGTTGTCCTTTCCCCCAGTATGTGTTTGTGGCACCTTTGTCAAAACTTGGTTGGCTATAAATACATGGATTTATTTCTGATGTCTCTATTCTGTTCCGTTGGTCTATGTGTCTGTTTTTATACCAATATCTTGCGGTCTTGATTACTATAGCTTTATAGTATATTCTGAAGTTAGTAGTGTAATGCCTTCGGTTTTGTTCTTTTTGCTCAGGATTGCTTTGGCTACTCAGGGTGTTTTGTAGCTCCATACAAATTTTACAATTGCTTTTTCTATTTCTGTGAAGAACGTAATTGGTATTTTGATAGGGATTGCATTGAATATATACATCTCTTTGAGTCGTATGGTCATTTTAACAATTCATGAACATGGGATGTCTTTTCATTTGTTTGTATCCTCTTCAATTTTTTTCATCAATGTTTTCTAGTTTTCATAGTAGATATCGTTCACCTTTTTGGTTAAATTTATTTCTAGGTATTTTTGTAGCTATTGTAATTGGAGTTGCTTTCCTTATTTTTCAACTAGTTTGTATTGGTGTATAGAAATACTACTGATTTTTTGTACTGATTTTGCATCCTGCGATTTTGCTAAATTTATCAGTTTCAAATATGTTTCCTGTGCCTTTTCTTATCTCTTCTCCTTCTGAAATTCCCATAACGTGAATATTCATTTGCTTAGTGTTGTTAACAGTGTTCTATATGTACCATAGGCTTTCTTCATTCTTTTTCTTTCCCCTCTCCCCCTACTTCTTTTTTTTTTTCCATCTGACTGGGCTATCTTAAAAGACATGTCTTCAGGTTCAGACACTGTTTCTTCTGCTTGATCTAGTCTGTTGTTGAAGCTCTTAATTGTATTTTTATTTTACTCATTGAATTATTTAGTTACAAGAGTTCTGTTTGGTTGTTTTTTAATGATATTTACCTCTTTGTGGAATTTCTCATTCAAATCATGAATTGTTTTTCTGATTTCATTAAATTGACTATCTCTGTTCTCTTGTATCTTATTCAGTTTCCTTAAGAACATTATTTTAAATTCCTTTTCTGGCATTTCATAGATTTCCTTTGCTTTGGGATCTGTCACTGGAGAATTCATATGTTCCTTTGAAGGTGTTGTGTTTCCTTGTTTTTTCATATTTCTTGTGTCTATATGTCAATATCTGTATATCTGGTGGATCAGTAGCTTCTTCCAATTTTATGGAGAAGCTTTCATAGCAAAAGATATGAAAGCTATTTCTGTTGGCATGTCCTATAGTGTTGGTTGGGTGGGATGCTTTGGCTTTGGTTCTTGATTGATTCAGTAGTATGGCCTCCTTATGGTTTCTTCAGCTATAATCAATGTCAGTGGTGTCTGTGACTGCCTCAACGGCCTAGGGTGTGGTTGATTGTGGAGGTTGGGGGTGAGACTTTGCTGGGAATCAGAGCACTGGGTGGGCCAGTCCTTGGGCCCCTCAGAGCATGCCCATGCATGGCTGCTTCACCACTGGAGGGGAGGGGTCACCAGCAACAGCAGCAGATCCTGGGCAAGGCTGTCTTCAGGCCACTTAGGGGCATGTGCAGACATGCAGAAGCTTTGTTCTGGATGAAAAAACGTCACTGACAGCAGCGTCAGTGGGCCTGGGAAGGCCAATTCTTTGGCTCCTAGGAGGGTGCTAGCTCTGCTGCTAGAGCAAATGAGGTCACTAGTGGTGGCAGCTGTAGTCCACAGGCCCTGGGGAGCATGCCTGTTGGCTCCCTCTGTCCTGGGGCAGCATTCTTGCTAAGCTGAACTGCCTGTGCTTCAGGAAATAATGTGTTGTGTGCACTCAAGTAAACAAGGTCATGGCTGCACAGCTGGGTTCAGCCTATGTTGTGACATCACAGCCCTCTAGATGGATGTGACAGCACGTCAGTGGCGCACAAGAGATATGGAGATGCAGGAGCTATTGGGCCTTAGGGCAGGATGCACTCTGGTGGTTACTCCATTCTCAAAATGGTGACAGAATGGTGCTGCCCAGGGGGCAGGGAGGAGAACCCAGAATGAATTCCCTCTCTGGAACACTGCAATCATGTGAACTCCAAGCAGCTCCCTATACTGAGCTCAGGTCCCGCAAGGGCTGTGGGGCTCTCCTGTGGCTAGGATTGCAGGAGTCCATGGTGGGAATGTGAACTGCTGGAGATATCCTGCTTATATTTTCCTTGCAATGGGGAGCCCCTCCTGACTCCTAGCCAATTCTAGCTGGGTGCTTTTCTTCCCTCTCTGTGCTATCATCCTGAGTCTTTGTGCATCAGAGGGTCTTTATCACTTCTTTGCTGAAATCCAGTGTTCTCCCCAAGCACTCTTTTGACATATGGTTATCTATGTGTTGTTTTGGCCTTTCTTTATAGTCTATCATATTTTAGAGTGGCGTGTACCTGTTTCTCTTGAGTCCACCCACCCTCTACTTAATGTTTTGCAAAGCACAGGATTTGTGCCATTACTGGAAATAAGAGAATATTAGAGACATAGTATTTAAAAATATGAGCTCAGGATAAGCCCTGGAAAGGAGTTAAAGGCCCTTCCCAGGGTTCTAACAGAGGCCCCCAGCCCACCTTCTTTTCCTGCCCTGAATTCTGTCCTGTATCACAAAGGGTCTCCCATGCATGTCTATGGACTCAACAACCCACATATCTAAGCACCAAATATATCTTGCCTACCTAACTGTCTCCTCTTGCCCACTCATCACACTTAGGGGTACGTATACACCAGCAGCACAGTCCATCTTCAGCAAGACAAACATGGGGAGAATCTGAAAGATAAGTGTCTGGAGTGAGCAGTGAATGTCAAAAGTGAATAGATTCTGAAAGGACTTGTCCCTTTGACCCCATGGCCTACTCTTCCCAAGGGTGGGGCACAGCTGGAGGAAAGTCCAAGAAGGGTCCTCTAAAGATTGGAGTTCAGAAGGGGCCGAGTTTCTGGAGTCCAAGGATATACTGTCCACTCTTTGTCCAGCAAATGTTCTTCCAGCCTGTCTAAACACTTGAAAAGCTCATCACTAACTACATAAGGTGCTTCAGTATTTAGTAAGAGCTACAAACTCAGAAAAGCTAGAAGAGCCAGAAAGTAACATAAATGAGTGAAGGAGGCTGATGCAGGTCCTCCAAAGAAAGTTGGAGGGAATGTGGTGAGCTGGAAAGCACATGTGCTGTCCAAAGGAAACAGCCTGCAGGCTGGAGGAAGTCTGAGCTCAGTTTCACTGGATCTTCCAGTTTTTCAAAATAAATAAATAAATAAATAAAGTCAGAAATAAAAAATGTTCAATTTCTTGCCTTTTAAATGTTAGTAACTAATTCAAAATTTGTTTTAAACACTCTGTGAGACCAACAAGCCACATCTGTTAGCAGGCTTTAGCTCATGAGCTACCAGTTTGCAGCCTCAGAAGAAAAGATTTCTTCATTAGATTGTGTCGAAATCTGCTTCCTTGAGAATCCACACATATGGAGGAACCAAAAGTCACTATCCCTCTTCCACATATCTCAGTTTGAAAGTAGATCACATTTCCCCAAATATCTTTCGGAGACTACTTAGCCAACACACATTCAACTGCTGCTTCTACAGAATAGCTTCTGTATCTCAGTGTTGCAACCACCCACCTCCAGAAGCCCCCACCATCTGTTTTCCTGGGAGAGCAACAGAATGAGCAAAATATTTCAAAGATGATTGCTTCTTCTTGCTAGTAATTATTTTTCTTAGTATTGCATGTCTGGGTCCAGAAAGGGAAATAATGACTCAATCATCAAGCTTCTTGTACAAGGCTGGCAATTTCAGGAAGTAGAAGGAAGACTAACACTGTGAACAGCATTCTTGATTAGCCAGAAGTATAAAATGAGGTGTGCATTTGATCCACTGTCAGAGTAGCAGATGGAACACAGCAACCATGACACGGTAGAGGTAGGACTTAATGGATCATCCTGAAGTGCCTGGGACTGATTAGCCGTGGTGCAGCTACATGCAGTTTTTAATTGATTGATTTGAGTTTGTGGTCAGAAAATGGCTGTCGGCTCCAGCTTATCTATAATTATCAGTAATCAGAACCAGACCTCTCTCTCTCTTTAATAGGCCAGGGCTCCTCCAGCATGCTTGACTTTTCTACTTTTCAAGACTTTCTGTAACCACTGCCTGAAAGCTTTCACGGCCATAACATGATACCTGGTGCCCATTGGGAAAAAGACTCTGGGGGCATGAACATAAAGGTAACAAGAACACTGCTCTTTCATTAGCTTAATACTTTGCCTATTTTGAGTTCAAGACAGTTTAAAATTAAGAGGAGGCCTCTTACAGTTTAGCCAGTCTATTATAGGCAAAACCAAGTGAAAGATTGAAATAAGAATTCCTGTAACTCTAGCCCAAAGCTCATTTTTAACCTAAAAAATGATCTCGACACTAATTAGAGGCTGGAACTATTTCTAGGAGTCAGAGTGTCCCTACCCTGGGTAAAGCACCATTAACATTTCAACAGGCCACCCAAATCAGAAAACTAGGAAGTATTTTAGACCCCTTCTCCTCCTCACAGTCCCCTGTCCCTGACACATCCAATCACTAAGGCATCTGATTCTACCTTTTGAATCTGAGTGACTTTAGAACAAGTGTCCTGGAGTCAAAGAGACTCCAGGTTCAAATTTGAACCTCCAAGAGAAGTTCAAATCCTCCTGCCATCACTTATGAATTGTGAGACCTTAAGCAAGTCATTCTCCCTCCTATGCCTCATTTCTCTCAACTCCATTGCAGAGTTACTATACCTACCTTAAGGGAGATTAAATAATGATGAAATGAGACAATGTATGTATCAAATGCAGCGTTTGTTGTATATGTGCTTAAAACTTTATTTAAAATATTATTATTGATTTGCTGTCTCTATCCTCACCAGTACAACCTAAATCCAGGACAAAAAGTATCACAGCTAGATGAAGAAGGATGAGGAGGATGAAAAAGGGAGAGGAGGAGGGGAGAAGAGGGAGAAAGGAGAATGATGAGGAAGAGTAAGGGAGGAGTAGGAGGAGAAGTTTATGATGGTGGCGACAGCTACCTTCATTGCCTCTAAATGTGAATTCCCCTTGCTGCCACCTTGTTACCAGGGCCAGCTCCCTGGGGGTGTACCTGTGCCAATGGTGCTGCCACTAACTGAAGTTATAGGGGCATGTCTGCCGAAAGCTCTTCCACCACCTGCTAATGCAGACTGACAATCCACTGTGCTAAAATATCTTTTACTTCTGATCTCTTAAAGGCCATGCTTTGTCACTTTAATCCCAGAGATACAGTATCTAGCTCTTTCAAAAATCTCTCTGACACTTTAATCCCAGAGATGCAGTATCTAGCTCTTTCAAAAATCTCTCTGACACTTTGTGAGGAAACAGGTCCTTTGGCTTTTTAGAGAACCTGACTCTTTCATGACCAAAGGAAGGATCATTAATTTCATTTTAAAAATGATAAAAACAACCTCAGAAAGGTTTTTAAAAAGTTTTTCCAAGTCACACAGCAGAGCCAGGGTCCTCTCATCCAAAGTCCAGGTTACTTATGTACAATCAAATGGTCTCGTGTCCTCTTTCTTGTGAATTCACTGTTATAGGTACCATTTTCTCTATGCTTTCTCTTCTTTCCTGACAGTGGAGAAGAGCAAATGCTAGAGTGATCTTCCGAGGAAGGACTCTGGCTTTGACTCATCCCAATCTTCCTAATCTCAGCAAGGCAAGCAAAGAGGGTTGCAAGGAAGGATTACAGTATCACCGGTGTTTCGCTGTATGTTCCTTCCTTCAGGTGGCTCTGGTATTCAGAATGCATAGAGGAAATAGCCTGGGCTTAGGGTGAAGATGTGAACTGGAAATCTGGCTCCTTCCTTTCCGTCATTCATTAACAAATTTTCCTTAGTGGGCCCAGGCTCTGTTTTGGGCCTGGAAATACAACAAATAAAACAAAGTCCCCACTCTCATATAGTAACCTTCTTGCAGGAGAAGACAGAAAATAAACAAATGAAGAAATAAACAAATAAAAGCCAGGTGGTAACAAATACCACTGGAAAAACAATGAATCGGGGTAATTGATAAAGAAAGTTGGGAAAGGGGCTATTTTATATAGCGTAGCCAGGCAAGGGTTTGAAGGAGCAGTGACATTTAATCAGAGATGGGAATAAAGTGATAGATTTCTGGCAAAGGAGACAGAGCAGGTGTAAAGGCCCTGAGGTAGGAACATGTCAAGCTGTGTGGAGAATGGCAGCACTGAGTTCAGGAAGTAAGAGGGAGAGGTGAGACCAGAGTGATTGGGAAAGTGAGGGAGTGGGGAATAGATTATATAGAATCTTAGAAGCCCTACTAATGCTCTGGATTTTACCCTGAGGGATATGCCAGTGAAAGGTTTAAGCAGAGGAATGACATGATCTGCTTTATGTTTTTGAAAGGCTCACTTTGGTCACTATACAGGGGCCAAGGTAGAGGTAGCAGTTAAATAGATTTTGCAATAGGTCAAAAAAGATCATGGTGGCTCAGACAGAGATGGAGGTGACGGTGACAAAGGTGTCAATGGCAGGCGATTTTTCAAAGGCAGAATCATTTAGCAGCTGGGCTACTTTGACTGAGATATTTTGCCTCTCCTGGCTCAGGTCCCTCATCAGTAACATGAAGGTAACAATACCAAACTCATAAAATCACGGTATGGATTAAATGAGATAATTTATATGAAGGCTATACCTGTTGTTTTCCTTTGTATTAAAGACAAAGTCTGCAACCTTATGCAAAACTTAATTACATATATGCTCAAAGACCAAGATGTAAGAACATCTTGTCTTCAGAGTAGCAGAAACAATTTTGTGTATAGCAAGATTATTTACACTCATCTATCTCATCCTCTTAAATAAGAAAACTGATTACTATAAATATGTGCCAGCTTTTATGGTTCATTTTAGAATCTTAGTGCGTCAAAAAGTATAAAATAGTTAGACAAGTGAGGGATAAGTGAATCATGAGAGTCTTATTTATAGAATAAAAGCTGGGAATATCTGTGAAAACATCTTAATAATGATTATGACTGGTGGATGATATTGCAGAGTTTTAAAAAAATCCCTTTGTGCTTTTCTACATTTTCCACATCAATACAATAAAAAATGTATTTTAAGAGTATTTATTCCTATATCCATTTAGCAAAGAGAGTTAGAATCTCTGAAAGAAAACATGAGACAAGTAAAGAAAATAAGTATGTTAAAATTATAAGGGAAAAAGGGCAAAAATTAATATTTTGTGGGTATTATCTGCACAAAAGACACATCAAGTAGTTATTTAATTTTTGCAAATTAAATAGCAGGATGTGCTTTTTTCCCTAAATCAAGAGCCACTGAGGTATGGATGGAACACATTGGAACCAGTGAGCCTGAGATGGAGTCTGGCCTGGACTTTTTTCTTTTTTTTTTTTTTTTTTTTTTGAGACGGATTCTTGCTCTCTCACCTGGGCTGGAGTGCAGTGGCACAATCTTGGCTCACTTGCAACCTCTGCCTCCTGGGTTCAAGTGATTCTCCTGCCTCAGCCTCCTGAGTAGCTGGGACTACAGGCGCGTGCCCCCAGGCCCAGCTAAGTTTTGTATTTTTAGTAGAGATGGGATTTCACCATGTTGGCCAGGATGGTCTCGATCTCTTGACTTTGTGATCCACCCACCTTGGTCTCCCAAAGTGCTGGGATTACAGGCATGAGCCACTGCGCCCGTCCTGGCCTGGACTTCTTACACCCTGCTGGTCGCATGGATATATTCCTGCTGCATAACCAGCCCCAGTGGCTGAGCCTCTGAGGTCTGACTGAGATCAGGTGCAAAGCAGCAATCTCACTGTTATTAATAAGCAATGCTGACAAGCTCATACTAACCTTCCCAAAACTCCTGAGACCTGTGGTTACAAAATGACGCTATTAATCGGTACATTTCATGCCTCGGCTTAAAACCCCAGAGTCCTACTTCTTTCTCTTGAA
Organism: Homo sapiens; assembly: GCF_000001405.40. NCBI lineage: Eukaryota > Metazoa > Chordata > Mammalia > Primates > Hominidae > Homo > Homo sapiens. The sequence continues at coordinate 219,592,408 of NC_000001.11, forward strand.
GGTGAACCGTGCTTTCCGCATTTCATCTGGTTCCTCTCTCTGTGGATACGTCTGGATAATTAGATCCTGCATATGCAAGAATAAAATGAAGAAAAAGGTGACCTGCCTAGTCCAGTTTCAGGGTAAATTATCTGCTAGGTAAGCATAGAATCCCTTCTTGGCATAAGTGTAGCACATTAATTAGGCTAAGCATCTCCATCTCTTTTCTCTGCCTTGCCAAATATCTCATTCAGTTATCATATCTTGGTACGAGGAAGCTGTGAGGGAGTGGAGAAAAGAAAAGCATCCTGCCACACAAATAAGGAAAATGAGATTCAGAAGGTTTAAGTGACTTGCCTATTCTCTGACCCTAAAGAAATCTAACTTACTAAAGCCTTTTCTCCTTCACTAACTTTCCATCTCTAATCTAAACCAAATTTGTGCATTTCACCAGGCATCACATTGTCTCTCTCACTGATTTTGAGACAATGGCCAGGCCCCCTACCAGCTCACACAACATCTTTGTGCCAGTCAGAAAAGGCACCCCTTCTTCCTGGCACATGCAGCCCCACATTGGCCAGAGCTCAGCCTCATTTTAGACTGGGCATGATACCATAGTGCTGGTTATAGCCTTCATGAGACTGTATTGCAGCCCCTTAATATGGCTGGACAACTAAGGTGGCTCCCAACACAAAGAAACTTCCTCTTAAATAGATTGTTGACATTTTAAATTAGAGATGTCAAAACTTGAGGATATTATCTTCTTCATTAAGTCTTTTTCCATTTTGTCTGTTCCCATCAGTGACACTCCCAGAAACCTCTGCCCTCAATCTTGGAATCAATATTTATTCTAGCTGGCTTGTCTTCATCCTCACATCCAGGTTGACACCAAATCTTTCCAACTCTTTTTTGAAAAATAGCAAGTACATTTTTTCCCTCCAACTGCAACCCTCTTTTAGCCTGTGGATTTTATTCTTAGACTCCTGAAACAAATTCCCAGTCTGTTTTATATTTTAGCCTCTTACACCTCCAGGCCTTCCAATGAAACAACAAGAATCATATTTCTTGGCCACCATTTTAAATCATGTTAATCCATTTCTCAGAATACTGCATCTGCCAAAAAAAAAAAAAAAAAAAAAAAAAAAAAGGCTTTCATACTCTCTACTAGTTTTAATCCCACAAAATCTCCGTAGTCTTACAGAGCACTGCCATGGGTTGAGTTGTCCAACAGCAGACCTGAGACAATGTTTAGCGTTTAGTATATTTCTAGGGTATCCCTTGGGACCAACAGCTGTGAAAAGAAGGGGAAAACAATGGAGCAGAGGGAGAAGTCAGGTTGTGATGCAGACCTGATTGCCTTAGCCAACTCCACAGGAAGCTGTAGGTGCCTGCTGGAGTTGCCTCACTTAGGGTGAACATGGCCCTCCATCAGTCACTGCATGCCAACCTTTGAGGGGATGGAGGTGGTGGCCTTAGCTAAGGCCACCTTTTTCAGGCCACCTGTTTAAGCTGCACCTCTGCAGCTAAAAGAATCCCTGAAGGGGCTGAGCCCTAGAGGCTATCTACTGTCAGAACTATAACTGGCAGAAGGACAACATGTCCTTCTGAGATGCACATCTCTGTTTCTACCACCATCTATCCCATGTGCCACTTGGATCCACTTCAAGGAGCCAAATGCGCCACTTGAATACATTCAAGGAGCAGTTCCTCCACTGTACCAAGAGGCATCTCTTCCCAGTGAAATCTACAATAGGGGAAGTTAATAGGAGGAACTCCACCCCTGCTTCTGCACCAGTCCCAGGGCTGCAACTGATACTCATCATCTCCTTCCTCCATTATCCGTCTGGATTCCTCCTATATCAGGGTGCAGCTCTGCTAGTCTTAGTAGCTTACCTGATGGCATGAACTAGACACTCATTTCTGAGGGACCTGAGCTCCTGGTCACCATGCCCTTATCAGGCTACATGTGCTTTTGTCTTCTCAGCACTTTCTATTCCTTTTGGAATCTCTCATTGGCTGACTCGCAGCCCAAATTCTCCCTCTTGACTTCAGTCCCTTCAGCATGTAGTCCCCATCCATTTTTTGTGTGTTTTTTTTTTCCTGCATTGCATCCTGAGGCAGCTCCACTTAAACTCGCTAGTTAATTCCTTTCTTTAGTCTTTCTGTCAGTTCTTCCCCATCTCCTTTTCTGTTCTATTATTAGGCATCACAGAGCTACAAAAGATCACCTGTGAGACCTAGACTCTCTTTAGAGGGTAGGAAAGACAAAAGAGTAGGGGAGTTGGGGAAATAAGCTGGCAAACAGAAAATTTTTCTTGAAAAATTGGATGGCTGGGGGAGAAGGAAGCAAAAATTCCCAGCAGGCCAGGAAGTCAACAGGAAGGCATTCTAGCTCTCTTTCAATGATTATGTCTAGCTCAAAATATGGAGTGAATACTTGTTCAGATAACCAAGCAGCCACTTCCCTGTTTAACAGACTACTTTGAGGGAGGGAGTCCTACACTCACCTCCCCTAGCAAAGCGGCATCATTCCTCTTTCAACCAACCATCCATCTATCTGTATCACTGATTCAACAAATACTTATTGAGTGTCTACAATGTGCCAGTTCAGAGAATGTTCCATGATTATACAGAAGAAATTTTAAACTCCTGTTTGGACATCATCTTAATAAAGACACAAATATAATTCAACAATGTTTTTGAAAATAAGAGGAATAAGAAGTAAGGCCAAGTATCAGGACAGTACATTTAAATGTTTTCGGTTCTTCTATGGAAAACTGAAGACTTTCAGATTCAATGAACAAAACCCATGTTTTGCTAAAATAGAGTGGCATTTTAATTAAAAAAAAAAAAAATATATATATATATATATATTTTTTTTTTTTTTTGAGATGGAGACTCACTCTGTTGCCCAGGCTGGAGTGTGGTGATATGATCTTGGCTCACCACAACCTCCGCTTCCTGGGTTAAAGAGATTCTTCTGCCTCCGCCTCCCAAGTAGCTGAGATTACAGGCATGTGCCACGATGCCCTGCTAATTGTTTTTTGTTTTTTTTTTTTTGCATTTTTAGTAGAGACGGGGTTTTGCCATGTTGGCCAGTTTGGTCTCGAACTCCTGACCTCAAGTGATCCACCTGCCTTGGCTTCTCAAAGTGCTGGGATTACAGGCCTGAGACACCACACCCAGCCAAATAGTGACATTTTAAAAGTTTAAAAATATAAAGATAAAAATCATGTAAACATATATATGTAAATACACAAATCAAAAGTAGAAAATAATATTAATATCAGAAAAAAATAGAATTCACAACAAAACTATTACCAGGCTGGGCGCAGTGGCTCACAACGGTAATCCCAGCACTTTCGCAGGCCAAGGCGGATGGATCCCTTGAGCTCAGGAGTTTGAGACCAGCCTGGCCAACATGGTGAAACCCCATCTCTACTAAAGATTCAAAAAATAGCCAGGCATGGTGGCACATGCCTGTTGTCCCAGCTACTTCAGTGGCTAAGGAAGGAGAATCGCTTGAACCCAGGAGGCGGAGGCTGCAATGAGCCGAGATCGTGCCCCTGCACTCCAGCCTGGGTGATGGAATGAGACTCTGTCTTAAAAAATACATATATTATATATATAAATTATATATATTTTATATATATTATATTATATATAAATTATATATATTTTATATATATTATATTACATATAAATTATATATACAAAATATATGTAATACATATAATATATAAAATATATATAATATATATATAAAATATGTATATAACCAGGATCAGTGGTGACCAGCCTCCAAGATGACCCTCAATGACCCTGCCTGCCTCCGAGTACCCACACTCTTGTGAAGTCTCCTCCCACACGCACTATACCAGGGTTAGTCTGTTTGAACAATAGCAGATGTGGAAGTGATGGTAAGTCATTTCTAAGATTAGACTTTGAAAGAGTATAATTTCCACGTTGAGCTCTCTTGCTCTCTCTGTCTCTTTGTGTCTTTGTCTCTCTCTCTCTCTCTCTCTCTCTCTCTCTCTCTCTGATCTATTGCTGGAAAAGAGGAGTGAGAAGGGGAAAGGAGTGAAAAGCAAGTTGCCATATTGTGAACAGTTCTATGGAGAGGACTGCACGGTAAAAAAAAAATGGAGCCTCCAGCTGGGCGCGGTGGCTCACGCATGTAATCCCAGCACTTTGGGAGGCCGAGGTGGGCGGATCATGAGGTCAGGAAATCAAGACCATCCTGGCTAACATGGTGAAATCCCGTCTCTACTGAAAATACAAAAAATTAGCTGGGCGTGGTGGCGGGCGCCTGTCATCCCAGCTACTCTGGAGGCTGAGGCAGGAGAATTGCTTGAACCCGGGAGGAGGAGGTTGCGGTGAGCCGAGATCGCACCACTGCCCTCCAGCCTGGGCAACAGAGGGAGACTCTGTCTCAAAGAAAGAAAGAAAGAAAATGTAGCCTCCAGCCAAGAGCTAGCAAGGAATCGAGCTCTGTCGGTATCCAAGTGAGTGAGCTTAACAGTGGATTCTCCAGCCCCAGCCAAGCCTTGAGACAATGGCAGCCCAGGAAGAAAAGCTTGACTGTGACTTTGTGAGAGATGTTGAACCAGCCAAGCTGCCCCCAGATTTCCTTGCCTCAGAAATTGCATGAGATACTAAATGTTTGTTGTTTTAAGCCACTAAGTGTTGGAGTAATTTGTTTCACAGCAATAGATAACAGAATCAAAGACATTCATTTTATAAAATATACAGACCGTAACAATAAGAAAACAAAAATCATACCAAAACTACAAATGAAAAACAGTATTTACAAGAATTGTTTACATATTTAACAGAATATTAAATGTAGCTTTATATTAGTAAAAATAAAACATGCCTTTAAATGTATAATTTTCTGGAGAAATATAAATGACTAAAAATTGACTCCAGAAAATAAACTGAGCAAATTAGTAATCAGTGAATAGATTTAAGTAGAAAATCAAATACCTATTACGGATTTCTTACATTATCTCTCCACAAAGATCTAGGTTTAGCTGCTCCAACCAATGAGTTCTTCCAACAATTGAGGTAAAATAAATACTTTGACATTTAAAAAAAGACAAAATCAGCCTTAAAATGATAAATTGATAGCATATCCTAATTGCTAAGCCTTACAAACATAAAGAGAAATCATAGTAATAAATATAGATACAATATTTGTTATATAAAATTTTCAAATTGAAATCCACACAGAATATAGTCTTTTCAACAAATGATGCTGGGTCAATTCAAGACACATGCACATGTATGTTTATTGCAGCACTGTTCACAATAGCAAAGACTTGGAACCAACCCAAGTGCCCATCGGTGATAGACTGGATAAAGAAAATGTGGCACATATACAACATGGAATACTACGCAGCCACAACAAAGGATGAGTTCGTGTCCTTTGCAGGGACATGGATGAAGCTGGAAACCATCATTCTTAGCAAACTAATACAGGAACAGAAAACCAAACACTGCACGTTCTCACTCATAAGTGGGAGTTGAATAATGAGAACACATGACACAAGGAGGGGAACATCACACACTGGGGCCTGCCAGGGGGAGAGGGGCTAGGGGAGGGATAGCATTAGGAGAAATACCTAATGTAGATGATGGGTTGATGGGTGCAGCAAACCACCGTGGCACTTGTATACCTATGTAACAAACCTGTATGTTCTACACATATATCCCAGAACTTAAAGTATAAAAATAATTTTTTTAAAAAGTTGACGATTTAAAAAAGAAATGACCCTTACCACCCACCACACATGAAAATCCATTCTGGATGATTGTAGATTTAACTGTGAAAAGTGTGAAAGAGAAAATAATAAATCAATTAGAAGATAATCTAAGACTATAACACAGATAATAACTTCAAGACTTTAGGATAGGTAAGGATTTGATAAATTGGGACCAAAAATGACTGTTCATAAGAAAAGATGGATACATTGGATGTTAAAATTAAAAACTTCTTTTCAACACAAACACCATTTAGAGACTATAAAAACAAGCCACAGAGTGAGGAAAGATATTTGCAACACACATAACTAACAAAAGACTTGCATCCAGATAAATAATTTTTAAACTTTTACAAATTAACTATAACTAGATAAACAATGCAATAGAAAAAAGAAGGAAATACTTGAGTGGACACTTCAGGAAAAGGATGTCTGCATATTTTCAATCTTATTTGTAGTCAGAGAAATGCAAATTAAAACCTCAATGAGATACTACTACTATTTACCAAGGAGAATAACTAAAATAAAGAAGAGAGATAATCCTAACTGCTGACATGGATATGTAGCAATAGGATGTCTCTTATATTGCTGGTGGGAGTTAAATTGGGACAATGATTTAGGAAAACTGCTTACATTATCTACTAAAGTTGAACATGTACATACCTATGACACAGATATTGCACTCCAAAGTGTATATTCAACAGAAAGGGGATCATGGTAACCAAAAATATTTCCAAGAATGCCCAGAGCAACATGATTTATAAAAATGAAAAACTAGAAACAATATATTGTGATAAATTCATAAAGTGGAATACTATGAAGCAGTAATACTGAATGAACCACAGTTATTATATTCAATAATATAGATGAATTTCACAAACATAATATGGAGCAAAAGAAGCCAGATGCAAGATTTATACAGATGATTTCATTTATAGAAAGTTGGAAAAGAGACACAACTGAACTCCAATGTTAGAATGAGCGTAACAGTTACATTGGGGAGGAAGAAGGGAGTAGTGATGGGGAGGAGACATCAGAAGACTTCTGGATACTGGAAATATTAGTTTTTAACTTGAATAGTTTTACAGCAATGTTGATCCAAGGACAATTCATTGAGTGGTATGCATTTATGTATAGTAGAGTATTCTCTATGTATCTTAATATTCAATAAACATTAAGATACAAAAGCTCAAACTTTCACCCTATCATGGTATTTGAGAGAAAAAGACAAATAAAATTAGAATGTCTATGAATTAGAAAATTCTGAATAGAAGTAGTAAAACAGTCTATTACACTGGACCTCAGATTTGACATGCAGTAAACTACTCAGCAGACAACTGGTGATTTTCAGTTAAGTATGAGGCACAGGTATTAATGTATCCCTATGGCTACAAAAGTCAGAGATGATTATGTGTGCTCTGTGAGATTCCATTCATTTGAACGGGTATTCAGTGGGTGGTCTCAGCAAATTCCATAACTATCAAGCATTGGAATGAGAAGTGTTTTGGTGATATGATTTACTTTGAGTTATCAATCAATTTAATCAAATTAGTCAAAGTTACTTTTGACCAGGCTTTGGAGAAATATAAACAGTGACTCTTCTGTATGGGATTGTTAGTTGATACAGGACTGAAGTTTTACCCTGATAAACAGACCTTCAGAAACTTATTCCATCAACAAAAATCTATGTGAGTGAGCACAGTTCCTGAAAATGTTCCCATCATCATCATTGGCTATGTCCCATCCTTGGGTACTGAATAAATGATGTTCTTGGAGTTCAGTAGATACAAGATTTCTGAAGAGCTAGCTGCAACTCTCTTAATGGTGTAACTCAAGGATATTAGGTTTTAGCTGGAAAACACACACACACACACACACACACACACACACACACACACACACACCATAAGGGGAAGTCCAAAGAAGAGAAAGAGGGTTGAGTGCTTTTGAACCTTTAAGGATTGATGAAGACACATTAAGCAAATGTTTAAGACTTTCTTATCCTGTTTTATGCATTCAATGGATATATGTTGAGTGCCCTCCATTTCTTGTGACAGGCACTATTCTGAGTGCTAGGAATGATAGAGCAGGAACGAAAACAGATAAAAACCCGATTTCATGGAGCTTATATTTAATTGGAAGAGACAGAATAAAAAATTTTTAAAAACCTATCTTAGAAGTAATGAATGCTATGGAGAAAAATCAAAACAAGGATTAACAATTGTGGAGGGGGGGTTTCGATTTTAAATGGGGTGATCATTGAGAAGGTAACATTTGAGAAAGTACTTGAAAGAGGTAAGGAAGCATGTAAGCATGTATACACACACACGCACATACTCACACACACACAGATAGACACACCTGAAGGAAGAGCAATCCAGGCAGATGGAACAGCCAATGGAAAGGCACTAAGTGGGGAAATGTTTGGCTTCTGTGAAAAACAGCAAGGTCAGCAAGGCTGGAGGGGAGTGGGTGGTGGATAAAATTTTAGAAGACAAGGACAATAGTCATTGCAGAGGGTCTGATCAGATACCACCTTGCAGGCCATTATAGGACTTGGGCTTTTATTCCTATTAATGTGGGAAGCTCTTGGAGGCTTTTGAGCAGAGGATAACTAACATGCTCTGACTTCTGTATTGAAAAGACTGCTTTGACTGCTACATTGAGTACAGACTAAAGTTGGCTGAAAACAGAAGCAGGGAGACCAGTTAGGAGGCAATTACAAGGCCACGTAGGAGATGAGGTGGCCTGGGCCAGGTGTTTGCTGTGAAGATACTGAGAAGGGATCAGATTCTGGATATATTCTGAAGGTAGAGACAAAGGGTATTTAGTAGGTAGACTGTTATTTAGATAGTTTGAACAGCTAACGTGAGAATAACAGAGGAGTCAGAAATGACTCCAAGATTTTTGGCCTGAAACACTGGGAAGATGAAGTTGTCATTTATCGAGATACGGAAAACTGCAGAAAGACCATATTTGGAGGCAAGATCAGGAGCTCAGCTGTGATCACAGTATGTCTGAGATGCCTAAAGGACACCCAGATAGACAGTTGAATAAGTTTTGAGTCAAGGGAGAATTCGGGGCTGATCCTTTAAGCATGTGTTAATCACGCATGTATCGGGTCACTTCTTTACTCTAAACCCTCCTATTATTTCCCAGATATAAACTAGGGAGCTGTCAACATTTGGATGGTTTTTAGAGCCATGACAAAAGATGGGATTACCAAGTGAATGAAAATACCCAAAGAAAGACAGAAGAGGTACAAGAATAGGCCCCGGGTGACTCCAACATAATATCTCACCAGCCCTACCTATAGGGAAAAAATATCCCCCAGGGAATAGGCCAGGGCCATCTAGACTTGTAGGGTTCAAGATGCTCTTTAAGAGGTGTGAGGAAAGCTGCAGTTTGCCTTTGTGTCCATGTTGCTGGTGTTTCCATGAAACAGTAGGGGATCTCTACTACCTCATCTGGGGGTTGAGGACTGGAGTAAAGCAAAACAAGCAGCTGTTAAATTAGGGGAAGTGACAACGCAGTGATAATCTGAAGATCCCAGGTCTTCAGATGAAAGCTCCCTCCTAAAGAGCCAGAATTTAACTTTGAGATTGGCATATATTACAACTGGTTACAGGAACATTGAACTAGGTATCTCCCAGTGGAAAGGAAAACAGAAAGATCTGTTTAACGTTGAAGCTCTGCCCCCATGTTCCTGAGAGCATACTGTGATAACTGTGACCATAGAGAAAAGAAAAAGCCAATAGCTGAAATGAATCAGGTTGTTGGGGGCCTAAGATAAGTAAGTGCAACTTGTTTACATGTAAAACATTTGTCTTGTCAATTTGGGCATTTTATCTGGAAATTATCCAAAGCAGCAATTATCTAGAGCTAGCATGCTAGACTGTTTATCCCTAGACGTGGGTGGGGGATGAGGGGATAGAATGCAGATTTTCATGGCACTTATAGAGTTTGGGAGGTCTCTTTTTTTTGTATTTAAGAAAAAGAATACAAAATTAGGCACGGGGCTGTGGAAGTGACCTATGCGAGTGACGGCCCTAAAGCTATAGTTTTCTTAACTTCACAGAAAATCCACCTCTGACCCTAAACCCAGATGACAGAAACCTTGGGAGCAATAACTGATCACTTAATTTATCATGACCAAGTTTATCTTACAAGTGCCAGGAAGTATTCAGAGTTAGTCAAGCATCATAGGAAAACTCTCCTTTATGTCTATTTCTCACTCAAAGTTATTCAAATAAAAGGAAACATATTAAAGGCACTTAGATAAAGGAAGGCATAGTAAATATTCTTGTTCCATGAAATACCATCTTCTAACCACCTTAACAGATGCAACAGTTGAACAATCTAGCTGTGCTCCGCTGATATTAGAAATACTGTGGTCTGAGCCAAAGGACCAGTGATGGCATCAGGAATTATGTCACTGGCTATATCCTATATATATGTTTACCAGATAAAATACATGATATCCAGCTAAATTTAAATTTCAAATATACAATAAATAATTTTTAGCAAAACTGTACCCCTACATACTTATGCATAGGACATACTTATACTAGAAAAGCACTCATTTTTCTGAAATTCACATTTAACTTGGCATCCCATATTTTTATTTGCTAAGTTTAGTAATGCTACCTACACTGATTTCTGCTTTGGGATACATAATGAGTGATAATTTGGAGAGCCTACTAAACAGAAAATCAAAGGGACAGAGAATAAATATTGTATTAGTAGGTCACATGGTTGCTTCCAACATTGGCCCTGACAGTTATCATTACTCATATAATAATACTCAACTGTCATATCAGAATCTGCAAAAGGGGGCTGAGGGTTGTGCAGAATTTGTGCATATTTAATTGACACAAATTAAATATTAAATATTAATTTAATTAGTAAAAACTATTCACTTTTAACTAATGAAAAGGATGGAAACGCTGCTTTTGTAAATAGGCAGCATTATTGGGAACACAATATTCTACTGCGTTCCCCATCCATAAGTCAAACCATCTGTAAGTCCAGGACTAAGTGTTAACTGTAATTGCTTAAAGCGCAACACTGGTCAAATATGCATAAAGCAGCTAATTGTGAAATATGAGTAATGGGTCTATTTGTTCAATGGGTAAAACTCACTTATCCTCCTTTAACATAGAAAATAGGATTAAATGTAAAACTTATGTCCCAGCTCATAGAGAAACTTACCAGAAACATGTCCAAGTACTTTGTTTACCATCCAACCCTTTTAGTTATATATCTATGAATATTAATATTGTAGTACTTCATACTTTTTAAGTATTTATAGATATACATATCGCTTCTCGGCCTTTTGGCTAAGATCAAGTGTAGTATTTATAGATATACGTATGTTCTTTTATTCCCTCCTCAAAAAATAATATTTTATTCATCATCCCCATTAAAAAGTATGTATTCATTTGACAGATATTTAATGGGTATCGATTATGTGCTTGGAAAACAATAGTGAACACAACAGGAAAAGTTGGTCATTACAGAACTAACCTTCTAGTAAGAAATAAATAATATTTTAAAATAATAATAATAAAATTTCAGTTGGCAATATTGCCATGAAGATATAAAACAGAGCAAGAGAGACAGTGGCTGCTCTTTTAGCTAGGATGGTGAAAACCCATTTGAAGTGGTAACACTTGAGTTAGACATGGAGCTTATATGATAATGATAAACCAGCCAGTGGAAATGGGAATCGCTCGAGAAATGGAGCCACTCCTTGGAGAAGAAATGAGCTTAACAAATGAGCTGCTCATAGAACAGTAAGAACTAGATGACTGTAGCAGAATGAGAAGGGTGTGGAAAGAGCTAAGGTTCAGATGAGGCAGAAGAGGTAGACACGGCAAGGTCACATGGAGCCTTGAAGGGCATACTGAAGAGTTTGGGTTTTTTTATTTCCTTGTTTTTGTTTTTGACTAACAAGGGTTAGTCAAACAGACTAACCTTGGCATAGTGTGTGAGGGAGGGAACTTCACAAGAGTGTGGGTACTCGGAGGCAGGCAGGATCATTGAGGGTCATCTTGGAAGCTGGTCACCACTAATCCCAGATATATCTATATCTATAGATAGATAGATAGATAGATTTAGACAGAGTCTCACTCCATCACCCAGGCTGGAGTGCAGTGGCATGATCTCGGCTCACTGCAACCTCTGCCTCCTGGGTTCAAGCAATTCTCCTGCCTCAGCCTCCCGAGTAGCTGGGATCACAGGCACATGCCACCTTGCCTGACTAATTTTTGTATTTTTAGTGGAGATGAGGTTTCACCATGTTGGCCAGCCTGGTCTCGAACTCCTGACCTCAAGTGATCTGTCTACCTTGGCCTCTCAAAGTGCTGGGATTACAGGCATGAGCCACCACACCCAGCCAAGAGTTTGTATAGTCCAGTGCAATGGGAGGGACCTGAAGGGGTTAGAGCAAGATAGTATTGTGATCCAGTGCATACTGAAAGGATCAATATGGCTATTCAACCAAGAAAAATTGAACAGGGATCAAGGGGAGGAAGACAAAAGTAGAAGTAGACTGGAGGCCAATTGTCTAGGCAATAGATGTTGGGGCCTTGGATGTCACTGTGAAAGGGAGAGAAGTAGTCATGTCTGTTTGAAAGTAGGATCAATTGGACGTGCTGTTAAATTGGCAGTAAGAGGCAAGGGGAAAGATACATAAAGGATAACCATAGAATTTTTACCGGGAAGCTTGGTTGCTATTAACTGAGATGGGAACTGATGTTCATTAAAATTAAAACACATTCCCATAATCACACTTTAAGTACCAGAGCGAAGATTCGAATTCAGTTCTTCCTAATGCTCCAATATTTTGGGGTTGGTGAGCTGATTAATGTCTACTAGTGTGTTTACTTATTTAAAAGTCCCCCTTTTAAGCTAGAAGCTCCTCAGTGACAGAGACTTGGTGATATCTGATATCTAGTCATAGGAACCAGAGGCACATGAATAATGCTTTTTTGAGAACATTTGTAACAAGATATGACAAGTCTATCAGGCCCCATGTTTCCCATCACCCTTGGCTGATTCACCAGTTTTTTTCTTTAAGGCAGCTATAGATGCTTTCTATAGTGTTGGTTTTGAATTCTGCTATGGAAGTACAAATGTCATTTCAGAGGCCTGCAAACTTTCCCCTTCTAAGGAAGTGTATGGGTGCAATTACGAACATATGTTAACGGAAATAAAACACATGCTAATTATTTCCCTACACGCAAAACTGTCTTGATGGAACCATCAACAGCCTTTATTTATTTGAGGAAATCTGACGAAAGAATATCTCATCAGCTATCTCATAACATTCTGTATTTGATTACCAGTCGAAATACTCCAAACTCCACACTAGTTTTTTCTAATTTTTTTAACCCTATAGGTTTTAATACCATGCAATTCTCAACCTCTGCATGACTTTTTTCTCCTTGTAAACAATTAGGAGCCATCTGGTTCCATGGATTTCCCAATCCTCCTGAGAATTTAAACTTAACACACCAAAAGGTTTGATTCGCCCAAGCACTACTATTACATTATTCAACTGGTTTTCTAGTCTTGGATCTTAAACAATATCTTCCTTAGAAAATCAGAAGAAATTTTCTCTTCATACTTCATATAATCCTCTTGCTCTATGTATAATACTAAGCTTTGAGGACCTCCTCAAAGCTATCTTGAAATGATTTACCAAAATATTTGCCAACTTGCCTCTTTCTATGGCAACATATAACTCAAACTGTATCACTTTGTCAATCCCAGTTTTTCTAAGTACCTGTCAAAAAAATTCAAAGGAGTTGGAGTTAGATAGAAAAAGAAACAGATTCCCCTTGGCACCTGTTTGTGCAATGTTGAGCTATGTCTGGGTACCCACTTCAATCTGAAACATTTGCATTCCTGATAAATAGGGGGAGTTTTTTCTGAGAAGGCTAATGAAAACAGAGATCTTTCTCACTCAAGATACTAACCAACTTAAAACACCCTGGCTCAAATCCCTTTCTGATAAACACCAAGATCTTATTATGTAATAAAGTTTATTGATATAGTATTAAATGGCCCATTGAGATGTAGCCTAAGGAAAATTTCTTGGAGATTTTTATTATGGCATATCTGGTAAGAAAGTTGTTTTAAACTTGTCAGGCAAGACATTATCTAAAAGGCTCTTTATTCAGCCTGAGGCAGTGGCTCACGCCTGTAATTCTAGCACTTTGGGAGGCCAAGGCAGGTGGATCACCTGAGGTCAGGAGTTCAAGACCAGCCTGGCCAACAAGTGAAACCCTGTCTCTAATAAAAATACAAAAAATTAGCTGGGCGTGGTGGGATGTGCCTGTAGTCTGTCCCAACTGCTAGGGAGGCTGAGGCAGAAGAATCGCTTGAACCCGGGAGGTGGAGGCTGCAGTGAGCTGAGATCACACCACTGCACTCCAGCCTGGATGACAGTGAGACATCATCTCAAATAAATAAATAAATAAAAATAAAAGGCTCTTTATTCAATAAACACACTTATACACACATAGAAGTGGGAGAGTGGGGGAGAGAGAAGAAAACTTCCAAAGTTACCTAGGTTTTTGTTGGACAAGATTAGATACTATAATGCTCCTCATTCTTATTATTTTTACTCCCCAAAATGAGGGGATAACAACTGAATTTTTCTCGTACACACTAAAGCCACAGTCTCAGAAAAACATATCCCACAATTTAAAGGAAGAGTGGTGATGATGGGTACAGAGGAGGAATTATCTTTCATACAATGCATTAAGATATTCCAAGTGATTTATGGATGTATTTGAGAATTAATGGATTGAAGCTCCTGAAAACTGCTAAGAGAAACTGAAAATGGAAACATTAGTTGTTCACATTAAATCTAAACATGTTTAGAGCAAGTTTAGGGACTATCACTTCTCAATGTGATAGAATAACTGGTACCAAATCTGTCTCTCTGCTGTAAACAGCTAGGAAATTGGACAAAATACATGAGACAGCTGTTTTCAGACGTTAGAAAACAGACACAGCACAGAAGTGTGAGTCTTCACAACAGGAAAAGAAATGAGGTAAGCCCTAGAACCAACATGGCTTTCTGGATGTAGGCACTTCCAAGACTGCAGTAAGAGAGGAGGAACCATGACAAGGCAGATCCAACTTACTGAATTTAATAGACAGAGATCAGAGTTAAAGGAGCTAAAAGAGCTGAAATGTGAGGCACAGAGAGAAAGAACTCCAGAAATCTATACAGGCAGCTATCCTGAGTCCTTCATTGAATATTAGGCTACATATGCATGAAATGAAACTCTGTGAGGCCAGGCAAAAACAGCTACTGGGATTTGTGAGCTGGGGGTTGAGTTGCAGCCAGCCAGAATGGAGGCATTGCTGACCACCCTGAATATTTCCTCGAGCCTCCTGAAGAGGCGTGCTTCAAAAGGATAATTAAATTAGCCCTAAAGAAAAACTTACTCTAGACGCATACTCCCAAACTTAAAAATACGCTTAAAAAGGATCAGGTTGAATGGTAAGTAACTTAACTCCCTGGCAAAACAAAATTCGGCTTTCCAGAGGAAGACTACAAAATCTAGACTTTCTTTTTTTTTTTTTTTGAGACGGACTCTTGCTCTGCTGCCCAGGCTGGAGTGCAGTGGCACGATCTCAGCTCACTGCAACCTCCGCCTCCCAGGTTCACACCATTCTCCTGCCTCAGCCTCCCAAGTAGCTGGGACTACAGGCACCCACCACCACGCCTGGCTAATTTCTTTCTTTCTTTTTTTTTTTATCCTACATCAGTTTTATTTAAAACACAAACAAGTATTTCTCTTTCTGTAAGGGCAAATGGTTCAAATAATGCGGAACACGAAACATTGACTAATACAAGTTTATTTTTTAAAAAAGCAAAAGAATAAAGAATATATACAAAAGGGACCTGGAATCTGTAAGCTGATTCCAAAAGCGAAATAAGTAGAAAATCCGTGGTGAAACCTGAACATTCTACCCCTGCTTTGGAGAAGGGCTATCATACAACATTCAGTCAGCTGAAGATGGATTGGTAGAGGTGTGTCGATACATAAATTTCGAGTCATTTTTGCTTGTGCAGAATCATCCCAATCTTAACAAGACTGAATGGGCAGTCCTGTGGCTTTCTTCCTTTTCCATATTCCCAACAAGGCTACTTGAAGTTCAACTCTTGATGAGCCGCTTACAACAGCAGTTCCTTAGGAGCCAACATGACAGGTGGGTCAGATTTCCCTATGAGAAACAAAACTGGCCACCTACAGCAAAATATCAAAATGAGTAAGTCCTGCCTTCCTCTTCCTCCTGATTATATACAACATATCTCCTTTCAAGACTATTATTTCCATCATGCTTATTCCTTCACAAATCTAAACCTTGAGGTGATATGAAGGAAACCAACATCAAGAAGAGAAAACCCAATTCAGAAATGAAGAAAACTGGCAGGTATACAATACACCCCCAGAGCATCTCAATATCCCTGGCACAGTACAATTCAGTGTACTGCTACAGCCCATAGATAAATATTGGCAGCTTGAATAAGCTCATTTTTTCCCTCAGGTGGTTAAAGGCCACCACATAAATACTGGGCAACAGGGGTTTGTTGGGAGAATTAGAAATAAAAAATTAACCAAATTTTGTCCCTGTGTTAATTCAATGCCAGCAAGGAGGCAAGTACTGAAGAAGAAAAGGAACAATTTTCATACTAAAAAAGAATTCCTCTAATCATGTCACCATCTCATATAATGAATCCAGGGAATCCCAGAAATAGAAAATTAGTTTCAGGGGACCCCTGAGGCACTTTAAAGCCTTTTAAAAAATTACAGTAATAATAAATTAGATATTGCTCTTCAGAGGCCAACAGAGCAGCAGAAGCATCAAGATCAGGTCCAAAGAGTTATGCCCACATTACAGGCTTCCTGAGTTGCTCAGCCCTCTTTAAAGCTTAGTTGAATCTCTAAATACCTTTAAAAAGACATACAATTTAACACAGACTGAGTGGGTATTTTTGTTTAGTGGTAGCATAAAATTTGGCCCTTAATGGTAGCAGCTGTCTTCATCCATTTCAAACTCAGGTAATATTAAGTACATTAAGACAATACATAAAGAATACAACAAAGGAGAAAAAAGCCAAAACTGACAAACACCTCAAGGAGTCACTAAGTTTGCTTGCACCCTTTCACTTGATCTCCCCCTCAGTCTCTTTTTTGTGGAGAGAAGGGTATGACAGAACTTTTTTCTCAAAAGATGATAAACAATGGCATCAAATGGACAAAATGGTTATAAAGTAACTTTAAAAATCTGACCCCAAGGAATCCAGGACACATACAGATAATTCAGAGGTATACTTCTGATTTGGGGCAAATTCTAGACTAAAGAAATGATCATCTCAGGTAAATGTTACAATAGATGAAACTAAGTCCAGTTTTTTGGCGATTTTTTTTTAAAGTGTCCTCACTACCACCTTCAGCTATCAATCATTTCTCATAGCTCAAGCGGAAGGTCATCTTCATCTTTCCCAGGATCCAGGTCAATCTCAGCTTCCAATTTGCCTCCTGAAATCTCCCATGTTAGTTTCTCAAAATCATCCTCCACAGAGAGTGGGGGCTTTCCTGTTGAGGCAGAGCTGAGTCGGCGAGTTTTCATGCTCATTTGGGATGAGGAAGGGCCAGACACCTCCGGGGGTGAGGAATCTGAAGAGGACTGGGTTGGAGGCAGCACAAGACTGTCTCTAGGATTTTCTGCTTCAGGCACAGTGACTGATTTGTCCTCAGAGTCAAGCAGGACAACAGCATCCACAGCTGCCTTTTTGGCTGGGGGTTCCTGTAGGACGCTGCTGGAGCTGAGTGGCTTCACAGCGGCAGTGACAGCAGGGTGCATCTCCACTGCCTTACGTTTTGGGGCCAATTTGGGGGATGACACAACTTTAACCACAGATTGCTTCACGTTCACTGTGGGTTTAGCTTCACCCCTTTTTTCCAAGGTCTGTGCTGACCATTTCACATTCAATAATGAGTCTGCAATCCCTGAGGTTTCTACCTCCACCTTCTGGGATGACTTTGTGGGAAGCTGCTTGGTCAGGTGCCATGTGATTCCTGGCACAGCAGTGAGCACTGGTTTCTCTGCCACTTGGGTATTGCAAGAGGCTACATCTCCCTGAAGAGGTGTCAAGACTGATTTTTCCCTCTCCTGCTGTTTCTGCATGCGCGTCTCTCTCATGATCTCACATCTCTTGACTTGAATTTTAGTGATGTCAACTCCTGTGGTCTCAACTGAAGCCTCTGTAGCTTCCATTCTAACACGGCTCAGAAAATCAACTTCATTTCCTTCCTGAAGTTTCTTCTCTTCTTTCCTCCATGTTCTTTTGGTGATTCGCAGCAGCAACCTTGCCCCTGGAGTGGCCTCATGTTGAGACGGGGAGCTGGTGCTGCTCTCAGAGCTCTGCTGCACCCTCAGTGCCTTCTCCAGTTTAATTTCTTCCACCGTCTTCATGTGCACCTCCTGCATGGACTTTGTTTTACCTGCAGGCTCCTCTGATTGTCCTTTGCTGGCAACAATGGGTGGCAAAACTACTGTTTTTTTAATTTCACTATCAGTCTTTAGCTTGATGCAAGTTGTATCCTTTTTGCTTTTTTGTCTCTCTGCTTCCTGCTGCCTATGTTCTTCTTCAGCCAGGACCTCAGAGAAGGTTTTGATACGGATAGTGGAGGAGCTTCTTGCTCCTGAAGTAGAATCATCAGTTTTTGAAGGTCCTTCTGTCTTGAGTTTAGTTTGCGATTCCCCATGTTTCTGACTGGCTCTTTCAAGAAGCATTTCTTCTAATGTCTTCACATGGATCTCACCAACTTTATTAACTTTATCTGTTGCGTCCTCATTATTTGGATCAGCTGACATGCCTAATCGCTCCTTAAGAGACTTGGAAACTTGAGCTTTCTTTGGTGTTTCGTCAGTGTTAGTTTCTGGAGCTTCAACTTTCTTCCCTAGCCTCTGTGCCAGGCTACGCTTTAATGGAGGATCACTGTCACCGCCTGTCGAAAATTTTCGTTTCCCCAGTGTCTCAGTAAGGCCCAATCTAACCAAGGGTTCTTCTCCTTGTTTGGTGGAGAGAGTTACTGTCCTCACCACAGTCCTGACATTTTCTTTTTCAGGACCTGGAACAGGCTCAGGGTGGAGTAAAAGACTGGAAACTCCTGAAGAACCCTCACCTTGCTCCTCAGATTTTTCCTTCATTTTCTTTGACTTAATTTCCTCAAGAGTTTTTATTCCAAAATGCAAACATTCACCTTGCTTTATATTGACTGCAGGTTTCCGGACAGAAGTCACTCGTAATCCATTGTGAACTTCAGGAGTTGGTTGCAGGGTAGGTGTTTTGGTTTCATCACCTTCCTCAGAAAACTGATCATCATCATCTTCATCATCATCTGCAGCATTAATTACAACTGGTGGATGCTTGGGGCTAGGAACATTTTCGGAACTTTCTACTTTCATAACGCTCCGCAGCTGAGGGGAAGTATTGGACTGGACAGACAATTTGTTCTGCTGAACTGAAAGTTGGCTAGCCTTCACTTCCTCTTCTGGTGACTCAGGCACAGTGGGCAACACACTTTTGCTCGGAGGTAGGAAAAGGCCATCAACATATCGTCCTCTATTGTGATGGAAAACGCAGTTTAATTTTTGACATCCTGTTGGCTGATTTTCCCAATAACAAGGAATTTCACTGCGTTTTTTATCAATCTCCATGTGCCGAAACCTGCACACCCGTCGAAAACAGCGCCCTTCTTGCCATAATGTGCAAACAGTTTCATTGCCTAGTGCAGCTTCACAGTGACGGAATGGGCAGCTGTCACCTTTGGTACATGTAGAATAGAAAAAAAAATAGCAGTCTTCTCCTTGATTAGGCATGCTGGGTAGATTCTTAGATCAGAAGTGGCTTCTTGAAACAAGCCACTGCTTCCTCAAAGCAAGGACCAGGCTCCAAGTCCTCGTGAAATGGGTTTAATCTTCCAAATGACAACTTGATCACAGAAATTGTCTTTAAACTGTAATCATTAGCTGGTTGCTCTCAACAGGAACGTCTGTGTCTTCACTGAGTTCCAATCTATTATGCCTGTAGGTCGAACCAACACTCAATCCATGAATTAATAATAATGAGGCAGAAAAAATTTTCCTCCTCACATTGCCAAGAAAACCTCTCAGCCACAATTCAAACACAGCATGTGTTTTTAAAACATCTCCCAACTACTGGGAGATTAAGTCCATTCAAATAACCTTTGTCAGACTGGAGACAGCAAGGGTTAGTTATCTCCTCAAAAACAAAACAAAAAAAAGAGTTCATTTAAAGATGAACTTGAGAGTCAAAGGATCATGAAAAAAAATCCATCTTCCATAGCTGAACAATATAATCTGAAAAACAAAAAAACATTTTTCAGTAAGATCCAATTTCTGGTCTTCAAGATTTCTTCACACTTAATACTAGTCAATTTTCCAGGAATTTTTTGGGCAGGGAATATCCCCAAATCCTAAAAAGCATCACTATCTCTAGTTCCACAGCCTCCTTCTCAAGGTCCAGAACCTTGAGATGGCCTGGAAGATGTCAACAGTATAGGCCTTCCCCACAGGAATCCGCACCAATTATGGGAGTTTAGGGGTGTTCTTCATTACGGTTTCACCAATCCTACAAGGAGTACGGAAGTGTCCCTGTTGCTCTTGACTCCCATGCTGAGGGCCAGGGGTGGGAGTGTAATGAGGGTGGGGAATGGGTGTAGGATACCGGAATAAGGTTGGTGGCTTTCTGTATGTGGAGTTTGAGACAAGCTCCAAAGTAGTGGGACCCGAACCGATGACACTATCCCCGACTCCCGCTTGCTGCCACGTCTTTCTTCTTGCTTGGCCGCTGCCGTCCGTCGTCCTCCCAGCAGCAGCAGCACTAGCAGAAAACCAAGACTGCCAGCGTCAAAGATGGCGCCCGGCTACAGGCTGCGCTCTAAGGCCCGGCCGGTAAAAGTGCCAGCACGACGCAGGGCGCGAGGGTTCTGGAAGATGTAGTTCCTCTATGACGCGATGCCTAAGATCTAATTTCTTATATCTTTGGTAGAGACGGGGTTTCACCGTGTTAGCCAGGATGGTCTCGATCTCCTGACCTCGTGATCTGCCCGCCTCGGCCTCCCAAAGTGCTGGGATTACAGGCATGAGTTACCACGCCCAGCCCAAAATCTAGACTTTCAATAAAATATTTACAATGTCTAACATCCTAACAAAAATTATTTAAAATGCAAAGGATCAGGAAAGTATAAGCCATAACAAGAGAAAAATAAGTCAATACAAACAGATGCAGAAAGACAGAAATAATAGAATTAGCAGACAAGAACCTTAAAGTAGTTATAGCTGCACACAAGGATTTTAAGGACGATAAAAACACAATGAGGATAAAAATGGAATATACACACACAGAATCAAAAAGCTGGTAAAAAAATTAATAAATTGACAAAGCTTTGTCAAGACCAAAAAAAATTGAATTTACAAAGATTTGTCAAGAAAAGAAAACAAAGAGGCAAGATACAAACTACCAATATCAGGAAAGAGAAAAGGGGTATCACTACAGACGTAATACACGCTACACACATAAATCTGATAACTTAGATGAAATGGACTAATTCCTCAGAAAACACAAACTATCACAAAACACCTAACATAATACAGATAATTTGAATCACCATATAATTCTAAAGAAAATTAAATTTTTAACTTTAAAATTTTTGATAAAGAAATCTCTAATCCCTGAGTATTTTGCTGGAGAATTCTATCAAACATCTTGATGCCTATTCTCCACAAGTTTTTTCAGAAAGTAGAAGAAAAGGGAATGCTTCTTAATTCATTTATGAGGTTAACATTATCCTGGTATCAAACCAGAGAAGGACAGCATGAGAAAATTATAGAATGATGTCTTCCATGAATACAGATACAAAAATCCTAAACAAAATATTAGCAAAAACTTCTGAAATATAAGCAAAGAATTCTGTATCATTACTAAGTGGGATCCAGAGATGGTTTAATATTAGAAAAGTTAGTGTAATCTACCATATCAACAGGCTAAAGAAGAAAAATTATATGATCATCTTGATCAGTTCAGAAAAAGCATTGACTACTCATTGGTGGTAAATAAAAAAATCAGAAAAGTAGGAACAGAAGAAACTTCTTCAATATGATTAAAAGCATCCACACAAAACCTAGAGTTAACATCATACTTAATAATAAAAGACAATGCATTTTCCAAAAGACTGGAAACAAAGGGAATATTCACTCTTACTCAACATAACGCTGGAAGTATTTGCCACTACAATAAGGCAAGAAAAGGAAACAAGGATACAGGTAATTTTTAAAAAAGAAATAAAACTGTCTCTATTTAAAGATTACATTATTGTATACATCGAAAATTCTAAGGACTCTATAAGAAACTCCTAGAATTAAAAAGTGAGTTTATCAAGGGTGCAATATACATGATAAACTTATACAAATTAATTGTATTTCCATATATTAGCAATGAACATGGAAACACCACATTTATAAGAACAGTATTATTTATAATGTCCCCAAAAATTAAAAACTTAGGTGTAGAGCTAAAAAAAAAAAAAAATTACAAGACTTATTTGTTGAAAACTTCAAATGCTGATGAAAGACCAAACAAGATCTAAATAAATGAAGAAACTTCACCATCTTCATAGATTGAAAAACTCAATACAACAAAGATGTCAATTTTTTCCAAATTGATGTTTAGGTTTAATGCAATTCCTATATTGCAATATTTGTTACAGATGTAAACAAAAGTTTATAGGAAAAGGCAAAGGAAATAGAGTAGCTAAAACAATTTTGAAAGAGAAGAATAAATTGGGAAAAATAAGTCCACCCAATTTCAAAATTTACTGTGTAGCTACAGTAATCAAGACAGTGTCACACGGGCAAAGAGATAGACACACGAATCAATGGAACAGAATAGAGAACCCAGTAATAAACCCATGCGAATATACCCAACTGATTTTTGACAAAAGTACAAAAGCGATTTAATAAAAGAAGAATAATCTTTTCAACAAATGGTACCGGAGTAATTGGATATCAGTAGCCAAAAACCTCAACCTAAGTTTTACATATCATACAAAAATTAACTCAAAATGGACCATGGACTCAAAGTAAAATGTCAAACTATAAAGCCTTGTTTTTAAATAGGAGAAAATCTTCAGGATCCAGGGCTAGGCAGAGTTGTTAGGTTTGACACTGAAAGTGCAATCTATAAAAGAAAAAGTTAATAAATTTGACTTGATCAAATTAAAAACTTTTGGTCTATCAAAGACTGTTAAAAAGATGAAAGTCGCAAGCTGGTAGAAAATATTTGTAGACCACATATCTGAGTAGTATTTTGAATATATTATTAAACTCTCAAAACTTAACAGCTAAAATATTTTTAAAATCTAATTAGAAAATGGCATAAGACAAAAAGACACCAAAGAGGATGTACGATGGCAAATTCCACTTCAATGTATTTACCAAATAGAAAACATGTCCACACAAGGACATGTCCACAAGTAATCATAGCAGCTCTAATCACAATGGCCAGAATGGAAACAATCCAAGTGTCCAAAAACAGATAAGTAAAGAAATTGTAATATAACCCTACAATGGAACATTACTCAGCAATAAAAAGTAACATCATAACAACACACTGCAAGACACAAAAACATGGAAGAATCTCAAAATTATTACAACAAATTCAAGAAACCATATATAAAAGAGTCCATACTGGATAATTGTATTTATACAAAATTCTAGCAGAGGCAAAACTATGTTGACAGGGAGAAGATCAGTCATTGCCTAGAGTTAAGGTGGGATATAGGTGGGGACTGACTTCAAAGAGACCTGAGGGAAATTTGGGGTAATGGAAATATTATGTATCTTAGTTGTGGGAATGTTGCTTACACAGGAGCATACAATTGCTGAAACTCATCCAGCTAGAAGATGTTTTGTATATAAATTTTGCCTCAATAAAGTTGATGAAAAATAATGTCCAAAGCATTCAACAAATACAAATACTTAGTAATACACAGGGCCAATTAAATTCTGTAAAACTGGTTTCAGAGCATAGCTAAAAATTAATTAAAAGAAGATGATGAAGCTGACTCTTCCATATACCATGTTACTTCTTCTGTGAAAAACAAAACCATGAACTTAGAAGAGTTCACATTTTTCAAATGTGACCTTATTGTTTATAAAGTCCATATTTCAGGAAGGAAGGAGGGTGCTCACCAGCCAGAGGTTGGGGATTACCAGTATTTTAACTCATGAAAATTATGGGTTTGCTTTCACTCAAGAGTTCTAATTAAGACCCTTGCAAAAATTTTGTGTGTGTGGTCAGGAGGGGAAGAGGTTCCTCCTCCGAGTCAGGGATACAGGGGAAATTTCATGATACTCAGCAGGGGCTGGGGCAGAGCTGACTCGGTAGTCTCAAGAAAGGGTAAATAAACATCAAGAAGGCTATTTCAAAAGAGGGACCAATAACACATCCTAGATAGAGCTCAGAGTGTGTCCATAAAACAGGAAGAACCTATAAAAGGGTCACACTGAGCCTGGGCAACATAGAGAGACTTTAACTCTAAACAATTTTTTAAAGTTAGCCACGTGCAGTGGCATGCATCTGCACCCAGCTACTCGGAAGGCTGGGGCTGGAGGACGGCTAGAGCCCAGGAATTTGACACTGCAGTGAACTATGATAGCACTACTGTACTCCAGCCTGGTCTACAGAGCGAGTTTCTATCTAAAAAAATAATAATAATAAAATAAAATAGAATAAAAGGGTTACAATGTTTGACAAGGAGTGTAAGACATTGAGAATTTATTTGCTGAGACTTTATCTTCCTTGGAAACTACAGGCAGATAGCCCTGTCTTATTATAGTGGGGTCAATGACCTCATTTTTTGGTGGGTCTGAGGCCATCAACCCACACATTCTGGTCAAAAATATTTTCAGAAACCAATTTTTTTTTTTCAAAGAAAAGGCAGAAAAGAAACATTACAAAATGTTAAACTTAGTTGCCTTTGAATGCCAAAAATATGGATACATTTTCACTAACTTTCTATATTTCCAAATATTGTTTTATAAGTATTACTTTTGCAATGGAAAAATATAGCAAACATGTTATTATGGTCTGCATTTATTGGTAATGAAAAAATTTCCAGGGACAACAAATTGTTCTGTTGCACTCTTCTAACTTCTATAAATTTCTGTTACTTTTGCAAGAAAATTACTGCATATTCTAGTCTTTTCTATTAATAAACAAAATGTGCTTTCCTATACCACAAACTATTTTATCCCTGTTGGTTTTTTTTTTTTTTTTCCACTGCATGTGCTCAATACGTCAATGTTCCCTCCTACACACTGTAAGCCACACAGACCACAGCCACCTGGGGAAAAGGGATGGAGTCTTCTGATTGTGTCCACCTAGGGAAGGGATTCATTCTACTTCATCTCAGCCTAGTTCAGTCGCTAATATGCCCAGTTTGTTAATAGCCAAGGGGCTTTTACTCAAGAGGAAAGATCAAGTATCCCAAATAAGCATTAAAAAGGCAACTTAAAAATTATATACATTTATATAATAAATATATTAAAGAAATTCCCCTCCCTCTTCAAATTAAGTTTATCTTTTAAGCTGCTGACAACTGAAGATGCCACTCGATTATGACACAAAAGGAACTGAATATTAAAGGCAAAATTTGCAGCTCTTTACAGGCAAAAAAAGATTTTTCCATGATCCCTTTACACCTTCTTAAGGATTAATAAGCTTAAACACATGCCAATATGCTGCCATGTCAGAATTCAAACAGATGTGCTCAGGAGCAGAGCTTAGGCTTTGGGTTTGAAAATATTTTTGTCTTTCCCTCCTCAGTAAATCATAATTGAAAAATTATTATCAAAAGTATAACTGGTGTATGGCTTTTGGCCATCCTGTACGGTGTCATAAGCTATCTCTGTATTTGTAACAATCATCTCATTTCTTTAAAATAACTCTAAAAGCAATCTTTTAAATTCTTTCTGGCAAGCCCTCCACTTATTTCTTAGCTCAGTGAAGATAAAGTTGTTGTTTGAGAACCTGGAATCCAGCATCCCCTATGATCTAGGTAGCTTTTCTTATGTTCGTGCTGCTGGTGCCATATTATGGAGAGCCCGAATTATGATACTGCTACGTTCTGCCCTCCAACTGACTCAAAGAGGACCAGATGAGGAGTTTGTGTATGTATGTCCTTTAAATGTGAATTCTGTGTTACCTATGAGTACGTTCCAAATAACAAGTTAGTGGATCCTAAAGTCAGATGGAGAGCAGAGCAGATGGACTATTCAGGAAGGAGAAGGAAACACACATTTATTGAGCGTCTCTGAAGGGGGCCAGCCGCTCCACACCTGTGGGTATATCTCATCAGGTGGGATGAGAGACTGAGAAAAGAAACAAGATACAGAGACAAAATGTAGAGAAAGAACACTGGGCCCAGGGGACCGACGCTCAGCATACGGAGGACCTACACTGGCACAGGTCTCTGAGTTCCCTCATTATTGATTACCATTTTCACTATCTCAGCAAGAGGAATGCAGTAGGAGAGCAGGGTGATAGTAGAGAGAAAGTCAGCAAGAAAACATGTGAGCAAAGGAATCTGTGTCACAAATAAGTTCAAGGGAAGGTACTATGCCTGGATGTGCACATAGGCCAGATTTATGCTTCTGTCCACCCAAACTTCTCAGGGGAGTAAAGAGTAACAGAGCAGCATTGCTGCCAACATGTCTTGCCTCCTGCCACAGGGCGGTTTTTCTCCTATCTCAAAATAGAACAAATGTACAATCGGGTTGTATACGGAGACATTCAGTTCCCAGGGGCAGGCAGGAGACAGAGGCCTTCCTCTTACCTCAACTGCAAGAGGCCTTCCTCTTTTACTAATCCTCCTCAGCACAGACCCTTCACGGGTGTCAGGCTGGAGGACGGTCATGTCTTTCCCATCCCATGAGGCCATATCTCAGGCTATCACATGGGGAGAAACCTTGGACAAATACCCGGCTTTCCAGGGCAGAGGTCCCTGCGGCTTTCCGCAGTGCATTGTGCCCCTGGTTTATCGAGAACGGAGAATGGCGATGACTTTTACCAAGCATACTGCCTGTAAACATTTTGTTAACAAGGCACATCCTGCACAGCCCTAGATCCCTTAAACCTTGATTCCATACAACACATGTTTTTATAAGCTCAAGGTGGGCGCAAAGTTACAGATTAACAGCATCTCAGGGCAAAGCAATTGTTCAGGGTACAGGTCAAAATAGAGTTTCTTATGTCTTCCTTTTCTACATAGACACAACCGTCTGATCTCTCTTTCTTTTCCCTACACATCTCCTATGTACCAAGTGCTGGAAATGAATGATGCTCTTGCCATTCATGGTTGACCAGCAGCATCAGCATCACCTGGGAGCCTTTAGAAACTCAGAATCTCAGGTGCCATCCAGACTTGCGTTTTAACAAGATCCGCAGCATTGCATTTATATCATTTCATCTGCATCAAAATCCTGGATAAGGATGGTATTATCTCCATTTTACATTAGGAAATTAAGGATCAGAAAGTTTAAGAAATTTGTATAAAAGTTACAAGATAATAATGAGTAAAGCTGGATTTGGGCCCATTTTAAAACTTACTATATTTCCACTCCACTAGGATAACTCCTAAACCAGACTAAAGCTATGAGACTTAGGTTTCAGTCCAGCTTCCACCATTAATATCTCCCTAGCCTCATACACTACAAGCCGGTTAACCTATCTGAGTCTCATTTTTTTGTCCTGTGTACTTCATGGAATTACTACAAAACAAATGAAATCAATACATGTGAAAACACTTTGTAAAATATATAGCACTGGCCAAAATTAATTTGTTAATGGAATCTTATTTGTGACTCTTTCTCATTCAGTTTTTTCCAAGACATAAAGACCAAGAACAAAACACCAGATGCCAAGGACCTTCACGTTACACAGAGAGAGGCTAAGCTGTCTATGTGGTTTTGAAACTGGCAGGTCAGCCTTAGCCCATCACCCAACTCTAGGGTATAAAACATTTGAAGTTAAAGGGACAGAAGAGTTTTCTCTAGAAAGTGTTTTTAATTGGGGGTGGGGAGACAGAATTTCTCCTGCATCTCAATCTACAGCAAGAGGCTCTAAGAAGACCACACAGAGAATTTATTTGTCCCCTGAAAGGAGACAACTTCATCTGGAAGGAGAAATCTACCATAAATCTCTCCTCCCCTGATGGCTTTCCAGGCTAAAATAATATTATGTTTTAGTATTGCCATGCTGATATTTAAACTGGACAGCAAATGTTAATTATGTATCTTGGGGCTAAAAGTGACTAGTGGACTTTTTAATTATCAAAAAGTGTCTGCAAAGTTAGGACCCTGCCCAAAATTTCAGCCAAAAAGCAAGGAAAAACTAATCCACAGATTTTGTCTAAAGGGACAGTGAGAAAAAAAATAATGTAGTTTGCTGCTTGCACCCAATGGAGAACCGCTCTTTCAATACCCTGGTTACTCTATTATTAGTACCATAAAAACCAATACTAGATAAACAGAAACAATGTTTCCAAAGCAAAAGTCTGGTTTCAAAGATAAAGGTTCGAAGAGAGAGGTGAAACAGGTGAGTCAGCTTTCCTAAATTACCTGCTGTTATCCTAAATCCAAAACCCTAAAGGGCATCCTAATCCATTGTCTGACAGCTGCTAATCAGCCAGATGTAGGAGAGGCTTCCCATCATGAATTGGGCCTAATTCAATTTTTCTGTGAGAAACTATAGAGGTTTAGAGCTGTAGAAAACTTCTTCCCCACAATCAAGTACTAATCCAGCATATGGCATAAGAAGATAGAAGAGCAGCCTCTGCACCCCTCGCAGAAATACCCAATGAGAATGGAGGTATTAGTCAGACTAGTTATGAAAGGAAAAGCTGAGAGCAGAAGTCTAGGCAGACCCAGCACACAGGTCCTGGGGATGTGGACACAGGATCAAGGTCACAGGTTGTTGGCTGTAGATACAGTCACACATGGGTAGCTGAGAAAAGGGGAGATCGATATATGGGTTGGAAAAAAGAAATGGAAAAGATCCAATTTGACCAAGGTGTCCAATTACCATGTGTGTCAGGATGACTTCTAATACATATCTGCATCCCAAACCTTTGTAGGAAGCTCAACGCCATAGATATCTTCTTTCTTTCTCTATCTTCTAATTCCAGCACCACTCCCAATCACTCTTATAGCCATCCAAAAGTCTAAGACTTTTAAAAATAGTCATAGTCTTAACATCCTTAAAATGCTTCCATGGCCTTCACAGCCTTTAGATAATGCCAGGGCTCCTTGGCTGGCCTCCAAGGTCTCTCGTAAACTGGCTCCTACTTACCTCATCTCTCACTGACTCCCATTCCACACCTCACAATCCAGCCAGATGGAACTGCTCAGTTTCCAAACACTTCTTACCTTTGAGCCTTAGCATTTTCTACTCTACAGAGTTTTCCAAGCTGGCTGATGATAAGAATAACCTGAAATGCTTTTTTTTTTTGATTTTTAATAAAATTTTTTTATGCAAAAATCCTCAATAAAATACTGGCAAACCGAATCCAGCAGCACATCAAAAAGCTTATCCATCATGGTTAAGTTGGCTTCATCCCTGGGATGCAAGGCTGGTTCAACATACGCAAATCAATAAATGTAATCCAGCATATAAACAGAACCAAAGACAAAAACCACATGATTATCTCAATAGATGCAGAAAAGGCCTTTGACAAAATTCAACAGCCTTTCATGCTAAAAACTCTCAATAAATTAGGTACTGATGGGACGTATCTCAAAATAATAAGAGCTATTTATGACAAACCCACAGCCAATATCATACTGAATGGGCAAAAACTGGAAGCATTCCCTTTGAAAACTGGCACAAGACAGGGATGCCCTCTCTCACCACTCCTATTCAACATAGTGTTGGAAGTTCTGGCCAGGACAATCAGGCAGGAGAAAGAAATAAAAAGTATTCAATTAGAAAAAGAGGAAGTCAAATTGTCCCTGTTTGCAGATGACATGATTGTATATTTAGAAAACCCCATCGTCTCAGCCCCAAGTCTCCTTAAGCTGATAAGCAACTTCAGCAAAGTCTCAGGATACAAAATCAGTGTGCAAAAATCACAAGCTTCTTATACACCAATAACAGACAAACAGAGAGCCAAATCATGGGTGAATTCCCATTCACAATTGCTTCAAAGAGAATAAAATACCTAGGAATCCAACTTAGAGAGGATGTGAAGGACCTCTTCAAAGAGAACTGAAATGCTTTTTAAAATGCAAATTCCCAGGTTCTACTATAGACCTACAATTCAGAATCAACAGGGAAGGGATTCAAGAATCTGTGTTTTTAACAAGCTCTCCAGGTAAAACTTATCATCTGGCAACTATAGTGTAATTCTATGAGGCAAGGACTCTGTCTGCCTTTTTCATAGTGTTATATCCATAATCCATGATAAGTGCTATTCCCTTTGTGTACAAGGCCTGTCCTCCTCCAATATTTTACCTGGCTGAATGCTGTTTTGTTTAAACAGCACCCAGTACAGTTTGTGTAACGTAATAGACAGTCTACATATATTGAATAGCTAATTAATAAGAAAATAAGTGAGTGCAAAAAATGAGTGGCACAGGAAATTTGGGGAAATGAGATGTGAGGTTACAAGTGGCAGGCAACAGTTGGATGAATGTATCCCACATTGTGGACATCTGGGAGACCCAATTATAGGGATGGGGATTGCAATGGCCTGAATTTTTATGTCCCCTCGAAATTCGTATGTTGAAATCCTAATCCCAAAGGTGATGGTATTAGGACCTAGAGCCTTTGGGAGGTGATTAGGTCATGAGGGTGGAGCCCAGAGAGATCCCTTGTCCCTTCCACCATGTGAGAACACACCAAGAAAACTGCTATCTATGAACCAAGAAGCAGCCCCTCACCAGACACTGAATCTGCCAGCACTTTGATCTTGGACTTCCCGGCCCCCAGAACTGTGGGAAAGAAACATCTGTTGTTTATAAGCCACCCAGTTTATGGTATTTTATTTTAGCATCCTGATAAGATAAAATTTCTGGGTTCAGAAACAATACAGCCAACCCTAGGGAATGGGCTACCAGATAAATGTCTGGTCACTAGAATAAGGACACAATGCAGAAATCTTGCCATTAAGAAAATGGGGAAGAGGATAGAGAATTTGTTTTCTGGAGAAATAATTACGGGGCAGAGATTCAGCCACAGCAAGGTTTAGAAACAATGTAAGAACCCAATAACTTGGAAGAGCGTTGCTGAAATTTGAGAGGTACTAGTCACAAGATGTTCCTAATGATGAATTACTGAGGTCCCCTCAGAAGGCAGAACTGGGGTTGGGCTGGCACATAGTCACATCTACAGGAGAGTGCTGTAACCCACCTCTAAAGATTAGGAGGAGATTCAGGGTTCAAGAGCCTGGCGATCACTTCTATCGTCCACTCTTCTCCTTCCTCAGGTACAAGAGAGATCATCAAATTTATTGAATTGTTCCTGTATTATTATCAACTAAGAAAGTAATTTTCTGGAGTTGTAAGTTATAGAAGAAAAGATAAATATTGATTTAGTAATACTTGAAAGTATGTGGAGACATAAATCTTAAAGTTCAGGAAAATCTGAAAGCTGGACAAATAGAGAAACAAGAAAGAAATCAAGAAGACTTCAGGCTATGCTCTTTAGATATCAGACCCACCTGGTGAAGCTGGACATGCTTGTTAATTTTCCATAGCTACATTTATTTATATAATTAAAAATTCATCCATAAAGCCTCATTGGTGGTGAGAAGACAAGAAAGAAGAAAGCCAGGGTATATTTGAAGTTTTGTGAAGCTCTCAAACTCTCCCCTTCATCCGTCCCAGATAGAAGTGGAGGGGCTTGGAGACTCAGAAAGAAAGAAAACTATGAAACTTACAAGTTGTAACCACTTTTCCATTCATGTTTAAACCATGTGTATTTCAGCAGAAATGTAGCCCATGTAATACTGATTCATTTTCTCTGTAATCATCAAACTACTCTTTTCCAGGAGGAATTTAATGTCCACAAAGAGTTTTCAGCCTTTTCAGAAAGATTTTTAATCCACTCTCCTCATAAAAACAGGAAGCTACATTTGCCAATTGTCAACGGACTCAATCATGAAAAGTTCAGATTCTCTTCAAATTTTCAAGGCCATAAATTTCAGTAGATTTTCATTGTGGTAATTAGGTTCCCTAACCCCACAAAGAAAGGACAGTGTTTGCTCAGATGGGCGAGTCGGTTTCCCACAGGGGTTACCAGAGCTGACCTCACCCAGCAGGTAGGGTTCCTGGTCATCGTACACTGTCCCCCTGTCCTTCACTTTTCCATGGTAATCTTGCTCCTTCTTTCTTCCTCTCCTGATTTTATTCTCTCCCTTTCCACATTTATTTCCACAATGAAGAATATTTGATATTTTATTTATATCAGGCTCTATTCTACTCAACATGGTTATCAATGACTTGGATGAGGGATTACAGGCAGCTCAGATGCTTATAAAGTATGAGATAAAGTGTGAGATATTAAAATAAAAGGACAGGATAATCTTTTAAATGATAGAGATGGCTGGTTCTAATAACATACTGAGTTTTAATGAAAAATAAAAGTGTTTTTCTTAGGTATAAAATATCTGTATGTAGATATATAAACACACAGGAAAGAGTGCAATTTTTTAGGAGGTCACAGTTTAAGAGGAACTTCAGCAAACTAAAGTGTTTCCAGTGCAGGAAAATCTAGATGGGAATGAATCTAAATGGCTTAATGTTATAGGAATTGGGATGATTAAGCCTGAAAATGAGAAGACTTTAAGGGCATAAGACCACTCTTCAAATAAATTAGAAGGCTAGTGAACAACTGCCAATACATTTTATAGTCAGATTTATATCGACACCACTGAACTAGATGGTTCCCAAAATCTTTTCTAGATATGAGATTCTGTGTTCTTCTCCACCACGGGCTATTCCAACCTTCTCCTTCAGAGCACCTCCACCAGTCTAGAAATGTACAAATACTAACAACTGGTTTGGAATGCCCCAATATAAAATTTTCAATGTCAAAGATGGTTCTGGCTTTCACATCAACTTTTTGATAGTTTTGTTTTGTTTTCTCAGACTCTTCTAAAAGGTCTGCCTGACTACACAGAAGTTATTTTCTATAAGACTAAAACATATAAAGAAATTCATGCCTAAACTTGAAGCATCTCATCAATTTGTAATCAAGTCTCTTTTGCATAGACATGTTGCTCAAGTCTTTTAAAAAACATCCACAAGCAATTTCTTCTCTCCTTTCAGGATTTTTAACCACTGGAATGAGCAGCAAGAAATGGGAAATGAATTCAATGATGGGAGAAAATAACGGTCATGGTTTCTTATGACATTTAAGAAAATGGGAAAGTA
Organism: Homo sapiens; assembly: GCF_000001405.40. Classification (NCBI taxonomy): domain Eukaryota; kingdom Metazoa; phylum Chordata; class Mammalia; order Primates; family Hominidae; genus Homo; species Homo sapiens. The sequence goes on from NC_000001.11 coordinate 219,625,695, forward strand.
GGATAAACTCATCTAAGTAACTATTCTAAAGGTTGAGTATTTGGCCCCTTTCTTGTCCAACATAACCATTAACAGTTGTGACCCAAGGAGTTCCAGGACATAAGGCTGAGCATTTGAATGACAAGCTAGGAGGGTGCCTGGTGGTGAGCACTCACTGTGTGCATGTGTGCCATCCAAAATGTTTCATATGGGAAAACTAAGACAAGAAAGTTAATTAACTTTACAAGATAGAAGGAAAAAAAAAGTCCATTTTCACTTCAGTTTACCACTGTGAGAATTGAAAAGATTCCACTTCCAAGAAAACTATTAATTTCTACAGTGTCAGCATGCTTTTTATAAACTGCATTTTTATGATACCATGCTTGGTGTTGGAAACATTTTATACTCCAGAGGAAAGTCTAAGTTTTTGCAAAGTGGAGGAACAGTATCATATTTAAACCATTTGATCTATTTTTAAAAACACTGTAGTTAAGCCTACAGAATGTCTTTTAAAGTATTTTAAATAGAGCCTTTTACAAGACATCTCAAACGGGTAATATTCTGCTCCGTCTCTCCTTTGTCTTGCTTTCTGCACATTCTGTGTGTTCCAAGAATGTGCGCTGTCCACAGAGTCAGATTGCTGGATGTCCAATCCACAACCCACATATCGATAGAGACTCCTCAAGCTCCAGCATGAATTAATCCGCTGCCTACCACATCCTCTTTTGGAAGAAGAAGAGCAATCAATGTGATTAAATAATGGGAAAGAGTTTTTGCAAGAAAAGTTTAAAGGAACTGGAGGTGTTTCACCTACAGAAGAGAAACAGTGATTTGTACACAGCTCTTCAGTCACTGAAGATTTCTTTTCTAAAGGCAGTAAATAATTATGTTCCACATCCACAGAGAATCAACAACAACAACAACAAAAAAAACTGTGTTTAAGTTATATCCAGAGAGTTTACCATTGAGCAAAAAAAGGTATTTTCAAGGTTTGAGTGATAAAGCAGTAAAATGATCTCTTCTAGGAGGTTATAGAGCCTGTCCTGCTAAAGAGCTTCCATAAGAGAAGAGTTGCCCCCACGTCTTGAATGGTGTAAATAAAGAAGGTCTGTGACTAAAATGCAGAAGTGGGACCTTGTGGCCCAATAACCCAAGACAGAGATGAATATATCCTGTTATAAAGGCCTGTAAGAAAAGTATTCTTGGAATTTGCCTTGGTAGTACATTCTAGTACTTAGCAACCTTCCCTATCAGGGAATTCCTTTTCCGAGGCTCAAAGCTCATGTGTTACATTCAGATCTTTCTCTATGAGAGTGAGGATGTATAACACACCCTTGAGTGGCCCTTGTAGATGCGTTGCCAGCTTCCACCTCAGTATGGTAGTGGTCTATCTAGGCTATTGTCTAATGTGCCCATCACAGGGCCATAAATAGAAGAGCCCTTCATAGAGCACATACCTGATTCTTCTGACCATGAGGAAAAGAGTCACATGTGCTCTTGGCTGACCTCAAAAGAGATGTAGCATCAAATTCAACTGACCTCAAGTACATTTTTAGTAACTCTTATTTCCACAGCTCTAGGCTAAGTGCTGGCCAGAAACATAAAAATTATAAGTCATATTGTCAGCCTCAAGTTGCTAAAACATTTGGGGTAAAAATAAGACATACGCATATTAAAGAGATAAGAGTGAAACAGCTTTTGTTAAACGACACTGTGACAGGATGAAAAAGTACTGAAGAAATCAAAGACGACAGGGACATCTGCAGAGTAGAGTAGCTGGGAAAGGCTTCATGGAGGAGATGGGACCAAGTTTGGAAATTTGAATACCTGTCTTGCTTAATTTTTCATCTAAGTGACTTCCCAGACTTCTCTTTGTCCTCTGTAAAGTATATTGACCGATACCCGCAAGCAGCTGATCACTTTTAGTTTGTAGTGACTTGCTTCTAAAAGTGAACGTTTTTATACCAGCTGAATTTGTTTTTACAGTTTAGTAAAATATTATATAAATGGATGAAACAGTAAAAAAAAATTCCTAGAAAAGCTAACTTATATACCTTGAAAATCGCTGATATATATGAGTTGCTTAAAAATATTCTCCCATGTAGGTATTGGTGAAATAACTGTAAAGAAAGGTAACTGTTAATAAAATTAGAAGATTTCTAGACACAGATTGCTTCATGAGTATTTTTCTGTTCTTAGTCCACTTTAAAGAAATCCAATTGGAAATCATAAGCTATGTAAAGAAGACAACATGAGCTCTAATCCCTGAACTCATACTCAGAAAACATAAATTAGCCTTGATCATACATTTTTAAGTTATTCTGTGCTCAGTTATATGTTTTTACAATAAAATGAAATATTAAAATATATGCTACCATTTTTAATGATCCTCTTCTTTAAGTGACTTAATTAACCTGTCAACTACTTATTCGATAGCATAAGCACGGTTAATAGGGCTTTTGTTGGCAAAACTAACCTAAGAAGCACTGGACCAGAGGGACAAGGACGTGGTTTCTAGTTTTGCCTTCTCATTGGAACTTGGTCAAGACAATTCCTTGCCTGGCTGGCTCCAGTTTTATACTCCATAAAGTAACTGTGGTAAATTAGGTCTCTCTACAGAACACCTCCCCGCCCACCGTCCACACCAAGCCTTGGCATTCTGCAAATCAATGATACCAGCTTTCATAAGCCCTTGGTGCATTGCAAACCTATAACACAGACTTGTTAACTAACAATCATTTGCACTTTTTACTGTCCTGACATAGCACATTTTTAAATGTTCCAGTCTTCCAGTGCCCCTAGAACTGATCTTATTTCTCCTTATGACTGCTTTTTTCTCAGAGAAAGTGTAGTATTTAAATTTTGATCTCCACTGGGTTTGAAGCAGAATAGAGAGCAAGGTGTGTGAGAAAACGACACTTCCCACAAGTGAAAAAATATGAGAGACAGTTACTATGGGGGTTTAACTTTAGGCAAAAACAAATCCTTGAGGCTTTTGGCCTGTACCTCAAGAAGAGATCTGAGAAATATGCTAAGTCATTTTTATATAAACCAGGATGCATCCTTCCCAACAAAGAAGCGCTGCTACATCCTTAGCTGGGGAGAAAAAAAAAAAAGGACTGTAAAATGCAAATAAATTGAGGAGGATACCAAATGAGGTATGATTGCATGTACTGGATCGTGGAAATAAGTGGGAGATTAGTGGAAAAACTGTCGAAATCTGAATAAATATTGTAGTCTAATTAATAGTAATGTACTAAGGTTAATTTTTTAGTTTTGACAAATATATCATGGTTATGTGGGATGTTAAAATGAGGAGAAGCTGGGTATAGAATACACAGGAATTCTCTGTACTAACTTTGCAATTTTTCTGTAAATCTAAAGTTATTCTAAAATAAAACATTCATACTCCAAAAAATTAGAGGTGCAAAAGATGACAGAGACTTACAGAGAGTGAGAGTTTCAGGGAGAGAGAGAGAGAGTGCAAAAAGAGGGTATTAGGTGAAGAAGGGAAGGACACAGACAGCCAGAGAAGTGGGACTATATTATAGAGAATTTTAGCTCATGGTTGGTTTCTATTTACTTCCTTTGCAGTCTTGTTAGTCTGTGCCTTTAAGGAAGTTGGATACAAGTATTCAACCATTTTCTGCTAAAATGGTGCACTGTAATAAAAGCACCTCCTCCTCAACCCACTTACTGCTACATCAAACACTACAAGGATGGGAAGAGAAATTCTGCAATTTATACTTTATTTGCATAAAAACAAGATTTAGTAATGAAGAGTATCCCATGCTGTTACCCTTGCCCAAGTTGTCACCCAGGAAAATTATTTTTCCAGAAAAACTGGAAATCCCCCTGAGTCACCCCATTCCCTTGCTCTGATATTGGGTTTCCTCTGAAAAGTGCCTTGTGGCATGATTGTGTTACCCTTGGGTTTAGAGATTACCACAGCAACCCAGGGAAGGAAATGTTTGCCCATCCTCCTACTGACAAGGACCAGAATCCTGTAAAATCCAACTTTTTTTGCTATCTTTTAATTGGGATGACTCCCTTCCAGGGGACCTAGATTACTCATAGGCCCAAAATACATTCCTGTAAGTTATCAAAGCCCAATTTGGAGAAGAAAATATTTGCCAAAGCCTACATAGTGGCATGGCTATCAGCCCAGAAAGGCAATGACCAAGTAGCTCACACATGGAGAAATTAAAGAATATATATTTTCCACTGAAAAGCAGAGAGATATTCACAGATGGGTTTTCCATGGGTCTTTTGCAGATGTGGAGTAATACATGTTCATGGTCTTTTCAGCTGCCTTTCCCCTTTCTATCTAAGCTTCTCCTTCCATCTAGCGCCAGTGGAGCCAAAGTGATAGAAGGAGGAAAGAAAGGAGAAGGTTATCTAAGAAAACACAATCTTAGGTGCCTCTAGAGGAAATATGGCTACTTTGTGAACTCTTTTTCCTCTTTATGCTCCAGAATCCTATTCCTAGTTATATCATGCATTCTGTACTATTGGTTCAATTGAATCAAATAGCATTACATAAAAATAGAATTTTAGTGCTAGAGTTTGCCATCTCATCCAATTCTTTTATTATTTGGACATATAGCCACAAAAATAAAATAAGAAAGATAAGTGCATATCAAAGCAGTTAGTGGGGGCAGGACTGCTCCTCTCATTTATGGCCGTTATCATCCACAAAAAAATATTAAACATGGACCGTAGCTGCATGGAGCCTGGGAAAATGAGTCAAGGACCGGACCAACTGCTGTATGGTGAGAGCTGACAAGCAGACATGTCAGCGTTTACCTGGGGTAAGACAGCCAAAAGCAGGCAAGATATACAATACCATATACTTAGAAAACCTTGAGTGAGCCACAGCCAGTCTATATTTTAAAATATTGATTTAAATTCCAACCTCAGAACATTCACTTCTAAGGAACAGAGAAAGCTTATGCAGTTCAAATTCCAATTTGAAATATAAATAAGGACTTTTACAACTCTTATGGTGGTACATGAACTGTAAAACAAATTCTCTTTAGCCGCACTCTATGTGTATATCTTTTGCATAAAAGTTTCTTCATTGGAAATCTTTTAAGTGATGAATGGTGCAGAATGATCATATGTCGTCAGGCCTCAGAGAGTCATGAGAGGAGAAGGGGACTAAAAGACAGAAAAAGAAAAACTTCTGTCTTTCCAATGCTTTCAGAATGGTGCTCCTCCTTAGGGAAAGTTGCCTGTAACTTCAAGTAAGGCTTCTGTGGCAGCAGGCATACAGAGGTAAGTACACCTACTTCAGGGGGCTCACCTAGGACAGCTTAATGAGTTACTGATCTCCTAAAAGCATCTAGAGGCCCAACTACTTTGTGGGAGTGGAGGAGGGAAATAGGTAGGGCTAATCCCATCCCTAAGGACAAAATAAAATAAAAGGTGATCACTCAGCCACACAGAGTAGAGGAAACTACTCTATTGCCTGTGTGGGTGAAGTCCAAACATTGCAGGCTGGAAGTAGATCCCAAAATACAATATATTCCTTTCTCCATTCAAAGACATCTGAAAGAAAAATAATGCAGTCCTCAAATTTTATCCCACTCAGAAAATAGCCCTCTACATGAGGAGCATTGTTGTTCAAAAAATGCCCTTGAGATCCATGCCTCATAAGTAACACCGCCTTATAATGAGGTATTGTTTGCCCCTTTGTTTCTAACTCCCCTCAAATGGTATCAAAGATCATCCTGCCTCAGACTGGATTCCATTCAATATTAAGACATCATACTGAGGTTTTGGCATTTATTTAAGAGCCAAAGGACAAACAGCCAGCTGTCGGTAGCATTTTTTATGTTCTATCATTTATAACCAGAAAGCAACGATTTTGACCACTTTATGATATGCAGCCACTAAAAGCCATATATTCAACTAGAAAAGCTTAAGTAATCACTGAACCTTGCTTAAAATCCAGAGAGAAAAGCTGCTTCATTTAAATATTGGTAAATGCTTAGCATAAGCTAGGGGTCAGCAAACTATAACCCAGGGTCTGGCCCTACTGCTTGTTTTTATAAATAAAGTATCACTGGAAAACAGGCATGCCCATTCATAGACTTCTTGTCTATAGCTACATTCACAATACGATGGCAAAATTGCGTAGTAGTTGCCCCAGAAACCGTATAGCCCCCAAAACCAAAAATACTGACTATCTGACCTTTTTCAGAAAACATTTGCTGACCCTTGGATAAGCCATAACTTTTTCTTTTCAATAAGGTTATCTTCATTCCGGAACAGAGAAAAATATCTCTTAAAAGACAAAATAATCTCTTCTGAATGGGCTTAGGTTAAATATATCTCTAAAGGTATGTGCATTATTCTGCATAATAAAATCAGTTCTCCACATTTACTTCCTCTCTGATGGAAGTCGTCTATTCTACCATATTGGAGCAAGGGCAAAGTCATGAAGGCATTCAGTCTTTGTATACTGTAAATTAAATTGGACTCTACAATAGCTTTTGTTTGAAGAATGTTTAAAGACACCATCATAGCTTGTTCTCATGGTCATGCGTTTTTCTTCAGAAATAAGTAGAAGTTTTATTGAATCATTTTCATTGATTAAGAAATCATCTGAAGATTGTGGAGAGGCCACGATGATTTTTAATTGGGTTTTTTTTTTTTATTTCACACAGTCTTCATGATGAGGGAATGTAAAAAGAATTATACTCTAGCTCTCTCAACATAATTCCCTGAAGAGCATACATTCTGATTGACTCCTTTTTGACTAAAAAAGCATTTTGTGTGTCTTTCTATATTATCCATTTAGCTAAAAGAGACAGATGAAAAATGAATAAAATAAACTCTGCTCCATTTCAATAGTTTCTTTTTAGTTGTTTTTATTTTGCTTAACCAAGTCACTTGGCCTCAGTTACCCCGGTCATGGGAGCTTTGTTCATGCTGGATACCCTTCACTCTAATCCTCAAAGCCTCATATCCTGTTTTTCAGTCTTTCTCTTGACTTTAGCAGATGTTGTCTATTAATGTGTCTGAGAGCTTAGGACGTTTCAATTATGGACCAAAGAAACAGGCTATTTTCACTCCTGTGCTTCCATGAAGTTACTGTCCATTTGTCATTTGCAAGAGTGTGATTATCAGTACAAATAAATTGCAAATTGAAAGATGTGGAATGAACCGGCCATCCAGACTCAGATTCTGTGGATCAGAAAGCAGAAATGTTCCTGTTGTCCCACTTTATTCATCAAACCTTGTAAGTCTTATTGGTCTAACTTGATCCAGGCAAAGCTTCCTTGTTTTTAAAATCTGGCATCCATTCGACTTACCTTGTTTAGGTTTCAAAACACAGTATAAATCAAGAGACAAGCTGTGAATGTGTATAGAGTATGTGAAAAAGAAGGCAGGTATTCTGGTCTGGCTGAGTGTAAGATCACTGCGGGAAGTTGGTGAAGATGAGGCTGGAAGAGGTAGAGTGAATCCTGATTACCTTGTTAAGGCATTGCTTATTCTCAAGGCCATGGAGAACCAATGAAAATGTTTAAACAGTCAAGACAACTGGGTTCTGAAGTTCCATTCATTTCTCATTAGCTGACTGCTTTTGGACATTATTTGACCAGTTTGTATTTAAGTTTTACCAGCAGTTGAAGGAAGAAAGTAAAACTTACATTATATGACTTGCAGTATTGTTTAAAGAAGAAAATGAAATGTGCTTACAAAATATATGTAATGATAAGGTTTTACAATTATCACTATATTCATCATAATGCCCCAAGTTATTCAATCAAGTTCAGTTCCACTTTAGCAGAGTAGACCTGAAATGCCTAGGCTTGAATCCTGGCTTCATGACTTCCTGTGTGACTTATCTAACCCTCAAATTCCTCACTCAAAAAATGGAGATACTTAATAGTACCTACTTCCAACCTACTAAACAGTAAATATCTAGGATGGAAATTACATGAGACAATTCACATATAGCACTCAGGACAAGGTTTCACATGTAATAAGAGATAAGGGTTAGCTTTGTCATTATAATAATTAATAGCTCACAATGGGAATGTTATATGAGCATGAAGGAGAGAGCTACAACATTATCCCACAGCACTGTGGAGTATGCACAGAGTAATTCCAGTGGATAAATTATACTAGTTGATAGATGCCTTTCTTGGCTTGATGAGTAGTGCACATACAAGCTGCTCAAGAAATGTTAGTTCCTGCATTCAATAAGCATTCAATAAATATGTGCTGAGTGTCTAATTCATACCACTCAATGTGGAATATACACTGAGCAAGATAATCTATAGTTTGGATTTTACGAGCCAAAAAACAAACAGTGGGGGTTGCTAAAGGAATGCATTTCAGGGCTGCCTAGTGCAGTCCAGGAGGGTAAGAGAAGGCTTCCTGGGAGGCAATAATGTCTAAGGTGAGACTTGAAGTAGGAAAAGGAGTTGGCCATGTAAAGCAGGCTGGGACAGGAAGAATATTTCATCAGAGGCAACAAGATATGGGACGTCTCTGAGATAAGAGTGATCGTGGTGATCCGTATACTGAAGGACAATTAATATGGCTAGCGAGTAGGATATGATGGGGAAATGTGGTGGCAGTAAGAAGGATTCTGATGGCAGAGGGTACTGGATGTAGGTGGATGCACTTAGGCATTATTCTGAAGGCAACAAGAAGCAATTAAAGGGTTTCAAGCAAGGGAATGTGAAATAATTATCTTTGCGTTTGACAAAAACGTAAAACAAATGAAGTCTTTCTTTTTTCTGTGTGGAAACTGAAGTTATCTGGCTGAAAGGTGATGGTTGTTTCTATTTTTAAATCTTAACATTCAGCCATAAAGGACAGCAGCACATAGGTTTGAGATATCTGGGAAAAATAATTGAGGAATTGAAGGGGGAAATGAGGCTGAGGGAGGGATTGCTTACTAAGCCACACATTTCTTAGAGTAGATGAAGGTCTTGTTTCTATTTCTGAATTCCAATTGTTTTCAGTGATCAGGAATCATATTGTTTCAATATAAAAGCATTGCATGTGACAGAAATAAAAGAAAAAATTCAATATTAAGTTATGTGCTGTTACCCTTCCCATCTCCCTCACCCTTACCTGCCTTCCAAGAAAGAAGGACTCTTCCTTTCAGGTTCAGTTTTTAGATTCTCCTTTGCTGCAAGGAATGCAAGGAAAAAGCTCCAGCAGAAAAATTGAAAGATATCTCAGGGACCAAGCCAGTTTATCTAATAAGTAATTGAGCCAGAAAGAGGAGGAAAGAAGTAAGAAACATAGCTGGGTTTGCAAAAGTTTGGGAAAGCTTGACGTGGTTGTTGAGGAATACTTGGGAGTGCAGTAAAGTGTAGGAGACATTAAGAATAAGGATAATACAGGCTGGGCACAGTGGCTCATGTCTGTAATCCCATCACTTTGGGAGGCCGAGACAGGCGGGTCACTTGAGGTCAGGAGCTAGAGACCAGCCTGAGCAACATGGTGAAACCCCATCTCTACAAAAATACAAAAGTTAGCCACGCATGGTAGTACGCGCCTGTAATCCCAGCTACTCAGGAGGCTGAGGCAGGAGAATTGCTTGAATCTGGGAGGTGGAGGTTGCACTGAGCCTAGATCACACCACTGCACTCCAGCCTGGGTGACAGAGTGAGACTGTTCGTCTCCAAAAAAGAGGGAAAAAAAAAAAGATAAATACAGAAAAGCACTATAAGAAGTGTTTCTGTATTATAAATTATGTAATCACGAAGTATAATAAGTAAATTGTTTTTCAATTATTTTAAACGTAGGAGTTGCATTTCCCTGATTACAACATCATGCTGAAGTGGGTCTACAACCCCTCTAAATTATGGAAAGTTTATCTATATAATAAGGAGGCTTACCCAGAACTTAAAAAGATCCATTTCCAGAAAGACCTCCTCAGAATTCTTGCCAAGGAGGAAAGAAAAGAGAAAGAAAAAAGTCATCTTTTTTTTTTTTTACATCGAAATACATAGGATGTAAAGTAAGAATTTTGGCAGACACTGGTCTTTCCCTTCTAATGTATGCTCACTTAATAATATTTAATAAGAATGTTCTCGAGAAAGATAAATGAAAAGGAAGCTCCAAGGAAAAAAAAATGCAGACCCAGGATGCCCTGAGCAGCAGCATAACAAAGGGTGAGAAATCACAGGATAATCATTATCTGCTCAGAACAGAGCAGAGGAAGGGTTTGTGTTCTATTGCCGCTTAAAATATTTTACATAAATGAATCAACCAAAGAGTGGAAGCTAAATCAAACAATTTCACAGACTAAAAACAGGAAATCTAAAACCACAGAAACGAGAAAAAAATACTGCTTTAATTGACAACAATTTCAATGTGATTCATAAGAAATCATCTTATTTCTTATATGATTTCAATGTGATTCATAAGAAATCACATTGAAATTGTTGTAGAAGAATGCAATTACTTCAAGCAAACAATTATCCAACCTGTTTTAGAGAAGGAATGTTTAGGAGCATAGGAGAGCATGTAGCCCAAGGAGCGCATGACCAGGGGGCTCTGCTTTGCAAAACTATGTCTCTGTATCTAAAGTTTAAACTGGGCCAGGCACAGTGGCTCATGCCTGTAATACCAATACTTTTGGAGGCCAAAATGGGAGGGTGTTTGAGCCCAGGAGTTTAAGACTTGCCTGAGGAGTTTAAGACCCGCCTGGGCAATTTAGTGTGACCTCATCTCTATGAAAACCTTAAAAAACTAGCCAGGCAATGGTGGCACACCCCTGCAGTCCAAGCTACTTGAGAAGCTGAGGTGGGAGGATCGCTTGAACCCAAAGGCGGAAGTTGCAGTGAGCTGTAATCATGCCACTGCGCTCCAGCTTGAGCAACAGAGCAAGACCCTGTCTCAAAAAATAAAATCAAATAAAGTTTAAGTTTATAATGTTTACATGGGAGGATTAGGATTTGGGATGTTTTATTATTTTTTATTCTAAAAACAATAATGAAATTGTCTCTGAATAAATATTGTACCCAGTACACTGTTTAGGGAATACAAAATTGGGTGTAACTGCTGCATAGAGCCCTGGTGCCACCCAAATGGCTAAAAAGCTGTGTTTTCATTCCAGAGCTAGACTATGTGAAAAGGGAAAATTGTGTGTGAGAAAGAAATGTATTTGGATACTGGATCTTCAGTCAGCATTCACATCTATGGAAAAACTGAGATATTCTATTTTTAAACTTCAATGTTCAGCCATAAAAGAAAATCAGTTTGAATATGCATCATTGGAATTGAGTTTCTTCAATTTGTTCCATACACTAAGCACCAGTTACCAGCTCTACACCGTTTGGCAGCTCCCATCAGAATCCAACAGCAAGACACTTACACTATTTTACAAATATCAAAACAATAGAGTGTGTGGTCCTCGTTCATCAGCAGGATACGCCAGTACATGAACACACTTTCCTCCCTGTAGTCCACCAAAGAAGCATGGAAAAAATGCGATCCAATCCCTGCATTGTACAAATGTGGTGACCACGTGACTTGTCAGGAAGAAGAATGCTGGAACAACTTCCAATTACTCAACCCAGGTTATCTCCAAAGGAAGATGCAGATGATCATTAATCTGTATATGCTAAAGATAATCAATACTTTCTTCCCAAACTCCTACCACCCATGAGAGAGAATCAGAATCAACGATAAAGTCACCACAATTTCACTCTACTTTTACTTCAAAATGATTATCCCAGCTTGGCGAATAAGTTATCATTTTTATTTAAAAAGTAAGCTGAGCAAGGTAAGATGCCCTTCCACAAATTTCCTAGGCTATTAATAAGCATTAAAACCCAGAAGTCCGAATTCCCAGTCCAATGCTTATCCCAAATTCCCAGTCCAATGCTTATCCCACAAGACTGTAGAGTTTCCTGCAGCCTCCCCTCCATACGGGCTAGAGCAGCATTTCTCAACCCTGACACTATTGACAATTTGGACCAGATAATTATTTGTTGGGAAGTGAGGAGGGAAGCTGTCCTGTGCATTGTAGGGTGTTCAGCAGCACTACTGGCCTCTACCCACTAAACACCAGTAGTACTCCCCAGTTGTGATGACCAAAAATGTCTTCAGACATTGCCAAATGTTTCCTAGAAGGCAGGATCACTCGGTTGAGAATCTCTGGGCTACAGCAATATGAAATTATCTCTTAAATTATCAATAAAGTAGATGAGTCCATTTTATAGAAACTTAATCACACTTTTAAAAAATTGCACTGTTACTGGAAACATTCTCATAAACCTCTAATATAAAATTATAATTATACTATGGTTTAGCAGTGAGTTAAATCATTTCTTTGATAACTATTAAATAATCCAGAGGATTTCTCTCACATAACTATAGGTATTACTTTTAAACCCAATAGCAACCATACACTGACAGTCTACTTGCCTGTTAGATGAGGTGAAAATATATGTCTCATAATCAATCACTTAGCTACAACAGCATTACATAGATATTCTCCACATGTTGATATCCATCCTGCCACATCATGTTACATTTGGAAGAGGTGGGACCTAAAAGTGTTTTGAGAAGCCACTAAGTTTTGGCTACCTCTAGATTTATAGAGCTACCAACCAGGAAAACTCAGATTAGCAGAAACTATGTATAATTGCCCACTGAAGCCAAACATAAATTCCAAGTCAGTTAGCTTAAATATCTTCTGCAGTTGATGAATCCATTAGTAATTATCTTCCTGCACCCATGAAGTACTTAAAAGGGTTTTCCCTTACAGGTAAGTTATGAAACGTGCAATTCTCCACTTGGAATATTTTAAGTCTGAATTTTACAGAGTGTTTGCAAAACTGGCCCAAGTATACATCAAAGATCACTGAAATGGAAATATGACTGGTTCATTGCTTGGACCATATTTGCATGAAGATATTGGGTGAAGCCTACTGTAGTGCTCAGCTTTTAGTTATTTTTTTTTAGAGGACATCCTAATTATGGACATAGGAATGTAAAAAGTGCCATTCTTAGTTGGGTCCAAGAATCTTCCAGAAATAACACCACCACAGGATGTATGATAGGAGAGTAGCGTTGTTTCTTTAAGCTATATGATTGTGTGATTATGTACACAAATTAAATATTGTAAGAGTTACTCAAAACCATGACATCTTGATTTCAAATGGAATCACTATTCAGAACTTGAATTTCTGTTCTTCCTGGAATACGAGTTCTAAGGAAATAAATTTTCTTGGGTTGAGAATCAAAGTAGATGAACACTTTTTGGAGAGTGACAGGTTGCCTTTATTCATATAACGCTTTTAAGTATAAGATCCTTTTCTGAGTGATAACTCATTGCAAATTCATCTCTATTCCTGGGAAAAGGATAATAAATCACAACTGAGGCTCATACTTGAAAGAAATATTTCCCAGCAGCCATAGCTTTTGGTAACCATCAGCAACAAAGATTTCAGCTACCTTTCTGAAAGGGACCAGAGCTGTGACCACAGTAGAACTGGGAAAATGTCCAGCATTGTATAACCATTATTACTATCCCTACCTCAACCTTCCAAGGACTTAAGTTAAACACTGGAGTTAGAGGATAACAAATGATCATTCAAAGAGCCTCTTCAGGTTGTACATGGTAGAAATTACAATGGATTGTTACAAACCTAAATAAAGAACTGTTTTCATATTGGTGAACTTAAACATTATTGCCCTATATAAAAGATTGCAGTTTAGGACTATTAGAATGAAAACCTTGACCCTGAGGGAAAAGAAAAGATATAGTGTATTTGTGCCATAGAAAATGTAGCTGAGACTGTATCTGAGGAGGTGGGGCCCAGGGAAAGGTGCCCTCTCACCCCCCAGTGCATTCGAGTGCAGCTGTTTCAGTGCCATTTTAGCAATGGCCATCAAAATTTGACAAGATATAGAAAAGTTAAAAATGCACATTTTTGACACAGTATTTCTATTTTTGGAATATGTCTTATATGAATACTTGCCTATAGACACAAAATGAATAAACAATAACATATAAAAAAAGAAAATGTAGTGCTTCTATGACATAATATAACAGACCCAAATTAACCTCAAACAAATGCCACTCTGCTAATAAATATGTTGCAACCAGATTGGCAATGATAGTGTGCAGAATTCCCTAATCTTGCCTGATTTTTTGTATTAATCATTCACCTTCACAGAGAACAAAAGTGGGTACAAAATCATGGGAATTTAGATGGTGTTGGACAGTTTTCCTAAACACATTTTGCAAAGAAAAGCCATTTGTGTATGGAAAAACAATAAGCTAGTCAGGAGCAAGTTCTTGTGTATTTTGCAATCAAAAGGATACTTGCAGAGCTCTAACATGCTTGCCAATGTTACAAGGAGTCTTCAAAAAGTTAAAATAGCAGAGATTATAAAGTCCACATGTTTGCTGACCTGTTTGTTCCTTTTTGAAAGAGCAATGGGAGTTAAGGGTAAGCAAAGGGATGGGGTTATGGTAGGTGGGTCACAGGGTATTAGATTTGCATTTGGTTGTTTTTCATACTTCTATTCAATGAAAACTGATGGAATCCCTAGAATAATACTGGAAACTTCTTTCTGGCACTTCTGAACAAGAGTCATTTGACCAAACTATCCCATGACACAATCATGGAAACAGCAATAAGATCCAGCACATGAATGGGAAGTATAGTAAAACCTGAATATAAAGATTAATTAGAGGTGATTACAGTTCCAGTCCTGGCAGGATTCATCACCTGCTGACTAAAGAGCCCTTGGGCTCTGAGTAATCAGCAGTGGTAGCCAGGCAGTACTCACTGCAGGCCCTAAGTGAAAAATCAAAGCTCTGCTGTCTTCGGTTATGACCCAGCACATTCCTAGCTATGGTGGCTATGGGGAGAAACTCCTTATGCTTGAGCAAACAAGAGTGAAAAGCAAAGGACACTTTGTCTTGCAGCTTAGGTACCAGCTGAGCCACAGTGGGGTAGAGCACCAAGTGGATTCCTGGCATCCCCAGTTTCAGGCTTTGGCTACTGGACAGCATTTCTGGATCTTTCCTGGGCCAGAAGGGGGCCCACATCCCTGAAGGGAGAGACCCATGCTTGACAGCATTCACCACAAACTGACTGAAGAGCCCTTGGGTGAACATTGGCAGTAGCCTGGTGGTACTCGCTGTCGGCCTGAGCCAGTGGTGGCCGCAGGGACTCATCTGTTTGAAGAAAGTGGAGGGAAGAGTGGGAAGGACTTTGTCTTGAGGCTTGGGTGCCAGCTCAGCTGCAGTAGAATAGAGCACCAGGTGGATTCCAAAGGTTCCTGACTCCAGGCCCTGGATCTGCAAAGACATCTCTTAACCTGTGCTGGGATTGCAGGAACTCGCTGCCCTGAAGGGAAGGATGCAAGCCTGGCTGGATTCACCACTTGCTGATTGTAGAGCCCTTGGGCCTTGAATGAACATAGGTAGTATCCAGGCAGTGGTAACTGTGGGCCTTCGGCAAGACCCAGTGCTGTGCTAGCTTTGGTCCTGACCCAGCACAATCCCAGTGGTGGTGGTCACAGGGGTTCTTGTGTCACCCCTTCCCCAGCTCTAGGCAGCTCAGCACAGAGAAAGCAAATCCATTTGTTTGGAGGAAAGTAAGGGAAGAGAATAAGAGTTTCTACTTGGTAATCTAGGGAATTCCCCCAGATCGTACCAAAGACCACCAAGTTGGTACTTCTACAAGTCTGCAAGAGCCACAGGGTTACTGGCCTTGTGGTGACCCCTAATGCAGATATGGCTGCAGTGACCAAAGATTTAGATCACAACACCCAAGTCTCTTTGAATATTTGGCAAGCCTTCCCAAGAAGGGCTGGTACAAACAAAGACTATGATAAATATCTAACTTTATTTTTTTTTTTGAGACGGAGTCTTGCTCTGTCACCCAAGCTGGAGTACGATGGTGCAATCTTGGCTCACTGCAAACTCTGCCTCATGGGTTCAAGCAATTCTCCTGTCTCAGCCTCCCGAGTAGCTGGGATTACAGGCGCCCACCACCACGCCCAGCTAATTTTTATATTTTTACTAGAGACGGGGTTTCACCATGTTGGCCAGGATGGTTTCGAACTCCTGACCTCAGGTGTTCCACCCTCCTCAGCCTCCCAAAGTGCTGGGATTATAGGCATGAGCCACTGCGCCCAGCCAATACCTAAATTTACAATGCCCAGACATTGATGAACACCCACAAGCAACAAGACCATCCAGGAAAACATGATCTTACCGAGTGAACTAAACAAGGAACCAGGGACTAATCCAGCGTAACAGAGAAATATTACCTTTCAGACAGAGAATTCAAACTAGTTGTTTTGAGGAAGCTCAATGAAAGCAAATAGAGAAAGAATTCGGAATTCTGTCAGAGAAATTTAACAAAGAGATTGAAATAATTAAAAAGAATCAAGGAGAAATTCTGAAGCTGAAAAATGCAATGGACATATTGAAGGATGCATCAGGGTCTCTTAACTGCAGAATTGATCAAGCAGAAGAAAGAATTAGTGAGCTTAAAGACAGGCTATTTGAAAATACACAGTCACAGAAGACCAAAAAACAAGAATGAAAAAGAATGAGGCATCCCTACAAGATCTAGAAAATAGCCTCAAAAGGGCAAATCTGAAAGTTATTGGCCTTAAAGAGGAGGTAGGGAGAGACATCAGGGCAGAAAGTTTATTCAAAGGGATAATAATAAAGAACTTCCCAAACCTAGAGAAAGATATCAATATTCAAGTACAAGAAGACTATAGAACACCAAGCAGATTGACCAAAAGAAGACTACCTCAAGGCATTTAATAATTAAACTCCCAAAGATCAAGGATAAAGAAAAGATCCTAAAAGCAGCAGAAGAAAAGAAACAAATAACATACAACAGAGCTCCCAAGTATCTGACAGCAGACCTTTCCGTGGAAACCTTACAGGCCAGGAGAGAGAGGCATGACATATTTAAAGTGCTGAAGAAATAAAACTTTTATTGTAGGATAGTTTATCTGGTGAAAATGTTCTTCAAACATGAAGGGGGAAATAAAGACTTTCCCAGACTAACAAAAGGTGAGGGATTTCATCAACACCAGACTTGTTCTACAGAAAATGCTGTGGGGAGTTCTTCAATCTTAGAGAAAATGGTGTTAATGAGCAACAAGAAATCATCTGAAGGTGGAAAACTCACTGGTAATAGTACATACACAGAAAAACACAGAATATTATAATAATGTGGTTGTGATGTGTGAACTACTCACGTCCTGGTAGAAAAACTGAAAGATGAACCTATCAAAAACAATAACAACAACTTTTCAAGACATAGACAGTATAAAAATATATAAATAGAAACAATAAAAAGTTTAAAAATGGAAGGGGCAGAGTGAAAGTGTAGAGTTTTTATTAGTTTTCTCTTTTCCTGTTTCTTAGTTTATTTATGTAATCAGTGTTAAGTTGTCAACAGTTTGAAATAAGGGATTATGAGATAGTATTTGTAAGCCTCATCAAAAAAACCTCAAATCAAAATACATACAACAGATACATAAAAAATAAAAAGGAAGAAATTAAACCATATTGCCAGAGAAAATCACCTTCATTAAAAGGAAAACAGGAAGTAAGGAAAGAAGGAAGAGAAGACCACAAAACAATCAGAAAACAGATTTTAAAATGTCAGGAGTAAGTCCTTACTTATCAATAATAACATTGAATTTAAATGAACTAAACTCTCCAATGAAAAGACATAGAGTGGCTGAATGGATTAAAAAAAAACAAGATCCAATAATCTGTTACCTACAAAAGCATATTTAACCTATAAAGACACACATAGACTGAAAATAAAGGGATGGAAAAAGATATTCCATGCCAATGGAAACCAAAAAAGAGCAGGAGTAGCTATAGTTATATCAGACAAAGTAGATCTCAAGATAAAAACTATGAAAAGAGACAAAGAAGATCACTACGTAATGATAAAGGGGTCAATTCAGCGAAAGGTTATATTAATTGTAGATATATATGCACCCAACACTGGAGCACCCAGATATATAAAGCAAACATTATTAGAGCTAAAGAGAGAGATAGACCTCAATACAATAATAGCTGGAGACTTCAATATCCCACTTTTAGCATTGGACAGATCTTCCAGACAGAAAATCAGCAAAGAAACGTTGGATTTAATCTGCACTATAGATCAAATGGACCTAATGGATAGTTACAAAACATTTTCATCCAATGGCTACAGAATACACATTCTTTTCCTCAGCACATGAAACGTTCTCAAGGACAGATCATATGTTAGGTCACAAAGCAAGTTTTAAAACATCCCCAAAAATGAAATAATATCAAGCATCTTCTCTAACCACAATGGAATAAAACTAGAAATCAATAACAAGAGGAATTTTGGAAACTATACAAACACATGGAAATTTTAAAATATGCTCCTGAATGACCAGTGGTTCAATGAAGAAATTAAGAAGGAAATTGAAAACTTTCTTGAAACAAACAATAATAGAAATACAACATACCAAAATCTATGGGATACAGTGAAAGCAGTACTAACAGAGAAGTTTATAGCTATAACCACTTATAGCAAAAAGAAGAAAAACTTCAATAAACAACTTAATGATGCATCTTAAAGAACTAGAAAAACAAGAGCAAACCAAACCCAAAATTCGTAGAAGAAAATAAATAATAAAGATCAGGGCAGAAATAAATGAATTTGAAATGAGAAAAACAATACAAAAGCTCAACAAAACAAAAAGTTGGTTTTATAAAAGATAATAAAATTGACAAATCTTTAGCCAGACTAAGATAAAAAGAGAGAAGACCCAAATAAATAAAACCAGAAATGAAAAAGGAGACATTATAACTGATGCCACAGAAATTCAAAGGATAATTGTTGGCTACTATGAACAACTATATGCCAATAAATTGGAAACCCTAAAGACATACAACTTGACAAGATTGAACTAGGAAGAAATCCAAAACCTAAACAGACCAATAACAAGTAATGAGATCGAAACCTTAACAAAAAGTCTTCCAGCAAAGAAAATCCCAGGACCCAGTGGCTTCACTGCTGAATTCTACCAAACTAATACCAACCGTACTCAAACTATTCTAAAAAAACAGAGGAGAGGAGAATACTTCCAAACTTATTCCACAAGGCCAGTATTACCCTGATACCAAAACCAAAGACACATCAAAAAAAGAAAAGGCCAGTATCACTGATAAATATTGATGCAGAAATCCTTAACAAAATACTAGCAAACTGAATTCAACAACACATTAGAAAGATCATTCATCGTGACAAAGTGGGATTTATGCCAGAGATGCAAGGGTGGTTCAACATATCAAATCAACCAATGTGATACATCATATCAACAGAATGAAGGATAAGAATGATATGATCATTTCAGTTGATGCTGAAAAAGCATTCAACAAAATTCCATATCCCTTCATGATAAAAACCTTCAGAAAACTAGGTATAGAAGGAACATACTTCAACAAAATGAAAACCACATACAACAGACCTGTAAGTAATATTATACTGAACAGGGAAAAACTGAAAGGCTTTCCTCTAAGATCTGGAACACGACAATGATGTCCACTGTCACCACTGCCATTCAACGTAGCCCTGGAATTCCTAGCTAGAGCAATCAGACAAGAGAATGAAATAAAGGGCATCTAAACTGGAAGGGAAGAAGTCAAATTATCCTTATTTGCAGATGATAAGATCTTATATTTGGAAAAACCTAAAGACTCCACCAAAAACTATGAAAACTGATAAATAAATTTGAGAGAGTTGCAGGATACAAAATCAATATACAAAAAAATCAATAGCATTTCTATATACCAACAGCAAACAAGCTAAAAAAGAAATCAAGAAAGTAATCCCATTTACAATAGCTACAAATAAAATTAAGTATCCAGGAATTAACTTAGCCAAAGAAGTGAAAGATCTCTACAATAAAACTGTAAAACATTGATGCAAGAAATTGAAGAAGATACAAAAAAGTGGAAAGGTATTTTATGTTCATGGATTAGAATAATCAATAGTGTTAAGATGTCCATACTATCTGAAGCAATCTACAGATTCAATCCAATTCCTATCGAAATACCAATGACTTTCTTCACAGAAATAGAAAAAATATTTCTAAATTTATATGGAACCACAAAAGATCCAGAATAGTCAAAACTATCCTGAGCAAAAGGAACAAAACTGGAGGGATCACATCACCTGACTTCAAATTATGCTACAAAGCTTTAGTAACCAAAACAGCTTCGTATTGGCCTAAAAACAGACACATAGATCAGTGAAACAGAATAAAGAACCTAGAGATAAATCCATGCATCTTCAGTGAACTCATTTTTGACAAAGATGCCAAGAACATACATTGGGGAAAGGACCGTCTCTTCAATAAATGATGCTGGGAAAACTGCATATCCACGTGCAGAGGAATGAAACTAGATCCCTATCTCTCACCGTATACAAAAATGAAACAAAAGTGGATTAAAGACTTAAATCTAAGACCTCAAATATGAAATTACTAAATGAAAACATTGAGGAAACTCTCCAGGACGTTGGACTGGGCAAAGATTTCTTAAGTAATACCCTACAAGCACAGGCAACTAAAGCAAAAACGGACAAATGGATCACATAAAGTTAAAAAGCTTCTGCATAGCAAAGGAAACAATCAACAAAGTAAAGAGAAAACCTGCAGAATGGGAGAAAATATTCGCAAATTACCCATCTAACAAGGGATTAATAACTAGAATATATAAAATGCTCAAACAACTCTATAGGAAAAAAAATCTAATAATTTGCTTTAAAAATGGGCAAAATATCTGAATAGACATTTCTCAAAAGAAGACATACAAATGGCAAACAAGCATATGAAAAGGTGCTCAACATCATTAATCATCAGAGAATAAATCAGTATATCAAGGAGATATCTGCACTCTAGTATTTGTTGCAGCACTGTTCACAATAGCCAAGATCTGGAAGCAACCAAAGTGTCCATCAACTAATGACTGGATAAAGAAAATGTGATACATATACACAATGGAGTACTATTCAGCGTGAGAAAGAATGAGATCCTATCACTTGCAACAACAGGGATGGAACTGGAGGACATTATAAATGAAATAAGCCAGGCCCAGAAAGACAAACTTTGCATGTTCTCACTTATTTACAGGAGCTAAAAATTAGAATAATTAAACTCATAGAGATAGAGTGTAGAAAGATGGTTACCAGAGGCTGGGAAACTGAGGTTACTGAGGGTGTGGGAAACAGAAAAAACGAGCCTTACTTAGTCTTCATAGAACTACATTCTGCTGAAGAAGACAATAGTAATACAATTTTTCAAATAGATAGGTAATTTTCTGTCAAGAAGCGGTGTGTGCTATGAAAAAAAAACAGGTAAAGAAATAGAAGTTGTCGCCAGGCACGGTGGCTCATGCCTGTAATCCCAGCACTTTGGGAGCCGAGGCGGGAGGATCATGAGGTCAGGAGTTCGAGACCAGCCTGGCCAATATGGTGAAACCCCGTCTCTACTAAAAATACAAAAAGTAGCTGAGCATGTTGGTGTGTGCCTATAGTCCCAGCTATTCGAGAAGCTAAGGCAGGAGAATTGCTTGAGCCCAGGAGGCGGAGGTTGCAGTGAGCTGAGATCGTGCCACTGCACACCAGCCTGGGCATCAGAGTGAGACTCCGTCTCTTAAAAAAAAAAAAAAGAAATAGAAGTTGTCAAGATGTCAAGAAGTATCATTGTAGATTGATTGCTCAGAGATGGCCTTTTTGAAATAACTTATGGGGTAAGCAAAATGATTAGAGAGAGGGAGACAAGGGGAGATTTGGGGGAAGATATGCCCCTCTACTTCAGGTCTAAGTTTTTTTAACACCTTAGACAAGATGCCCTGGGCTGACATGTGCAACCTAGCCCCTCTATTTACTATCTCTCACTTTCCATCAGCAACATCAAACAGCCTTCAGGTCTCCATAGTCACCACTTTACTTCTTACTTTTTCTCCTTTCACACAGTCTGTCCTCTGTCTGAGATGTCCTCCGCATTTGTCCCTTCATCCCAAACTTGACGGAACTCCTGGAAGTTTTCCCTGATTGCCTTCTGCATACACACACACACACACACACACACACACACACACACACACACACAGGTGCCCCCAAAGCATCCTGAGCTTACCTTTGTCATTGCATTCATCATATTGCTTTATGTGGTAATCACATTTGATGGTACTTTGAAATATGCAACTTTGAAATGTAATCCAACATAATAAAATTTTACTTATTCATCCAATTTGAAATAATGTACATTATCAATTTTTTAATTCATCAAGAGTTATTTAATTTCAAAATCATCATCCTTCATATTTCTAACATTAACAAGTGACAGTGCCACTTAGACTGGTAAATAGAAAGAACTGCCATCTTTGGCCAATTTTATGGGGAAAATTGTCTTGAATTTTGTTTTTTATTTCATGTCCCTGTCAGGTATTTATAGTGTATTTTTAATTCCGCCAAGTCCAAATACAGTTTTCTAATTAGGGATCATTTTTGCCGTAACCAGTGTTGCCTGGCAACATAGGTATCATTCTACCCTATGCAACTGCTAGAGGAACACAGCTAGAAAGTTAACTGAAGGTCAAATATGCATGCATAATAGGAAAGGATTTTGTTACACTTTTTAAAAAAATAAACTTTTGAGATATAATTGAAATATAACTAGCAACAGGTTTTTATAGTACACATTTGTTAGTTCTTGACAAATACATATATTCATGAAACCATCACCACAATCAAGATAATAAATACATGCATCACTCCCAAATGTTTGCATAGATCCCTTTGTAATTCTCCCTCTACACTTTCTGAACTGCCCCACTCATCTCCCAGCAACCACTCACCTGCTTTCTATTAATATAGATCAGTTTGCATTTCCTAAAATTTTACATAAATAAAATAATACAATATATACTTTTTTGGAGGAGGAGAAGGGACTGGCTTTTTTCATACAGCATAATTATTTTGAGATTCCTTCATTCCATATGTGAATCAATAGTTCATTCCTTCTTATTGATGAATATCATTTCCATTATAAGGATATACCACAATTTGTTGAACTGCTCACCCATTGGGTGGCCATTTGAGTTGTTTTTAGTTGCAAGCTATTGTTTTGTTTTTGCTTATTTGCTTTTATAGTATATTCATTTGAAGCAAAATCCAAGTAAGATCAATGCATAATTCTATAATTCATGCTGCATTTCTTAGCTGGAATATATCTATCAAGAGAAATTTCTCCTCATCAACATTTTGATTACACTAAAGTATGGATTGTACTGGAAGGATAGCATTTATGTTTGACTGAACTTTAGTTTCAGAATATCTTCTCATCCACAGGAACAACTTGGTAACGTGGATCATGACTCTTTCTTGACCTATAGGACTCCATAGATGTGCTTCCATTTGACTGGATACCAAAGGCAAGAGGAGAAGGTGCCAGTAATATATTTCACTGGCTATATACGGTAGTTTCTTGAATTCTGGTGTTTTGAATTATGAGAGCTTCTCAAGAATGCATCCTTCACAATTTAAGTTTATATATCTATGTCCCCCTGTAGACTGTGAGCTCCTTGAAGACAGAGAATGTGTCTTGCAAAGCTGTGTGTCTACAGTGCCTAGCACAGTGCCAGAATATAGTAAGCTCCCAATAATTGTTTCTCAAGGGAACATAAGTATTGAATTAAATCCTATTGCAAGACTGTAGGATCTGGTGTTGAAAGAGCTGAAGCCCTGATTCTCAGTAGCACATTAACAACTGGGAGGGAGAGGATTGAAGTCACCTGGAAAAGAAGAACAGTTTTGTGTCTGTTCTGCCTCTGGCTTTGTCCTTCATTTTACCCCTGAATCCATCTCTTGGTAGGTTGCTGTTTTGTTTTTGAGCTTATTAAGACTTTTTAAAAGTTACCTATACCTTCAACTTAGGGACAGAATTGCTATATTGCTACTTCATGGCAAAATAGGTACACGGTAGATAAATAGACGGATAGATGGATGATGATAGATTAGATAGATAGATAGATAGATAGACAGATCATATTAATAGATAGATAATAGGTAGACTAGATGGAGAGAGAGATAGGTAGATAGATGATAGATAGATAGATAGATGATAGATAGATAGATAGATAGATAGATAGATGATAGATAGATAGATAGACTGAAATACAGTCTGTTTTCTTGCTGTCTTCTTGACAAACATATAAACAGCCCACCCTAACATGGTGACTCATGATTGGTAGGGTGTCCCAAAGTACTACGGTAAGAAGTCACTTAACATAACAAATTCATTGGATCTGGAATAATTTTTTCACTTCATTGTATTCAGGATAATTATTTTAAAAACAGAAACCAACGTGGACTTTGGAGAGAGATAAACCAGGGTGCGATTCTTGGTTCCACCCACTGTACGCCTTTCAGTACAACTTAATCTACCCACCCCTCAGCTTATCTGTAAAATAAGAATAATAAAACTTATGTTTAGGGTTTTTGTGAGCATATATATATAAAATGTACAATACAGTGTTCAGTAAATGATAGCAGAGATCATGACAAGCCAGGAGGAGCATGATCCTACGGAGGACAGACTTTGCAAGGCCAAATGCTGTAGGAGAGAAAAATCTAGACTTCAGAGTCAGACAGACTGGGATTCAAATTTTGGTTTTTCTACTTTTTTATTCTGCCACCTTTAGTAACATAAGCTCCCATAATCTCAGTTCCTTCCTATGTAAGATGGCAATAGTTAGAGATCTCATATGTTAGTTGAAAGGAGTAAATGAAAAAACATTTGCATAGCATTGGGCATATAGCAGGCATAAAAAATTTTTATCACCTCTTCTTCCCTTTTCTGACACTAATGTTTATTTGAATATTTTCATCTACATTCTTTCTATATGGACAGCCTCCTAATTTTCTGAAGGTCTGTAATTAGTATTTGCTGGAAGCAACACTTGAACAGTGACTCCAGTCTAGACTATCCTCTGGGAAGTGAACCACAGCTACCCACATATTCGATTCTTGCATCCATCTAGGGAGCACAGCTCCTATTCCTCCAGCCAAACCATACTTTAAGTAATAATCTCATCCAGAGCTTCCCTTTCACTTCTTTCCTACTTCCCTCCTACAGAGACCATCTATTTCCATTATCCTCAATGCCTTGGCTAGTACTCCATGGAGCCAGCCCAACCTAGGTCATCTTCAGACCTGGAACTTGCTCTTCCCTGAAATATTTATTTTGTTAAGGCAAACCAAAGGATTCTCAAGTTCACCCAAACAGCAGGTGTCTGTTTTTGCCAAGAATGCTCCTTTCATTTTAAGGACATTGTTTCAGGCACCAGAAATATAAACGATGGAAAAGCTGAGTGCAGGTCTGTGTGGTTCCATTGGGTTTAGGTTACCACCGGAAACTGAGCAAAGAGCAGAGAACTGACTAATTCATTAACCCTTTCTACTCTCACGGTGGCTGAGAAGAAAGCATCTTCAGCTCCAGTAGACTAGAGGTTTAGAAGTGTTCTTACTCTTTATCTGTGGTGCGATTTTGCAAGCAAAATTTGCAAGTCAAGTTGCAATCTCAAAATTAAAACATAAAGAGGTAAAATTGAGGAGGGGTTTTAAAAATGAAATTTAAGTAATGAATACAGAAAATTGCTGCTTGTACACATTATAAATCTTTAAGGTGGGACACAAACAGAGACTAAAGAGACATATAATAAATTGTGAGTGGCGCCTGATAGTTGCATCGATTTCTGAATTGAGATAAAAAAATTAGGTGACATTTTTAAAAGGCACAGAGAGTTTGGTAAAAAGGTGGCCTCCAAAATTCTCCATATATAGCTATTTTAATCAAGTAATCTTTGAGTAACTCTCTTGCTTCTAATTGTTTCATGTGTTCTGGCCTCCCTGTTAGAAAGCAGTAAGATCAGAAGAATACCTCCCCATTTCTTCTTGTATCCTTTGCAGTGTCCACTGTGATTCCAGTAGTTTGTTGGTGGAATAGGTAAATAAATGAGTTATAGATAATGTCATGTTATATTAATGTCCTAAAACACAATCTGTATTTGGGTTATTATAATGAAGAATGATAACTTTTACTGTTCAAACTGACATTTTGAAAGGTTGACAAAAATTCCCAATAAAAAGAATTACCATTCAAAAACATATGAAAGTTACAAGAAAAAGTTAGAGTGAAATAACCAGTTGTATTTCCATTCTACCTTGTTCCATAGAGGATATGAGGTAGACAAATTCCTTATGCTAAGTTTTACAAATAGATTGCCAGAGAATAATATCACTTTGCATTTGTAAGAATTTTACACTTTAGAAAGCATTTTCCTGTATCTTATCTCATTTAAGTTCTTGAGCAACTCTATGAGGAAGGTATTTTTATGCTTATTTTACTGACAAGGATAATTAGTTTCAGAGAAGAAATGTGCCTTTGCGAGGTCACAGAATGGGCATATTTCTGAGCCAAGACTCACATCCCATTTCCTCACCTCAGGTTCTGTGTTTTATCCTGTTCTCTGAGAGAGGCTAATTACAGACTTTGAGAGGTTGAATAGACAGATTGAAATGGCCCAGGCAGGGAGAGGAGATGTCTCCCTTGTAGCATGTGACAAACAGTAGCCTTGGCTGGGAGTGACTAAGAAAACAAAGTAAGAGCTTGAGAATCTAGATAAAAACCCAAGATTGTCCAGAACCCCCAAATTCAAGAACAGTGTATAATTTACCTCACAAAAAAAAATCCCTGTAGTGATGAGCAGATGACAGGCGAGTCCAGTGAGAGGCTGATGCTGGGCAGTGAACTTGGCTCCCTCACTAGCTGGGTGGCTAACAGCAGAGAGATCAGCATTCTTACTTCACCAAAACCCCATGCCACGGGTCTTCTAGCACTCTTGATTTCAGACTGTGAGGTCCAAATGCCTGCCTGTTTCATGAACTAACTCTGAGTAAGCTTTTTAGAAGGTACTGACAATTTCATGGAATTGCATCTATTTATACCCTTGGAAAACTTCAACCAAAAGTCGAAATGGATTTCTCTGCATGTATATGATCCTTTAGATAGTGATATAAATTGTTGCATATATATGTATATATGTGTGTGTGTATATATATATATGTGTGTGTGTATATATTCTTTCAGGATATGCCAGATATCTCATCTTGTAGTGGCACAAAGGGATATGTTAGTCCAGACATGAAAGTTTCTCTTCACATCATCTAAGATTAGCAATGGTGACTTGAAACCCAACAAATTCTCTCTGCTTGATCTGGGAGTTGTATCTCTGACAGAACAACTAAGGTCAGTTCTCAAAGCTGATACAGGAGTCACATTCTAAACATGGAGAAGGACAAATGCTGAATGCAGTGGGGGAATAGGAAAGGATGTTAAAATGTGGTTCATGTAATGAGACGTTAGTAAGAAGAAGGGTGGGCCAGGGCTGAGCCTGATATCAAGTTAGCATAGTAGCCCATATTCAGATCTGATATAGACCGAAGAAGAGAGACATAAGAACAGACACTAGCACGAACATGAAGTCAGCCCAGAGAGAAAGCCATACATAGGTAACCCACACCAACTGTAAAGGCTCAGGTCTCTACAAGCCACATCCAACACTGAGTGACTCTCTTTGAGGGCAGAGACTGAACTTCTAGAAGTAAGGGGGAATCTACAAACATCAACTGCTCATGATGAACTGAGATACATGAAGAATACTCTACTGCCTGAAGATGTTACATTTATTTCAGATAAAAAAATACTATACTGCCTGAAGTTGCTACATTTATTTTAGATAAAAAATATTTCTTTTGTTTTGTTTGTTTTTTATTTTTAATTTTTGTGAGTATATAATAGGTGTATATGTTTATGGGGTACATGGGATGTTTTGATACAGTCATGCAACGCATAATAATCACATCATGGAAAATGGGGTATCCCTCCCCTCAAGTATTTATCCTTCATGTTACAACATTCCAATTATGCTCTTTCAGCTATTTTTAAATGTACAATTAAGTTATTATTGACTATAGTCACCCTCCAGTGCTATAAAATAATAGGTCCCTTTCATTCTTTCTAATTATTTTGTACCAATTAATTATCCTGACCTCCCCACCACTGCCCTTCCCAGCCTCTGGTAACCATTCTTCTACTCTCTATGCTGATGAATTCAATTGTTTTGATTTTTAGCTCTCATAAATAAATAAGAACATGAAATGTTTGTCTTTCTGTGTCTGGCTTATTTCGCTTAACATAACGACCTCCAATTCCATCCATGTTGTTGCAAATGACAGGATCTCATTCTTTTTATGGCTGAATAGTACTCCATTGTGTCTATGTACCACATTTTCTTTATCCATTCATCTGTTGATGGACCCTTAGATTGCTTCCTATTTCTTATTTGAAATCCCCCTCAGCTCTCTAAGGAGACTGTCCCCAAAGTGGGGCCTGCCTTGTGAGATGATGTTGTGAAGGTGCAAGATGAAAGAAGCTAAGAGAAGAGTCAATTACTTTACATGGAAAAGGGATCATAAAATTTCTGGGAGGCAAGAAAAGGCTACAGGTTAGGAGCACTTAAGAGTGAAAAGAAGCAGCTGATGACTGGAGAGGCACAGGAGGGGGCAAGGTACTTGACTGGGAATTTTACTAAGTATCGTAAAATGCTTAAAAAGAGGGGATGGTGTTACCCCATGACATATTGAGGAAAATTTACATTACTCTCTAATGTTCTGTAGAACTGGATTGACTTTGGGGATTTGATGAAGAGGTAAGTCCTACTTCAAATAAAGAGAAAGGGACAATGTTATAAGCTAATCCCGGAAGCCCAGTAACATTTGGAACATATGTTTTATTCTTTAGTTACTATTCTAAGGGACTCTGATCACAAAGAATTCTGAGCAATGTGCACTCTGGATTATAAAGGATCTAGAAAAAATTCAAGTCACTACTTTTTAGGTAGCCTCAAAATTGCAGAGGACCAACATAAAAAGAATGATCTTCTCATCTTCAAATCTACTTATTTTGAAATTAAATGATGAATCAGTTTACATATAAAATAAGAATTGGAGCATTTATTTTTAATAGTATTCTCGATATTATCAAGTTAGCTATCTTGATTATGAAGCAGTCATTTTATCTGTAGCCAATCATATGCCAACTCTGGTCCCTGTTTTGTTCATGTGAAAGATGATAGGGTCAAGCCAGTAAACACAACACCCCAGCTCTCATGTCTTGTTGATGTCACAAGTCCAACCTCATCTCACTTCCACTCCACATTATCAGTCTCTCATATTTTTAAGTCAGATTTAAATCTTTGGTCCAACCCATCAAAACATGAGCAATATTAATAAGTCAGATTGCAATATTAATAAGTCAGATGAATCTATAGCCAGTTTATCAAAACAGCTCACCTCAGTGGAAGTTTCAATGAATAATTGCTTTTATTTATTCTCCAATTACTGCTTTCAATCCTGCTATGTTGAAACTCTCTTTCTGCTCCTCAAACAATGTCTTCAGAAGATTCCATCATTTTCTTGTGCTGTCATTTTCAGAATCCAGCTGAATTTTAAACTCACATTTTCTCCTCCAACACAGCTGGAGTGCAGAAGGCATGATTTGCTTTTATTTATTCCTATCCCTTCCTCCTTAGGGAAGTCTATTCTGGACTTGGCATCCCTCCTCCTGCTCTCTTCTTCCCTTACTCCTCTAATGTTGAGGGTTGGAAGGGTAAACAGGTAAGAAAGAAACACCTGCCTCTTGCTTAATTTCCATCTTCTGTCTGTTGCAATTTTTTTCTCTGTTGGGTTCTGATATAGATAGATAGATAGATGATAGATAGATAGATAGATAGATAGATAGGTAGGTAGATAGATATGCCTGTTGTTCTCCAGCATCAATATCCTCTGAGTGATCAAGCATTCAATATTGGCTCTTTAACAAGACACATGTGAACGTTCTTTGGAGCATTCTGCAAGGCCATCTATGCTGCACCGTTCTCTGTAAGATTTCTATCCGTGGCTTGACATCCTGTAATTCTTCATAGCTCTTGGTCCTGGCAGAGCATCCCACAGCCTCTTGATTCCTGGTCCCTTCTCACTGTGGCCCACATTCTTGAATGGGGAACTCCTCAGTGACTTCACTACAAGTTTTTTCAGAGTCCATTTGGCCCATGGAAAGATCCTGCTTTGTTGCTGTTGTTGTTGTTGTGGCTGTTGTTGTTATTTCCTGTATCTTTGACATTCCAACCAGTGTGAGTGTGGAGTACTCCAATGCCATCCCCTCTCTTTGTCTTGCTATTGGTCTTCAGTAATTGTCTTTTCTCTGCTAAGATATACACAAGGAGTACTTCAGTAAGTTTATTGCCTAAGTAGGTGACCTATCAGAGACAGTCTTCCCTTTTTTCAATTATCTTCAGTCGCTAATCACGAATCCTTGGAGCCCTCATTCACTTGGTATTGAGAAAGCAAGTGTGCTTCCGAATATGCCAATAAGTCTACCACAATGAATGTTGATTCTCACTAATTTCCATGCACTTCTTTACATTTCTCTGACTCTTTGCTGTCAGGCTAACCATGTGACTGATTCTAGCCAATGGAAGATGAGTAAAAGCAGCATGTGCTGACGGGATGACCTTGAAAAGCAAGATGGCAGAGCCCAGAGATGGTAGTAACAGAACCTAGAAGCCCTAAAAGAGGTTTCCTGTACCAGTTGTTCATTTTTCTTTTCAGAAAGTGAAATGCTTGATGCTTCTTTGCCCTCAGCTTTCAGCCCTATTTGAAGGCAATAGGAAAAGCCATCCAGCTACCAATGCTATTGCCTTTGTCTCCGCATTTGGTGATCTGAATAGAAGCCCACTGATTCAGCAAGTTCACATAGCCACAGAGAAAATGCCCTGAAAGGCTGTCATGAAATTGTGTATGTGTTTCCTGCCATGATACTCTTTTCAGTTCATTCTCTTATGTTCTGTTTCTCTCCATAGGTTTGGCTAATTGTAACATCTTCAGTCTGCACTGCATATCTCATAATCGTGTACTTAAATGCAATGTTTAAGTTTAATGTCTGATACCTTATTAACTGAAATACACACAGTAAAAAAAAAAATTGACAATGACTGCACCTTAAATTCTGAGAGGCTTCTGTATACATAGGGCTCCTTGAGTGATAGCCTTCCCTCATATTTCCTCAGTTCATCCCCTCAATATTGGCGTCATCAGAATAAGTGAACATTTGTCACAATACTTAACAAGGAGGTACATGACTTTAAAATTTATTTTTATCAAATTGCTAGGACTAATTGGATCCCATGGTGCTTTGAATTCTTGTGTTCCACCCTGTTTACTGTTTCCTATTTGCATTGCTTCTTAGGAAACTTATGGTTTTAGAATGTAACACGGTGAGAACCTACAAAGCATGCTCTGAATAAGAGACATTTGCCCGAGTTCCTGTGAGTGTTTTTATTTAACTAAAATTTCCTAATACAAAATCATATAAAGTACAAATGCCAGCTTATAACAATTTCACCCACAAACTATATTTAAGCACAGCATAGTTCCCAAATAAAATAAGGCTACAGAAACAGCTTTACTGCCTAGGAAAAAAAAGATGTATGCTTTCAGAATAGTTAACCCACAATAGCACAGCTGACAACTTCAAATAAAGGCCACAATCCTGTGAGCCTGTAACTCAATTTTACATTGGCTTGGTGTAGTGTTTCATGTCATGGGTAGAGTTTCCTTACTGCTTTTAATGGTGGACTTTAGAAGCCTTCTTCCTGCAATTAGTATAATAGAAGATATAAGGGTAGAAACAGAAGACTTTTCCCCTGTTCTCCTAGGCAGTGAAAAAGTTTAAAATTATAAATAGTCCCAAGGTTAAACAGAGGTCACATCACTTTCCACTGACTCCATAATCTTGCTTATGTTTTGAGAGAATTTTCTGCTCAAAAAATAATTCTCTAGACAGATCCAGTCCATTGTCCATGGACAAATACATGGCCCCAGTGGAAATTCTCAACTGCCCAGGTTATACCTGGCATGGCCTGTGCAGCCTTCTCATTCCAGAGGGAGGCAGTGTGCTTTCTGAAGACCATGGTGGTCAGAGCTGGTTCCTCAACAACCTTCTTTCAGTCATCCCCACTTTGCCTCCGGGTTATCAGTGCATTGCTGTTGCTCTCTCTGATTCTAGGCTGGGAACTCTCTGTATAAGGACTGTGCCTCAAGCCTTTTGACTCTTCAGCACCAATGGTTCTTGGCTCATAATAATCCATCACTTAAAAATATTGAATATTTTTAGTATTCAATATTTTGAATATTGGCCAGGCGCAGTGGCTCACACCTGTAATCCCAGCACTGTGGGAGGCTGAGGTGCGCAGATCATTTGAGGTCAGGGGTTCGAGACCAGCTTGGCCAACATGGTGAAACCCCATCTCTACTAAAAATACAAAAATTAGCTGGGCATGATGGCTTGTGCCTTTAGTCCCAGCTACTCGGGAGGCTGAGGCACGAGAATTGCTTGAACCCAGGAGGTGGAGGCTGCAGTGAGCTGAGATCACACCACTGCACTCCAGCCTGAGCGACAGAGCAAGACTCCATTTCAAAAAAAAAAATTTAAATAAATGAGTGAATGTAAATGTTTTTTCCTCATTGCCTTTCTAGATAAGTAACTGGTGAGATAAATTATTTAATCCTTAATTTCTGATGATTTAATAGATGATCTGTTTCATGCCATAGTTACCACCAATGAGTTTAATTTCAAAAACACTGAAAACTTCCTAGTACTCTAAAAAAACATGTTCCAATGTGTTCACCAACGCTTAAAATTCCCATTCCATACTTTATTTCTTAGTGGATAGATTTGTTCCCTACTAATAATGAAATATTCTCAGGAAGAGTAGCATATTAGATTATTATCAAATAGATGTGATGGAAGCAGAATTTAGAAACTGTTCTGAGGAGAGAAGTAGAATGAAAATAGAGAAAGAAGAAAAGAACTGAACCCTTGAAGGCACAAAGGATTATTTTAATGAGTAGTTAGTGTTTCTGTCCCAGTAATTCTGGAAAGCATCAGTCTTAATCAAAAACTAAGTACATTATTTGACAGCTCTTTGGAAATATAGTTGGGAAGAAAAGAGCTTTTTAGAACCTAAATAACAAAAATAGCTTATTTTTGAATGCCTACTTTTGAATATGTTTACGGACTCTACATATATTTTTCTCAGCCTTCAAACAACTCAATGGCAAGAGGTCTCATTTTATAGATGAAGAATCAAAGATTAAACAATGAATGGAAAAACAGGGTTTCTAACCACATCACATACTATTCCACCACCACCATCATCACCACCCTTTCCCGTGAACACGTTCTCCCAAATGCAACAACGCCTATGTAAGCATAAATATGATTCTGTATGGCTCTGATTCAACTAAGCACTTTGCCACACTGCTGCTGGTTCTCACTAAGTAATGTCACAGAACTATATATTGCACTGCCCTAGCACAGAACTGTTTTTCAGAAGTGACTCAAATAGAAAGTGGCATTAGTATTAACATACAAAAACATTCTTTTTTTGAAACTCAGAATGCTGGATCTAAGAAATGGCCACTTTAAGCTTGCACTAAATCTGAGTTTTGATGCTTAGCACATTCATGCTTAACGATCTGAACAATAAGTAGTGTGTCTTCCAACTGGTGCAGCTCATTCCCAGCAGCCTAGATAAAGCTGGTGGTGAGTATCCAGTCATTAGAGCTGGAAATGGACTCAGCACCTAGCATGAGCCAAATTGTGACTTCATGCAGGGCTATTTCTTTTTTCTTTTCTTTTTTTTTTTTTTTTTTGGTTTGTTTGTTTCTGTAGCTGTTCTGTTGCATTAAAGAGGAAAAAATTAATATGAACATTCAGTTCAACAACTGCCTTTGAGCACCTCTTATTGCAAAAGCCCCATGCAAAGTAGACACTGTGGAGATAAATAGATTTTAAAATATGCCCCCAAGGAAACTATGAAATTGCTGGCACAAATATTTAAGGGAAAATGGGCCACACTGACATTCCAGAATAAAACTGGTGAGCATTTCACTTATTAGGTAAAAGAGAAAACTCTTACTCATATTGAAATAATGTTTTGGTCTTCTTCTGAAACATGATATACTTTCCTATATTTGACAAAACTGACTTATCCACTTATGCCTGCTGTTTAGGGAGCCCCTGCTGAGAACTGAGAAGTTTCTGTCCTGAAGTCACCAGCTGAGAGGGCTGTTGCTAAACTCTCCCCACATTCTGTCTCCCAATGGCGTCATAGTCTTTGAACACAATGTAAACACATGCTTAATTTTAAGATTGGCTTATTATCTACATTCAATATCTCTGTTTATCAGAGCCCCTCTTAGTCTCTACATCTGTCTACTTATTCCAAACCTTAGTACAACCTTGCCCATCACTGAGGATGATAAACGTGACACAGATTGTCATTTTCCTTTTTATTCTAATGAGCAATCTGGCTCTCATTAGGGCCAATTAAATTAGAACATCCCCCCCAAAAAAGAATATTTAACGTTTATTCTGAGAACAAAAGAGAAAATGCAAGTGTAATCTGTCAGTTTATCAGGCAATATTTTTAACTTAATATTAAGAAATTGCTGTGAACTCATAAATAAACCATTAGCAAAAAGAAAACTGCTAATTAAGGTATAATCTAATCTGCTCGTCTCCATTTTGATCATAGGGTAAAAGTTCAATAAACTTTTTGATCGATACACCACAGAGATAGAAGTGAAATAGTCAAGACTTTTAATCAGGTAATTCACACTCCAGGAAGAAGAGAGGAAAAAAACACTTTGCCTCAATTCCCTCAAAATTTTGCACTAAAAATCTTGCTTTGGGGTGACTCAACCTCTCACTTATAATTTTACAAACGGCATAACCTGAGCGCTTAGAGACCATTTAGCCCAATTCCCTCATTTTACAAATGAAGAACAGGAATACAAAGACTAAGGGAGGCCCCTGGGGGCAGCGCTGGGCTGAGAACCAGGTGTCCCGACGTCAGCTCCTCCCACCTCACCTCCCTTACAAAAAAAGGGGGTGAGGAGGATACCCCTGTTGCACACAGGAGGTGGGGCGCTGCTTAACTTTTGTTAGCACCATCCGTGGGGGTGCTTGGGAAGTTTCGCTCCCTATGAGCGTGGTGACGTCATGCGAGCCAGGGGTTTTCCTAAAGGCAGCCTATGGCTCTGGCCAACGGGACCAAATCTCGGAGGGCCAAATTGAGGGAGTGTGAAGTGGGGGATGTGGCTGGAGAAGAGAAGGTGATACTAGGCCAGGACAGCTGCAAAATGACTGACAACGAGAATGAGAATATGGGTTCCTCTCTTGAGTCCCCAGAATTTTTTTCAAGTTCTTCAGCTGCATACATTTGGCTCTCTGGCGCCCTTTGTTTTCTGGCTGATGATCCTTTTATTTTTCCTGTCCTACATTTAAAAGAGAAGGAAAGAAGCGGGGAAGTCGGTTCCAACTACTCCTCGCAGCCAGTCCTCGAGCGCCCTCTGCCGTGTACATGGGAGCTCTTTGTCTTAACCTTGCAAGCGCTTACTCCTGGGTGTTGCTTTCCGCTATCAACAGAAGGTTATGGCGACATCTACAGAAGGTTATGGCGACATCTTTGCTTCTGTCTGCTGCTCAGGAAAAGCTTGGAAAATACAAAATTAGGTTGATAAAATTTGTTTCCTGTAGGAGTGTCTCCTAATTCAAGTGGAATGTCGCTCACCAGTGGGCTTAAATAAACCCTTAATCTTAAACATCCACTTTATCATGAAAATGGCACTATTTATTCCACTGGCAATATCTTGTGTCGAAATCTAAACAGTATTTCTTCTCTAATGGGAGTGAGACAGAAAGTCCTGCCAATCAAGCAGGAAAAAGAAGCCTGCATCAGACAGCAGGCCTCTGTTTCAAGGGATAAAAACCCATATTCATTCACCCAGGACTGCCGCAACTTTAAAAAACAATGTCAAAAGGAAAAGAAGGCATTGTTGCAAAAGAAAGTTCTCTGGTGTTTGTTTCATTCTTTTTTCTCTTATTTTCTTCTCTTAAAGAAAAAAATAAAAGCTGGTATAATTCCTGGTTTGCTTAAAGGCTAATGTATATTTACAGAAGCATCCAAGCCATGAATCGCTTTGAATTGAGTCGCTGTTAGATGTACAATAGGCCTACTGTGTTGCAAAGAGTCTGGCCACTCATCATGACCCCCTATTCAGTCGACCGTCCATTAATCTAAACACAGGCTCTCTCAGAGACATCCAGAAGCCCAACAATGGTTTACATTTTTTGGATGCTACCTTCCGGTTACTGTACCTAAGTGGGGAAATGTTGCTGAGAGATATTCCAATTTGACTCCCAAACGGGTTTTAAGCAAGTTACCATCCACTTGCCCTAAGCACAAAAGAACAGGTTTTCTTTTCCTCTGCCAAGTATCAATTTTTATATCAGATAGACGTCAATTATTGCTAAAAAGCTGATACAATAATAATGGAGCAGCACACAGTGGGCAGAGTCCCACTGCAGTGAAATTGGATAAGGATTTGGTTTGATTATGTAACTTTTTAGAGCAGCATAGTTTCTGCTAATAGCATGATAAATAAACAGCATCTATAGAATGTCTGAAGAATGACAATTTTAAAAAGAAAGAAAAAACAAAGGTGACCCTTGAATGTCTCTGACAACTAATCAATTTCTGACTACCTTTTTAGTCCCTTCCCTTTACCTCACCAACAACTGCATGTCACCAAACAAGGTTTCCCAAAGAATCTCCTTCTTTCCCCTGCTGGATCAGGTGAATCATAGAATCCACCATACAACTGACAAAAAGTTTTGTTCTACCATAAAGCAATGTAAAGATTAAATGTAAAGCAATGGCCAGATTTCACTTGGAACTTTCTTCTTGTTCAAATTCACTGTAAAATCCCCTTGGTTTAAAACAATGCAAGGTATACGTCCATACCACCCTGAACGCACCCGATCTCGTCTAAAACAATGCAGGAAGAAAATCACGTATTCTGCCGGAAATTCATTTATTTATCTGTACTATAAGACCATTGACTATTCCCTCACTATTTCCATAGTTTTATTAATGCTACAGAAAGAGAAAGTAACATTTTTCCCCAAGATCCCTTCTCATTTTATGGAGTAGATATTTTGAGGCATTACCTAAGTACTCCCAAGCATCCAAATATCCAAATCTAAAATATCTAAAATATCCCAAATATCTAAACACCTCAGATGGGTAAAAGCCTACCTTTTTTTGGGAGATATTCATAAGAGGAAGAGGGAGAGAGCTCACATCCTTATTTTTAACTCATTGCTGTGTCTAAATATCCCCACTACCAGCATCTAAGCTGAATTCTCCCTAGAAATGCTCAGTGCTGGTTATCAGAAGAGAATATGACATAATGATTAACTAGCACAGTATTGACTGTTTCTACTTATCACCACCATGACAAACTGCAAGATCGAACTTCTACTCCATCCCTCATTTTTGTCCACATGAAATCAGAAACCAATTTGACCCATTTATTCACTGAAATGCTTTAATTAGATGGTCTCAGGTACTCTCCAGAAATTACTTTCACTTTCTAACTTCATCACCCACAACTTTTCGCCAGCCACCACCCCTTTAAAAAGACCTCCAACCCGGGTGCTTATTAAAATAGCAGAAGCCCAAGCTCCACCTAGACCTACTAAATTAGAAACTCT
Source organism: Homo sapiens (assembly GCF_000001405.40). NCBI lineage: Eukaryota > Metazoa > Chordata > Mammalia > Primates > Hominidae > Homo > Homo sapiens. The sequence continues at coordinate 219,663,441 of NC_000001.11, forward strand.
GAGATGGAGGCCCAGGAATCTGCATTTACTAAGCTTCCCCCATCACCAGGTGATTTTGATGCAAATGCATTTATTTTATTGCCGCCATAATTCTGAGGAATCACAGTAGAAGCTAACATTTATTAGACTTCTGTTTTTTGCCAGGCACTGTTTGAAACACTTCATACATGTATTAATTCTTTTAATTATCACAATAACTTTATAAGAGGGTACAGTTTTTACCCTTATTTAGATGTTGATTATCCTTTCTGAGATAAAGGGACATTAGGAAACTTATTCAAGAGCACACAGTTAGTATATGGCAAGAGAAAAGATTCAGATCCAGAGGATGTCATTCCAAGCCTGTCACTAAATCACCAGGTTTTACAATCTCTAAAACAATTATTTGTCCTCTGTCTTCTCTACTAGGCTATGAATTTGTTAAGGGCAGGAATCATAGCTTTTCATCCAGATAGCTGCAGCACTCATCCAAGTGTGTGATGAACTCAAGAAATGTTTATCGAATTGTTTATTAGGTTGGTGCAAAAGTAATTGCAGTTTTGGCCATTAAAAAGAGGTAAAAACCCAGCACTTTGAGAGGCTGAGGCAGGCAGATCACGAGGTCAAGAGATCGAGACCATCCTGGTCAACATGATCGTAGTAGAAACCCCGTCTCTACTAAAAATACAAAAATTAGCTGGGCATGGTGGTGCATGCCCCTAGTCCCAGCTGCTCGGGAGGCTGAGGCAGGAGAATTGTCTGAACCCAGGAGGTGGAGGTTGCAGTGAGCCAAGATTGCACCACTGCACTCCAGCCTGGTGACAGAGCCAGAATTCGTCTCAAAAAAAAAAAAAAAAAAAAAAAAGGTGAAAACCACAATTACTTTTGCACCAACCTATAAAATGTAGAATAAACCAAGATACAATGTTTTTGTCTATGGATAGTATTAGGCTGGTGCAAAAGTAATTGTGGTTTTTGCCATTACCTTTGCACCAACCTAATATCAGTGAGATTTTTAAAAAACCCAAAACCTCATTGACCACAAAAGTAAATAAATAAGTAAATGTGGCAGTGCTTTGGTGAAACACCAACGAGATGATGTCTGGTTTTCATTAAAAATCATAAGTAATATAATAAATATATCAAGTTAATTCATACCAGAAACCAAAGCTTACACAGCGTCATACTGTAATACCTCAGAAAGCAGTCCTGGGGACAACCAAGAGGTGCCCAGGGGTTTACTAGTGATCCCCAAACCATGTTGTCATGTCCCTGGGTCTAGGTGTAACTTCAAAACATAAAGAATACACAAGACTATATTGCTGCTTCATTCTGAGGAGAGGCATGTCACTCCTCTTCTTCCTTATCAAATACCTAGAAACTGCAGCCACACAGTTCAGTTAAGTAAACATTTCCAAATCTGTGAAGGAAGATCCAGCTAGCTGTACAGTGGTGGTAGTGCCTTTCAAGTTTGGCTCTGCTCCCTAAAAGGCATAGGCATTCACCTGTTTCATCAAGGTAGGGTATTGTCAGGTGTGTCCAAGTGCATTAGAAATGTCACCGATGTTACCAGCTGCTTCCTAAGAAGAAAAAAGACCTAGAACCCGAATTATGAACAAACAGAGTCTTATTTACATAACTGATATCAGAACTCACATGTTGTGTCCACACTTAGTCTAAGTCCAAATAAAACTGAGAAAGCACATAAACTATTCAGCCAGATATTTAGCATTTTATATATTTATAAGTATATATCTATATCTATATCTATATATCCATATCTATGGATAACTATGTAGACATTTTTCTATTTTTTAATCCAGATGTTCTGATGCTATATTTACATACGTATATACATAAATAGTCATAGTCATCAGATTTCTAATCTGTTGCTTCAACTCCCACATCTTCCAAGTTTTTGACTCAGCTAGGATCACAGGTACCCACTTCTGGATGCACACACCTCACACACAATGCTGACCCTGATGGGATTTTTAGATGAGTTTCAGGGGGTCTCAGGGAATCTCATTAAAAAAAAAACTGTCAGACCCCAGAAATTAACTATTTTCTTGTTTCCAGACTTGCTGAGGAAATATTTTTCTCTTTTTTAGAGAAAATGTATACACCATACCCTACAAGAGCATGTGTCATCTAAACTGTATAAGGGATCATTTGCTGTTGGTGACTTTGAAGTTCTGAATAAATACTCAGAACAAATATCATATTGAAAGTCAAGCCATTGACAGACATGGACACAGCCGCACATTGCCCAGCACTGCTTTGCTGCAGAGAGTTTGCTTTATAAGCTCACGACGCCAGGATAGTCCAGCATTTTGGTCACGTGGGGCTAAGACCAAATTATCAGACTGAAAAAGAAGCAGCCTTGCTTGTGCAGAGAAGGAGAGTCATCAGCATCCTGATTACTTTTAGTGATACAACATATATCTCCCTTTCTTTTCTCCAAGAGTCGTTATGAAAATGGTGATGAAGGTTGCAGCCACTGTCAGCTCCTCCAGGACCGACAACAAAAAGTAGACACCTCACTACTGAAAGTAAGATTTTATATGATTTCTGCTTCCTTTTGTGATTTGCCTCCATATTCTCCTGCCAAAGAATGCAACAGCTTCATAAACAGTGACATGAGGACAGAGCTTGGCTTTCCAATCTAAGTTAGAAGTGGTTTGGTTTGGACCTGCTAAGGGGAAGCATTCTGTATTCAGTCTGATTGGTTCACTCAACCCTCCTTCTAAAGAAAAAGAAGTCTTACCCCCCAACTTTCAGAACCACAAAACACGAAACCATTCATCTCTCACTTTAGAACTTTGCTTGAACCACTCAACACCCCTAACTGAGGCATGCGTCTCTCCATTCAGGGAAGCCCGTTTCTCAGAGCCAAGCACATTTCTATAAATGCTTCATGTGGGAAGGAACAAAACCAATAAGTCAGAAAGCTGACTCAGAAATGATTGGAAGTGTTTCCTTTCTTCCCCCAGCAGATTTGTTGCTCCATGGTGATTTTCCGGTGTGATCATTATGCAAGGCTTGGCTGACTGTCAGTAAAGGACAGAGTATTTGGCTATCACTATTATGACTTTTACATTTGGGGCAATTGCTTTCAATGAATACAAATGTGCCAGTGAGCAGGACTAAAGTACACAAGTTATGCTCCACAGCAAGCTCTGATGAGCCAACACCTCAGATTTTTGGGAACCTATGGCCTGGCCTCGTTTATCTTTCTCAAAAATGGAAGCCACTGCAGGGGCCATAGCATTGGAAGCCTGGGACCCACCACTCAACTGGAGTCTGGACAACAGGCCATGGACCTCAGGACTCTTGGGCCCTCGGTGTTGTGTCAATCAATCAGCAAACACTTATTGATCACTTTGCCAGGTCCAAATGGCATCAAGTTTTTCACTTGAAAGGGCGGTCACTAGTAACAAATTTTGCATTGTAAAGATAGTGCTGCCTACAAGACACATGCAAATGAATTACTCTTTTTCAGTCCTGACAACGGCTCCACTAGGTAGCCGCTACTCTTGTCCTTACTGCACAGATGAGAAAACTCAACCTCGGAGGAGTTCAGTGCTATGCCCCAAATCACAAAGCCGGCAAATTCAGAATCACATTTAGGCCTGATCTCTTTCCACTACCCATCGGCTGGGAACATTAGCAAGGAACTTGGTCCTGGTGCTCTCCTTGAAAGAGTCCCATGTTCCCAAGAGTGGTACAAAGTTCCTTGAGAATCGAACAGCCAGGGCTACAGGAGGGAGAAGTCCCTGCAGCTCCCTGCATACCCAAAGGCCACCGGGCCTCCTTGCTGTGGTTCCTTCAGAATACACCATCAGGTAGATCATTCCTGAATTTTATGTGTCTAGCCCACGTCATCAGGAAAAAGGGAAGGTGCGACAAGACTCATGTTCATGACAGAGTGTTTAGACGCAGAAGCTCTGGAATCAGAGAGACCAGCTTGGAATGCTAGCTCTGCACTAATTTGGTGTGTGAGCTTCGGCACTTTTGGTCTTCTTGTTTTGTTGTTCTTTCTTTTCTTTCTTTCTTTCTTTCTTTCTTTCTTTCTTTCTTTCTTTCTTTCTTTCTTTCTTTCTTTCTTTCCTTCTCTCTCTCTCTCTATTTATTTTGAAAGAGGGTCTTCTTCTGTCACCCAGGCTGGAGTGCAGTGGTGCGATCTCGGCTCACTGCAACCTGTGCCTCCCAGGTTCAAGCGATTCTCCCACCTCAGCCTCTTGAGCTGGGGTTACAGGCATGCACTACCTCACCCAGACAATTTTTTTTTTTTTTTTTTTGGTGGAGACAGGGTTTCACCATGTTGGCTAGGCTGGTCTCCAACCTCAAGTGATCCACCTGCCTCGGCCTCCCAAAGTGCTGGGATTACAGGTGTGAGCCACAGTGCCCAACCTGTTTTGCTTTTTAATTACTTTCACTTCAGTTTCCTCATCCATTAAACAGAAATAATAAAAATGCCTACTTCCAAAGGGTCACTATAAGAATTAAATAACATTGAAAGCAAAGCCACATGATGCCCGGCATATGGTAAGCACTCAATCAATAATCATTATTCATATTGTTATCATCATTAATTTTATATTTATATAATACCTCTGGACTAATTTTATTCTAAAATATACTAATTTCCTGTATGAAGCCAGTCTGACAAACATCAGTGGAGTGCCTGGCACTGGACAAGGCCCAGGGAACACCAGGAGGCATCAGAGAGTCTCTCAAGTAGAGAAAGGTGCTCGGCATAGGAGGATCTTGATTTAGGAAGGAGTATGTGGACATTAAGTGAAGCTTAGAGGTTTTTTTAAACTGTTAAACATTTGGAAAAGGAAGTTTTATGCAGGCCCATGTATGCACACGGTGCTCACATGCAGTACCTTGGATGACAGTTCTTGATTCTTCACCTCTACTCTAAAAATATTGCCCGCCTTCTACCCTGTTCGCTTCGTATTTTGCTAAGCAACTGGCTAGTTTATTTGAAAAAAAAATATGCAAGGAAGTGTTAGTAACTTAACTTTACTAGTCTTAGAAAATAAATTGGAATTGGAATTGGAGTAGTTAAAGCTCTCCCCATTGGGAGCTTCAGGCAATATTGTTCTCAGGACTGTATACTTGGGGTTTGGCAGGTGGAAATGTATTCATTCATTTATCCAGTCAGCCAACCAGCCAACCAGCCAGCCAATCACTCAACAAATGTGCCAGCATATCGATGTTGAACAACACAAGCATGACCCTGACTTTATTGGACTTTGAATCTAGAAGGAGTGGCAAGCATTCAACAAGCAGACTAATAAAGAAATAATTGCAAATAGTGGTAAAGGCTAAAGAAAAAAAGATAAAAGATGGGGCAGAGGACATGCATACATGCAGCGATATCAGGAAAGACTTCTCTAAGGGCAGGTATTTAAACTGAGGTGTGCAGAAGAAGCCAGCCCTGCAAAGACCAGGTCAAGCAGCAGATGAGATGGCAGCGAAAGAGCTTGGGCTCTAAGTCTCAAAAGAGGCTAGCACCATGAGAGCTTGGGATGGGCAGCCAGAGACAGATCATGCATTGCCTTGGAGATCCTGAAAAGGAGTGTGGATTTTACTAAGGTACTAGAAGATCAGGAAAGCTTTCCAGATCTCATCCACATGTAGGATCCTTTAATTTATATTTGTATTTCAAGAAAGTGTAATCTCATTTTAATTTAGGACAAAAACCTTTAGCTCTCTTAACTCTTAGTCAGCACCATCTCACTCCTCTGTAATTTCAGATTCTTGCCCTGCCCAGCATACTGTGCCGGAAAGAGCACAGGTCACCTTTGTTCTTTATGGCGCTACCACTGCCAGTAGCTCGACCTTGAGCAAATTACTCAGCATCACAAATCTTGTCTCCTTCATCTATAAAGAAGGTAGGATTGGGGTTGATCTCAAAGATCACTTTTGCTCTAAATTAATTTGACCAAAACAAGAAGAAAATAACGTCTTACCCTCCCATGGCTTGGCACTTACATTTCCTGCTGCAGAAAAAGTGTGATTTAGGGGGTAAAGAGCATGATTTAATCTTTACCTGCATGCTAATTCTTCTACCTTGAGCAAATGACCTTATCTCCCTAAGCCTGCTTCCTTGTCTGTAAAATACACATAATAGCCATACCTACTTCATTGGGTTCTTACGAAGATCTGGGGGCATAATTATTCACAGTGCCATTAATATCATCAACATGCATAGAGCCTCCCATAACAGTTTGGCAGGACTTGGATGGGGGAAATAATGGGTGTAAGACTTGAGGCATAATACCAAACAAGTCTTGGGACTTACTTTCATGAATCAGCATGTACTGTGCCAATATTAAGGGTGAACCAACATGAGCACTAGATCTGTTTGGAGCCCAGAGGTAAAGTCTGGTCTAGAAACTTGAGGCCGTTGAAAGGTTTTCAGCTCAAAAGGTATTAGCTCACTTGATGTGAAACACATGGTCTATTGGGAACCTCAAGAAAACACCAGCCATCCACAGTTCCCATCTCTCGTGTGTAAAGAATGAAAGGGGGTGGCTGGACAAAGCTTTATTTTACCAGATATAGTCACTGCCAGCAAAGAAAGAAGAAGAAAACAATTAAACTTCTCACATGAGCTAAATCAAATAAGCCCACCAACCTCTTAGTAAAATATACAGGCATTAAGTCTGGCTGCCTTGACATGTGTTTAAAGACTACCCAACTTTCAGAGGAATTGAATAAATAGACTTCAAGTTGTGCGGCTCTCAGGAAAATTTCAAAAGTAAATGCCATTTGATGGCATTGTTTTCCCCTTCTGTTCATAAAATTCACAGAATCACAGGGTTGGAAAACAAATAAGAAAATAAGAAATCATTTCACCCCAACCTGATTTCTAACTCATTGATTTCATAGGTCAAATGATTCTGAGCAAGATGATCCTGAAGTTCAAGCTGTGACTCAACTGCTTAACCAAATAAGATACATGCACTCATAAACACCAAATCCTCCTTACTTCCCGGCAGGACTTCCCACCTCTCCACCAAGGTCATCAACAGTACCAATGTCCCCACATTCCACACCCAGTAAAAATGTCTAAAGGGACAGAGAAATCTAAAAAATGCACTAACAAATCTCTGAGGTCAGATTGCCTGGATTCAAATTCCAGTGTCACCGCTTACAGGTTGTGTGAAATTGGGTGAGTAACTTCTGCAAGCCATAGTTTTTTCATCTATAAAATCGAGATCAAGTTGTGACTCAACTGCTTAACCAAATAAGAAGAGAGCTGGAGTAGAAATGAAGACTAGGGAGCAAAAGGGTAGGTCCAATTTTGACGACATTTTTATTTCTCTGAGGTCTCAACCACATATTGGCCAGCTTCATTTTGTATAATTCCAAGAATATTCTGCTTATGCAAGTACTTCCCAGTCAAATACGTCCTTTGAAATTAGTAGGTGTGTTTCCTGGACTTGGCTGCTTCCAGTTGTCGGCCATTTGGAAAGCCAGGAGGAAATGAGGAAGGGCGATAAGGACAGAGGGCTGACAGGCTGCCAGCTCTAGTTCTATTCCTGACTCCACACAGAGGAACACAATGATAAGTAGTCATCTAAAAAAAGAAAAGTGAATGGGGTGTGGGGCCCTGCTTTCTCAGTAATGATTACTCAGTTTAAATAGACAAAATATTGTATGATAAGTTGGTTACCAAGTTGTATGTAGGCTACAGCTTGTATACTGGAAAGTAGGAAGGACAGAGGGAAGGAAGTGGAGGGTGGGTTGGAAGAAGAGCAGGGAAAGACAAACAGGTAAGCATGCAAAAATGTACTAAAATATGAATTAAATGGTCATAACCATTTATTGAGGACTAGGCTCTATACTCTATGCTTTAAAGATATTTTCATGTCAGTCCTCAAAGAAAGATATTCTTTTTCAAACAAAAAAACCTTCATGGTTTGTTATTACTTCAGAAGGCTTGAGTGGCTTTTTTCTCTTCTCTTCTTATACTATGGAAACATTGCTTTGGAAATGGAAAACAAATGTTTACTGCTTTTTTTTTTTTAGATGGAGTCTCGCTCTGTCACCCAAGCTGGAATCTAGTTCCATAGAACTAGCGCAGTGGTGCAATCTCGGCTCACAGCAGCCTCTGCCTCCCAGGTTCAAGTGATTCTCGTGCCTCAGCCTCCCGAGTAGCTGGAATTACAGGCATGTGCCACCACACCCAGCTAATTTTTGTATTGTTAGTAGTGATGGAGTTTCACTATGTTGGCCAAGCTGGTCTCGAACTCCTGACAAGTGATCTGCCAGCCTCGGCCTCTCAAAGTGCTGGGATTACAGGTGTGAGCCACCACACCCGGCCTGCTTTCTGCCTTATGACTGGCCCTGTGTCTATAAAGCACTGAGTGAGGCAGCTGACCACCCAGCAGACAAGGACTCAGAGGAAGATACCAAGGAGAATACAGAGTATGGCTTACCCCTGATCAGAGTGCACAAGAGACCCAAGGAGCTCAACAAAGGTTGAAGCCCTGTCAGAAATCCTTTTACTGATCCTGCTTCCCTCTATGCAAACTGTATTGCACCTCTTAACTCTCCAAAAAGGGTGGTTAAGATCCACAGGAAACTTCCCCTGTTGTTCAAGCTAGTCCTAGATGGACTATTTTAACTGAGTCAACTTGTGACTGCCAAGCACTTACTTGAGAGTATTAGTTTGTAATATAAATAACACTTAAATATACACAGTTTTCCCTTATTGAAAAAAAATTGTGTCTTATATTTTAGAATTGTAACAGTAGAGGCATTTAAGAGAACAAGCTTGTAACAACAGAGTAAGCACCAGAACAATCTTCTCTAATTGGGAGGGAAGTTCCTCAGTTTTCCATAACGGCATTGACATTACATCTCCAGATGCTCTGCCAGATTGTTAACTCTACACCCCACAGTATCTGATTTTGGCAAGCTTAGATCAGGACACACAACTGAAGTCAAAACTGCCTAGGAGCCATGTGAATAAAGACCAAGTCTCAATTAGCGGGTCAAGAAACAAGCTAATCAATTAGCAGCCGGGCTTTCTCCAACTCACCAAATTAAGATGCCTTTATAAGCATAGATGATCTTTGTAAATGAACTTTCCCCTCCAGTTCCTCCTCTGGGAGGTTAGACTTTATAAGAAAATAGTTGTATGAATCATCTATATTTCTAAAAAATACTGAGTGCCTCCAGGTGTGACACAGATGGTGGACAATAAAAGGGGAGAAACCATTTTTCATTAATAAGGCACATAGATACATGCACTCATAAACACCAAATCCTCTTTACTTCCCGGCAGGACTTCCCACCTCTCCACCAAGGTCATCAACAGTACCAATGTCCCCACATTCCACACCCAGTAAAAATGTCTAAAGGGACAGAGAAATCTAAAAAATGCACTAACAAATCTCTGAAGTCAGATTGCCTGGATTCAAATTCCAGTGCCACCACTTACAGGTTGTGTGAAATTGGGTAAGTAAACTTCTGCAAGCCATAGTTTTTCCATCTATAGAATTGAGATCATGTTAATACTTTCCTCTTGGGATTTTGTGAAAATTAAATAAGTTAATGCCTAGAAAGTAACCAGTATGGTGCCAGACACCAGGTTTTATGGTCAGGACATAATTGCTAACCTGTAATATTCCTTCAAACAAAAAGAAAGAGAAGAGGAGAGAGGAGGAGAAGAGAAACAGAAGAGAAGCAAAAAGGAGGGAAAAAATATTTACTTTATCCTCTTCATATTTCTGTGATGATGGAAGAAAATTTAGCTGAACATCTTTAGGATGTGTTGCAGCCAAGAGAAGTTAGATGCCCTTCAGAAGAGGGAAGAGGAAAGCCAGGAAGAAACCAAGTGTCTTAGTCTGTTTTGTCCTGTTCTGTGCTATAACAGAATATAACAGACTTGGTTATTTATTATTTATTTGTTTATATATTTTGAGAAAGGGTCTTGCTCTGTCACCCAGGCTGGAGTGCAGTGGCCCGATCACAGCACACTGCAGCCTCAGCTTCCCAGGGTAAAGCAATCCTCCCCAATCAGCCTCCTGAGTAGCTGAGACCACAGGCATGTGCCACCATGCCTGGCTAATTTTTGTCTTTTGTAGAGATAAGGTTTTGCCATGTTGCCCAGGCTGGTCTCAAACTCTTAGGCTCAAGTGATCTGCCTACCTTGGCCTCCCAAAGTGCTAGGATTAAAGGCATGAGCTACCATGCCTAGCCCAGCCACATAATTTATAATGAACAGAAATTCACTGGCTCATGATTCTGGAGGCTTGGAAGTCCAAGATCAAGTGGCTGTCATCTAGTGGGGGCCTTCTTGTTGTGTTATCCCAATGCAGAAAGGCAAAGACAAGGTGAAAAAGAGATCAAACTCACTTCCTCAAGCCATTTTATAATTGGCATTAATCTATGCATGAAGGCAAAGTCTTTATGGCCTTCTAACCTCTCAAAAGCCCCATCTATTAACCCCGTTGCATTGATGATTAAATTACCAGCACATGCTTTTGAGGGGGACCCATTCAAACCACAGCAGTAACAGAAACTGCCGTATCATGAATATCGATCATGTACCAATTATTTTGTCCATATCACCTCACTTTCTGAAGAAACGCACACTCCAGAACTGCAGGCTTCTGCCACATGTCACACAGTCAGTTGAGCAGTGGAGTTGATATTTAAACTCACGTCTGTTCGTCTATAAGGTTCACCTCGTACCACCACAGCTGCGATGTCAAATTTGATACAAAAATCATTTGCATGGTTTGTCTTATTTTATCTGTCCTTCCCAACAATGCTGGTAGAGAAAAAAATTAAGCTGTAATATTATTTCCAAAGAACATTATATGATCCTTAGTTTTTAAACTCAAACTCTGATTGACATACTAAGGAGTTATAGGCTTGGGTTATTATTGTTGTTAATGTCAGACTCTCATCAAAAGGAGGAATTACACTTCTTAGGAAACACCCTGAATAAAATTAAGTTTAAAATAGGACCTGTCTTTCCAGGTACCTCAAACTCCAGAGGTTTCAAATTAGTCTAGACATTCAATGGCCTGGAGGCAAGAGTCGGGAACAGTTGTCTATTCTCACTGATCCAATTAAGAAGGACATGAGAAAGACTATCAGAGAGGTGTTTACTGCACACAAGGTTACCAGTGGATTCTTCCTCCAATTCTGTTGCCCAAATTATTGAAAAAGCCTCCATGCTGCTCTCCCAGCTCCTACTTTTGCCCACCCCAATCTATTCCCTGAGTTGTGGTAAAAGGGATCTTAATGTGCATCAGATCATGTCACACTCTTCCTCAAAACGTTTTTGTGTCTTTGAATTATCCTTAGAATCTACTTCAAAAATTTGATATGGCCTTTGAAGTCTTGAATGATCTGGCCCCAGCCTCATCTTGAGCCACACTCATTATCCAGGTTTTTAAAAACATGAACAAATTTTGTTTACGTGACCAACTCTCACCAAACATTTTCTGCTTCAGAGCCTTTGAATATACTGCTGTTCCTACCTGCAATAATCTTCTTTGCCTCTCCTATAGTCCCAAGCCACCAACACACACACACACACACACAAAGACAACCAACACAACCATTCCCACTGCCACTTCCTTCTCGTACTTTAGGTCTTCAGAGAAGACTTTCCTGACCCACAGCCTTCAGTACTTCTGGGCCCACACAGGCCTCCATCCCAGCCATTTGTTCTTGTCAATATCAGCCCTTTGTTTTCTTCATAGCAATCAGGACAAGTTGAGTCTTCATTGGCTCCTGACTGCCTTCCTGGCACATGGAGGGCCTCCATAAAATTTTGTTGGGTAAATGAGCAAATGAACAAAGGTGTATGCAGCATGTTATCCTCATTTTGTTTTTCTTCAGATCTCTAATAACTCCCTCAAGCTGTATTATAACTTTCCTTGTTTACTTCTTTATTGTTTGACTCTCCTTCTAGAAAGCAAACTCCACCAGAAGAGAGACTTCGTTGGGTTCGTTGTTTTATCCAGTGCTCAAAATGGTGCCTGGCATATAATATGCACCCAGAAAGTATTTGCTGGATGAGTGAATGAATGAATAAATGAATACTTGTATCCCTAGAGTCAAGTGCAGTGTCTAGATCAGAATAAATGCTTACTACATGGAAATGTGCTCTGATTCCTTCTTATAATTTAGTAACAATCTGATTTTGACCCAGCTAGAAGCTATGATTAATGTTTCATATAGTCAAAGGCAATAATAGACTGCATTTTATAAACAGATAGTTCATGTTCAGGAACAAGGAGGTACCTTTTGCCTCACCAAACTTTTACACCGGTCATCAGTTGCAAGTTCTGAATTGAAAAATCTTCTCCTGGTATGAGCTTTTGGATCACTTTTGACTCAGTGGTCCTCCACCACCTCCCCTTAGGGCCAGTGAAAATTAACCTTGGGAGATGTTCTGTTGAGACAAAGAAGCAATGTGCCCTTCAAATAACTGTTTCCATGACCAAATCCCACTTCAACTCTTTCAAGTATTGCCTATAACACTCACAAAAGAAAACAAATCTCTCTTGACACAACACTTTGACCAAGTTCAATCTGCTTATTCATATTATTCCAACTTTTTTTGGTAGAGAAGATAAACATGGTCTCTGAAAAAAAACATAATCAAAAAAGCACCACCCAGGCCCTTCCAAGGCCCAGCCCTGCTTTCCAGATGCTCTCCCTTTTCAGCTTGGTTTAATTAAAGCTCCGTATGTCAGCAACCCATCAGCTTCAGGTGTGATTCAGATTGCCCCAAAGCATCAGAAAACCTGCCAAGCAACCCAAGAATGAGAGTGAAGTTGAGAAATGTACTCCCCAGAACAAAGCTCATCATTACAAGGGGAAGCCTTGCTCGGAGGAGGAGCAAAGTGATTATCTCTCTCTCTGCTTCAAATTTAGACACATAGCAAAGATAACTCGGTTCAAATGCAATCTGCATCTTAGATCAGTGACAATGCTCTTGAGGGAGGCGTGATACTTCTGAAGTCTAACTTCTGGTCAAACTTGGCGACCTCTCAAACTGTGGCCATGGTATATAAAAGATGCTGAGAACCCTAGTGAGTCTGTACCCTCACACAGTAGAAAGCTCACAGCTTGCTTGTTTATTCTTCTTTTTCCCCTTGATGTGTCAGATCTGAACTTTTTGTAGTGCCTCTGGGTTCGTAGTTAGACAAAAATGCATTAGCTAACAGAGTTTTCTGGCTGTGGTAGCCAGAAATTGAAAGATAACTCGCAACATTATTCAGTCATAGATGAAAACCAAATTCCTATGGGAGATGGGAAGAGAATTCTCTCTGAATAAACGGGACCCTTGCTCAAGACCTGAAGCCCAGAGTGTGCAGTCCCTGTAAAGGCAAACAGAAAAGCATTTAAAAATCTCCTACAGTTCCATGATATGGAATGCTCATCTCCAGGTTACATTAATGGGACGCTTAGCCAAAGCTGTTAAGAATTTTTTACCATGCGACCAAAACAAATGTAAAACAAAAATGGTCCTTACCCAAAACCAGCCTGTATAGACAATGCATCTTTGTGATTCTGCAAATCTTTTCATTACATTTCTAAGAGATGTCACCAGAGGTTTTGGGTACTGTGTGAACACAAGAGTAGTTCATTAACATTTATTTGATCTAGAAACTTCTAGAACAACTTTTAAGTGGTGCATGCTCTGAACTGAGTGAATTAACTGGTTGTTTTCAGATCATGAAGACAATAGCTATGCTTCTGGCAGCTCAGCAGTGATGCATGTGGGTTAAGAGAAGTTTCCTTGCAACAGTTTACATGGTGTAAACAGCAACTTGAAACATTTTCAGGAGCAGCTAAAAAGAAACAAACTAAAACTAAAGCTCCTGGCATGGGCTTGATACACAGAATGCAGAGCAATGTGCAGCTAGATAGGATGGTTTATCACTAGGATGTGAGATGTAGCTCCTTAGAAATTTCACAGAAGCTACCATACTCAACAGGCCATAAAGTTTTTTTAAAATTCAGCCTCAGCAACAAATCAGCTCAATGGGATAGTAGCAAGATATAGTGGAAAAGGCACTGGATGAATTAGGATGCGCTAATTCTCCTCCCAATTCTATTTTTAAGCTTCTGGATGCCTTGGGCAAGTCACTTAATATATCCCCCTCAATTTGCATGTCTGCAAAGTAGAAATAATAGCATCTGACCCAGCTACCACACAGAATTGAAAGAAGGTGATCTGTGCAAAAACACTTTGGTCCTGGGTACATGCCCAAAAGAATTAAATGCAGGAACTCAAACAGATACGTGTACACCAATAATCAGCTCAGCATTGTTCACATGGCCAAAAGGTGAAAACAACCCAAATATTCATCAACAGATGAATGGACAAACAAAATATGGTATGTACATGCAATAGAATATTATTCCATGTTAAAAAGGAATAAAATTCTAGCACATACTACAAAATGAATGAACATTGAAAACATCATGCCAAATGAATAAATCAGACACCAAAGGACAAATACTGTATAATTCCACTTATAGGAGGTACCTAGAAATAGGCACGTTCACAGAGACAGAAAGTAGAATAGAGAGTACTGAAGCTGAAGAAAAGGGGGAATGGGTGGTTTTCTTTAAAGGGTACAGAGTTTCTGAGATGATGACCAAGTTCTGGAAATAGTAGTGATGGTTGTACAACCTTGAACAATGTACTTAATGCCACTAAATGGTACACTTAAAAATGGTTAAAATGGGGTGATGGAGAAGGACACAATATGCTATGGGGTCCTGGGCCATAGTGGATGGCGAGCAGGATATAAAAAAAATTAAAATGATAAATTTTATATGCTATGTGTATTTTACCACTATTTTATTATTATTATTTTTTCATTTATTTTATTATACTTTAAGTTCTAGGGTACATGTGCACAATGTGCAGATTTGTTACATAGGTATACAATACCACAATTTTTAAAATGTGCCGTAATACCAAAAGTTCCATACAAATGCTGAATATTAATTTTTAGAGTCCCGACTTTTCCTTGTATCAGCATCAGTTTACCAGCTTCACTTGAAAATGGCATCCCCATAACTTAGGCATTTATACCAAAGGGGGAAAAAAACAGTAAAGGCATGCTCAAATTTATACCACCTTGTTGAAGAAAGCTTGTAACCAGTAGGTGTTACCTGTGGGAAGTTTTGGGACTAAATACAGCACAACAGCTAACTAGAAAAAAAAAAAAATCTCTTTGCAAGATTTTAGAAAAAATTCTTTTTTCCTTAAATATTTTTTTTCAATGACATCTGAAACCTGATATCAAGAGCATTTACAATTGGTTTCAATCAAAATTAACCAAAACTGAAAAGTCAGGAGAAGACAATAGGGATTACAATGAATAAGTATATGGGAAATAGAAGGAAGGGGTCAGGTCCAACTTTTGATGAACCTATATAATTTGTTGCCTCCGATACTAGGATGATCTCCTAAATCAGCAGTTCCTAACATTTTTGGCACCAGGGACCAGTTTTGTGGAAGACAATTTTTACACAGACCAGGGCAGTGGGGTGGGGGATGGTTGCAAGATGATTCAAGTGCATTATGTTTATTGTGCATTTTATTTCTATTATTATTACCTTGTAATATACAATGAAATAATTATACAACTCATTATAATGTAGAAACAGTGGGAACCC
This sequence comes from Homo sapiens, assembly GCF_000001405.40. Lineage (NCBI taxonomy): Eukaryota > Metazoa > Chordata > Mammalia > Primates > Hominidae > Homo > Homo sapiens. The sequence continues at coordinate 219,679,107 of NC_000001.11, forward strand.
GGAGCTTATTTTCCTGCAACTAGACAGTCCAAGGGGGTTAAGAGAGAGGGAGGGATGCATAGGCAGAACCAAGAGGATTGTTGGGGTAGCAAACCTCCTCTGTGTGATGCTATAATGGTGGGTAAATGTCCTTATACATTTGTCCAAACCCAAGGAATTTTCACAACATCAAGAGTGACCCCTAATGTAAACTATGGACTTTAGGTGATAATGGTATATCACCATATGTTTAGCAACTGTAACAAATGTACCACTCTGGTAGGGGGTGCTGATAATGGAGGAAGCTGTACATGTGTTGAGGTAGTGGGTATTTGGAACTCTCTGAATCTTCCTCTCAATTTTGCTGTGAACTTAAAACTGCTCTTTAAAATGGTTTTCAACAATATGTACAAAAAAGGGGTAAAAAATCATGTCCACCTAGAACCTGTGAATGTGACCTTATTTGAAAATAGTGTCTCTTTGGATACAATCAAGTTTTAGATGAGATAATATTGAATTAGGGTGGGCCCTAAATCCAATGACTGTTGTCCTTATAAGAGAGAAATCTGGACACACAGACAGACACAAAGAGGGAAGAAGGCCGTTTGAAGACAGGGGCAGCCACTGGAGTGATGCAGCTACAAGCCCAGGAACACCATGAGTTGCCAGCAACCACCAGAAGGTGGGAAGAGATTAGGAAGAATTCTTCCCTAGAGCCTTTGGAAGGAGCATAGCCCTACCAACACCTTGATTTTTGATTTCTGGCCTTCATAATTGTGAGATAATAAATTTCTATTGTTTAAAGCTGTTCAGATATTGGTAACTTGCTATGGGAACCCTAGGAAACTAATACCCTTGGTGAACCAGGCCCTTCACAATCCATACCACTTTATCTCCTTAAATAGTTCCTTATACCCCATGCTCCAGAACCACCGAACTACTTGTCATTACCCAAACATGACATACAAATTCCATTCCTCTTTGCCTTTTTACCAGCAGTTTCTTCTACCCTAAAAGCTTTTCTGCCCCTCACTTACCTAAAATAATCATACTCATCCTTCTAAATTGAGATTAAGCAAATTAACATTATCTCCATGAAGCCTTCCAGAATACTCAGCCACCAAAGCTGGTCATGTTCTCCTCTCTGGACCACACAGATCTTTGCATTAGGAACTTAATTCTATTTATTTCTACATTCTGTGTACCTAACACAGTGCTTGATATATAATAGCACTCCAAGGAGTTTTTTTAGGTGAAATAATTATCAATTAATGACTTGATAAAAAATAATTAAGCCTCCCAAAAGAAGCCAAAGAAATGTCAATAGAAAGAAAATGAAGCAATCTTTGTCTTAGTAAGTCTCATTTGTATAATTCACCAAAATTTTTCATCTACCTAAAATTGTTTTAAAAACAACACCTTATCTATTCTCAAGAAAACAAACTAACATGATGACATAAACTAATGTGCCTATTTTTTGAAAGTATAGATTTCAATGAGTACATGCCACTACGTGTTCAAATCTACACTGTCCATTCTGAGGGAAATAGAACAACAGATTGGAGATAAGAACACCTCTGTTTGTGTGCTGGCTCTTTGGATTAGTTGATCCTTTCAAATTTGGTTTCCTCATCTGTAAAATAAGGTGCCTACAATTTGACCTCTGCTTTTTATATAATTTTTGCATATCACAATATTCACCTTCTAATAAAAAATTACTCTTAAGAAATAAAATAATATAAGAACAGACAGATTCAAATAAAACCAGCAAATAATACAAAAATAATTTCTATTTGATTTTGGAAGTCAGGGACAGAAAATGCATCCAAACTCAATCATTCCATTCAAACTCAATCATTTGAATTCATTCAATCCCTTCCCCTTCGCATCTGCATCAGAGCCCTTAGTTCAGTTGGTCCCAATAGCCCTAACTTAGAGAATTAATATGGTGCTGAAAGGTTCATGACTATTTTGGATAGACCAGATGTTGATGACTTAAATTTATGTTAGTAAGTTTTGATTGTATCTGTTCTTGCAGGAAGGTTTAGTGGGGAATGGTGTCTTAGTCAGTTCACGCTGTATGACAAAGCACCATAGAATGGGTGGCTTCCTAAGCAACAGACATTTATTTCTCACAGTTCCAGAGACTGGAGGTGTGAGATCTGTGTTCCAGCATGTTCAGTACTGGCAAGGCCCTCTTCCAGGTTGCAGACAGTCAACTTCTTGTATCTTCACATGGTGGAAAGACAGCAACAGACCTCTTTGGGGTATTTTTTTATACAAGCACTACTCCCATTCATGTGGGCTATACCCCCATCACCTCACTTACTCCCAAAGATCTCACCTCTCAATACCATTACTTTGGGCATTAGGATTTCAACATCTGAATGCTGGGAAGACAGAAATATTCAGTCCCTAACAAGTGTGTATGAGAAGGAGCTTTTATCTCTCGCATATTCTTCTTTAGTCTAAGACCTTCCAACAGCAAGGTCTTTTCTTTTTCTTCCTTATATGCCCTTATCAGAGCTTACGAGCATGTTCCACACATGATTGGTAAGGGATAAATCCATGCCTCAAATTATTGAAAAACTACCCAAAAACTGGGAAGCTTAGAGAAGAATATTTTATGACATCTATCATCTTGAAATTTGTAATAGATCAAGTTCCATATTGCTCCATGTAGAAGACACAAAAGGAGATTGACTAGCATCAAGAGAATCACTGCCATTGAAAAGAAACAAAAAGAGTAATTTTATATGAGGCTATATTGATCTAAATGATAAAATGTTTTCTTTGAAACAAAGAAAAAAATTGTATGTGCTCCTTATTGTAAGGTTAAATAAACACTAGTTAGAAAGAAGTGTGGGCTCTTATTTCTAATTATGGGCCTTGCAGAGTTTGTAGAGAAAATATTTAGCCAACATATCCTATCTCAGGGACTCCTACTTGATAACATCCTAGATAGGGTATACAATGACACCATTTCTCTCTGGACACACTGAAGTTGAGAACAAAGAGGCAATTATGGTTACCAAGGGCAGCTCTCTAACTTGGGTTGTCCAACGGTTATTAAAATAACTTAACAAGAGATTAATTCCAGTACTTCAGAACAACAGAAAACAGCCAACACTGGAAGTAAACATCTAGTAAAACAAGATCAATAAATGGGAAATCACAAAAATTGGATTCCCCGGAACCAAGAACGTCCTCTCTGCAAATCCTTAAACTATGGGAAAATTTGGCTTAAAAATATATGAACATGTTTCTGAATACAAACCTATACATGTGTGTATGTATACAGTATATATATTATGTATGTATATATTATATAATAAACCTTGTATAAATTCATACAGAGGTATGACACTTGATTAATCTACACTTGGCCTATAATTGAAATTGAATTTAGAAATATAAACCAACTCCCTTCCATTACAAGTCCTCGCCAAGACTCAACTCACTAGAATTTACTTAACCTCATGATACATTTTTTTGTTATTAATCTTGTTAAAATCATGCCCCTTCATTGTGAATCCATTGGATCACTGAGATCCTCCAAAAGCTTTGGGAAGGATGAAAAGACACCTTTTCTTCCCATGCACAGCTTCATAGTACCTTCTCTTGCATTGATATAGCTAATTTCATCAAGATCCCCACCTTTAGTGATCTGCAGGTGAAATGCAGGCACCTGACTCCAAGTTCATGCCCCAACTTAAGTCAGCCCCATGCTCAGCGGCACTCCCAAGACTTCCAGGATAGGTCTATGGGCTCTAATCACAGCATACATCACCCAGGAAACAAAAAAACAGCCTCCCTCTCCTAGAGTTCCAATCTTAATGAGTGCTTATCCACCCCATGAAAAAAAAGGGAGAAGATAAATTCTTGTAAACACTGCATTCCCAGTTCCTCTCTCTCTTCCCTCCTCACAGTCTGCAAGTAGGAAGGAGGAAGGAAGCTGGCATGTTGGGTGGAGGAAGAAGAGCTGGCTCAGCCTTTCCTTTCACAGGTTCTGTGGTCAAATCAGTAACTGGGTCTGACTGCAAAGAAGGCTAATCAGAATGTGAAGGATGATGTAATTCCTGTTGTTTTCAGGTGTGAGCCATTAGCAACAAATTCAGAACAACAACAACAAAAAAAACACACATCTTGTACCTGTTTTTCTCCATTTCTAGGAAATCAGTAGTAATATAATGTTGGCATTAGATCTATATAACTATGTTAATGTAGATTATAGATTTATTCATCTATTATAGAAAGTAGCAAAATGATAGTATTACCAAACTTTAGATAATTTATCATTCTTAAGAATGTATGTATGCACTAATAAACATATTTACAAATATTTTCTATGTAAAAATGAAAGTACTGTGCAAGACACTTCTTATTTAGCCCATTCTTTTCTAGGTAACTATATATTTAGGTTCAACATAGTCTCCACACATCAGTTTTCACGTGCAGTCAGTGATTTTTACATATTTGGGGATATTTTCAGATACTGCTCGACTGAAATTATTCTTTCCACCCTAAAGCCAAAAAAAAGTCTAAATAATTACTTCCATGGTTTCTAGGCAGAACAAAAGAAAAAGGACATTCGGGGGGAAAAAAAGACATTTCTGCACACAGGCAGCAGACAATTTGCCAGAAATATTGAGATAAAATTAACTTTCTTAACTTTCATAAACACAAAGGCCAACTTAACAAATTAGGAACCATTAAGACTAGAGGTTTGTCAATGCTGTGTGTGGAAACTTATAAAAAGAAGAAAAAAGACTAGAGGTTTGGAGAGTTGTATTGGGGAAAGGATCTTCCCAAGTCTCTTGCATCTCCACAAATCTTGCAAGTAAAGCTAACAAGACTACCCTTTCTCCTATCTTTCAAAGGATGTTTATATCGCGCATATTCTTGGAATATAGAGATACTGTCTCCCTCTAGAGAAAAGGGAAGTATGTGTTTTCTATCAATTTGGTTTCTATATATTTTTTTACTGATAAATAAAAGATATAAATGTGTTTGGAGTACATGTGATAATTTTATACATTCATATAATGTGTAAAGATCAAATCAGGGTAACTGACATATCCATCACCTTAAATATTTACCTGTTTTTTTATGCTAGGAATGTTTGAATAATTCCCTTCTAGCTACTTTGATATGTATTATATTGTTAACTATACTCACCTTGCTGATCTATCAAACACTAGACCTTATTTCTTCTAACTATATATTTGTACCCTCTAATCATCTATTGAAAGACCTGACCTTTAAAGAACGACCTTTTTAAAGTCATGCATATTCATATATAATTTATATGCAGTAGAGTTTTCCAATTCCAGTTGTACAGTTTTATTAATTGGGACACGTATATACCGTCATGTAACCACCATCTCAATTAAGATACAGGATACTTCCATCACAACAAAAATTTCCCTTGTGGTCTTTTGTAGCCAACTGTTTCCCTCCATACCCAACCTCAGAAAACCACTGATCTATTTTCTCTTCTTGTAATTTTGTCTTTTCCAGACTATCATATGAATGGATTCACATAGTATGTAGACTTTTGGGTCTGGCTTCTTTCTCTTAGCATACTTTGGAGATTCATTTATATTGTAGTGTGTGTCCATTGAGAGGCTTCTTCCATAATGCAAGTGAGAGGTGAGTGGTAACATCGGTGGAGAATGTCGACAAGTTGTAGAGACACAAAGAAGGACAAATGAAAGTGTTCATTTGAAGAAAGAACTTCACAGCCTTAAAAAGAAAACCCTTAAAAATAACAAATTGATTTCATTTTCTATGGCTGTGTAGTATCCCCTGGTGTGTAGATATCACATTTTCTTTATCAAAGTATCTGTTGAGGAATACTTAGGTTGATTCCATGACTATGCTATTGTGAATAGTGCTGTGATAAACACATGCATTCAGGTGACTTTTTTACATAAAGATTTCTTTTCCTTTAGATAGATACTCTGCAGTGGGATTGCTGGGTTCCATAGTAGTTCTATTTTTGTTTTTTTGAGAAATCTCCATGCTGGTTTTCATAGAGGTTGTATTAATTTACATTCCTACCAGCAGTGTATAAGCATTTGCTTTTCTCTGCATCTTTGCCAACATCTGTTGTTTTTTGACTTAATAATAGCCCTTCTTACTGGTATAACAGGGTATCTCGTTGTGGTTTTAATTTGTATTTCTCTGACAATTAGTGATGTTGAGCACTTTTTCATGTTTGTTGGCTACTTGTTTGTCTTCTTTTGAGAAAAGTCTGTTCATGTCAAACTGAGTCTGATGTTCTGATTTCACAAAATGAAGAAATGGATGTCCAGGGAGAAAAAGTAACTTTACACATTGCCATTAAATCTTTATTAGTTGGTTGAAATATTCACAAGTATAGAAAACAAGGCTCCTTGAGGAGCAAAGAACTGGGTACAAAAGAGTAGTAGCCATGGTGACCAGAAACCTTGGAATCATTTTTCACAGTTCAGCTTCCCAGTCCTCTACGTAAGCCCCACTAGGCACTATTTTTCTTACCATTATTTACCAGTGGGGAAACAGAGATGACTTTTCTCAGGGTTACTTGTGGATTGTTGTTGTCGAGAGCAAATTGGAGACTTCTAACATCTGGTCCAGCACTTTGCCACCACTTCACTTTTGTTCTGGAAAAGAGCCAAAATTAGCTCATTGTAAAGAAGTCACCAAGCTCTGATTTTTGTGCAAATAAACTTTATGGTTTGCCATTTAAAAAACTATTACTCCAAGATCAACTTTCAGAATTCAACAAAACGAGGACCCCTGTCTCTCAACACACTATCATGCCCCACAGATGACTAAAGAACACAGTGGGCTCGTGCTTTACATGAGGTAATGCCACATGGATCACACCCTGTCTGTTAGAAGGAAACACTAGAGGATGAGAGCCGATCAGGTTGCAGGCTCCAGAGACCTCCCATTCTTCTCTGTCGAAAGCCAAAGAAATGGCAAATTTAACCCAATTTGAAAATGATTTGAGTCCTCGCTGACCTGGGGAATTTCATTCAGCAGATAACTCCTTAATGCATATAAACAGGGTTGTATAAGCAAGACTGAGAGATTCCCACCATGAGCATTTTGATGTGAGTCTCTTGAGCTTGGGAATAAGTCTCAAATAACTCATCAATTAAGGAAGGAAAAAACTCTGAAGTTAGTTGTTTTGCATCAAGGAGACAGAACAACTGGTTGATTGTTAGATGTTTCTGCTTCTCCATTAGTCCTTCTGGTGTTTGAAGATGATGAATCAATAAAGAATCTGAGGGGCTCTCTGGAGTCTCAATGCATCTGTTATCAGAGCAGAGACTGGCAAAACTATGTAAAAGCCTGTGGAGCTATTCATAGATTCATGTCGGCTCATAAATGAGGAGCGGAATGACTGTACAAGTCAAAATATGATAGCCTCACAGGGTGCTGCTATTGAAATTGAGACATGTACATTAAAGTAATTAGTACACTGAAGTATTATTTGTTCCTAAGAAATGGGACTACGTAGCAGACTTTTAATTTCTTCTTATATGTCTCGGTATTTCCAAAGTTTCTGCAAATGTACAGCAAATTGCTTTTGTAAGAAGCTGAGCATAGTGATGCATGTCTGTAGTCTCAGCTACTCAGGAGGCTGAGATGGGAGGATCACATGAGCCTGGGAGCTCGAGGCCAGCTTGGACAACATAGTGAGAACCCATCTCATTTTTTGAAAAAATTAAAATTAAAAAATTAAAACTTTTATTTAAAGAAATAGCCTTCAGAGTTTAAAAAATAAAGATACTCTATATAAACTGAAATAGTGAGTGGAAAACAACAATGAAATCCAATGAATGTAAAGTTATGTGTTACGTATGCTTCAGAGAAGTCTCTGGCAAAACAGCAAGAGAAGCAAGTTCTAGCTGAAAAGTTTGTATTCAAGAGACAAAGAGAGCAAGAGAGAAAGGGAGGGAGAAAAGGAGTGTTTAAAAAGTAAACAAAAAGGAAGACTGTTAAAATGAGTTGACTCAAATTTCAAAATTAGCCTACAAGTTTGACCTGGCTATTAAAGGCCATGGCAGTTAATAGAATATGAGGTACCATTAGCACATCAAAGGAAGGAAGCTCCGTATCCTCTGCACCACTCAGCCCAATCTGTAGTACCACATTTTAAGAAAACTGTCAAAATGGATTGTATTTGGAAGAAAGCAACCTCGATGGTGAAAAAGGTCTGGAAAATGTCTTTAGAAAAGGATGGTTAAAGGAATTCAGCAAATTTAACTTGAAAACTGGATATATGCAGTAGCAATCAAATGTTGTGGACAGACTCAAAAAAGAAAAAAAAAAGGATCAGCCTAATTCTAGACTGGTTGTTCCTTAGACAATGAGTTTGTCTCTTCTGGGAATATGAAAGGCAATGGCGGGAAACACAGACCCTCAGTCCCTGGAGTGTTAAGGGGCAGCTCTCTAAAGAGAATGTTCACGAACCCTCCTGCTAAACTGAGGAGTAACAAGGTCCCTTTCTCTCTTGATTCTTATTGTTCAACATTGCCAGGCTCTCGAGATATCTTTGCAGTTGATTTTCACTTTATAACATTTTATAGTTAGCAAGAAATTAACTAACAAAGACTTTGGCTCTAAGAATCAGGCTAGATGCTGTTATTTAAGGGAGTGGTGCTTAAATGCGGCCAATTTAATGCGTTTATTTTGTGTACCAGTTAGGTCATTCATAGCTGCTGTAACAACAACAACAACAAAAACCCTGATATTTTATTGGCTTCCAAGGTTATCTTGGCCAGTGACTCCCTATCAGCAGATAAAGAAAGAAAAAGAGAATTGCACATGGGTGGTTTTTCTGAGCCACACCTGGAAATGTGCATACATCAGATCCACCCACTTTCTATTTGCCAGAACTCAACCATCTGCAATCCCAGGAGACACTCCCTGGAGAGAACTCCCTTTTCCATTGCTCTTGTAGGCCTTGTCTCTGATTTCAGAGAGGGACTTCCATACATGCTATCCTCCAAAACAACACAGGAAGTAGGAGAGCCTGGTCTTCTTAGAGACAGTACAATTTTCACAGTTCACTTCCCATTTGGCAGCCCAAGAGTTCTAAGATGTAAATCATTAAGGCTTTTTAGTTCAGACTTATGATTTCTTTAACAGTAGAATTCTCTTGAAACTTAATAGGCTATTGGGTTTTTTTTTTTCCTTAGAGACAAGGTCTTGCTCTGTCACTCAGGCTGGAGTGCAGTGGTGCAATCATAGCTCACTGCATCCTCAAACTCCTGGTCTCAAGCAATTCTCCCACCTCAGCCTCCCGAGCAGCTGGGACTTCAGGCATGCACCACCACACCTGGCTGATTTTTTTATTTTTATATTTTGTAGAGACGGGGTCTCGCTTTGTTGCCCCAGCTCATGTCTAACTCCTGGGCTGAAGTGATCCTCCCACCTTGGCCTCCCAAAGTGCTAGGATAACAAGCATGAGCCACTGTGCCTGGCCCTTAGTAGATTTTGTATCTATTTGTTCCAGACAAGTTCGTGTGCCAGTAAACACCCAAATTTGTTTTTGCTAGATATAATTCTGAAACCTGCTTTATCTTTCTGACTTGTTGCCACCCTCCCTCTCCTCACCATGCCTATTTCTCTCAAATTTCTAGACACCGGGTCTAGAAGCAATTGGCCTTTACAATGTCTTAAGCCCCCACATTTTGTTCCTACATTTTTTTTAAAATTTCTGCTTGTTAACCAGCCAGTTCTTGCCGCAGCTCATATCTTTCTTTGAATAACTAATCAATAATTAACACACTCTAATAATATTCCATTTTCCAATTTATTTTCCTAGAGCTGTATACTTTGTCTTCACTTTGTCTGTTTTCCGAGCTCTCATAGGATAATGGCTTTACCAAATGCATTGCCACCAAATAGGATGAGTCTTTATCTTTCCAGATTCCAATATCAATTACCCTACTGCCCATTGCCAGGAAACCAAATGCTAAGTCAGTGTCACATATTTTGACTTTGATGCTATCACATCACTTTTGATATCAAATTCTATATTACGTAAGGTGATCGTAGTTTTTTTATCCTCAAACATAGTGTATTTCATATTTTGCTGAGGAAAGTATCAATATGTCTTGAGAGAATTGATAAGCACAGTTTAAGAGTTAAAGATAACATGAATAATAAAATGATTACAGGATCTTTAGAATTTGAGCAAAGTGACAGTTCCAAATAAAATCTTAAATGTAGATAAGCATTGGCTCTAGAATTTCAGGAGACCACAGTTTTGCTATCTCGAAGAGCTAGTCTAATCCTGAAATCACACTTTATGAGCTGATTCTGCCTCTTTAAATTTGAATTGCATTTCAAGGTTTCAGAGAGCAGAAGTCATAGTGAACTGACTTCCCTAAAAATTCTGTCCAGCAAACTAATACTAAAATTTCACTCAGCTGTCATGAGGGAGTTAGTTAGAATAGCTTAGGTAGGAAAAAAATAAATAAAAGAAGAAAGGAAAAAAAACCTTACTTTTAATACTCCATTTCTATGCTATATAGAAGTTTAGGCGTGCCAATGTAAAACTTCAGCAACACAAGCAAAGATCAGCAACCAGGAAAGAAGGCAAAGAGACCCATGAATTACATGAAATGATGCTATTCTACCAACAAAGGAAAATATATGAAAATTTGCTCAAGTGTATCCTGGAAATCCTAAGCAGTCTGAATGCAGATGACCTACAAGCATTTTTGAACACTTACTATGTACCAGACATTAAACTAGATGGTAATATGTACATTAACTTATTTCATCCTTTGCAGTATACAGCACTGGCCTAACTTTTATAGTTAAAAACACTGAGAAGTTACATGATTTTCCAAAGTCTCAGCTAAGTTAGGAAGGCAAGGTCAGCATAATTTTAACCCTGCTCGTTTTAACTCTTGAATTTCTTTTTTCCTCTCTACCAGGCCCTTTATTGTTCATCCTTCTAGCATGCTTTGTCAGCTCATGAACTGGCACCTGATTTCCCCACCGTTTCCTATCCTTGGGATGTCACTGCCAGGGACATAAAGGTCAGGGTCTGTAACTTTCCCAAGGATCTTCTGCTTCTACTCAAACTGAAGTGAAAAACTCAGAATCAGATTTTCCCATAGCAACAACAACAAAAAAAAATACAAAGCCAAACCAATATGCAGTGAGAGAGGGTAGGAAGAGGGTTCCTGCTAAGAGATATCAAAAGAACACATTTTTAAATAACTTCCTTCCATACATTTTAATAAAGAAGTTACCTATATATTTTTAAACATTGTCTCTTACTTGAGTGGTGGAGGTGGGAAAGAGCAATAATGAAAAAATTCAACACCTTATAGTGTATCTTATGCCTTTCCACATGAAATCAAACTTCTATAGGAAAAGTTATCTCCCTCTTTATTGCAGAAGGTACAGTCACTTAAAGGCAGTATTACTTTTCCTATTTTTCTAAAAGCATTACAGCCAAGATATTCCAAATGGATTAATCTCTTGAAGCTGAACCCAGTGAAATATAAATGAGAAGCCATTTACAGAACTGGAAGTGTATGCCTGGTGCATTTTTCTCTTTAAAAATCTAACATAAAGTCTCAATTATGCAAGATGAATAAGTTCTAGAGATCTGCTGTACATCATCATGTCTATAGTTAACAATACTGTATTATACACATAAAAATTTGTTAAGAGCATAGATATCATGTTAAGTGCTCTTACCACAATAAAAAATATCCCAACATTGGATGAAATGAAGAAGGGTATATGTCAAAAATAGGTCAGGACATTCTTGCTTCGTAATTTGAGAGGTCTTAAGAATGTACTCTTAAGGAACCAATAATGACAGCCTGCCTAACTGGAAATCTTCCTCTTTATGTAATGATGAAAGGTTATTTTTAAAGAAGTTGGAATTAGATACTAAAGTAATCTTTTAACATCTTTTGTCAATGTAGGAGAGTTTCTAAGAGGTGAATGCCAGTCAATCACTTTTCATGTCTGTAGTGATAAAACAAAGGGAAGAGGTTTAAATTACACTTGAAGCGCTTTCGTATCAACCTAGGAGAGAGCCTTCTTGAGGTTGATAAAGCACTCATTTAGAATACTGAGAAATGTGGTAAAGCCTTTATGCTTAGAGATCAACAAAATTAAATAGGGCCAGGTGCAAGCTCATGCCTGTAATCCCAGAAGGTTGGAGGCTAAGGCAATAGGATCACATGAGACCAGAAGTTCAAAATCGACTGGGAAAACTAGCAAGACCCTGTCTCTACTAAAAATAAAAAAAAATCAGCCAGGCATGATGACATGCACCTGTAGTTCCAGCTACTTGAGAGGCTAAAGTAGGAAGATCACTTGAGCCCAGGAGTTTGAGGCTGCAGTAAGCTATAATCACACCACTGCCACTGCACTCCAGACTGGACGACAGAACAAGACCCCATCTCTTAAAAAACAATTTTACTAGATAAGCATCCTTCCCTAAAGTCATGGGGGCAAGAAAAAATGTTTTCATAAGGTTCTACCACCCAGCTCTAACTCCATAAAATGAGTATCTCCCAAAAGTTCATGAAAGCAGATGATTTTTTTAAATATATTTTCTTTGTAAAGTCAGGGCTGAAATTCAAACTTAAGACAGAATGGTTTTAATGTCTTTTTTGATTATACCGGAAAGTGATGAAATGGTCCTCTCTGAAAATAATTACTTACTTTAAAGATCAAATTTAAAATAATCACATCTATGGACCCCAGGAAGTAGGATTCATTCATGTTTCCCCTCAATGATGTGGAGCTGGCTCATATCAGGTCATAAGAGCCAACTGTGTGCATCTCTTCCCAACTCCACAAACAGTTTCTTCACAATGGTAGCTTGAAATCAGTTATAGTATCAATATTTATACCATGGAAATTAGCAAACACTAAAAAAGCAAAGGTCGGGCGGGGGTGTTCAGTGGCTGTTATTTTCCAGAAAGCTAGTTGTTAAATATTTTGCAGTGTATCACTGTTTCCTATTGCGTTTCAAAAGAGAAACATTAACTTCCTGCTTAGCAGAGATTCTACTGTACTACCTTTGGCAAATTACTTAATCCCTCTAAGTCCCTCTGCGTCCTCATTTTTGAAATAAAAATAATAATTCCTGCTTCACTGAATTGTTTTTAGCAGCAACTGGGTTGATTAGTGTGAAGTATTAAGCACAGTGCCTGCACTTAGGAAGGAGTTGGCTATAGTGACGATAGCGGTGGCACCAGGGTGATGTGCTAGTAATAGGCATCGTCATGGTGCCAGCAGTATCCATCTCATAGTCAGTGTTTCAAAAACTACTGTGGATATTGATTTTTAAGCACCATTATTGCAGATTTTGAGACGGATTCTAAGTTTCTGATACTCAAAACAAAATAGGTAGCATCAAGTTGAATAGAAATGATTTGCCTTCAAACTGCCTGAAATCCCTATCCTTTATAAATAATTGTATTTATCTGGGTCACTTAATTTTGTGTTTCTAAAATCACCAAATTGTATCACCTGAGGAATTGCCAGGGCAGAAGTATAAGAAACTTTATTCCTATCCCAGGCCTTTTAAATATATCTCAGTGGTTTTCAAACTTTCATATGAATCAGAATCATTTGGAGGGCTTGTTAAAGCACAGATTGTTGGACCCTACCCTCAGAGTTTCTGATTCAGTGAGTCCAAGGTGTCAGCTAAAGGGCTGAATTTCCAACAAGTTCCTAGGTGACGCAGATGCTACTAGTCCTAGACCCAAGCTTTGAGAACCACTGCTCTATTTCATCCTCCACTCTGAAATGGCCCATTATCTTTGTACCAAATTAGTGCTTGTTAGTGGCCCTTACCTTCAGGGTACTGGCTTTCCCAGGGGATACCCTGGTCTCTGTCAGTATGTTTGGCTGCATTTTGGGATTTAATCATCCCAAAATGTAGTCATTTAAAAAATTATTATTGTTGTTAATGAGTCTATGATTCAGCAAAATGTTTCTGATTTGAGCCAATTCAGTTGATATCCAGCTGGGCTTAATCATGCATCTGGGGTCAACTGGCCAAAGGCTGGCTGATCCCAGATTTTCTCACGTGTCTGATGGTTGACTGACTGTCCATTGTGGTGACAACAGTGACCAGGCCAAGTGTTGCTCATCATCTAGTAGGCCAGTGCAAGCTGATTTCTATGACAGTGATGAGATTCCAAGAAGAAAAACAGAAGCATTTTGGTCTCCTGAGACCTAGGCGTAACACTGTCATAATTTTATTCCCCCTGCATTCTGTTGGCCAAAGCAAGTCAAAAGACCAGCCCAAATTCCAGAGCTGAGGAACTAGATTCCATCCCTGATGAGAAGAGCTACAAACTCACTTTGCAAAGGATGTGGCTGAAGGGAAGGATGGAAAATAGGGATCATTTTGTGATAATTTCTCACAATCCCTTCTGCAAGTAAAACACTAGTTAACCCAGTTGATATGCTAAAAAATGGCCAGATACATCTAAATGCTAAGGTGAAAAACAGCTTGTATTCTCTAGCTGAGATTTCTACTATATAAATTACAGCTGTTTGAGTATGCATTACCTCTTCTTACGTCTGAGGATAACGAAAACATCCCCCAAAACATAGTTCTCCATACCATGTATTCCAGGGCCAAACTTCTGCTTCTCAGGTATAACTGGATCCTGTCGGCTCCTGCATGTGCCCAACAGACCACCTACCATTTGTTTAATCTTGAAAGAGGGTTGCTACATAATAGACTTACCACATAATTACAAAATATTTTCCCCAGATTCCTATATCTCCCTCCTCCAGTTTGCTCTTAAATGTATTTGTATTTTAATAACATTTTCCAAAGACACTGCACTAAAAAAAATTAGATGAGTGTTTCTAAAACAACACTTTGATCTTACTTCCCAGATGAAATCTCCCCAACTCCATTTAACTCTAATTTCATTTTAAAATGCCATGTATTGTTTCCTTAATAGAAAGAATGCCAACATTACCACAGGAAAAGGTCAAAGAGATGAGAAGACTCAGTGAGCCATGTCATATTTATGCTGCATGTGGATATTTTTTCTTCTTTATTTTTTTGCTATTGACATTAGCCTTTGAAAATGCTTTAACAAATTTAAAATTATAGTTGCCTATTGGGATTTATTAAAATATCTATGGAAGCCAGAACTCATTTTTAACACTTTATGCTCTTATAGGAAAATCCTCCCTAAGATCAGGCTCCAAATGGTAATATTATGGAAAAAATTCCATAAATGAATGAATATTGTATGTAGCAACCCTGGAAGTTTGCTGATGAATATTGCTAGAGTATCTACTGGAGCAAACCAATCTGTAGGATCTCTTCCCTTCCTTTCCTCCACGTTTCCCTTCCTGTATGCCTCCTTTTATACAAAGGTATATCAAGATTCATCTTTGATGAAAAAAAAATCACAAAAGAGCAATATATCTCCTGACACAGGAATCTGTGTAAATGGAGTGGATCGGTTCTTTCCATTTCACTTTGGTGAGAGTTAGAAGGGAATACATGAGCTCATTGTGTGTGTAGTGGATATGAGATTTCTTGGTTACAATGTTGCAAAAGTAAAGCTCTATTTTCTACCACTGATCTCTACTCTGGTTCCTCCATTACGGCTCAGAAACAGAAAAATCTAGTACAACATAATCTAACTCAAAACTCAATTTAAACTCAGTTATTTTTTAAAGGAGTTTTCAAAGCTTATTCTGCACTCCCACTCACATCACACTCTATGGAAGGCATGGAAAATTTGGACAATCAGGTACAACAAGTAAGTATATGGTGAACAAGACAGGGAGCGGGGTAGTATATTCTCATTCTTGGTATGATTTTGCTCATCTTCTCAGGTACATGGGCATTTGACTGTACATAAAGAATAAATACCTGATACAGACTCAGGCAAGTAGTGTTCGATAGCCACCCAACTGGGTCTCTGTGCAACTTCCTGGCCTGAATGATCCTATGGTAGCATGGACACAGCCCCCACCACCAGTGATCAGTCTCCTGCATAGACTTCATTCATGAAGTGTGCTCACTTTGCCTAGTGGCCTCTTGGATCCTGTTCACAGCTAATGTCTTTGCTTCATATTCTGAGTCCAAGGAAACTCATGGACACTTGCCATCCATGTAAGGAGCTCAGGTTATTAACTAGCCTACCTCTTATCAATTTCTGCCACGGTGCTTCTCAAGCTCCCCAACTTTATGGGGATATAGGCCCAGCATCTTTCCAATCTGTCCATGGAATAACATGTGTGTGTGTAGTGGTTTAAAATATTTAACTTTACATTAATTTTTAAACCACATTCACATGTTTATGCAGCCTAAGTAAAACTCAAAAGGAAAAATATTCCTGTAGTTATTGACCCAAGAAAATCCAAATCTATTAATATATGGAAAATGAGAATTAAAAATGAAAATTCAGGCTGGGCAATGTGGCCCATGCCTATGATCCCAATGCTTGGAGAGGCTGAGGCAGGAGGACTGCTTGAGCCCAAGAGTTCAAAACCAGACTGAGCAACGTCACAAGACCCTCGACTCTACAGAAAATTTAAAAATTAGCCAGGCGTGGTGGTGCACACCTGTAGTCTTAGCTACTCAGGAGCCTGAGATGGGAGGATTGCATGAGCCCAAAAGTTTGAGACTGTGGTGAGCTATGATTGTACCACTGCACTCCAGCCCACGTGACGGAGCAAGAACCTGTCTCTAAAGAGAGAGAAAGAGAGATAATTCACCTTATATATTAGGTATGAAAAATTGGCCAGGCACGGTGGCTCATGCCTGTAATCGCAACATTTTTGGAGGCCTAGGCAGGTGGATCACTTGAGGTCAGGAGTTTGAGATCTGCCTGGCCAATATGGTGAAACGCTACCTTTACTAAAAATACAAAAATTATCTGGGCATGGTGGCGGGCACCTGTAATCCCAGCTACTTGTGAGGCTGAGGCAGGAAAATCGCTTGAACCTGGGAGGGAGAGGTTGCAGTGAGCCGAGATCAAGGCACTACACTCCAGTTGAGGTGACAAAGTGAGATTCTGTCTCCAAAAAAAGAAAGAAAAGGGAAAAATTGACCCCCAAATTGACCAAACCAATGTTTATGACTGGACAAAATGTCCTAATTTTTCCTTAACAGATTCACACATAAATTTAAATTACACAATAAGAATTCCTCGTGTACTTAAATTGGTCATGGTAGGCAGGTGAGTAGGAGTTCTGCAAAGAGATAACTGCATCAATAAGCTTGAAATATGTTTAATTAAAGGATTTTCCTCTGCTATGAATTTCAGACCCTATAGTCTATAGATTCAGCTCTACTGTAATTGCTCTGAGAGTAATCATGATCTCTCTCTAGAGAGACAGTAAGCTTCACTGGGACAGGTACATTGTCTCATATTTCTTCAGATGCCTCAGCAAAAAATATAAAATTGAACACATACTAAGTGAATTCATAAGTATTGATGATTGCTTGATTAATTGAGAACCTAAAATTCAGAAAATTCCTGTAGGAAAAAGACATCTTTTGTTAGGATGATCTTATATCTGGATCATATTCTTCCTCAGTCAACGCTTCATCTCTGAATTTATGAAAAAGATATTTCCACATTTGTGGAATTGGATTAAGATAAGAGAACATAGTTGATGAGTGCTACATTTTTAAAGAAAATATGTTAACCCCACAGCCATGAAAGCTCTTATCCGTGACAGGAAGATTGATTAGACCATATCAATGAGCTATTGGGAAGGTAAGAATAATAAATAATAAATAAATAAAAGATCCTTTCAACAAAACAGAAAGCTGCAAATATATAACAATGCATAGTTTATTTCCTTTTATGTGTTAGAAGTTTGTGAAACAAAATGACAAATTTTTTGTAACATAGACAGAGCTGCAAACTTGGGAAGCAAACCTCTTTGTAGCAACCATTAAAATCACTATAAATTTTTAGCATACTCTGGAGCGGTGTTTCCCAGTGAGTTTTGTTTAAAATATTAATAGTCATTACGTGGACCAAAAAAAAGCCCAGTGTCAAATAATTCGGGAAATACTGGATTAAATAAAATTAAACAGGTTTCTTAAGTGCAGGACTTCTCAAAGCCTTACCTATGCTAATGAGCATAATGAATCTGAGAGACAGAGTTATAATGAGTACAATTCCAAAACTTAAGAAATACTGTCCCTCAGAAGGAAAAGGTTTGCATTTCTGAAGAAAAATAAATGCATTTGCAAGACCTAGACATTTAAAATAGTGAACATGGTTCAAACATGCATCAAAGGATTGATTTTAATACTTTTAGGTATCTTTTAGGTATTAAGTCCATCTAAACGGTTTGAATCCATCTGTCAAATAGCAGAATCTACACTATTCTAAACATTTACCATTTGTAAATATCTGGATACTTGGCTTTCTTTAAATAAAAAAGCTTAGCTGGTGGGCCGAACTTTTCACTGTAGTCACAGGCACAATCTATATAATAGGTATCATTTTTAAAAAGAAAGAAAAAAGTCATAGTTTCTACTATGTAAGGTTTATTTATTTATTCACTCAACAAGTATTTACTGAGCACCTACTGTGTACTAGGCATCCTTCCAGGGCTGAGGCTACAGTGGTGAGGAGGAAGGGACCCAGGGAAGATATAAATAATACATAAGGAAGCAAGATAATTTCAAATGATCCATGAATTTAATAGAACAGGGCTACAAAGAGAGAGAAACCAGATGGATACTTTCGTTTGAATGATCAGGGAATGTGTTGCTGTGGAGGTCATAATTTATATGCAACTGAATGATTCATATGAGACAACCAGCAAAGATATGGGGAAGAATATTCCAGCCAGATGAAACAAATGTCAAGCCCTAAGGTAGAAACATGCTTGGCATTTCCAAGGATCAAATAATCTGGCTGTGTGGCAAGGGCATAGTAGGGAGAGGCAGATGATAGGTACTGATTTAACAGGCTATGTGAGAGTACCCTAGGATTCTACAGGACCCACAGTAAGTGCTCAATTTGTTAAGGCAATGATGATGATGATGATGACGACGATGACAATGACAATGATGTTTTAGAAATAGAAATAAAATAGAATAAACTCTCTCTCTCTCTCTCTCTCTCTCTCTCTCTCTCGCGCGCGCGCGCGCGCGCGCGCGTTTTTGTTTTTGTTTGTTTGTTTTTTTGAGATGGAGTCTTGCTCTGTCACCTAGGCTGGAGTACAGTGGCATGATCTCAGCTCATTGCAACCTCTGCCTCCCAGGTTCAAGCTATTCTCCTGCCTCAGCCTCCTGAGTAGCTGGGACTACAGGCATGCACCACCACGCCTGGCTAATTTTTGTATTTTTAGTAGAGATGGGGTTTCACCACATTGGCCAGGCTGATTTCAAACTCCTGACCTCAGGTGATCTGCCCACCTCAGCCTCCCAAAGTGCTGGGATTATAGGTGTGAACCAAACTCTCTCAAATGTCAATGTCAGGAAATACTTTTGAGTAAACTTAGAGTTAAAATAAATGCCAGTGGTTCTTGACCTTTCTGTCATGATATACATTATATAAGTATTAGTCAAGGGAAGTAACACTAATAAATAACAATTCATTTCTCTTAATGAATGAGAAATCACAATCTGAGAATCACAATCTGCTTTGATTTCACAGCTCTCCCCTGAGTGGTGATGGAAACAGCCTGAAAGAGAGATTCAGGCTCTTTTCATCATGCTGCTCTGCCATCTTGGAACCCTCCATTTCTTGTCCCAAGCAAACAGGAAAGAGAAGAGAGAGTAAGGAAGGTACACCAGATACCTCATGATCTCCTAAAAGTAATATACACATTTCCTGCTCACACTTCACTGGTGTGCATTAGTCACATGATCCTATCTAGATCCAAGGGCTGGGAAACATAGTCTTTCCGTGCACCACATAGGGAAAAGAAACAGTTTAGTGACTCCCTATAAGCACATTACACTGCCTTTGCCACAATATGCTTAATGTTATGGGCAGAGCCAGATTTTGAAAAAAAAAATTCACCCTCAAATTGGAAGAGAAGTATAACAAAGAGTGCAGCAAACTTTCTGAGAGATTTAAAAATCTCTCACTTCAGGCTGTGAAAACACCAGACAGATTCTGGGTTATCTTAACCTTTTCTTCCCATTCAAGAAAAGTTTATCCAATTCTCAGTGATGGCCTTGAATTGGGCTGTAAACTATCTTTGTAATAAATTATTGGAAAGCTGT
Organism: Homo sapiens; assembly: GCF_000001405.40. Classification (NCBI taxonomy): domain Eukaryota; kingdom Metazoa; phylum Chordata; class Mammalia; order Primates; family Hominidae; genus Homo; species Homo sapiens. The sequence continues at coordinate 219,699,316 of NC_000001.11, forward strand.
TTTAACTCTTTGTGAAAAAGCCTCAGGATGGTTTGCTACACAGTGTTGTGGGTAAACATCATGGTTAGGAGCCGCTAAATGTATCATATCATAGCATAATACACACACCAAACATAAAAGACTGTACTCATCACTGTCCAGTTCATTTGCCCATTCTTTCAATGATCACTTACTAAGCACCCACTATGTGCCTTTGGCAGTCATCTCAGGACCTTCATGGCTCAGGAACAGTTTTATCATCCTCATTCTGGAAGTCCAACCAGACTCCCTTCCCTGAGGCTTTCCCTCACGCTCCAAGAGGGTAGGAAGTGAGAGGTGAAGAGACAGAAGGCTTTTGTAGACTTCCAGGTCTGAGGCAACTGTGGAAATGCAAGTGGAGAGAAGATGTGGGCACCATTGCATTGGGAAAGAAGAAAACAGAGGACAATATGTAGGAACACAACATTTTTGAAGCAGTGGGACATTGCAACAGGAAAGTTATTTCATCTCCCTCGGCCTCAGTTTGCTTAACCATGAAATAAGTGTCAGGGTTGTGATGAGGATTAAATGAAAAAATGCATATAGACACTTATGCCAGTGCCTATTTTCTAAATACATAGTAGGGTAAATGGAGGATCTAGGTAGGAATCCAGGAAACATGTTCCGTGGGATTAGCTGAGGTAACTGATAAACACCGTCCAAGAGCAAACCAAAGGAAGGATGACTAACATGATGATGTGAACAGATTGTGGAGAAACCACAAGGAGATAACTTGGTGAATGTTTTGCTTGGGGTGAGGACAGACAGGGAGTAAGGGGAGAAGCGGGAACACAGCTGCCCTGCAGGAGAGCTCCAGGCTTGACCCATTGTGCTCCATCCCCATCACGCTGCTGAAAGGAGCCTTCTCTGAGTGAGGGCCTCCCACTCCCTGATTTGACCCAGTCCTGCCAGGATTTCTGATATAACGCAGCAGCTACACAACCCATAGCCTGTGGCCAGAGCACCCTGTAAGGGGAGGAAGAGACAGAGCCTATTAAGAAAAAAACGGAGAACATAAAAGAAAATTGGGGCCAATTGCTGTGGCTCACACCTGCAATCCCAGCACTTTGGGAGGCCAAGACAGGAGGATCACATGAGGCAAGGAGTTCAAGACCAGCCTGGGCTACATTGTGACACTTTATCTCTACAAAGAAAAATTAATAATAATGATAATAATTTTTTATTGAAAAGAAAATGGGGTGCAAGGAGAAACCAAGTGTGTTGATGTTAGCTATATTAGGTGCCTGGAATCAGAAAAGGCAGGACACTGAAGTCTAGACAGTCTGCCATTAAACTAAACTTAATTAGTATAATTAAATACAAGTTAATGCATACATATAATTAATGTATACTAATTAAGTCATAGTACCATGCAAAGCCTGCTGATTGATGGGCTAGATTAGCAATTCAAGTCATTAGCAAGAACAAAATTCTAGCATGCAAGACAGATTGTCCTTAGAAGTTAAGCAGGTATTATTCTAATCCTTGGAATCTCACATTGCCAAATTTATTTCAAAAGTCATTAACTAATTTTTAACATTCTGGTTCTGAGAAAAGAAAACATATCAAAACGTATCCATTGTTCAGGAGACATCAGCCACAATGAACAAGCCCAGCTTTATAGCCCGTGGTATCTCCCCATCAAGTTTCTGAAATCTTGTTTGTTTCACTCTTTGTTTTGAGCCCTGTGATTCTAGGTCTATATATCCCAGAGAAGGGTAGCACATTAACCCGTTATCAGCTGTTATAAACTAAACACAGGCTATTGTATCAAAAATAACTAGAGATCACTTTAGAATGGAGAGTAGAGCTTCGAGGGAATGAGATGCTGTACAAACTTCCCTACAGGAAGATCGCAATGCACCCAGACAATGGCTAAAGGGGAAGAATTTCAGCCCAGAATCCAGAGGAGAGCATTAGCACCTTGGGTAGAGAATGAACATAATGGCATGAAGAAGACCTCAAAGGCAAACCTCCTCTGTAACTGTGTGTGAGCCAAGACTATACAAGATAGATGAACACAGGCAGTCTGTGAAAACTGAGTTCAGATCCTGCAGCAAGAACTGGATGATACAACACAGGAGAGATATGACTCCACATGTAGGCCTAAGTATGCTCTATTCCATTGGGAAGGTCAATATTTTTATTCAATTACATCAGAATGCTTTGGGTCCCATCCTATAAATATGTAGAATCCTCCTGAGGGTTGTTAACCTTTGTTATCTTTATCAGAATGTTTCCAGGCTGGTGAACATTTTGGTGAGTCCAGAACCTTTTAAAATCTTTCTGCAAGTCTGATTACATCCATCTGGCCCTGATTAATATACAATTAACCTGCCAAGCGCTGTCTCAGAACCGCAGAGTCCAAGCCATCTCTGAGCCATCATCTTGCTAAAACTGGATATTACAAGAGCATATGAGGCCAACAAGAGTACAAAGGAGGGTGGTATAACTGAGGGCTGGAGGCGTCAAGAGAGTCCTTGAAGTAAAGGGAATGTGGGCCAAGCTGGAAGGAAGCCAGAATTTATATTCCTTTGGAGCCACCCCAGTGTTTAACAAATAATAGATACGTAATAACTATGTGTTGATTGAAAAGGGGGCTAATGAGGACTCATACACTTCACAATAAATTACCAAGGGCAACATCCCCAAGATTTTAGTTAGTGGAAGCATTCATTAAACATCCTTTCAAGGTTTTGGGACCCCACATGTCCCCAGTGAGAAACTGTGCCTTCCTGAGCATCTAGCAAGCTGCTGGGGAGGAATTTGGAAGCCCTGACATTCCCAATCACTTCTGATAGAGGCTTTTGTCCAAATCAGTTTGTGTACACGTGGATAGTGAAAAATCTTCTCTTTATATGTGGAGAGGCAGGAAGAAGAAGACATAAGAATTGATTGTTTGATTAAATTTGTTATGTTTACTTGTGGGTTGTTGTTTCTTTTATTCTTCTGATTTCAGTCCAACATATTTGGGTGGGGCCGGCATTCAGCCTCAGTATGCTGTACCCAAAGCATTAGAGGGGGAAAAGGAAGTAGTATATTCAGGGACAAAGACAAGTCCAGCAGGATGTGATGATGTTTGAGCACCTACTTTCTCAATTTTTAATAAGCTATTTTGTTATTTCATAAAAATACAGTATATTTCAGCCTTTGGTTTTTAAAGAGAAATAGATGTTTTCTGAAGACTCAACATTCAATGGTTCTCTCTTTTCTCCTTGAGACTGACAAATTCGTCCCCTTTGATGTCATCAGTGGCTTTGGCCCATGATGACTTTCCTTTTCCCCATCCTCCATGGATGGCTCCTCTTCCTGGATCTCTGCCTAGGCTTCTGCCTTCAATCTCTTCTCTTCTTATACTGCATAATCTTCCTTGCTTATCAGGTATATTACATTACCACATATGTGGTCATTTCTTATAGACTGATGACTCACAAGTCTATATCTTTACCCAGATCATACTCTGGAACTCTAAATGATTACTGGACATATCATGTTCAACTTGAAGACATTCCTCCCTTACCCATGCATTTTCCTGTTTTTCCAGTTTCAGAGAATATAAAATAGTTATCTACCCATCATCCAAACCAGATACCTACAAACATATCCTTTCTTTCTCTCTCACTTCCCATTCCCAGCATATCACCAAGCCCTATTAATGCTGACAGTTAGATGTCTCTCAGAGCTATCCACTTCCCTCCGTCTTTAATGTCACTACCCTAGCTCCAGCTGCCCAAGTCTCACCATGACAACCACAGCAGGCTTGATGGATCTCCCACAAGGCTCCACTCTCGTTCTCTCCAATCCATTCTCTATGCTGCAGCCAACGTGATCTTTATAAAATTAATACAGTCCAAATAAGGTCAGATCACACACACACACACACACACACACACACACACACCACTTTGCTTAAACCTCATATTTGCCCTGAGGATAGATGCCAAAATACTTTGCACAGCCTTCATGGCCCTGTGTGGCTGCCTTCTACCTCCTCTCCAGCTGTCCCTCACACCACTCCCTACTTTTTCTTTATATTCCAGCTCCTCTGTTCTTTTTTCAGTTCCTCACTCTTGTACTTCCCACAACCACAAGGCCTTTGTCCATGCTGGCTCTGCCTGTAATTCTCTCCTCCACCACAACAACCCTTCCAGCATCGATTTTATTTCCGTCTACCCTTAGGATCCCAATTTAAACCTCTCTTCCTCGCAGCAATCTCCCCTTAACTGTGGACTAGGTGAGGCTCTCTGTTATACATACACAATCCATACCATCCTGCCCCCATATTTCAGACCACTTATGATTTTATATTTATTTGCGATTATTTGACTTTTAAGTCCCCTACCAAAATATAATATCCATGAACAGAGACTACCTCTGTTTTATTTACCATTACTTCTCCAGAGCATAGCATAGTGCCTGGTACATTGTAACTAACTAAAAAATATGTGATGAATAAATGAATGAATACTGTATTCTTCCTCCAAACAATATGTAGCCAAGTTTTTTTTTTCCAAGTCTACCTCCTTAACATCCCTCATATTTATCTCTGCTTCTCCTTCCCTAGTTCTCCTCATTCACAGCTTAACAACTTCTCACCTGTCTATTACAGAGGTCTCCCAGAGGCTTCGTACACCTGCTCTCCTGATACAGGTACATCTCTTTTTATTGCACTTCCCAGATACTGAGGTTCTGTTGTTGTTGTTTTGTTTTGTTTTTGCTTTACAAACTGAAGATTTGCAGCAACCCTGTGTAAAGCAATTCTATAGACACCAGTTTTTCAACTGCATGTGCCCACTGCATGTCTCTGTGTCACATTTTGGTAATTCACAAAATATTTCAAACGTTTTCATTATTATTATCTCTGTTATGGTGATCTGTAATCCGTCATTTTTGATGTTACTATTGTAATTGTTTTGGGGCCCCACAAACCACACAAATCAATCAATGTTGTATGTGTTCTGACTGCTCCACCAACTGGCCATTCCCCTCTCTCCCTCTCCACAGGCCTCCCTTTCCCTGAGACACAATAATATTGAAATTAGGCCGATTAATTATTTTGCATTGGCCTCTAAAGTTCAAGTAAAAGGAAGAGTCACACGTCTCTCACTTTAAGTAAAAAACTAGGAATGATTAAGTTTAGTGAGGAAGGCATGTCGAAAGCTGAGATAGGCCATAGGCCAAAAGCTAGGCCTCTTGTCAAACAGTTAGCCAAGCTGTGAATGCAAAGGAAAAGTTCTGTAAGGAAATTAAAAGTGCTACTCCAGTGAACACACAAATGATAAGAAAGCAAAACAGCCTTATTGCTGACATGGAGAAAGTTTTAGTGGTCTGAACAGAAGATCAAACCAGCCACAACATTCCCTTAAGCCAAAGCCTAATCTGGAGCAAGGTCTAAACTCTCTTAGATTCTATGAAGTCTGAGAGAGACAAGGAAGCTGCAGAAGAAAAGCTAGCAGAGGTTGGTCCATGAGGTTTAAGGAAAGAAGCCATCTCCATAACATAAAAGTGTGAGTGCTGATGGAGAAGCTGCAGCAAGTTATCCAGATCTAGCTAACGTAATTAAGGAAGATAGCTACACTAACAACGGATTTTCAACACAGATAAAACAGTCTTCTATTGGAAGAAGATGCCACTGGGGACTTTCACAGATAAAGAGGAGTCAATACCTGGCTTCAAAGCTTCAAATAATGGGCTAACTCTTTGATTAGGGACTAATGTAGCTGGTGACATTAAGTTGAAGCCAAAGCATATTCACCATTTTGAAAATCCTAGGGCCCTTAAAAAATATGCTAAATCTACTCTGTCTGTGCTCTATACATGGAACAAGGCCTGGATGACAGCACATCTGTTTACAGCATAGTTTACCAAATATGTTAAACACACTATTAGGACCTATACTCAGGAAAAAAAATAAAAAACACATTCCTTTCAAAAGATTACTGCTCATTGACCATGTGCTTGGTCACTCAGGAGCTCTGATGGAGAGGTATAAGGAGATGAATGTTGTTTTCATGTTTACTAGCAACATCCATTCTGTTGCCTATGGATCAAGAAGTAATTTTGACTTTTAAGTCTTATTATTTAAGAAATATATTTTGTAAGCGTATAGCTGCCATAGATAATTATTCCTCGGCTAGAACTGGGCAAAGAAAGTTGCAAACCTCTGGAAAGAATTCGCCACTCCAGATGCAATTAGGAACATTTGTGATTCATGGGAAGAGGTCAAAATATCAACATTAGCAGGAGTTTGGAAGAAGTTGATTCCAACCCTCATGGTGACTTTGAGGGGTTCAAGACTTCAGTGGAGGAAGTCACTACAGATGTAGTGGAAATAGCAAGAGAACTAGAATTAGAAGCGGGGCCTAAAGATGAGACTGAATTGCTAGAATCTTATGTTAAAACTTTAATGGATGAGGAGTTACTTCTTATGAAGGAGGAAAGAAAATAGATTTTTGATCTAGGCAATGCCATTTGGGACATAGGCATGGGCAAAGATTTCATGATGAAAATGCCAAAAGCAATTGCAACAAAAGTAAAAATTGACAAATGGTTCTACTTAAATTAAAGAGCTTCTGCACAGCAAATGAAACTATCATCAGAGTGAACAGACAATCTACAGAATGGGAGAAAATTCTTGCAATCTATCTGTCTGACAAAGGTCTAATATTTAAAGTCTACAAGGAACTTAAACAAATTTACAAGGAAAAAAGCCCCATTAAAAAGTGGGCAAAGGACATGAACAGACATTTCTCAAAAGAAGACATTCATGAGGCCAACAAACATATGAAAAAAAGCTCAACATCACTGATCATTAGAGAAATGCAAATAAAAACCACAATGAGATACCAGCTCATGCCAGTCAGAATGGCGATTATTAAAAAGTCAAGAAACAACAGATGCCGTGAGGTTGCAGAGAAGAAGGAATGCTTTTACACGGTTGGTAGGAGTGTAAATTAGTTCAGCCATTGTGGAAGACAGTGTGGCAATTCCTTGAAGACCTAGAACCAGAAATACCATTTGACCCAGCAATCCCATTATGGGATATATACCCAAAGGAATATAAATCACTCTATTATAAAGATACATGCACGAATATGTTCATTGCAGCACTATTCACAATAGCAAAGACATGGAATCAACCCAAATGCCCATCAATGATGAACTGGATTGTCTAACTGTGGTACATATATACCATGGAATACTATGCAGCTATAAAAAGGAATGAGATCATGTCCTTTGCAGGGACATGGATGGAGCTGGAAGCCATTATCTCCAGCAAACTAATGCAGGAACAGAAAATCAAACACCACATGTTCTCACTTATAAGTGGGAGATGAACAATGAGAACACATGGACACAGGGAGGGGAAAAACACACCCTGGGGCCTGTCACAGGGTTGGGGGCCAGAGGAGGGAGAGCATCAGGAAGAATCGCTAATGGTTGCTGGGCTTTATACCTAGGTGATGGGATGATCTGTGCAGCAAACCACCATGGCACACGTTTACATATGTAACAAACCTGAACATCCTGCACATGTATCCCAGAACTTAAAATAAAAGTTGAAGAAACAAAAGAAAGTAGATTTTTGAGGTACAGTCTACTTCTAGTGAAGATGCTGTGAACATTGTTGAAATGACAACAAAAGATTTAGAATATTCCATAAACTTAGTTGATAAAGCAGCTTCAGGGTTCCAGAGGATTGACTCCAATTTTGAAAGTTCTACTGTGGGCAAACTGCTATCAAATAGCATCACAAGCTACAGACAAATTTTTCATGAAAGGAAGAGTCAATTGATGCATCAAACTTCAATTTTGTCTTATTTTAAGAAACTGCCTCAGCCATCCCAGCCTTCTGCAACCACCACCCTGATCAGTCAGCAGCCATCAACATTAAGGCAAGACCCTCCATCAGCAAAAAAGATTACAACTCGCTAAAGGTTCAGGTGACTGTCAGCATTTTTTTTTTTATTATACTTGAAGTTCTGGGATACAAGTTCAGAACATACAGTTTTGTTGCATATATACACAAGTGCATTGGTGGTTTGCTGCACCCATCAACCCGTCATCTACATTAGGTATTTTTCCTAATGCTATCCCTCCCCTAGCCCCCCACCCTCTGACAGACGCTGGTGTGTGATGGTCCCCTCCCTGTGTCCATGTGTTCTCATTGTTCAACTCCCACTTATGAGTGAGAACATGCCGTGTTTGGTTTTCTGTTCCTGTGTTAGTTTGCTGAGAATGATGGTTTCCAGCTTCATCCATGTCTCTGCAAAGGATACGAACTCATCCTTTGTTATGGCTGCACAGTATTCCATGGTGTATATGTGCCACATTTTCTTTATCCAGTCTATCGTTGATGGACATTTGGGCTGGTTCCAAGTCTTTTGCTATTGTGAACAGTGCTGCAATAAACATGCATGTGCATGTGTCTTTATAGTAGAATTTATAGATTTATAATCCTTTGGGTATATACCCAGTAATGGGATTGCTGGGTCAGGTGGTATTTCTGATTCTAGACCTTTGAGGAATTGCTACACTGTCTTCCACAGTGGTTGAACTAATTTACACTCCCACCAACAGTGTAAAAGTGTTCCTATTTCTCCACATCCTTTCCAGCACCTGTTGTTTCCTGACTTTTTAATGATCGACATTCTAACTGGTGTGAGATGGCATCTCATTGTGGTTTTGATTTGCATTTCTCTAATGACCAGTGATGATGAGCATTTTTTATGTGTCTGTTGGCTGCATAAATGTCTTCTTTTGAGAAGTGTCTGTTCATACCCTTTGCCCACTTTTTGATGGGGTTGTTTTTTTTTCTTTTAAATTTGTTTAAGTTGACTGCCAGTATTTGTTTAACAATAAAGTACTTTTTAAATTGAAGTGTGTATATTTTCAGACATAATGCTATTGCACATTTAATAGACTAAAATGTAGCATAAACATAACTTTTATATTCACTTTTAAATGTGTGTGAATCACTTTTTTGCAATATTTGTTTGACTGTGGTTGTCTAAAATAGAAACCTGCAATATCTTTGAGGTACATTTATATTCCAATCCAACATACATACTTTGAGAAGAGCGAACTTTCTAAATACAAATCTGAGCATGTCCCTCCCCTGTTCCAAACCCTTTATGTGCCTACAAATATGGAAATAGCTCACACCTCAGTTTCTTTGCTCTGAGCCTTCCCTTTGTTCTTTCCCCACCCCATGTTTTCGCTTAGCAGTGATCACCAATTTTTTTATGTCATGGCATGCATTTTAAAATAATACTTATACAGCAGGCCAGAATATAAAGAGGAGCTCCAAGAGCCCAAAGCTGAGGAATTCAATAATTTAACACACCTCTAATCCATGTAGCTTGTCACCGAGATTGGGGAACTTTGGCTTAGGAAATATTAGTTCAACATTTGAGTCTTGCTGGAGAGTGGCTTTCTCTATAAAATTTTTTCTTCACTTTCGTGACCCCAAAACTGCCTGGAAAACTTTTTAGTAATACTCTGAATACTTAATTTGTTTACATTCCTGCCTTTTTCTATGAGACTGAAAATCCCTTTGGAACAGAAAACATAGATTACTCACCTACGAATTCTCAGAATACAGTGATGGTGCCCAGCCGAACTGATAAAGAGCTAAAAAAAAGGAAGAGAAAGATCCAAGAATCTTTATTCCAAGTATCCTGGATGGTTGTTGGGTTAATTTCCCTTGGTCATCATTTTTATATTTGTAGACATTTTTCTAAAACTAAAGCGGTTTCTTTCTGTTCCCCCAAGCCTTTTTTCCTAGAGGTAAGCTTTCAAACTACTACTATGACTAAGCAAAGTGCTGGCATTTCAAGTGATAAACATCCCAAAAAGAAAAAAAAAAATGGCTACTCTGTGAAATCGACTTCTAAGTGCCCAATAGACTATTGAGCTTTTTGCTGCCAGAAAATTTTCTGTCAACTGATGCTTCCAGAATCAGATGGTTCTCATCAGCAAGAAGAGAGAGATTCCAGAAGGTGAAGATTTTATAAATGCATTGAAAAATGTCAACGTTTTTGTTTCAAGTTATGATTGAAATGAGCATAACCTCATATTTTAAAACACTAGGAATGCTCTTGAAGTGGTGAAAAGACAAAAAGGAAAGCTGAGGCTGCCAGAACAATTTTTCGATTTCTCAGATGAACTTGACAACAAAATGAGTATGGCCAGAAGTCCATCCTCACCCGGAAAGCACTCATGTGCTCACTGAGAAGCCAGTGAACATCATAGCTGATAGCCAGTTCCAAGGAAGCTCATTCAAGCACCTCTATCCAAGAAAGGGTGGCTCCAAGCAACACTGCCCAATTGCAGTAATTTCCTTCAGACTTTACACGTGACTATCAACTTATCGCTACTGACCTAAAAGCCAAACTACGCTTTTTTGTGATAGTTATTGATCTTGCTTTTTTCCCAAACTTAGCTTCCCTGGTGAATAAACACTCCAGTACTCTTCACTGTAAAGTGTAGATGATACAATGCTTACCTCTCAGGGTTGTTGGAATAGTGAGAAGAGCCACAAAATATCATTGATCTATACATTCTAGTGCTAAACATCAACTGAAATAGAAGATGATGCTCTTCTTTCTTTCAGTAGGGGCACAGAAGAATTCACTGGGAAACATGGGAGAGTAACCCAGCTCTGGGGCTTCATCTAAAGGACTAGGGGAAAAAGGGCTCCTATGAAGATGTGGTTGGTGGCTTTGTCCTGTGCCCTCTTAGATAAGCTGGACTACATCTCTCAGAATTTCCTTCCCTGCATGGGGCGAGGCTAGGATTGACAACAAGAGAAATGTTCATAAGTTTTGGAAAGCAGAACGAAGTAGCAGCCATTGCACACTGAAGGTATGTCAAGGGCATGAGGCATGGTTGCAGCTCCTGGATGTTGTGACTGATCTGTGGGCTCATTTTGTTGACACGGGACCCTCCAGGCTTGTAGCTACTCTCATTCCCACCAGACAGCTCCCTTCAGCTTCCTCAAGTCCAAGCCAGTTTGTCCTGGAGGGGTTTAATTTAACCTCATGGGTTCCAGGTGGGTTTTGCTCTTTCCCACTTAACATCTGGCTTTCCTTCCTGACAGCCCATCCTATCCATCCACAGCAACTTCAAGCCCACACCAGGTGCAGAGACCACAGCATCCCATAGAATTCTTTATCAGATCCCACAGTTATGGAGGATCCGTATCATACTCCCCTTATTTCAGATCATTCACTGTGGCTCTGCTTCTCTGATCGAGCCAAACTAATAAAGTAGAAATCCTTCCCACCCTACTTTTCCCCCCAACTTTCTTAGGGAAATGAAAGGAAGCTTCCTAAGGAAATGCACTGTGCCATCCTCTGTCACAGATAGAAAAAGTTTCCGTCATAGTCATGTGACTCCGAAATGCACAATCACCAGCACCTCATCCACTTTCATTCCCAATAGCCGGGGATCAGGAGTAACATTTATATCATCATAAAAGAAATACTTGTAAGGCAAATTCTTGATCTTCAGTCTGAGTCATCCAATGTACTCAGATCCAAAGGAGGCAATTCTCAATTCCTTTAACACAGATGGGACCAGTGAGAGGGGATCCTAGTCATCCTACAAACTTCTGGAGTTACCACATGAAAGAACTTCTCTACTTTAAAATACTTACTCTAGCATCCTGATCCACATCCTCAAAGACCTTTTCAGAAGCAGGAAACAAAAGTAAATGGCCACCCACATACTATGGAGTTGGTACATTTGCTAAGTTGCCCAGGCAACAGAACTAATGACTCAAAACACTGCGGTCAAAACTTTCCAGAGATAGTGATCTTTACTGCAGCAGAAAATACTTTTTCACCTGTAAAATACAACTTCTGTGTTTCAAACTTTCTTTCTTTTTTTTTTTTTTTGAGACGGAGTCTCACTTTGTAGCCCAGGCTGGAGTGCTGTGGCGCGATCTCGGCTCACTGCAAGCTCCGCCTCCTGGGTTCACGCCATTCTCCTGCCTCAGCCTTCCGAGTAGCTGGGACTACAGGCGCCCGCCACCAAGCCCGGCTAATTTTTTGTATTTTTAGTAGAGACGGGGTTTCACTGTGTTAGCCAAGATGGTCTCGATCTGCTGACCTCGTGATCTGTCCGCCTCGGCCTCCCAAAGTGCTGGGATTACAGGCGTGAGCCACCGTGCCCAGCCTCAAACTTTCTTTAGAGTAACACAGCTGAACAATAATTGTGCGATCTCAAGAAAGTCTGGGTGTGTTGAGAACACTTTAAACCTAAGCACCTTGCTATGGTTTGAATCATGGTGTCCCCACCAAAATTCATGTGGAAACTGAATCCCCAGTACAATCTGATTAAGAAGTGTGGCCTTTAGGAGTGGATGTAAATAAACAAAAAGAGGTCCAGAAAGGAGGCAGGAAGTTTAATTGTGGTATCTTGGAGGAAGGCAGGAGAAATGGCCCCTGGAGAGGACAGCTTAGTGTGTTTGTTTATCCCAGCCCAGGCCTGGAGGACAGGTCAGCCCTATCCTCAAGGAGGCTGCAGACAGAAGCCAAAAACACTGTTTCCAGTGGAATTTATCTCTCAGGATCAATCAGGATTACTCCAGGACCCAAGGGACCAAATCCATCCAGCTGGGGAGTGAGGATATATTTACAGGAAAACACAGTGTTGCTTTGGGCACTGGAGATGACCCAGGAGGAACAACAGTGGGTACTTATGGGCTCCACCAGGGCAGTTTCCAGGCCTGGAAGCAGCTCTCTCCCTAGAGCCCCTGTAACAGTGGCCACCACATATTTCCCACTAGTAGCCAATGGGCAGGGGATATCGGCAGGAAGTAAAATAAAGAAAACTGCACGTGAGCCCATAGACAACACGTAGGGACTCCTAAAGTCTCCATAGTTGCTGGAGATATAATTTTAATATAATTCCACAAGTGCCCACAGGCTAGAGGGGTGGAGGATACCCAGGTTCTATTCCATTAGATTAGAGTGAAATGAATGAGGAAAATACTTATCCCAAAAGCAAATGCAATATGTAGAAACTACAGAGTAAAAGTTCAAACTAACCTTTCCTTACTTGATATTTACACTTACCAATTTTTTAATATATTCATTTTTTTAAATTGTCTTCAAATAATGTATGCCTTTGCCACTTGACAATAAGTTGGCTCTCCATTCATTGTTTGCAGGATCGCATCCACTAACAAAGAGGTGGGCCCCTGTTTTTCAAGCCAGAATATTTAATTTTGTTGATGCTTCCTCCTCAGTGTTTCTTAGAAAAACAATGAATTTTGTCCCATGCTGTTTGTAGAAGAGAAAAACACAGAAGGCAAGATTTTGCGAATGCCATCTGTGCTATTAACAAGTCACATTATCTCAGACTTTCACAGTGCATGGCAGTGTCCCAGGCACAACATTTGGTCTGTGTCATGTACAAATGCCTGAAGTTTCAGCTGCATTATTCCTCACCTATGAAACTCAGGGGACTGCCCAGATGTTCTTAAAGGATTCCTTCGGCTTCAATATTGCATCTCAGAATTTCCAACATGATATAACTTACGAGGAACTCCTTCCACAGAAATAAACCTTCCAAAACCCTCGCAAGACATTTTTGTAAACTACTGAGTGGTATATTATTTTTAAAAAATCACTTTAAATAAAGACTCACTTTTATTTTAAACTGGAATAATATTGACTGTGTTATAAAAGCCCTATTATCATTAATAATAGCCATAATATATGAAAAGTTCCACCTAAGTTCCATTACATTAATTTTGTAATATAAAACAGTTTACAAAAAAGGTTACAATGGCGTATGTACAGTTTGGAGACCATAGAATATATATTATATAATTTTATACATGAAAATATATATGTAGGTGCAAAAGTTATAAATGTATATGTAAATGTAGACTGAAATTTAACTAAATATTATGACAATAAAATAGACTTCTTCATAACTTTTGCATTTTAGTTCTAAACTAATTGAAAAAAAGGCTTTAGATTTTTACTTGTAAACCCTCTCCACAAATAATGTATTGCTGATATATCATCTTTGTTCCCAGTAAAGTGGATAAAATCATCATAACAGTTCCTCTGTAAACATTAGTTAAGAACTGAAAACATAAAAGAATTTCCATTAAATAATTGAAAGTTAAACAGTTTATCATCTTGATCTTTAGTGAAGATTATCTTGAGATTAACCTACACAATTATACCCACGTTTCAGCATCAATGTTCATTATGATCTCATATTTAACCAACAATTTATGATGGGTACAAATTTTAAAATATGTGAGCAAGAATAAAAATTATTTGTAATTATACTACCACAAGGGAAAGAGGTGTTTGGCTGAGAAATAAATTAGCTGAGTGATAAAATCACAAGCAGCGTCTTAACAGGCTCGCTCACATGTTCACTAGGTCCATCTCAGCATCCTTCATACTGACTTGTTTTGAAGAGGAAAAAAAAAAATAATGGCTTATGTATTGACTTTAAAACGGGGCATTCTTGTCTTTAATAATGTGATCCCACCAAGTACTTTGCAAACCCCCAAATTGACAGCCACAGATTAGAAAATGTCATAATGTTGATAATATTGAACCATTTCCTAAAAGGTTCTGCTGTAACTGAGTTCTGTTTGTCAAGACTGCCAGAGCTTAGGAAAAGACACAGCTTCCCCACTGTTGTCCTGGCACTGGCCATCTCACGAGGCACACAATCATTAGAACATCTAAACAGATGGCCTTTCGTCCAAGGCAGGCCCTATAGAAGACCCTTTCTTGTTAATACATTCTCTCTTTGTGAGGATTGTTTCTGTGGCTTGGCAAATTGTTTGCCATCTTCTTCATCCATTCCTCATTCTGAATTATCTATGTGACTTTATCTGGGACGTGGTTCGCAGGCTTCCCTTGATCTTGCTAGCCCTCACTTCTAGTTTTACATCAGCTGCTGTCCCTGACTCAGCACTCTAAATAAAAGCAATTGTTTGCTCCTTTTTCAGTATGTATTGCTTTTGGCTCTGAGACAATAGAGCTGAAACTAGACCTCAGGGCTATAGGAGAAAAGTGTTAAGTTCTAAGAGTATGGGATAACATCCATGGGAATAGGCAAGAGAAAACACATCAAACTGCTTTTCTAGACACACTGACATCTCATGTGAATGAAAGAAAAAAATAGTTTGTGAATTCTCTTAATTAGGCCTATTTTTTTTCTGTATCTAAATTGTGTTTCTTTCTAAGATCAAAAAGGACCAAAAAAGACTCCTGAGGCTGTTTTCTTGTCATTTAAGTTTCAAAAACAGTAAAGTACTTTAATTTCGCTTAATTGCCATAAATTCAACACAGCCTAAAGAAAAAGAGTTTATAGTGCCAGTTTTTGTTTCTTAGTCAAAAAATCATTTTTACATATCCCTTCTATATCATTCCTAATTGTATTTTGTATTTCCCAATTCACTCTTGGTAACCTTCTTTGCCCTTCACATTGGATCAGATCAACAGATTTTGCTGACGGAATAAAAGTCACGTAATCACATAAAAAGAAAACCTCAGGTTGAGCTCCATGAGGTCATTCACAGATGTCACCACTAGCAATAGGAGAAGAGGTTGTCTTGCAACTGTAAGAGTAGCCAGGGGAGTCTATGCCTGCTAAGAAGGCAAGAGGCAAGGGCTACTGGTAAGAGTGGCCTCTTCCTCTCAGGAAGTGACTTCAAACTATAGATACGGCAAAAGAAAGTGGTCCAGATCAGCAGTTTCTACCTAATATGCCAAGCATTTCCAAGGGGAGAGCCTCAGAAAACTCAATTGAAGTCTCGCATGGAGTGGACAGCCAAAGCCTTGGCATTGCAAGATATCAGAAGAAACAACCCATCAACCGGAGAAACATGTTGCCACCCTCCTGAGACTTTACATTTCACAAGACCTAACAGGCCATCCTAACTCCAATCAGGGGTTGCAGGGATAAGAAGGCTTTCATTCCCTGGGAGAGTTCTGGGACCAAGGACTCTTCTCTGACACCACCATTGTCTTTTGCTACTGGAGTCACCATTACAGCGTTCGCTTGCCTATGTATAGCTTATTACTTCAGGAAAATTATTTACAAAAAATAAAAGGCGTAAAATATAAGAAGGAAGTAGAGGGGAATAAGAAACTAAATACACCCAGTGCTACCCTCTATGAGAGTATAAAGGAAGAGGTAAATAAACCTCAACATGGAAAAACCTAAAGTCTTTTTTATTCTTGACAATTTGGCTTGAGAAAATTGAAATGCCCTTATAAACCAAAATTAACCCAATACTCTGGCTCTGACAGTGACATTAGCAGTGGTGTGATGCAGCAGCTGGCTCACTCAGGCTGTCTAAGAACCACTTGTTAAAGTGTCAAGAGATTTGCGAGCTCATGTTAAACACAGCCATTTTAAAAATTAAATTATATAAGCTTAAAATGAAATGCATTATATCAAAATGGAAAGATAATACTCAAAATTCTCACTACTTATTTTACTATATTTTACAATCATCTATGCTATCGATGTTATAGACACGCATTTTATCTGTATGATGAAAATACTATAAAATTGTGTGCTGCTGTACTCCTCTTCCCAGTTCCTCTTTCAGTAACATCATGTTAGTAACTTGAAATCAGACATGGTATGAGTATTAATACTATGGAAATCAACAAAAGCTAAAAACCAGGGTTTTATTTATCTTTTTGATTGCCTGGGCTTAAGAAAGAGATGGATAAAATGTTAATAATGAAGATAAACTTAAAAATGTATATATCTGTAGCCATGCATTCTAAATAACACAAAATATCTGTTTAAAAATTTTTCCTCAATTTGAAAATCATTATTTGGCTCAGCAAAGAAGTCACTCATCATTAAATAAGTGACATTCCTACATAGTCCTGAAGCTGAAAGAGATTTTTACTTAATAAATGTAATTTGTATAAGGATGAGAAATAGTTTAATTATAAGACACATAACAAATGTAGTGATGATAGATTGTACTAGGAAAAGAGTTAGCAGATTGGAAAGAAATTTCATTTCTCAGGTAGCAGTTGCAATCGTAAGTTGGCTAAAGACACAAGAGTTCACCAAAAATCAGCAAAAGCATTCTTTAAGAATCAATTGGATATATGGAATTTACAATAAAATGTATTGTATATGTTATTATTTATAAATGTGTGCTACACATCTGTATATCTAATATTTATAATAAAGCATATAGATACATGTATGTATATAACACACACCTACATATACAGTCTGTATATATAGCATATATATAAACATACATATATATGTGTGTTTGTGTGTGTGTGTGTGTGTGTGTGTGTATACGCCATAGTTTGAATGTGTCCCGCAAAAAGCATGTGTTGGAAACTTAATTTCCAATGCAACAGTGTTAAGAAGTGGGACCTTTAAGAGATGACTAAGCCATGAGGGTTCTGCCTTCACTAATTGCTTAATGTTGTTATCATGAGAGTGGGTTTGTTACTGTGGGAGTGGTTTCCTTATAAAAGGACAAGTTTGGGCCCTTGTTGCTCTCTCTCTCTCTCTTGCTCTGTCTTGCCCTACTGCCTTCTGTCATGGGATGACACAGCAAGAAGGTCCTCACCAGATGCTAGAGCCAGGATGTTGGACATCCCAGACTCCAGAACTATGAGCCAATAAATTTTCATTCATTATAAATTACCTAGTCTCAGGTATTCTGTTATAGCAGCATGAAATGAACTAAGACTATACGTATAGGTATATAGATATAGATACAAATATATAGATATCTTTTTAGTGTGATTAATATTTACCAGCACACCATTAGACATTAGACACAGGTATCCTACCATATTCAAAATTTATTTAAATAATTATGGAAATGTATATAAAGCAAAAGGATAAAAACAATGACAATAAAACCAAAATGAAGGGATAATCATGGTAGCATAGAAAGGGAAGACATGGATAAAGTTAACATACTAACACACATGCCCTGAGGTCTTGGATCACTGCTAAGGAGTAAACTGAGAATACAACTCTACATGTAGAAAATTTAGTGATTAAAAAAGGAGATATATAAACTAACTTTGTCAGACTGGGTCGCAAAAACTTCTTGGCATTAAATATCTCTTGCTCACCACTGAACATCACTGGAGAAAGTAAAGAGCCATTCTCTGAATAGCCTGAAGCACAAGCGCTCAGGAACCCTTGGTGCTTCTATCATTTCTCTGGGTGATGCTTCTTGCTCTATTAGGTGAACAGATTAGTATTTCCGTGTTTCACTATACCACATTGAAGTGGTCCTTATGAAAGCCTAAGGCTTGATGGCTGAGCTATTAAGGTCTCTACTGAACTTCTAGTTTGTTTAATGAGTTCTTCACAGGGCACTCCAGAACGTTCCCGTCACTTCAGATAGTCCTGTCACCTAATTATCACTCAAAAAGTTTGTTTGCTTAAGCAACCTTCTGGAACATAACAGTCTTCCCTTTCTTCCACTACTAATTAAATTTTACCAATCACTCAAGGCCCAACAGAAGTCCCAGCTGTTCTATTATCCGACTCTATATCAGTTGATCGGAAAGCTTATCTATTTTCCATGAACAAATCTAAACATCTTCCTGGATACTTCCCACCCAGAATTACTTGAGATTGGAGGCCTATTGGCAATAGGTACTCCTGGCTAACTGACTAAATGATGTAAATGCTTTATAGGCATAAAAAGGAAATCCGAGAACCAAGGCAAAATGTCGACTTTTAAATCGCAACCAGATCAACAAGGCAACTTTTAAAATCCTGACATACTTACGTTGCACAAATATTACAGTCAAAGCACTGGGAACATTACATGGAATACACTTCCATTTAGGCATACTTTCTTTAAAAAATACATTGTATCTGAAAATAAAAACCTACTTCTCTCTTTTAGGAAAAGAACTGTATTAAGAAACATAGTTAGATGACTTCTCCTTTCAGGAACTTTGAGTAGATGTACTTTCCCTGTTTCTCCCACTAAGTACAACTAAAAGACCTGTACCATATACGTAAAATAAACATAAGAAAAAATGGAGGAGAGAAGGCAGACCACCTAGGGACTTCATGATGTGAGGAAACACAGTGGTGAGTTACCTGGTTTTCTTTTTAACCTCCTGTATACCAGACTTGGAGCTGTAAGAAGCTGGTAACCCAGAAATGAAAACAGGTACAGACAAAAAGAGCTCCAACAAATCCTCCACCCTCTAGCCAAAGGATCAAGAAAGAGAAAGCCCAGCAAAAAAAAAAAAAAAAAAAAATTTAGACAATAATCGTATTACTCCAGCCAAACACCACAGGAAAAATGGTGGCCCCACCATGTCTGTGCCAGAAAAGGTCAAGTGGAGAGCCCAGATTTCCACCCTTATGAGGCTATGGTGAAATACCCAATACTCTGCTAAGGTAACATTAAAGAAAGCCAAGTATGGAGACAGCATTTACATCTCTTCCAGCCAGTTACAGGGTCCCTTCCAATGGTGTCAGTGGGGATTATGTGGGGAGCTGGACCTCCCCGCCCAGCCAGCAATAACAAGGAACTTCCCTACTTTAGATGTCAACAAAGGCCAAATGGGAATCTGTACTTCTACCTCCACCTGACAATAATGAGGTAACACTCCCCACCAATTATGGCAGTGTGCTACAGAGAAAGCCAATTAAAACTGAAGGTTTGAGTAATATCTAGTCTCACAACATAACACAAAACTATCCAGATCTCAGTTAAAAAAAAAAAATCACTCACCACACCAAGAACCAGGAAAATCTCAAACTGAGTTTAATAAAAGACAATCAATAAATGCCAAAACTGACATGGTAGAGATGCTAGACTTTTCTGACAAAGATTTTAAAGCAGCCATGATGAAAGTGCTACAATGATCATTTACGAAGATGTTTGAAAAAAATGAAAAAGTAAAATTAGCCAAATCTATAAAAGTATCAGCAAAGCAATAGAAGACATAATGAAGAACCAAATGGAAATTTTAGAATTCCAGAATACAATAAGCAAAATAAAAACTCAATAGATGAACTCAATAACAGCACAGAAGAAACAGAGGAAAGAATCTTTGAGCTAGAAGGTAGACCAATGGAAATTATTCAATCTTAACAACAGAGAAAATAGAATTTTTAAAGAAATAAATAGAGCCTTGGGGGCCTGTGAGGCTGTAACAAAAGATCTAATCTGTCATTGAAGTCCTAAAAAGAAAAGAGAAAGAGGGCAGGTCTAAAGAAAGTACTCTAAGAAATAATGGCCAAAAACTTCCCTAATTTGGGAAGAGACATAAACCTATGGGTTCTTGGAAGGCCAAACAGAATAAATCCAACCAAATCAATATCAAAACACATCATAATTAAACTTCCAAATATAAAGACAAAGAAGAAAATCTTGAACATAGTCAGAGAAAAACTACACCTGAGCAATAGGGGGAAAACAATTCTAAGAAAATAGATTTTTGATTAGAAAGCATGGAGACTAGAAAAAAGTGGCACAATGTTTTTTAAATGTTGAAAGAAAATAACTGTTAATACCCAGTGAAAATATCCTTCAGGAATGAAGGAGGAATAATGACATTCTCAGATAAAGTAAAACCAAGAGAAACTATTGCCAGCAGATATACCCTAAAAGGAAGGCTAACCAAAGTTTTTAAACAGAAAATAAACAATAAAATAAAGAATTTTGGAATATAAGAAGGAATTAAGAAATGAGGCATATAAAAATATGAGTGAGTTCATTCAGCTTTTCTTCTGCTCTTGACTTTTCTAAATTACATTTGACTGTTGAAGCAATAATTATAACACTATCTTATGTTATTCTAAATGTATATAAAGAAAATTCTTTATATAATTAAGTTATAAAGAGAAGAGGGTAAAGGGATGTAAAAGAGGTAAAGTCTCTGTACTTCACTTGAAATGGTAAACTAATGGCACTATTAGACTCTGATAAGTAATGTATATATAATGTAATACCCAGAGAAACCATTTGAATATTTATACAAAATGATACACTTAAGATCACTATAGATAAATCAAAATGAGATTCTAAAAAATATGTTCTAGTAATTCACAGGAAGTCAAGGAAAAAAGATTATAGAAAAGCAAAAAATAAAGTGAACATAATTGTGAGACCTGAAACTATGAAAATGCTAGAAGAAAACCTGGCCATTGGCCTAGGCAAATAATTTATGACTAAGATCTGAAAAACAAATGCAACAAAAACAAAAATAGGCAAACGGGACTTGAACTAAAAAGCTTCTGCACAGCAAAATAAATTATCAACAGAGCGAACAAACAACCTTCAGAATGAGAGAAAATATTTGCAAACTATACATCTGACAAAGGACTAATATTCAGAATCTACAAGGAACTCAAATGTCTCAACAACAACAAAAAATACCAATAATCTCATTAAAAAGTAGGCAAAGGACATGAACAGACATTTTTCAAAAGAAGATATACAAATGGCCAACAAGCATATGAAAAGATGTTCAACATCACTAATCATCAGAGAAATGCAAATTAAAACCACAATGAGATACCATCTTTCACCAATCAGAATGGCTCTTATTAAAACGTCAAAAAATAACAGATGTTGGTGAGGATGTGGAGAAAAGGGAATGCTTATACACTGTTGGTGGGAAGGTAAATTGATACACCCTCTATAAAAAACAATATTGAGATTTCTCAAAGAACTAAAAACAGAACTAATATTCAACCCAACAATCCTCCTGTGAATATCTACCCAAAGAGAAGGGTAGATATTCCATCATATCAAAAAGATACTGGCACTCATATGTTTATCTCGGCATTATACATGACGGAACTGGAAGCCATTATCCGAAGTGAAATAACTCAGAAACAGAAAGTTAAATGCCATATGTTCTCATTTATAGGTGGGAGCTAAGTAATGTATACACATGGGCATGGAGAGTGGAATAATAGACACTGGAGACTTGGAGGTGTGGGAGGGTGGGAGAAGGCTGAAGGATGAAAAATGATGTAATGGGTACAATGTACACTGTTTTGTTGATGGCTGCACTAAAAGCCCAGACTTCATCATTATGCAATATATCCATGTAACAAAACTGCACTTGTACCCCCTAAATCTATAAAGATAATAAATCAATAAAGTGAACAAACAGAAAACAAAAAATAAAAAGGCATATTTTAACCCTAATATATCGATAGTTACATCAAATATAAATTGGTCTATATATGCCAATTAAAAATAAAAGACAGTCATTGTCAAAGTGGATTAAAGAACTTAACCCAACTATGTGCCATCTACAAAAAAAAATACCACAAATATGTGACATAGGCAGGTTGAAAGTAAAAGGGTGGAAAAAGATATAATACTTCCTTCTTATCCATAGGTTATACATTCCAACAGTGGATGCCTGAAACCATGGATAGTACTGAAGCCCATATATACTATGTTTTTTCCTATACATACGTACATACCTATGATAAAGTTTAATTTATAAATTAGGCACAATAAGAAATTAACAATATTAACTAATAATGCAATAGAGCAATCGTAACAATATACTGTAGTAAAAGTTGTGTGTGTGTGTTCTCTCTCTCTCTTTCTCAAAATATCTTAATGTTTTCAGGCCATGGTTGCTCATGAATAACAACTCATGGATAAAGAGAGATTACTGTACATCATTCAAACATTAATCAAAGCAGGAGTGACTACATTAATATCAGATAGTAGATTTCCAAACAAAGAAAATTACCATAGACAGAGCAGGATATTATATATTAGAAAAGGGTCAGTGAACCAAGAAGGTACAGCAATCTTAAATGTGCATGCAACAAACAATGAAGCTGGAAAATATGGGATGCGAAAACTGATGGAATTGAAAGGAGAAAAAGACAAGTTCACATAAAGTTACAGTTGAAAGTTTCAGCACCATCTGCTCAACAATTGACAGAAAATCAGCAAAACTACATAAGAATTCAACAAAACCATCTATTATGGATGGAATTGTGTTTCCCAAAAATTTGTATTTTGAAGGCTTAACCTCCAGAACCTTAGAATGTGACTATATTTGGATATTGGTTTTTTAAAGAGTTAATTGAAAAGAGGCTGTTAAGGTGGGCCTTAATCCAATCTGATTGGTGTCCTTATAAGGAGAGACTAGGATATATAGAGTGAGACACACACCAGGGATGTGCGTGCACACAAAACAGGCCATGTGAGGACCGTAGTATTAAGATATATAGGAAACATGTGTGTGTGTGTGTGTGTGTGTGTGTGTGTGTGTGTGGCATTATGATATATAGGAAACATATATAAGTATGTAGGCTTTTTATGTGTTTTCATCCATGGGTCCTGGCTCATAACTCCCATATCCCTTGTTACTGTCTTTTGTTGTAATGTTGGGTGTGTTAGGCTTCAGAGGCAGGCCTCAGGAAATGGAACTTCTTGCCTGCCTTCCTTTCACCTGTCCCAATGTAGGACTGGAATCTTCCCCTACCTTTCTGATTGTGGGTCTTAAGACCCTCCCCTGTGTGGGTCCCACCTTATACCCTGGGAGAAAGAAGGCTTCCATAAAAACCCAAGAGGCCTGGGTTGAGAAAACTTCTGGATAGCTGAACATATGGCGGTTCCTGGAGGGTAGCATACCCATGGAGGACAGGGAAGCTCCGTGACCTTTCCACCATATGTCACCCTATGCATCTCTTCATCTGTATCCTTTGTAATATCCTTTGTAATAAACTAGTAAACAAAAGTGTTTCCCTGAGTTGTGAGCCACTTCAGCAAATTAATTAAACTCAGAGTGGGTCATGAGAACCCCAACTTGAAGCCAATTGGCCAGAACTTCTGGAGGCCCAGACTTGCAACTGGTATCTGTGGGTATGGGTGGCAGTCTTGGGGACTGAGACCCCAATGTGTGGAATCTGACACTATCTCTGAGTAGGTTGTGTCAGGACTGAATGGGTGTCCACCGCTTGGTGTGTGGAGAAAAACCCACACACATCTGGTTTCAGAAGTCTTCTTCTATTTTGATGAATGCTGTGGTGTGAGAGTAGAGAAAAAACACATTTGGAGAGGGTTTTTCCCAATCCAGGACACAGAAATGAGGCAGCCACCTGCAAGCCAAAGAAAGAGGCATCAAGAGACACCAAACATGCCAGCACTTTGATCTTGGATTTCCAGCATCCAGAACTGTGAGAAAATAAACATCTGTTGTTTAAGCCACCTAGTCTGTGGTATTCTGTTATGGCAGACCAAGCAGACGAATGTACCATCAACCAACAAAATTTAACATTTATAAGACAATCCATCCAACAACAGAAGAATTCACATTTTTTAAGCATACAAGACCATATTTGGGGTTATTAAAAAAACAAATTTAAAAGATTTAAAATTATACAGTGTGTCCTCTGACCATAGTGGAATCAAGCTAGAAATCAACAAATAAAGAAGAAAATCTCCTAGCACTTGGAAAGTAAACAACATACTTCTAAATAATCCATGGGTCAAAAGGAGGTCTTAGTAAGAAAGGACCAAAGCAATGAATAAACAGCTAAGATTTGACAGGAGTGTTCAAGGGAGAGCACTGGAGTACAGCAGGGGAGTGCAGATGCACCTGTGGCAACTAGAAATCCAGGAGGACAGTGTGGAGGCACCTGACCTCTACAGCCCCATCTCCCCTGCTGGGATCAGATCTGCCAAGAGTCAGGAGGGACATCCAGTTACAGAGAAAAGGTAATCAAAAAATCTCCACCAGCCTCCACTGCCACCAAACTTCATGCCTACAGTCCTTACAATGGATGAACCAACAGTCCTTACACTCACTGAGTCCAGTTTGGAGAGCTACCAGGAATTCATGTGGCTGCATTGTCCTGGATTAGGAGCACAAGGTGTACATTTCCATCCCCCAACTCCTGTGAGCTAAGCTGCTGTAGTACAGCACCATCTTGGGAAAAGATGGTGCTGTACTACGGCAGCTTACACACACCTCTGGAGTGTACCCTGCTCTGGGGAACCAGTAGTCATTGCACCTCTCCAGCTCTAAGGATTTACCTTCATTGTGCCAAGCCCACACAGGTGGCTGAATACTGCAACCTTAGCTGTGCAGAACTTGGGCCCAGGATTGGCTATCACTCTAGTTCTGAACAGCAGGAAAATCAACCCCCACCACCTGCACTTCCAGGCGAAGGAACAGTTTGTCAGCACTGCCCAGGAAATCCATTTGTGAGCCAGCCCAATTGCTGCGCCCTCCCACAAGCAGGAGAGGCCCTAGACCGTCCAAGCAGATGATATGCTCCTGGGCCAGTGGAGTAGCTACATACCCATGCTCAGGACCTAAGAAATAGCCCCACAGCACCCCCTGCAGACACATCCCTGGCCTTTCCAATGGCCCCGAAACCCCAGTAAGGGCCTGAGAAACAGCCCCACAGCTCATCCCTGACAGACATGCCTCCAGGCCAACCAACCAACCAAGAGCCCCCACCTTGGACTTGAATAACAGCCTGGAGAGGTGCGGTGGCTCACGCCTGTAATCCCAGCACTTTGAGAGGCCAAGGGGAGCAGACCACGAGGTCAAGAGATCAAGACATCCTGGCCAACATGGTGAAGCCCTGTCTCTACTAAAAATACAAAAATTAGCTGGGTGTGGTGGTGCGCACCTGTAATCCCAGCTACTTGGGGAGCCAAGGCAGGAAAATCACTTGAACCGAGGAGGCAGAGTTTGCAGTGAGCTGAGTTTGCGCCACTGCACTCTAGCCTAGGTGACAGAGGGAGACTCTGTCTCAAAAAAATAAATAAATAAAAAAATAAGAAAAACAGCCCATGGGCCACCCATGGCAGACACACCTCAGATCAGCTGAGCAGTCCTTTGCCTGCATCCCAGGCCCAAGAATAGCCCCATGGGCCACCCCAGCAGAAACAAACCCAGACCAGTGAAGAAGTCATGTGACCATGTCCTGGGCCTGAGAAATAGTCTTGTAAGCCACTCCTGGCAAACACGTTTCCAGGCCAACTAAGCAGCCATGCAGCTGTGTCCTGGGACTGATAAACAGGCCAGTGGTTCAAACCCAATAGACACACTCACAGGCCAGCTGAACAGCCATGCAACTATATAACAGGCCTGAGGAAAAGCCCTGCAGGCTCCCCCTGAGCAGGCATCCCCAAGGCAGTTGCTCATAGCCAGAGTAACAACCCTATGTCCCCAACTACAGTCAGCTAGACTCCAAGTTGGCTACCCCATGATGTGCACATATGTGCCCCCAATCTGAGAAACAGCTCAGCAAGCCTACTCCTGGCAAAGCTAAACCACTATCACCACATACTCTTCCAGCCTAGGCCACTAAGAAACTCCCAAATGCCACTAGTGTGGATTACAGCTGAAGAAACTACACAGACACTACAAAACTATGTCCACCTAAAACCAAAGCCAACATATACCAATCAAACTGACAATGCAAGCCTCATTCATAGGAATAAGGTTTTCCCTATGAAACCTACACCATAAAGTTGGAAGAGGCAACTTTCCCACCAGATGCATAGAAATCCATGTATGAATGCATCAACCATAAAAAAGCAAGAAAACATGTCACCTCCAAAGGAAGACAGTAATTCTCCAGTAACAGATCCCAATCATAAGGAAATACATAAAATGCCAAAAAAAATTTGAAAGAATAATCTTACAGAAATTCAGTGAGATACAAGTGAATATATATAAATAATTCCACAAAATCAGGAAAACAAATGATTATTTGAATAAGAAATTTAACAAAGAGATAGTTAACATTGAAAAGAACCAAACAGAAATCCTAGAGATGAGGAATTCAATAAATAAAATTAAAAATACAATCTAGAGCTTCAAAGGCACAGTAACCAAGCAGAAAAAAAGAATTTCTGAACTTGAAGATGGGTCTTGTGAAATAACATGAGAAGAGAAAGAAAAGAAAAGAAAAGAAGAAAGGAAGGAAGGAAGGAAGAAAGGCAACAAGATATATGATATACCATTAAGCAAACAACTATTTGTATTATCAGTGTTCCAGAAGGAGTAAAGAAGACAAAGGTGAGGAAAATATAATTATTAAAATAATAGCAGAAAATTTCCCAAGTCTTGGGAGAGAGATGGACATCCATGTCTGTGTAGCTCAAAGAATCCCCCCAACAAAGTAGATTTAACCCAAATTGTTTTTCTCTGGGGTACATTATAGTCAAATTGTCAAAAGGCAAAGACAAAGAAAACATTCTAAAAGCAGGAAGAGAAAAGCATCAAGTCACATACAAGGCAATCCTCATTAGACTAACAACAAATATCTCAGCAGAAATCTTACAGGCCAGGAGACAATGGGATGTTATATTCAAAGTCCTGAAGGAAAACAACAAAAAAACTGTCAACCAAGAATATTATACCCAGCAAAGCAATTCTTCAGAAATGAAGGTAAATAAAATCTTTCATAGACAAGCAAAAACTGAAGGAATTAATCACCACCAGACAGGCCTTAAAAAAAAAATGTTCAAGGGATTCTTACATCTGAAGTGAAAAGATAAAAACTACCATCATGAAAACATGCAAAACCATAAAGCTCACTGGTAGAGCCTATATCAAAGGAGAAAGACAAAGGAACCAAACCTTATTACTACAGAAAACTATACAACTGCAAAAAAATAAATAAAAGACACTAAGGAACAAAGAACACGCAAAGCAGCCAGAAAATAGTAAAATTGACCTCACCTCTCAATAATGACCATGAATATAAATGGATTAAATTCTTCATTTAAAAGATACAGACTGACTGAGTGGATTAAAAACAACACCCAACCATATTCTGCCTACAAGAGACTCACCTCACCCATAAAGACACAAATAGGCAGAAAGTGAAGGGACAGAAAGAGATATTGCATGTGAATGGAAACCACAAGCAAGTAGGAAAAGCTATTCTTTTTGTTATTTTTATTTACTTATTTTTTATTATACTTTAACTTCTAGGGTACATGTGCACAACGTGCAGATTTGTTACATAGGTATACATGTGCCATGTTGGTTTGCTCCATCCATCAACTCGTCATTTACATTAGGTATTTCTCCTAATGCTATCCTTCCCCCAGTCTCCCACTCCCTGACAGGCCCCAGTGTGTGATGTTCCCCACCCTGTGTCCATGTGTTCTCATTTTTCAACTCCCACCTATGAGTGAGAACATGCAATGTTCGGTTTTCTGTCCTTGTGATAGTTTGCTTAGAATGATGGTTTCCAGCTTCATCCATGTCCCTGCAAAGGACATGAACTTATCCTTTTTTATGGCTGCATAGTATTCCATGGTGTATATGTGCCACATTTTCTTTATCCAGTCTATCACTGGTGGACATTTGGGTTGGTTCCAAGTCTTTGCTATCGTGAATAGTACCACAATAAACATATGTGTGCATGTGTCTCTACAGCAGCATGATTTATAATCCTTTGGGTATATACCCAGTAATGGGATGGCTGGGTCAAATGGTATTTCTAGTTCTAGATCCTTGAGGAATCGCCACACTGTCTTCCACAATGGTTGAACTAATTTACACTCCCACAAACAGTGTAAAAGTGTTCCTATTTCTCCACATCCTGTCCAGCATCTGTTGTTTCCTTTTTCATGATCACCATTCTAACTGGCATGACATAGTATTTCATTGTGGTTTTGATTTGCATTTCTCTAATGACCAGTGATGATGAGCATTTTTGCATATGTCTGTTGGCTGCATAAATGTCTTCTTTTGGGAAGTGTCTGTTCATATCCTTTGCCCAATTTTTGATGAGGTTGTTTGTTTTTTTCTTGTAAATTTGTTTAACGTTTTTGTAGATTCTGGATATTAGCCCTTTGTCAGATCAGTAGATTGCAAAAATTTTCTCCCATTCTGTAGGTTGCCTGTTCACTCTGATGATAGTTTCTTTTGCTGTGCAGAAGATCTTTAGTTTAATTAGATTGCATTTGTCTATTTTGGCTTTTGTTGCCATTGCTTTTGGTGTTTCAGTCATGAAGTCTTTGCCCATGCCTATGTCCTGAATGGTATTGCCCAGGTTTTCTTCTAAGGTTTTTACAGTGTTATTCTTACATTTAAGTCTTTAATCCATCTTGAGTTAATTTTTGTATAAGGTGTAAGGAAGGGATCCAGTTTCAGCTTTCTACATATGCCTAGCCAGTTTCCCAGAACCATTTATTAAATAGGGAATCCTTTCCCCATTGCTTGTTTTTCTCAGGTTTCTCAAAGATCAGATAGTTGTAGATGTGTGACATTATTTCTGAGGCCTCTGTTCTGTTCCATTGGTCTATATCTCTGTTTTGGTACCAGTACCATGCTGTTTTGGTTACTGTAGCCTTGTAGTATAGTTTGAAGTCAGGTAGTGTGATGCCTCCAGCTTTGTTCTTTTGGCTTAGGATTGTCTTGGCAATGCAGGCTCTTTTTGATTCCATATGAACTTTAAAGTAGTTTTTTCCAATTCTGTGAAGAAAGTCAGTGGTCACTTGATGGGGATAGCATTGAATTATAAATTACTTTGGGCAGTATGGCCATTTTCATGATATTGATTCTTCCTATCCATGAGCATGGAATGTTCTTCCATTTATTTGTGTCCTCTTTTATTTCATTGAGCAGTGGTTTGTAGTTCTTCTTGAAGGGGTCCGTCACATCCCTTGTAAGTTGGATTCCTGGGTATTTTATTCTCTTTAAAGCAATTGAGGATGGGAGTTCACTCATGATTTGGCTCTCTGTTTGTCTATTATTGGTGTATAGGAATGCTTGTGATTTTTGCACATGATTTTGTATCCTGAGACTTTGCTGAAGTTGCTTATCAGCTTAAGGCGATTTTGGGCTAAGACAATGGGATTTTTTAAATATACAATCATGTCATCTGCAAACAGAGACAATTTGACTTCCTCCTTTCCTAATTGAATATCCTTTATTTCTTTCTCTTGCCTGATTGCCCTAGCCAGAACTTCCAACACTATGTTGAATAGGAGTGGTGAGAGAGGGCATCCTGGTCTTGTGCCGGT
Source organism: Homo sapiens (assembly GCF_000001405.40). NCBI lineage: Eukaryota > Metazoa > Chordata > Mammalia > Primates > Hominidae > Homo > Homo sapiens. The sequence goes on from NC_000001.11 coordinate 219,729,341, forward strand.
TTTCAAAGGAAATGCTTCCAGTTTTTGCCCATTCAGTATGATATTGGGCACATACTGGGTTTGTCATAAATAGCTCTTATTATTTTGGGATACGTTCCATCAATACCTAGTTTATTGAGAGTTTTTAGCATGAAGAGCTGTTAAATTTTGTCAAAGGCCTTTTCTGCATCTATTGAGATAATCATGTGGTTTTTGTCATTGGTTCTGTTTATGTGATGGATTACGTTTATTGATTTGCATATGTTGAACCAGCCTTGTATCCCAGGGATGAAGCGGACTTGACCATGGTGGATAGGCTTTTTGATGTGCTGCTGGATTCAGTTTGCCAGTATTTTATTGAGGATTTTCGTATAGATGTTCATCAGGGATATTGGCCTAAAATTCTCTTTTTTTGTTGTGTCTCTGCCAGGCTTTGTTATCAGGATGATGCTAGCCTCATAAAATGAGTTAGGGAGGATTCCCTCTTTTCCTATTCATTGAAATAGTTTCAGAAGGAATGGTACCAGCTCCTCTTTGTACCTCTGGTAGAATTCAGCTGTGAATCCGTCTGGTCCTGGACTTTTTTTGGTTTGTAGGCTATTAATTATTGCCTCAATTTCAGAAACTTTTTATGTTTAAATAATATTAGGGAGCCAAAATGATAGGGCAAAGATAATATAATTTTGGATTAAGAAGACATAGTGTCAAAGTAAGATGCTTTTAGTTTGAGGTTTTTTTGTTTGTTTGTTTGTTTGTTTAAGAAGTATAGTGAAAGTTCTTCCTTTACACCAGTGATTCTCAAACCACAACATGTACTGTGTGTATGCATCACAATCATGGGGAGCAATTTTTAAAACACAAACTGCTGGACCCAGACCCAAAAAGTTTCTGATTCAGTATGTCTCATGTTGGAAGGCAGCCTGAGAACTGACATTTCTAGCAAGTTCCCAGGTGATGCTAATGCTACTTGTCCAGGAATCACACTTTGAGAACCACTGCTTTACTGCTTAGTAGCCCTGTGACCATAAGTACACCACTTAATCATAAGTACACCACTTAATCTAAGTTTCAGCCCCGCTGGTGAAATTCATATGGCAATATCTACCCAAACTGTCAGAGGCATTCGAACCTGAGCAACTCCATCTTGAATAGAGACTGGGTAAAATAAGGCTGAGACCTACTGGGCTGTATTCCCAGTAGGTTAGGGCATTCTAAGTCACAGGATGAGATAGGAGGTTGGCACAAGATACAGGTAACAAAGACGTAGGTAATAAAACAGCATGTGGTAAAGAAGCTGACCAAAACCCACCAAAACAAAGTTGATGACAACAGTGACCTCTGGTCATCCTCACTGCTCATTACACGCTAATTAAAATGCATTAGCGTGCTAAAAGACACTACCACCCGCACCATGACAGTTTACAAGTGCCATGGTAACGTCAAGAAATTACCCTATATGATCTAAAAAGGGGAGGAACCCTCAGTTCCAGGAATTGCCCACCCTTTTCCAAGAAACTCATGAATAATCCACCCCTTGTTTAGCATATAATCAAGAAATAACTATATGTGTCCTTAGTTGAGCAGCCCATGACACTGCTCTGCCTATGGCATAGCCATTCTTTATTCCTTTACTTTCTTAGTAAACTTGCTTTCACTTTACTGTATGGACTCACCCCAACTTCTTTTTTGCATGAGATCCAAGAACCCTCTCTTGAAGTCTGAATCGGGACCCCTTTCTGATAACAAAACTATACAAAACAGTACTTTGTAAGAATCAAAATAAGAAAATGTATGTGAAAACATTTTGTAAATTAGAATGCATTATATAAATACATTCTATTATTCAAAACTATTTTTATAATGCATATTATATGCTGGCACTATGTTGTGAAATAAGAACAAATCAATCATTGGAGCTTATAGTCTGGTATGGAAGATGAACATTAAACAGATCATTATTTAATTATCAATGTAAACAATGTTATTTGTCAATAATGAATATGTTTGAGAAAAGATTAACATTTTGAAACTGAAAGCAATATAGTAAAAATATATGACTACAAAAATTAAATCAAGTAAATGACAAATAATGAGGCCATAGAAAGTTTAAAGATAAAGCCTTATCAACCCATTGTCTATACTTGAGGGTACTGGATTCCTGCTATGGAAATTAGTTAAGAAAATAATCCCAAACCCTACTAAATTACTGTCAAGCAAGTCGAGTATGTTTTGTAGTATTTAGAGTGTATAAGGTCCAGCAATCAGATTCAGTATAAAAGGGCAATTGAATAGGGGAAATATATTCAATGTTCTTTCCAAGCACCTTCGGGAAGTGGTCCTAACCTTTCCCTTCTAGCTTTCAACAACACTTTGTGTTTTGCAAGTTACTAATCAGAGCATACTGCCTTTTATTAAATCTGACTGGTAATAAAATAGACGTTCTTCTTAATCAAGCCCACACTGTGGCTTAAATCACCTTTAGACCAAAATTTATTCTCCTGGGTGGGAGGCAAGCTCATCAGAAGGATCTCAAGGAGGATTATATCTGTGGGGGAGGATTTCAAAGCTTTCCCAAGCAGGCAGTGAATAGGGGCTCTGTCTGCCTTCCCAGAAATAGCCAGCAGGTTAGAAGAGTCCAATGCTACCCATCTGCCTTTGGTGACAAATTGGTGGTTTGCTCATAAACTTGAAAATCCAGCCAAACCAGTGCAGGGTTGGATCACAGGCTCCTTTTTGGCTCTGTTCTGGGCCCTTTTAAAATTAAAAATGTGTACTCTTTTTTCTGCTCAATATTTTAAAATGGCAAAATGTACGATTTCCTCAAAGAAGTTTCCATAAGCTCTTTAACGAAAAAGAGCTTTGTTTTTCAGAATTCACCCTCCAGGAAGAGGCCAAATTTCCAATATGAAAACAGAATTTACCCTTGCCATTCCTATGTCTCATTTACTGCAGAGGGCAGGCCTACAAATCTGGATTAGACAGACCTTAGCAGGTGATGGGACAGCGTACACAGCTTTATTTAGTTTAACATCTTGAATCCATCTTGGGACAGTTTATGCTTCAAAAGCAATCCCCCAAAGTTGGGCATGGTGGTACATGCCTGTAGTCCCAGCTACTTGGGAGGCCAATGCGGGAAAAATCACTTGAGGCCGGTTGGAGGCTATAGTGTGCTATTATCGTGCCTGTGAATAGCCACTGCATTCTAGCCTGGGAAACAGACTCATCTCTAAAAATCATAATAACATTTAATTTAAAACACACCTTCAAATAGTCCATTTAGCCACCAACTCTTTCTACTTTTCTTTGTATTTACTTTGTTGTTCCTAGTCCCCTTTCCTCTCTCCACCCTGGTTCTAGGAATTTAATTATGTATCTTGAAGTTTGAGACACCCTAGGGGATTCCCCACACCCAGTTCTCCATATATTTTCATGCCTAGAATCACTCTCATTAGACTTCCCTCATATGTGTATCCTTCATTTGTGTTGGAAACTGCCTTCAAAATGAAGACCCTCCAGGTCTGCTCCCATAGGTAAGTGATGAGGACAGGTGGAGACAGATCAAGAAGACAGCTGTGGGGGACTGGGTTGGGGGGGGTGGGGCTGCAGATTGAAGACTATGATAGGCTGGACTCCCTGGGGAATTCAGACTCTGACTCAGAGGTTTGTGTGAAGGAAGCTTAATGGTTAGAATGCTCAGGATCGACATTTATAGGAGAGTGAAGGAAGAAAGACTGGGCAGAGGGAAAAGCTGGACAGTCACAACAAAGGAGCTGGAACGGCCCTGCACAGTCATCCCAAATTGGCATAAGGAGCCATGTCTTTGATCACCACACTGCATTTGACTAGTCTCCAGATGCAGACTGCCCCAGGAAAGGCATTCTTGGTAGAGGCAGTTCTCTTCAGTGGAGGACAATCTCCAGAAGGGAACTCAGCCACCAACACTCTTAGCAGCTGAAGGAATGAGTATTTAAGTCTTGAAAGAGGAAGTCTGGGCAACACACCACAGAATCTGCTAAAAAGACTAATGATCATCCTGCCATTTTTATAACTTCCTACCAAGCAGCAGGGAGATCAGGGTCACTGTTATCATGGGAAATAGGGAGGGTCAGTTGGCATCCCACCAGGAGCCAGATGACACACCCAAGACAAGGCAGAGGGTTTAATTACAATGGAGCTATTTCCAAAAACATAGATCAGGTACAGGAAAGAGCAAGATCGCCACATAGCCATTACTACTCCTAGGCCAGAGAAGCAAGAGAAAGGAGAGAATGGTGGAAACCAGAAGACGAATACCACATAGAGGAAGCCACGTTGAAAGGAATAGTGACCTTCAGCTGAGGCCACAGCCAGCTCAAGGTCCTCACAAAGAAGGAAAAAGGGAACTGAATATATCAACCTTGCTCTCTTACCAGGGCTCCCAGTTGGCCCAGCCTCATCAAGAAAGGGAACTTATTGCTATAGTCCACACAGGTCAGCTTCCTGGAACAGAGGGCAAGGAGATAAGGGTGGAGAATGGATCTAGAGGCACAAATAGAAGCTATCTGACATAGACTTAAAGGGACATTTACTGCTCAAAACTTTCAGTGTCCATGCTTGTTCCCACTTCCAGCCATGAATATACAAGGGAGTGAAGGCCAATCTGTTTACACAATTGAGACCACACCCTAGAGAGCAAATTCATAATGCTAAGCGCAGTAGCTGTGGAGAGTCAATGCATGTCTGACATTAGAAAGGTCCAGCCTTTTTGAAAAACTCTTTAAGCCTTTGAAGTGTGCTAGTAATGAAAGTCAGTGATTTGGTGTATTTAAGAAAAGGGGGAATAAGAAAGAAAAAGAGCATAGCAACGATGAGAAGATAATTCCCTGGGAATATATCAGTCACCTAAGAGCCTTTACCAAAAAAAAAAAAGTTTGAGCTCCAAAGACACAAAGTTAGAGCCAATGCAACCCTGATATATGTATCTTTTTAAAATCTATGAGTGATCTTGATAACAATCACAGTTAAGAATCATTGTCAGAGTCCCAGAATGGATAGGCTTATGGTAGAAGTACTAGGGACTCCTAGAAAATATAGAAAAAGAAAGAAGAAATTCCCAAGCCAAAGTAGGACATTCTGACAGTGCCCCTTAGCCTCTGACTGGTTTAAAGAGTATGAGGGCAGAAAGTACTTGACAAGTTTTTTCTAAAAACTAATGCCAAGCAGTTTGACCATAAAAATAAACCACTTGCTCTTTCTTATTTTATTGATGCTCAGTATCCCTACTGGGCTATTTACAGTTAGGTGCTTTGTCTAAGTATGAGCCAAAGTATATAGAGAGGAGAAGACTACTGAGCGTTTTCTCAAAATACAACCCTATTGTGTGGTAAACCATATATGTCAAAACTGAAGAAAAAAATGGTCATTATAAACATCAGTGGCAGGTCTTAGAAGACATTCGGAAAATGACAGCCTCAACTCACCTCAAAACCTCTCCACTCCTAACTCCAGTCTGTACACAGTTCTTGAGCCAAACTGCTGCTGAAGTCCATGATGACCCAGGTGTAAATAAGACCTTGGGCTCTGAAGAAAATTAAGCAGAAAAAACTGGGGCTGGCATTTCTCCCTGGAGAGTTGGCCTAAAGAAATCTAGAGAGAAGCTAAAGGAATGGAGTGAGTCCGCACCCCTGAGGCTGAAAGAATACAAGAAAGGACATTCCAGCAGCCTCCTGTCTGCTGGTAGAATTGCAACCATTTGTAGCATAGTATGACTACAACCAGACCTGATCCTCAAGGAGTCCACAAAGTAGAACGACTATCTGACGGTGCCCAGCATCCAGGGAGGGAAGATGTATGAGGACAAGGCATGTATATAAGTCTTTACAACCAATGGAAAATAACTAAATTCTCCTGTTTAAAAAATAGAGACTAGAGGAGTTTGAAACCAGCCTGTGCAACATGGTAAAACCCTATCTCTACAAAAAAATACAAAAAATTAGACAAGCATGGGGGCATATGCCTGTAAGGCCGAGGTGGGAGGATCACATGAGGCCAAAAAGTCAAGGCTGCAGTGAGCCGAGATCATGTCACTGCACTCCAGCTTGGGTGACAGAACGAGACCCTGTCTCAAAAACAAACAAACAAACAACAACAACAAACCAAGAAAAGAGGCTGACAGGTTAAGCTAAAATACAAAAATAAAGCTATATTCTATTTATAAAAAACACTTTAAAAAATAATAAAGAATGGTTGACAATAAAGCAAAAGGCAAAAAAATTCAGGCAAATATCAAGAAAAAGAAAATAGAAGTGGCAAGAAAAATGTCACACAAGTAGAATTTAAAGATAGGAATATTAAACAGAATGAATAAGAACATTATGTAAATAAAGGCACAACTTACGAAGAAGATAAAATAGTGATAAACCTATACACATCACAAAATATAAGTTAAATATGTAAAGCATATAAAAATAGAAATAAAAGAAGAATTCAACTAAAATACAATTAGAAGAAGCTATTTTAATACACTTATTACAGAATTTGTTATATATAGTAAACAATAAGTCAAAGGCAAATTAAATAATACTTGATTTTCAGATAGAAAAAAAATTTACATCCCTTAAATAGCAAATACATATTTCTTTCATATATTGAAGGAACGTTTACAAAAGCAAGTTATGTACTTGGCCACAAAAGAAAATTCACAGGCTAAATGTATTATAAATTTTATAAGCCATATTTTCTGATAATAATATAATACAATTACAAATAATAAAAAGTTGGTGCCAAAAATATTAAATAGTTGAAAATTTATTCACAAATATCTAGACAATGCTTAAAGAGACAATCTGAATCACAAACGATCTGAAGAGCAATGAAAAGGAGTTTGTTTCAAATTCTTTGACACTAAGCAAAAATTAAATGCACAGTTTTAAATGTCTTCGTAATTTAAAAATAGATATAAAACAAAGAATCCTTGTTCACAGTTTTTTTTTGTTTTGTTTTTTTGGAAAGGCAATGTCTTGGCATGTTGCTGGCCTCAAGCTCCTTCTAGGCTCAAGAAATCCTCCCATCTTGGCTTCCCAAAGTGCTGGGATTACAGGCATGACCCACTGTGCCCAGTCAGTTCACTCATTTAACAGATCATTAAAATAAAGGAAAAAACACACAGGAGAAAGGAATTAATAAATCTAAAATATTTTATTAATGAAGAATAAAATAAAATTGGTAGATATATAAAATAAATACAAAAGGTTACTTTTGGAAAAAAGTAAAACAGATAATACCATTGTGTACCTGATTATAGCACAAATAGACAAAATTAGGAATAAGAAAAGGGATAAAATTACGGATTCAGGAGATAAAAAGAACTAGAATATTTCATACAACCCTGTGGCAACAAGTTTTGAAACCCATAAGAAAGAAATGACTTGGTAGTAATATCAAAATAATTTTTGAGAGACATGGAAAACTTGAATAAACTAATAACTATTGAAATAAATTGGAAAGTGATTTAAGTCTACTATGGAAAAGGGCACAAGACAGGTAAGTCAACAGCTAAGCTTTACCTGTTCCCAAAATTATCAAAAGCTTCCCAATTCACTTTATAAGACCAATATATCTCTAATGCCAGAACATAAAAATCAAATAAGAATAGGCCGGGAGAAGTGGTTCACGCCTATAATCCCAGCACTTTGGGAGGCCGAGGCAGGCGGATCATGAAGTCGGGAGATTGAGACCATCCTGGCTAACAGGGTGAAACCCCGTCTCTACTAAAAATACAAAAAATTAGCTGGGCGTGGTGGCGGGCGCCTGTAGTCCCAGCTACTGGGGAGGCTGAGGCAGGAGAATGGTGTGAACCCGGGGGGCAGAGTTTGCAGTGAGCAGAGATGGTGCCACTGCACTCCAGCCTGGGTGACAGAGCGAGACTCGGTCTCAAAAAAAAAAAAAAAAAAAAAAAAAAAAAAAAGAATCAAATAAGAATAATCTCACTTTTAAATATAAATGCAAAATATCTAAATAAAATAGAACTCTAGCAATCCAGCCAATGAATAGTATACTATGAGTAAGGAAGATATTCCAGAAAAACAAGAGTAGTTCACTATTGGCAATAACTGTAACCCCTCCGTAAATGCCATTTCATATCTCCCACTCTCTGACCACCACCTCCTGTCGTTCCAGATAATTCTCCTTGGTATCCAACTTTTATCATTTTCCCTCAACAGGATCTCCAATCCATTGATCATACAACTTTTTCACCAGGCCTCACCCCTCTCCCAGCTTTACTCCATGAGTGATCATAATCATGTCCTTGCATACACCTTCAACAATTCTTGTCCTCTCTAGTATTGTCCTTTCTTGGGAAACCACAACCCTGACTAAATCCACTTCAACTTTCATACCTTCAACCAAGTATCTGAATTTGACTAAAGAAAAACACACAGCTACACCGACTGGTCTTACCTTAAGTCTGCTTGTTGTTGAACCCCAGGTGGCCCCTTAACGCTAATCAGAAATTGCATTTCCGTAGTGCCTTCACTTTCCCACTTCAGCGCTTCTCTCTCCTTAAGCCTCACCCATCCTTATGTTCAGTTGATGATCTTATTTCCCACTTCACTAAGAAAGTTGAACAACCAAAAGAAAATAAATACAAAAGGTTACTTTTGTAAGAAAAGGTATAGACCCACACTACCATATCTATCAGCATCTGTTGAAATCTGTACTCATGTAGTCCACTTTTCTGCCTTTTACTGAAGAGGAGGAATTGGTGCTCCCATCTAAAGTTAATATCTTTACTTGTGCACTAGATAAAAACATAAATTATATGCACTGTTTCTAATTCCTCTTCTTCCATTCTCAATGTTTCTCTTTACAACTTTTTATTTAGAAAATGCCAAGCTCACCAAAAAGTATAAGAATAATAAAATGAAGATCCATGTACCCTCCACCTCCATATACTAATTATTAATATTTTGCCACATTTCCATGATATCTCTCTAGTCTTCATATACAAATACATGTTTTATATACACATATATGTATGTATTTAAGTGTGAAGTATATGCACACACATACACATTCTTTTGGAGGAACCATTTCAGAGTCAATTACAAACATTATGTCATTCCTTAAGTGCTTAAGTATGTATATCCTACAAATATTTTCCTATAGGACTGCAATACAGTCCTCACTATCAGAAAATTTAACATTGCTACAATATTATTTAATAGTCCCTATTTAAATTTCTCTATTTGTCCCAATAATGTTCTTTACAGATTTTTTTATTATTGTCAGTGATGGTGATAATGATGATAGTATCTGTGATGGTGACAGTGATGGTGGCATTTTAATCCAGGATTCAATTGAGGACCATACATTACATTTAATTGTCATCCTCGAAGTCTGCATTAAACATACCCTAATCAAGCTTTCACCTCTAACACTCTCCTCCACTGGTGACCTCTTGTCAAGATCACTAATGACTTTCATGTTCCTAAATCCAACATCCACTTACTTTGCCTGTAAGCAGCATTTTGGCATGGCTGATCATTCCCTCCTCTTTGAAATACATACTTTCTTCACTTAGTTCCAAGAAATTCTAATCACCTAATTTTCCTCAGTAATCTAGCCATTCTTTGTCATTCCCCAATATCTTAATATTGGTCCCTTTTTTCCTTCATCTGCACTTGATTAGTGATCTCAAACAATATTATGGCTTTAAATAGCATATGCCAATGACTCCCAGTTTTATAGCTCTAGCCCAGACTTCTCACTTGAATTCCAGACTCATATATCTAACTGTCTTTTGAAAAGAGAATTTCATAAAGAAAATCTGAAAGAAAAGGAATATGGGGAAGAAGTTTCTTCCCTTATTTTTACAGAGAGAAGTAAGCTTCTTACTTTTAATTTGTATTTCTCCTTACATTGGTTCTTGAGTAAAAATACTTACTGTTATTAAAAATTAATCTCCCCCAAATGAATATATAATGTAATGCAATTCCAATTTGAATCTCAACAGATGGGGTTATTTTGTAATTAGATACCTATTAAAGTTTATATAGATTTATAAATGCCTAAGAAGAACCAAAATGAACATGAAAAAGAAGGAAAAACAAGACACAGAGCACACTACAAAACCAATATAATCAGATCAATTTAATAATGGTAGAAATAGACACGCTAATCACAACAACAGAATAGTAAATACAGAAATAGATCCCAGTACAAATAAGAGGTGAAAATAGAATGAAGGCATGGAAGATGTGGATTATTTAATGAATGCTGCTGTCATAAGTGGCCACGTGTCCAGAAGAAAATAAAAGTGGTCTTCTATACAACATACAAAACTGAATTTCATATGGATTAATGGCTTAAACATATGTGCAAAACACAATCTTGCAAGAAAAACCATTCTAAGTCATCTAAATCAGCATAAGGCTGGATGATGCCATTTTAACAAGACTGGAAACTCAGAGAGAGAGAGAGAGACTATTTGTTCACCAAACAGAACACATTCAGGCTAATGTCCACAGTTTATTTATTTTTAAAAAGTTCTTCCAAATTGTCAGGAAGACAAACTAATAGAAAACAGGCAAAGGATATATAGACAATCCAGAGAAGAACAGTTCTAAATAGCCATCAAACATGTGAAAATAGGTATAAATTTATTAGGAAGTATAAGAAAATAACACTTAAAATTTAACAGACTGACAAAAAATTAAAAATAACAATAATACCTGTTACTGGTAGGGATGAGGAGAAAACAGGATGTCGTGGAAATGGGAAATGTTATAGGCTTACTCTATGAATTAGATTAAGGTTACTGGTTAAATAACTTTAACCTTAAGTAACCAACTGCTTACTATAAAAATATTTCTTTAGTAAAATTATTGAATTGACATATTTTTAAAGGCAGCATCAAAACAGTAGCCCCACATAGAAGTCATTCAAGCAGGCTCATTTGCCCAGAGAAATACCCAAGATCCTGGGAGAGGAACCAAAGGGAAAAGGAGACAGAGAAGAAAAGGGAAAGGTAGCTGTGGCCAAAGGCTGAGATTCCCTCCCAGCCGCTTAGCCAAAGCACTAGAAATTTCCTGCAGGATTAAAAAAATAAAAATATTCACCAGGAGTCATGAGTACTGATTTCCAACACAATTAAAATCCTCCTAAAACAGCACTGGAAGCCTCCAGCACACAAATAAGTTATATTCCAGTTGTCTGTAGCTGGGAATGGATTTACCCATAAAAACAGTATGATAAATCTCCTAAAGCAGCTCACACAAATTAAATCACTTACACTGGCAACGAGAAGAAAGAGAAAATGCAAAATCTTGTTGCTAAAGCACATTATTTCAGCAACATTCTGGGTTTGCCTTGGAACCTAAATCCATTTGCATCAATGTTTCAAGGAGTAACAAAATGCTATTCTATTTGTAATAATGTTACAAACTCCATTTGTGACAATGTTTCAACAACGCAAATTCAGTGATTCCTCATAAAAAGAAAATACAAAAGCAATAGAAGAACATCCTCTTGCTCACATCCTATATGTGATCCTGTTTCTCTTCCCAGCTCTCTAGCTGGAGAATAATAACAATAGCAACATTTACTACTTACTCTGATCAAGTTCAGTTCAGGACACTTTTTGCCTGCGTAATTTAATCATCACATAATCTCGTGATCTAAATATTATACTCATCTTATTTAAACATGGCGGTAAGTTCCAAAATACTTAACTTGTCCTCTGCCACTTAATCAGTAGGCAACTGAGAGAGAAATATCTGATTCTCAAGCTATGTTTTAACCTGCTATATGCCACCAAAGTTCCAGTATTCTGCCCCCAGAACACTGGGTCACGTACCATCTGGCCCAAGTCCAAATTCAAGAAATGCCAGGCTCCTGGACCTTTACCACCACACCGTGCATTTCACAACCACCAACCAGAAAAGAATATGTGAGCCTCTGGGCCACACATCTCTGCTCCTGAGAACATTCCTTGGAATAAAATGGATCTGCCATTCAAATGTATGGAAAGATTTGAGATCCATTGGAGGGCTCCTTTGTAGAGTTTTGTGACATCAGTGGAGGCTGTAGGGATAAGGATGGTGTTCCAGTTCCTGAAGAAATTCCACCAGATTCCAACTGGCTGCAGACAATCCACATTCGGGAACATTTTGATTCATGGATGTCCACGACCTTGAGTGCTAGCCCCAAATGAATTCAGCACACAAGGTTCTTGTTTAATAGGTGACCTTCCCAAAATAGCTACAGATATTAGCTCTCCCTGAAAGATCTCTCTGGGGAAGTTTAAGAGACAGATTTGCCTTTCAGCTTTCCAAATCCCTTGTTTGGGGTTTTAGAAAATAACTCACAATCAGAGCACTCCCTCTACCTATCATCACTTTACTTTTAACAAAACTGAATCACTTGGAGCTTTGTACTGTATTTATTTTCACTGATCTCATTTTTTTCCCTTTCTTCATTTTTTCCACTTAAGGGACCATTTTCCCACATTTTGCCTAAGGCTTTTTCCCATGAGAGGTGATAATAACTAAGTGCTGAAAACTTTTGAGATGTTTCATGTAGGTCATTTTGGGTTGTTGCTTTTCTTCTTTCTCTTAACACTAAAGACAAAAGGGATAGTAGGGCAGGATATTATTGAGATATAATAACAGGTATACAGCTTGACTGAGATGAGCTTGTTTCCTAGTTTAGACGAGATGGAATTTTTAAGAGCTGAATTTCTCAAGTGATATCATCATCCTGTGAGGAGAAAAGTCTATCAGACAAACAACTCCAAGGGAGCAGGATACTCTTCAAACAAAAGCTCTGTAAGCCCAGAGGCAGATCAACTCACATGAAAAGGCAAAGGAAGCCAGAGGTCAAGTTGGCCACACCTGGACTCTGTAGGCTTCCAAAGGGAGGAACTGGGCATAGTGCTAAGTCAATGAAAAAAAACACATTTATTCATTCACTTATTCACACTATTTCTTGAATATCTACTAAGTTCATAACATACTGTGCTAGGCACTAGGATACAAAGATAAGTAAGACCCAGTCCTTGCCACCAGAGAATTGCCCCACTCAAGTGAAGTAGCTTCTAGCTTTCGCTGCCATTAGGCTTCTTTTTAACAACGAAAACTTTGGTAAGAATAATGATAGAAAATCTACTTTTTAAATTCATTGGTTGGGAATATACATATGCATATGGACTTACAGATTCCTTTTGGTAAGTCTGGGCAGTACCAGGCACAGAGAAGGACTGGGCTAATGAGATGAGCAATGACAGCAACATGGTGAGAGTTGAACCACCTGTCTCAGCTCTGCCTGAGACAGGACTTTCCTTTTGTTCTAAAAACTTTGGTATCTAGGCCCACTGCCCTCACTCACAAAAACATCTTCTAATTTATTGCCTAATGCCCAAAATTCCATATTCATAAGTATAACACTTCTCTAGCTCTATGACACTACAAAGCACCATCCAAATCATCTCCCTCCTGCACTCTTTACAGTGGCCCTTTAAGGTAAGGATCATTAACAGGTGAGTCGGTTTAAAGGACGGTGAGGTGACTCGCACAAAATCACTGAGCTAGAGGGGTCAGTTCAGGACTCCTCAACCTCAACCATTACACATTCAACTTCAAAGCCTGTGAGCTTTTTACAACATCAAGCTGGTTCCTCTAAAAAAGATTATATTTGATCTTCTAACATGTATTGGGCATGTACCAGATTACAAATGAAAGGACAGAAGGAAGAAAGGAAAGGAGGGAGCGTAAAGAAGGAAAGAGACCAGCATTTAGCTAGGTGCTTTTTATTTTATCATCTCCATCACCCACCCACTTAAGAAGCTATGATTATTTTACAGATAATTTTACATATGCGGAAACTAAATTTCAGACAGATTGAATAACTTGCCCAAGATCACACAGCTTATAAGAAATGGAGCTAGAGGGGCCGGATGCGGTGGTTCACGCCTGTCATCCCAGCACTTTGGGAGGCCAAAGCGGGCGGATCACGAGGACAAGAGATCGAGACCATCCTGGCTAACACGGTGAAACCCTGTCTCTACTAAAAATACAAAAAATTAGCCAGGCATGGTGGCGGGCACCTGTAGTCCCAGCTACTCGGGAGGCTGAGGCAGGAGAATGACGTGAACCCAGGAGGCGGAGCTTGCAGTGACCCGAGATCGCGCCACTGCACTCCAGCCTGGGCGATGAGCAAGACTCCGTCTCAAAAAAAAAAAAAAAAAAAGAAGAAGAAGAAGAAGAAATGGAGCTAGAATTAAATCCCAAGTCCACCTAACTCCAAAGCTTATGCTTCTAACTCCTTACCTCACTGCCTAGAATGTTGTGTGCAACTTTGAGGAACTCATGCAGTATCTAAGTATTATTCTTCTCATCCCTCAAATGGGCCCTTAATAGGAGCTACCATTTGTTAAACATGCTTACCCGCATCTATCTCTTTCAGATCTCACAACAGCGCTGCAAATAGGCATTATTATCTCGACTGCAGTGAAAATGAGATTGAATCTCGAAAGGGCAGACTGAAGGCAGAGCCAGGATTTGAACCCAGGACTCTAGCACTTTCCACTATTTTGTGTCAACTATGCCAGCTACTACACAGGCATTAGGTGAAGAACAAATGAGATAATAAATATGAAAAACATTCATAAAGTATAAAGTAGTACACTAATATATTATTGTTGGAATTATTATCTTTTCAATCATTAAACTGAGACATTAGACACAGAGGTTACAGGCTAAATAACTTACACAATATCACATTGCAAAGAAATAAGTATTAGGTTCTAAGATCTGGTCCAGTGTCTTTTCCACTTTCTGCCCTGACTCAATTCATTAATTTTTTGGCGCCTCAGCCTCCTTCTCAGTAAAATGAGAGCAATGATGTCTAACTGGTTATTGTGAGGATTAAATGATTTCATATTAAATGATTTCATATTATGAGGATTAAATGATTTCATACATATATATATGGTTAGTAAAATTGTTTTTCTTCCTTCTACTCAATACTTTGATTACAGAACCATGCCCTGGCCTCCATGTTTATAATAATTTACCTTTCTTTTTCTTTTTCTTTTCTTTCTTTCTTTTTTTTTTTTTTTTTTTTTTAATAGAGACAAAGTCTCTCTCCATCACCCAGGCTGGAGTGCACTGGCACCATGATGGCTCACTGCAGCCCCAGACTCCTGGGCTCAAGCTATCCTCCCACCTCCACCTCCCAAGTAGCTAGGACTACAGGTGCATCCCACCATACCCAGCTAATGTTTAAATGTTTTTTTCTTTTTTTGTAGAAATGATGTCTCACTATGTTGCCAGGCTGGTGTCAAACTCCTGGCCTTGAGTGATCCTCCTGCCTCAGCCTCCCAAAATGCTGTGATTATGTGTGTTTGTCACCATGCCCAGCCACTTGCCATTTTCACAATCACAAAAAATAAAGCAGCATTTTGAAAGGTCATGTCCATTCTCAGTGGCTACTTCTGGAAACACTGACTACAATAAGATCTGCCCAAAGTCTGCTATATTGTGCAAGCTGCTTGCAGGTAATGCCATGGTAACCTTTGTAGATTTGGTGGGAAATGGTGTTTCTTTCATGTCATCATCCTTTCAGCAAATGTCCCAACTATTCTTTTCACGATGAAGAACTCTAATGACCTAATGCACTGAAACCTTAGTGCTACTAACACTGTCTTCATAATCAATTCATGCTGTCAAGATGCTTCCAGGAATTGTATAGTTTAGCAACTGAGGTTCTCAAAGCAAATAAAAAGACCAAGTTCTCAAGGGTAGGTTTTTCCCATGGGAGTGTATAATTCAGCGGATGTTTAACTAGTGCCAGATTTATCAGGATACTTCCAACTCTGCATCTGATAAGAAGTGTCTGGAGAATAAATATCTTCTATTTCTCCTCCTGGCCCTAAACAACTCAAGCCTCACCACTCCCAGACATCACCGAGGTAGCATCACCCTTTGCTACTTGCCAGAAGGTCACCCAGATAAGCTTCTGCATGGTTTACAAATATGTTTGAAAAATGAAATTCCTTCAGCCAACTGCAATAATCTGGTTCAACCACACTTTTTTTTTCAGGCAATTCCTTCACAGGCATCTATCTTCTTATGACACACTTATTTAGATGTTATCATGATTAGTAAGATATTAAAATCATTTCTGCTCACAACTGACTGTCTTGACACCCATGTGTTCCATGAAGTTCCCTCAGCGTGAGAAAACTCAATGAAACAGGTGGTGCAAATTTCAATGATACTCAACGCATCAGCACGTTTTAGAAATGGTATACATTGCTGGTCACTCCTTCCCCTGGAAAAGCTGCACCCTCTATGTCTTCATGCTGTGTAAGAGACTGGCCTCTCCTCTGTGCTTCCACAACCTTTAGTTCTTGATTCGTATGAGCTTGTGGCTTAGCTGTTCAGATTTCTGCCTCCCCTGAAACCTCAGAGTTCCCTCAAAAGCAGACCAGGAGCCACAGCTTATGGATTTGTTATATTTCCATCATCAGGCCCAATGCCAAGGGTCCAAAATGAGTTCAGTGAATAAATTGTTAATTAGCTAACAAATGAATACGACCCTGAGAATACACTTCTGTTGGTTTTTTTATGGGCAGGGTTGGTGAAGTGAAAGTCTGATAACTCACTATATAGGTAGGATAGGCCAAGAGTTCCTGTAATTGGCATTCTTTTGACCTCTTATTATCCCAGTGGTTGGATCCTATGAACAATGGACAGAACAATGGTTCTGAAAGAAAAAGTAGCCCCCAATACAAACCACTCCAGCTGTTCTGGAGTCAATGATAAATTTTCCCAAACTCAGTTCTGAGAAGTGCTCTCAAACAAAACTCACCAGCACTCTGAAGAGGGTGAAATCCCTGGTGTTTCTCCTTTAGCTTAACATAGAGCTCTGTAGTTGGTGGCTCATTGGCAATCTTACTCTCCATTAAAATGCCACAGAATGCAGTCTGTCTCTCAGAACTGACACATCTGTGTGCTTGATAACTCCCTCCTTCCGACAACTGATGTTGACTCATTCCCCACTAGTGTCACATGAACATCATCAATTGTCCCAGGGCTCAATGGGCTCTGAAAAAGCATCTTAGCACAGAGAACACTTCTCTACCAATCCCCGTCATAAACCTATTTGGCAGCCTATAGCCCATCTTTTCTGCCTGTTCTTTAATCATCACCTCCTTCCCATTCCCTCCTCTCTGTGACCCTACACACAGGTTCCAAGTCAGAATTGGAGGAAAATGATAAAAGAATCTGCTCAAGTATTTTATAGTCACTCAGAGGTTAGCAATTTTGGCCTCTAACCATGTTCCATAGTGAAATCTTGTCCTCTGAAGAAGATAAAGATGAGAATTTTTACATAAAGAATTTTTAAATAAAATAAATATTAAGATGAAAAATACAGCAATTGTGATTCTAACAGGTCAATATAACAGAAGTGCACCAAAAATAGCAAAACCTCAAAAACAAGTTATTATTTTCAGAAAGACACCAAATGAAAAGGATCCATCGAGAAGTCAAAGCAATAAAGAGCGCTTTGGATAATTTACAAAAAAAAAAAAATTAATGATGGCTTCCACTGGTCCTGGAATTCCACTGGACCTGCGAATTCATATGAAAGAGACTTTTTAAAGTAGGATAAGAGAAACAGGATGCTGTGGGACTGATATAATTTTGTATTACACAAACTGGAAGAATAGATTGTTAGAGATATTAGAAAGACTTGGCCAGGCGCTATGGCTCACGCCTGTAATCCCAAAACTTAGGGAGGCCAAGGCGGGCAGATCACAAGGTCAGGAGTTCAAGACCAGCCTGGCCAACATGGTGAAACCCTATCTCTACTAAAGATACAAAAAATTAGCTGGGCATGGTGGTGGGCACCTGTAATCCCAACTATTTGAGAGGCTGAGGCAGGAGAATCGCTTGAACACAGAAGGCAGAGGTTGCAGTAAGGTGAGATCATGCCACTGCACTCCAGCCTGGGTGACAAGGCAAGATTCTGTCTCAAAAAAAAAAAAAAAAAAAAAAGAGTTTTTTTTTTTTTTTTTTTTAAAAAGCTATTTTTCATACCCAATTTCAGATCCAATTGAGAGGCACAAAAGAGTAGTATATGTAGATAAAAATACCACTTTAACTTTTGATCAATCTCATATTGAAGAATGTGGCTTCCATGTGCAGCAACAATGAACCCTTTATTACTGAATCACAGAAGTATGCACGTATAAGGCTGAAAAAACAAAGACCCCCTCGTGTGGGAGCTTGCCCTTGTAAAACTTTCAGCATAAAGGAGCAGGTCAGACTGTGCTTATAAGCAGTCAAATCTCCTTTTATCTTCCATGTCTCCCTGCTACACATGCACACACACACACACACACACACACACACACACACACAGAGCAAAAAGGGGCTGAGCTATTTCCTCATTCTGTTCTTCATCACAAGCTTCTTTTCTTCCCCATTCTAAAGTTCTTCATCTCGAACTTATCCAATATATCACTCCTTCCCAAGGGAGACGAAACCAGGGTGTTGTTCTACTAACAGAAATCCCTCAATAGAAAAAGAAACCACAAGACTGGGGAAGAATAGGTACTATCCATATGGGTGTTATAATTATGTACCCCATAACAATTTTCTGAATGCTTACTTGTAGATAAATTTTGTCTTAGGCATGAAGGAGAACAGCAAAAGAAGAGGAAATAGCTAATATTTGTTGAACACCTACAAAATGCTGGACACCATGTTAAGGGTTCTTACATACTCATACATCATCTCATTTAATCCACACAATTCTAAGAGAAAAGTATTAGTATCTTTTTTTTTCTGTTTGCAAATGAGGAAATTAACACTTGGAAAGGTTATATAGGAGAAGATATTGCAGAGCTTGCAGACAGTTTTCAATGCAAAATAAACACAAATGAAATAATTAGAAGGCTACAGCAAAATCTATTGCCCACACTAAATACAAAGTGAATGCAAAGAAAAGTGAACACTGTGATGTTTAGAATGAGAACATAATATATGGATCAACAACCTCCGAAGCCAGAGAACAGAGAGGACAAAATGGAATGACTACCGTAAGTATGTACTTAGAGCTGAAGAGGGATGGGGGTGACGAAGAACAAAGAGAAGTTCCATAGATAAGGGAGGAAGTCAGAAATCTTTTAACTGTTGGTCTGGGTGATACAACTTTGATCAATAGCAGCCATCCTCACTAAAGTGTACTTCTGTTTTTAGGTCATTATCAGCAACTGATACTACAAAAAGGTTGAAGAAGGAAGTTCAGTCTGAGAAGAGGCCTGGGTATGGAAAGAGGGAAGTGAATATGGAAAAGCTTCCCTTCTTTGTTTCTACTGTCCTGTAAAGTGTATTTATATTTTATTATCCTCCATTTCACAGGGTGACAATCAGCAGTGGGATAAGCAGGCACTGTTCCCATGATTCAGACGTTAATGCTAAATAATTATTCACTGGGACTTGAAAGAACTCCTCTCCCACCATTCAAAAAGGGAAGGGCTTGGCCAGTCAAATGTTTGGCTATTGTACAGTACCATAATAGCTGTAAAAAAAAAAAAAAAGAAAAAGAAAAAACACATCTGTATATTGTAGGAAAAAGTAAGGCAGTCCTTAATACTTTTATAGTATAAATTGAATAACAGTACTATTACCTACTGAAGGTGTTTGTGTAATCATAGATTACAGTGTTAGAGCTCTATAAATTACAAAACTCCCCCACATGTAAAATATTTCATTCTAACGTCACAGATAAGAAAATTTAAACCTTGGAGAATTTAAATAGCTTTTCTATTGTCATTCGTCTTAAAGACAGTAGGTTAAGATCCAAGTCCAGGGTTTTCTAACTTCAAAAAAAATACTCCAAATCTTGCATGACACTACCCAAAGAAATATGAGACAAAAATACCCATAAAATTCTGAAATGGCTCTTAATGTCTGTGACCGAATGCCTCTCTTGTTTTGTGAGTAAAACTGAACAACGATCCAAATAACCAAAACTTTTGGTAGCTTTATTTTTTGTCCCTTGTGGACC
The DNA here is from genome assembly GCF_000001405.40 of Homo sapiens. Lineage (NCBI taxonomy): Eukaryota > Metazoa > Chordata > Mammalia > Primates > Hominidae > Homo > Homo sapiens. Next base: position 219,749,378 of record NC_000001.11, read on the forward strand.
TGTAAAAAAATATTTTTATTTCATATTTTATCTTCTATTAAAAGAGGAAAAAGCACTAGGACAAATGTTGTGCTGGTAAATGTTTAACATACAGATTTTGAGGGTGGGAAAACCCTGATTTGTACAGTTTGCCAGTTTCTGTGGTGTCATACTCCTTACACAGGCAATCACAGTCTACCATGTGGTGTTGGGAAAAATGCACGTGATTAGCTCTTGTGAGCCAGGACACACTGAGACTGCCAAACAATTAATCAAAAACCCTCTTGATGGTATATCTTGTTAATAAATGCATCAGTGATAGAGAACTATATGCAAATAGCAAGCTCTGGGTGTGAGATTCACCCGGTTAAGAACAGCAGTTGCTCCCTTCTCCAGGAGGATATGTTCCAACACTCCCAGTGGATGTCTGAAACCATGGATAGTACCAAATCTGATTGCTATCAACCAGAATGCATTTCTATTTGTGTCTTCCACACACAAATTTAATGCCTTCTTCATCTTAACTCTCATCACACACCGTGGTTGTAACTTGCAGTCTGAGGTGTGACAGCAAAACCGGAAAGAATTTCTTTTCCCTTCTTCACAATTTTATGGACTCATTCTTTTTTTTTTTTTTTTTTTTTTTGAGACGGAGTCTCGCTCTGTCTCCCTGGCTGGAGCGCAGTGGCGCAATCTCGGCTCACTGCAAGCTCCGCTTCCCGGGTTCACGCCATTCTCCTGCCTCAGCCTCCCGAGTAGCTGGGACTACAGGCGCCCGCCACCGCGCCCGGCTAATTTTTTTGTATTTTTAGTAGAGACGGGGTTTCACCTTGTTAGCCAGGATGGTCTCGATCTCCTGACCTCATGATCCACCCGCCTCGGCCTCCCAAAGTGCTGGGATTACAGGCGTGAGCCACCGCGCCCGGCCTATGGACTCATTCTTAACTTGGATCTTAGAGCATGGTGATGCTGTACAAAGGGAAGATTCCCTGGGGAAGGCAGAGTAGGATGGCACTACATTTCATCATGCTACTCAAACGGCACATAATTTTAAACACATGAATTGTTTATTTCTGGAATTTTCCATTTTCTGACCACCATTGACTGCAGGTAACTGAAACTGCAGAAAGCAAAACAGCAGATTAGAGGAAGCTACTTTTCTGGATATGGAAACTGATCTGACTTTCAACTGAAGATGTGAGACCTTGTAAAGCAATCTCAGTTTTCCTAAAGAAACTAATGCCAGAACTGCAACTTGAGATTTTTAGCTTGAAGAAGCAAATCACCAGATGAAAAGAGGTGAATGGACATGTTTCCTTGATTTGCCATCTTGGACTTTGCCCTTTCCTTTAGAGCTCTCTAATTTTTAATTTTTTTAGACAGGACCTCATCGTGTCACCTAGGCTGCAGTGCAGTGGCACCATGTTGGCTCACTGCAACCTTGACCTCCCAGGCTCAGGTGATTTTCCCACCTCAGCCACTCAAGTAGCTGGGACTACAGGTGTGCACCACCATACCTGGCTAATTTTTTTTATTTTTAGTACAGACAGGGTTTCACCATGGTGCCCAGGCTGGTCTCGAACTCCTGAACTCAAGCAATCCATCTGCCTTGGCCTTCCAAAGTGCTGGGATTACATGCCTGAGCCACCACACCCAGCCAGAGCCCTGTAATTTTAATCCCTGCTACCACCACTTTACTGGCCCTTGTGATAAGTTGCTTCCCTTTCAGCACTGTTGGTTCCCCTTAGAATAGCTCAAAATTTCAAAATCTTTTCATTAAATGCTAAGAGAGGCTACAGAAAAGAAGAAACACAAAGAATCTAGGTTTTGATCTTACCTTGGTTTATTTGCTCCCAAGGTTCACAGACTCTGTCTTACTGAACGCTTTGTCTTAAGCCCCACAGGACTGGTACAGCTGGACAGCTCCCCCACCCCAATGCCCACCTGCCCCCAACTACTCACCTCTACATTCTGGCCACTGTGTTAACTCCCACCACTTGGTGGCCCACTTGGAAACATCTCAACATGTTGATCCATGCTTAAGACCAAGCATTAGATGAATAGAACAGATTCTCACCTGAAGTCATTTCATAAACTCTTTCCTCGTGCCATTTTCCGACCCGAACCATGACTCTTCCTCATACCAGAAAAGTCCTCACCCTCTGTGAGAATACAACCACACTTCCTTTACAGATTCACCAAATTTTCATAAAAATATAAGACAGTCATAGCATTCTAATAATGAGAAATACACACATACAACAATGGAGGCATTGTTCCTCACCCTGCAGATGACGTGAGGCAGAAGCAATCTGACCTTCAACACCTCAACACCTTCTCCAACACCTCCACATTTTAGGAAAACAGAATGCTGTAGTTACTCCAGGTTTGGAGAACAAATGGTCCTGCCTCTTATGTTTTCTTTTTTTTTTAAGGTCATCTTCTTTCCTTAAGGATCAAGCTTGTTTTCCTAAGAGTATTCCTTTTAAAGTAGCCCGTAGGCAACCACACACACATCCAAAAAGTCCTGCTGGTGCTAAAATCATTTTGGAACTTCACTTTGCAAATTGCCTTCAGATCAAAGTTATGGCTCACCCAAGGTTGTCAGCTTCATTACAGTTTATTTTTCCCACCCATCATATACACCAGACTTGGATCTTGACAAAAGGCCAAGATTTTGTCATTATTGAGAATATTCAGAAGCATTGTCTGGCAACAGTAACTACACACACACACACACACAAACACAGACACACACACACACACACACACACTGCCCACACCACCCCATCCAACACAGCCCCAAATACCTTTCTAACAAAACTCAACCTTATTTTCACATCTGAAGCTTCTATTATTGTTCACTCTTACCCAAATTTTTTTAATGAAATAGCTAGAGATTGGAAGGCAGCATAGAGTGTGACCAAACACCAGCTGGTGCCCTCCTGGCAGAAGCTGTCAAAAACCACAATACTGGAGACTAAGAGGGGCCTAAAGAAAGCAGCTAACCCATCCTCCTGTCTCCAGCTAGGTTTCTTCTCATATTCAGAGCTACCAGAGGCTGACATGGACTGGACCAGGTCTCAGTTTCATTGTGCTGGCCACTTGCTATTTTTCAAACATGCCAGGCATGGTCCCATTTAAACCAGTCACAGTGGGTAAAATGGCACTTCTGTATGGCTGACTCTCTTACCTCCTTCAAGCTTAAATATCATTCTGCAATCCTTATTCAAAATTATAATCATTTTTCACTCCTCTCCAGATTCCTCTCTGGATTCCATTTTGTGTCCAATTATTTGGAGAAAAGCAATAGAGCCAGCCTTGCTCTTTCTCTTCTCCATATAATTTTCACCTAATGTACTACATAATTTGCTTATTTATTACACTTATTATTTATTCTCTGTCACCACCCTCCCCTATCTTTGGTTAAATATGCGAAGCACTTAAGATAAAGGCTAGCACATAGTTGGCACTCAAAAATATTTGCTGACTAAGTGAATGCTAGGAGAGACCTTCTTGTTCTGCCTGTCACTCCCCCTACCCTTGCCTCACAAATAATATGCTCAATGGATGGTCATTAGTTCTCTACTTAACTACTCAATATCCTTCCTTCATGTTTCCATTGTCTTGGAGAAAGTGGGCACTAAAGCTAAAGTGTTGTCATGAACACATGTATAGGAGTTAGGGGTTTTCTAATCTCCCTTTTTTTTTTGGACGGAGTCTCATTCTGTCACCAGACTGGAGTGCAGTGGTGTGATCCCGGCTCACTGCAACCTCTGATTCCCTGGCTCAGGCAATTCTCCTGCCTCAGCCTCCCAAGTAATGGGATTGATTACAGGCACGTGTCACCACACCCAGTTAATTTTTATATTCTTAGTAGAGACAGGGTTTCACCATGTTGTCCAAGAGGGTCTCAATCTCCTGACCTCATGATCTGCCTGCCTTGGCCTTCCAAAATGCTGGGATTACAGGCGTGAGCCACCATGCCCGGCCTCTAATCTTGCGTTTTCTTCCAGAACCATACACATGAGCAATGCTGACAATCTGCAGTATTATCAACAAGTGCATCAAGATACATTGAGCCAGGGAGGATGAGGGAAAGGAGAGTGGCATGAGGAATGTGGAGTATATGTGCAGGTCAGAGAGGTTCTGCAGGTAACACAAGGCAGTGCATATGTGTAAGTGTGAGAGAACGAGGTGAGGGCATGCACGTTCAGTAACGCTTCTGCCTGCACCATCTGGGAGGCAAGCAATTCCACTGTCAACTACCATGCCTCCCTGAACCAGCAAAAATAAACACATCAAAAGCTCAGTCTTCACATGAGTTTTCACCATGTGGTTTAGCTACCTCTGCAATCCTTTCCCAAAGGAGAAAAAAAAAAGTGAACTTTTATTTTAAAAAAAGAAAAAACTGCAGGACTGCAAAGAAAGGATAAATAAAGATGCAAATGTACTGTTGCTGGTTTTTTTTCTTTTGTTTTCAATTTTATCTCCCCTTTGATAAAACAGGCAACTTAAAATGTTTTAAAAAGTAATAACTCACTATCAATGAATTGAAAGCCATAATTAATTTGAAATGTGTGCTAGCACCTAGCCATGTATATAGGTTTTTCCTGTATGGTTTGTAGAGGTATTCTAAGTGCACATAAAATATGACTATAAAATGGAATTTACAGCCCAGCACCAGACTGGGCTGGAGCAAGTGAAAGTGAGACAGTCCACTGTTGTGCTGAGAAACCAAAGATATAGGATCCACGTGTCTGCCAAGGAAACTTTTGTGTCACTCATCACCTTCTGGTGCTCTAAAGAACCATCGTCAGAAATGAATTGTTAAAGTACTGACCTTTCTCCGTGAGCTGCTTTCATTAAGATTACATATGCATATAAAAAAATTCTGCTTTTAAAATAGTATTGGTCTTGAAGTCTTTTTAGTCTTAAAGAACGTTCTAACAGCATGATTGTTTATGTAGAAAATCCAATGAGATCAACAAAAAAGAGCTAGTAGAGAGTGAGCTTGGCAAGGTTGGAGAATACAAGATCAATGTATAAAAGTCAACTGTTTTTCTATTATACTAACAAGAAAAATTCAAAATTAAATGTTTTTAAACACTCTTTACAATAGCAACAAAAATATGAAATACTTAGAAGTAAATCTCACAAAACATGTGCAATACCTGAAATCTACAAAACACGACATTTCTGCAGTGTTTTCAAAAATAAACCAAATTTAAATAAATGGTAACATATAATATGTCCATGGGTTGGAAGACTCAATATTCTTAAGATATCAATTCTCCCCAGTCTGTAGATTCAGTGCAATCCAAATCAAAATCCAAGCAGGCTCTTTTTGTAGGAACTGACAATCTGACTCTAAAATTTATCTGGAAACGCAAGGACCTAGAATAGCCAGAACAGCTTTGAAAAGGAATAAAGTTGGAGGACTAACACTATCTGATTTCAAGCCTCATCAGAGCTAAGGTGATCAAGACAGTATGGTATTGACTTCAACAGAAATAGGCATCAATGGAACACGTACAATGTCCATACATGCCTCACATACATATACAGCTGATTTTGGCAAAAATGCAAAAACAATTCAGTGGACAAAGAATATTATTTTCAACAAGTGGTGCTGGAACACTTGGGTGTTTACAAGCAAAAAAAATAAACTTTGATCCGTATCTTGCAACATATACAAAAGTAACTCAAATGAATCATAGACTGAAATGTTAACCCTAAAACTACAAAACATGTAGAAAAAAGCATGGAAGAAAATCTTTTTGACCTCAGGTTAGGCAAAAATTTCTTAAATACAACACCAAAAGCACAATCCATGAAAGAAAAAGTAAGTGATAATTAGAATTTTATCAAAATTTAAAACTTCTGCTTTTTAAAAGACATTAGTTAGAGAATGAATAAACAAGCCATAGTCGTAGAGAAATATTTGCAAATCATATGCCTGATAAAGTACTTGTATCCACAATATATAAAGAACTCTTAATAGGAAGAAAGCAAACACCCACATTTTTTAATGGACAAACTATTTGAACAGACACTTCACCAATAAAGGAATATAGATGCCAAATAAGTACATGAAGATGCTCAGCATCGTTAGTCATTAAGTAAACATAAGTTAAAACCACAATAAGATATCACTACATGCGTATTAAAGTGGATCAATTTAAAAAGACTGACTATACCAAGGGTTGGTGAGGATATGAAGGAACTGGTAGGAATATGCTATAAAATAGTACCAGTACATTGGAAAATAGTTTGGCAATATTTTTAAAAAGTTAAGCATTCTTCGGCCGGGCGCGGTGGCTCACGCCTGTAAACCCAGCACTTTGGAAGGCCAAGGCGGGCGGATCACGAGATCAGGAGATTGAGACCATCCTGGCTAACACGGTGAAACCCCGTCTCTACTGAAAATACAAAAAAATTAGCCAGGCGTGGTGGCAGGTACCTGTACTCCCAGCTATTCGGGAGGCTGAGGCAGGAGAATGGTGTGAACCCGGGAGGCGGAGCTTGCAGTGAGCCGAGATCGCGCCACTGCACTCCAGCCTGGGCGACAGAGCAAGACTCCGACTCAAAAAAAAAAAAAAAAAAAAAAAAGTTAAGCATTCTTCTACAACATGATCCAGGCATTCCGCTTCTAGGTACTTACCTCAGAGAAATGAAACCATATGTCCATACAAACGTTGGACAAGAATGTTCATAGCAGCTAGTATGTTCACAGCAGAATGTCATGGCCAAAACCTGGAAACCGCCCAAATGTCTATCAACAGGTGAATGGATAAACACACTGTGGCATATTAATACAATAAAAATGAAAGAAGTATTGATACATGCCACAACGTGAATAAATCTAATAATCATTATCTGCAGTGAAAGAAGCCAGACCAAAATAGAGAATATATTGTATTTATACAAAATTCTAGAACATCCTAGCTTATCTATAGTGACCAAAAAAAAAAAAAAAAAACAGATCAGTGGAGATTCAGGGATGAGAGGAAGACATTACAAATGCGCATAAGGAAAATGTTGGGGGTGATGCATACACTCATAATTTTTATTGTGATAATGGTTTCACAAATATATATATGTGTCAAAACTTATCAAAGTATATACTTTTAATATGTGTAGTTTACTATATATTGGTTATACCTCATAAAACTTTTTTATTTTGAAAAACAAAAGAGTGTTCTAATAATATGCAAATATCCCCAAGAGCTATCACACCCTAAGCTTTATCAACTAATATCTTACTGCGGAAAGAGAATGAGAAATAGGTATTAGGGACAAACCTCAATTTTTCCAAGAACTGGCCCTGATGACACACTTACTAAACAGCCCAAAATGCTGACAAAAGTTTTTACAATGGCACATAATACTAAGTCCACTAAGGGACATTTCCTTTTCACTCAAAGCTGACATTCAAGCCCATGTAGAATAAAAAGGTGGGTACTACCTGGCTTGGAGCAATTTTTCTCACCATTTGTGCACCCAGCCTTTTTATTCCTCTCCTCTCTCCACCCAAGTCCCCCAAAGCAAGAATCAACTAGTCCCAGAAACAACAGAACAATTTCCTGGATCCCAATTAGTCATGTTTATCTCTCTATACTTCCTTAAGGTCAGGATAGCGAACTCGGAAGTCCTAACACTCTTGCGAACAGCTTTATGCCTGGATCCAGAGTTAGGACCCTGGCTTGCTGTGTGAATGTAGTCTCATCTTTATGCCATGTTTGTGTCACTGATGTGGTTTGGATCTGTATCCCCACCAAATCTCATGTTGAATTGTAATCCCCAGTGTTGGAGGTGGGGCCTGGTGAGCGGTGATTGGATCATGGAGGCAGATTTCTCATGAATGGTTTCGAATCATCTGTCTTAGTACTGTCCTGACTATAGTGAGTGAGTTCTTAGGAAATCTGGTCGTTTAAAATTGTGTGGCACCTCCCCGCTCTCTCTCTTCCTCCTGCTCCTGCCATGTAAGATACCTGGGCCCACTTTGCCTTCCACCATGAGTAAAAGTTTCCTGACGCCTCCCCAGATGCTGGGGATCTACAGATGCTTCTATGCTTCCTGTACTGCCTGAAGAACTGTGAGCCAATTAAACCTCTTTTCTTTATAAATTGCCAATCTCAGGTCTTTCTTTATAGCAATGTGAAAAGAGACTAATACAGTCACTAAACTACAAAGAGGACATTTGGTCTCCAATGAAGGAGTTCTTGGGTTTGAGGAAGTTCAGCTCCACAGTGCACTTCTATTGGTGCAAGTACTACTGCTCAGAACTCAAGAGACTGTAGAAATGGAAATATGTGACGTCCTCATATTTTCAAAATAGACTTCTTAAGATTCCCTGTCTTGTGAGCTTGCTAATCCTTGTGTATAATACTTAGCACCACAGGGGTGCCCAACGCTGACAACTGACCAACTCAACCAGGAACAATTGAAAAGCCTAGGACATGGAATCTGTCTGTGTTCTTTTCATTGAAAAGGTGAGCGGTTTCTGGCAGAGTCAGATTTCTGGAGAGAAGTCATCCATCTGCTAGCAGAGACCATTTCAAACCCTGCTTCCCTTCAGATAGCATCTTAACTCATGATGAAATTAAGAAGGCAAGCTCCAACGTGCACAGTTAGAGTCGGCAACTTGGCCGGCTGGCAGAGTGTGGGCAGCCCTCAGCGCCTCTGACCTCTGTGCACTGAAATGAGAGGAAACTGTGATCAGGAGCTGACATTTCCTCAGAGCATCACCCAGCTTTCCTAACAGAGGGACCACAATTCACTGATAATGAAGCTTTGAAGTGTCTGGCCCAGGGCCAGGAAACACTGGAAGTATCCTTTGGAGAATATCTGTTTTAGATTACTCCCAGTGTGTAGGAAGCTGCACATGCTAACTTTAGCCGTTCTCCTGCCTTCAGAATGTAGAGGCTTCAGGCTGATTGATCTCAAGCCCATTCTTTTGGCTCAGATCTAAATGGCAGTCCCACTGGGTTTGGGTGTTTTTGTTTGGATTTTTGTTTTTGTTTTTGTTTTTTGCCTTCAAAGCTGCATTATGATCCTGCACATGTTCCTCTTCTTCATCTCTTCCCTCCAACAGTTTTGTTCACAATTTTTGCATCCCAAGAAATTTATATTTCTCAAGTAGAGAAATTTGGGGACATTTATTCCAAAGGAGTTTCTGCAATGGAAACCTAAATCCATCTGACAAGTTTCATTTCTGAAGGGCCTCATTATAATACTACTTTGGTTTATGGTAGGTCAAATGATGTGCCCCCTTTTAAAAATTATACTAAAGCATTTCTCTCATTATAACTTAAAAATCTAAATCCACTTTACAATGAGACTCTACCATTCAGGCAATTGATTCTGTTAAAATGCATGCTGTTCACTCTACAAATATATCCACTTTGATTTAGGCTTTATTGCTTCTCTCTGGAGCCACAATTTGGCTGATAAACATAAACTACAATCTAAACCCTTGCCTTTCACACTGTGGTCCTTGAGCTCACAGCATTGCCATAACCTAGGAGCTTATTTGAAATAGAGTATCATACTAGGGAGGCTGAGGCAAGAAGATCACAGGATTGAGGCTGCAGTGAGCTAGGATCACACCAATGCACTCTAGCCTGGGCAACAGAGCAAGATAAAGAAAGAAAATAAAGAAAGAGAGAAAGAAGGAAGGAAGGAAGGAAGGAAGGAAGGAAGGAAGGAAGGAAGGAAGGAAGGAAGGAAGAAAGGGAGGAGGGAGGGAGGGAGGGAGGGAAAGAAAGGGAAGGAGGAAGAAAGGAAAGAAAGGAAGGAAGGAAAAAAGGAAAGGAGGGAGGGTGAGAGAGAAGGAAAGAAGGAATGAAGGAGAGAAAAAAGAAAGAAAGGAAAGAAAAGAGGAAGGAAGTGTGGATAGAAGGAAGGACAAAAGGGGAGAAGAAAGAAAGAAAGAAACAAAGAAACAAAGAAAGAAAGGGAAAGAGAGAAAGAAAAGAAAAGAAAGAGAGAAAGGAAGGAAAGAGAGAGGGAGAGAGAGAGGGAGGAGGGAGGGAGAGAGAGGAAGGAAGGGAGGAAGGAAGGGAGGGAGACGATATCAGGACCCTGGTCCTAACCCCAGACATACTTAATCTGAAACTGCATTTCAATAAGATTGTCAGTGATTCTCATGTACATTCAAGCTTGAGAAACACTGCTTTAACTAGCCCTCACCCCCTTAAGGGGAGAGAAAAAAAAAAATCAAGGGCCAAGACTTGAGCACTGTAATTGACAAAATTCCCAAGAGGAACTTTGGCCAGCCCCTTGCTCAGTGTTTTTCAGCCTGCAGCCCCCACATAAATCCCAACCGGTTCTTCACCCTGCTCTGCTAAGAATAACTTTTGAATGGATCAACAGGGTCAGCTTAGTCAAACATCAAAGATTTTGAGTGCTTAATGAGGCTTCTCTCAATCTTTTGAGGATGGAAAGTAAACTGAAAATTTTTGGAGTTGGGTTTGATCATGAGCTAACAGGTCATTCCTGGCTCCATCTCATTGCAGATGCCAGGAAGACAACCTTCTGTACTGATGACCAGGAGAGGTCATCTCCAAGGCTGTGCAAAAAATAATAATTATTATCATAATTATATATATATATATATAACTCAATAAAAGACAAGACAGGCAGGGATAGACCTGAGAAGATGAGGACTCTCACATCTTGAAATGTGGCTTTTGTGGGAGTCAAAGTTGAGGTGGTCAGTTCGTCCCCTCCTTACCAGTGATTAGCAGCTGGTAATGAAAGTTAGAGGTTCAATCCCAGCCAACCCCTAGGCCACTACTCATTACTGGATGTCTGCTGTCATTTGGGGGATGTGAGGTGACAAGTAGACAGAGGGAGGACCTGGCATTTGCTGCTTGGTGACCTGTTCCTGATGGCCAGCATACCTTAAATGGCTACTCAACATCAGCCACCCCTTTCCAACCAGCTATATTCCCTCACCATCCCACTTTCTATACTAAGACAAGGCTGCTGTTTTCATTTTTTTTTTTTTTTTTGGCATCAATTTTTCACCTGACACTAGAGCTGTTTTCTGCCCCCAGCTCACCCGGTGGGAGTTCCTGTCAAGCACTTGCTGGGCTCCTTCTGGAAGCTAGAACTTGTCTTCAGTACCTCTTGGGATCCTGTTGCAAAAAGGACAGTTGTCTATAATCTTGATATGGATACTATCAGATTGTAAGTATCATCATTATTAGGGAATCCTTCCTCCTCTGTTCCACCTGAAAAATTTTATTTTCTTATAGTCTATTCAATTCTAATCTACCAGACTTTAAACTACCGTTCTCATCTGCCCATTAAGAAAGTGGGCCTTCAATAAGGTTAACGCTTCTAGACCCAGCCCATCCCATTCCCAGTTTCCTTCCCTGCCTTACTGCCCAGGCCACTGAAACCCCAACTAATTTTTGTTCAAGCTCTATTGTTACACCAGAGGTTGCCTATTCCAGTGGTCCTGGCCACCCACGGACTTAGTTCCTGGTATGTTGCACACAAATACGATATGTGACATGGAAAATATCACATAAATGCAGAAGACCATGGGCCAGAGCCCCTCTCCTGGAGTCTAACATTGGTCCCTGATAGATTTGTACACTAATTCACAGGGGCAGCAGAGGACCTGCATACCTGTTTCCAGCCCTGCCCCTGTGAGTTTCCTCTGATAGATACTGCACCAGAACACAGGTGTATGTGCTATCTGATCATTTACTCTTCTGTGCTCAATAAGGAAGAATATATTCATGTAATCATTTATTTATGAAAATTCAATAAATATTTGCTGAAAATAAGAACAGCAAATACTACTAAGTACTTTTATGTGCCAGGTACTATTCTACAGATTTTACCTTAATTACCCTACTTAATCTTCACAGCTGCACTACAAGGTAGGTATTATTACCTTTATTGCACATATGAGGAAACCAAGTCATGGTTCTACTACCATCTATGGCTTCTACCAAATGCCTACTATGTGCTTAGCTCACCAGTAGTTCAACAGTGAAAAACAGGCTGATCCTTGCCCTGTGGACTGTACTGTCTCATAGATGAAATACACACTAAGGATAATTATTAATCGAAATGGTGAAAGCACTGCAACGGAGAAGAATGAAATTGTATAAGCACATGTCATAGGAGAATATTACTTATTCTGGGGCATTAGCTAATGCTTCCCTGAGAAAGTGACATTTAAACTTTTCTACAGACGTAGAAATTGCAGACTCTGCCCCTAGGGACACAGAGAAATCCTGAAGGGACAGACTTCCTTGACTGTTTCTTAAACCTCATTTATACTGCCTACCCCCAAGGCACAAGGGCACCACATATCAAATTTTGCCTACAAAGTACTTACAAAGAACAGTCCTGTTCTCTGGCCTCAAAAAGTGTGCAGCATAGTTGGGGGAATAAGATTCATGTTCAGTCTACAGCCATACTACCCTGAATGCACCCAATCTCATCTGATCTCAGAAACTAACAGGGTCAGGCCTGGTTAGTGTTCTGATGGCAAGGGTCATGTTCATTCATGGATACTTATTCAAAACAACAATAATGATATCAAAGTAGCCGTTAATATTGAATGCTTACTATATGCCAAGTGTTCTTTGCTCATCTTCCCCTTTAAACTTTGCAAAATCCTTCAGTATACTACTGCTTACCTTTTGAGGATGAATAAGCTCAAGTTCAGAGAAGTTAAGACACTTGCCCAAGGTAACAAATCCAATAAACAGGAAAGCTGGAATTAGAGCCGAGGTCAGCTCCACCACCCCTATCCTTACTGCTTCAGGGTTTTCATACCCCAGTGCCTCCAGTGGACCAGATATGGAATCTGAACCAGAGAAGCAAACCTGAGAGCACTTGTCTTATTCCAGCTGATGGTTGCTGTGCAGAAATAAGGTCCCTGGGATACTGACCTTCTAATGTTTAAAGAAAAGCCAGAAGCTTTAATTTCCATATGAAATCAATTGAATTTTCAAAGTTGGCAACTAATTTTTAAGAAAATTAAATGCTATGAAAGGTATTTTTAATACACTTCAGGGACCATACCTGGCCTGCTGGCCACCAGTTTACAGCCTCTGCCCTACCCCATATTGCTCCCGACCCATAAGGAAACCCACAGATTCATGGAGAAGATAGATGCATCAACAAATGCCAACATCTTGAGGCTGTGAAGAAATAGGAACGCTTTTACACTGTTGGTGGGAGTGTAAATTATTTCAACCATTGTGGAAGACAGTGTGGCAATTCCTCAAGGATCTAGAACCAGAAATAACACTTGACCCAGCAATCCCATTACTGGGTATATACCCAAAGGATTATAAATCATTCTACTATAAAGACACATGCACACATATGTTTACTGCAGCACTATTTACAATAGCAAAGACTTGGAACCAACCCAAATGCCCATCAATGATAGACTGGATAAAGAAAATGTGGCACATATACACCATGGAATATTATGCAGCCATAAAATAGAATGAGTTCATGTCCTTTGCAGGACATGGATGAAGCCGGAAGCCATTATTCTCAGCAAATACAGGAACAGAAAACCAAACACTACATGTTCTCATTCATAAGTGGGAGTTGAACAACAAGAACACATGGACACAGGGAGAGGAACCTCACATACCGGGGCCTGTCTTGGGGGGTGGGGGGGCAAGAGGAGGGTGAGCATTAGGACAAACACCTAATGCATGTGGGGCTTAAAACCTAGATGATGGATTGATAGGTGCAGTAAACCACCATGGCACATGTATACCTATGTAACAAACCTGCATGTTCTGCACATGTATCCCAGAACTTCAAGTAAAATTAAAAAAAATAAATAAATAAAAATAAAAAAGCCAACATATAAAATGAGCATAAAAGAGGGATTGGTTAAATATATGTGAGGCAGAAAGAGGTGCAGAAAAACCTTCACAAATAGAATTGTTTGAGTGGGTGAGTCGGGGGTGAACAGCAGTCCAGACAGAGAAGACAGCACACAGGAAAACTTGGGGAGTGAGAATGCATGGCCTCCTCTGGGACCACAATAGCTTGAAGTCCCTTGTGCTATGAGAGAGCTTGTGGAAGAGTATTAAAAGGCCACGTGGATCTGGTAAGTAAGGGCAAGATTTCAGATGATTCTGTGTGCTACACTGAGATGGTTGCTCTTACCTGTTGATCATAAATACATGATAAACAGTAAGCAGTATAAATAATAAGTAGAATAAACCCAGCAGATAGGCATGTTACAAAAATTGCTGTATTAGCAAGGTGTGGTGGTGCATGCCTATAGTTCCAGCTACTTGGGAGGCTGAAGCAGGAGGATCACTTGAGTCCAGGAGGTCAAGGGTGCCGTCAGCTATGATTGTGCCACTGCACCCAGGCTGGGCAACAGAGTGAAACCATGTCTCTTAAAACTTTTAAAAATAAAAAATAAATTTTAAAAAATGATTGCTGTAGTAAGTAAAGAGTGATTAGAGGAAGGAAGATCAGTCAGAAAGTAATTGCAATAGTCAAGAGGGATATCAAAGTCCCGAACTGCTTATAAAAGAGAGGAAGGAAGGGAGACTTATAGAGGTGATGAGGAAATAGGGTCAGGAGAACAAACTGACTAATTGCATATGGAGTGAGAGAGGGAGAATAGAAGGCTTGGCTTTCAGGTGTCTGGCCTAAGAGTCTGGCCTCTGGCTAAATGGAAATTTAAATGCAATATGAGGCAATACATGGCAAATGAATACCCCGTAAAATTCAATAGCACCAATGAAGTTTATTAGCTATTAATAAAGAGCTGAAGACTGGGTGACTTTATTAGTCATTTATTTATAATCTAAACTCCAAATCTCAAAAAAAGTAGAGAATTTGAGGCAGATTGAAATAGACTCCAATGTATATTCAGCAAGTGTTACAAACAAAATCAGAGAGATGAAAAATAATCTAGAATAAAAAAGAGAGATAATTAAACGAGAAATATAAAGACAGTAATTACCATCCATGAACATTAAATTAGGACTGGCTCGGTGGCTCACACCTGTAATCCCAGCACTTTGGGAGGCAGAGGTGGGAGGATCACTTGAGGTCAGGAGTTCAAGACCAGCTTGGCCAATATAGTGAAACCCTGTCTCTACTAAAAATACAAAAATTAGCCAGGTGTGGTGGTGCGCGCCTGTAGTCCCAGCTACTCAGGAAGCTGAGACAGGAGAATTGCTTGAACCCGGGAGGCAGAGGTTGTAGTGAGCCAAGATGGTGCCACTGCACTTCAGCCTGGGCGACAGAGTGAGACTTCATCCCAAACAAAAAATAAATAAATAAATAAATAAATGCCAGAGTTTACTTGCAGTCACATCAAGAGAGGGAACCCCAAAGTGTTCTATAACAAGAAGCTGGCAGCTCCAGTGTGGTCTAGAATGCATGAGCTTTGGAGTCTGAAGGACTGGGGTTTGAACCCCAGGTCTAGTAGATACCGTATGACTGAAGACCTGGGAATTAAATGCTCTAAGCCTCAGTTCTCTCTAGTGAAAAATGAAGAAAACAGTCCCTTGACTAGAGATGTGTAAAGCATCTTGCTTATCATAGACCTCCAAGAGACAACTGTTTAATATTAGTGTTATTTTCTTAGAAGATGAGCCTTTTCTTAGCATAAAATTCTCAGAGGAACTGAAGTTTGGTCAGCATGGAGGTACAGAGAGAGATATACGCTTTTACAAGTATCAAGTCACCTAGGCAAATGACAAAATATTCAACATCCTGGTCTCACCATCAGACTGAGCACAGGCACCCTGAAAAGTCTCTGACCCTGAACACTACCCCCAAAAATAACATTTGTCTTATAAAACAGGGAGAAGAAGGGGCACTAAAAAGATAAAGTTTAATCAAAGTCATGAATCACTGGAATAGAAGATATGCTGTTAAGAAGAGTCCCCAGTGGTGCATTGGACAGGGGAGGGGGGAAGAGAGGTACTAATGAGCTTCTCTTTCTTGGATTACAAACAGGAGAGTGTTAGCTGCCATTTGAACCAGGCCTGTCTTCAAATGTGTCACCCACCTGGTCAGGTGGCTTTAGGGTTCCTAAGAGCTAGAAGGCTCCAGCATCCTTCTCAAGTACCTGCCCTAAATCATGGACATGACTTAAGCGTTGGGCTGTTGGGGTTACACTTCCACATTTATTTGATGCTTTTATCTGTTTTCCTTTCAAATGTTTCTTTGAATGTGTCTTAGTTTAAAATACCTTTTGGTGCTTGTTTGTATCCAGGGAAACTAAGCATCATATATGAAGAAAAGATACAGTTGTTTTCAGACAAACAAATGCTGACAGAATTCACCAATACCATGAAACCACTACAAGAACTGTTAAAAGGAGCTCTAAATCTTGAAACAAATCCTGGAAACACATCAAAACAGAACCTCTTTAAAGCCTAAATCACACAGGACCTATAAAACAAAATGTAAGTTAAAAAGCAAGAACAAAAAACAAACAAAAAAAAAACCAAAGTACACAGGCAACGAAGAGCACGATGAAAGCAATGGTACCTCACATTTCAATACTAACATTGAATGTAAACAGCCTAAATGCTCCACTTAAAAGATACTGAACCCTGCAGCAGAATGGATAAGAACTCACCAACCAACTGTCTGTCAGGAGACTCAGCTAACACATCAGGACTCACATAAAGTAAAGGGGTGGAAACAGGCATTTCATGCAAATGGACACCAAAAGTGAGCAGGGGTAGCTATTCTTATATCAGGCAAAACAATCTTTAAAGTAACAGTGGTTAAAAGAGACAAAGAGGGACACTATAATGGTAAAAGTCTTTGTTCAACAGTAAAATATCACAATCCTAAACATAAATGCACCAAACACTGGAGCTCCCAAATTTATAAAACAATTACAAACAGACCTTAGAAATGAGATAGACAGCAACACAATAATAGTGGGGGACTTCAATACTCCACTGACAGCACTAGACAGGTCATCAAAACAGAAAGTCAACAAATAAACAATGGATTTAAGTCCATTTGTTACCTTGGAACAAATGGACTTAACAGATATATATAGAACATTTTATCCAACAACCACAGAATATACATTATATTCAACAGCACATTTCTCCAAGATAGACCATATGATATGACATAAAATGAGCCTCAATAAATGCAAGAAAATTGAAATTATATCAAGCACTCTCTCAGACTACAGTGAAATAAAACTGGAAATCAACTCCAAAAGGAACCTTCAAAACCATGCAAATGCATGGAAAATAACCTGCTCCTGAATGAGCATTGGGTCAAAAATGAAATCAAGATGGAAATTAAAAAATCCTTTGAACTCAATGACAATAATGACACAACCTATCAAAACCTCTGGGATACAGCAAAGGCAGTGCTAAGAGGAAAGTTCATAGCCCTAAACACCTACATCAAAAAGTCTGAAAGAGCACAAACAGACAATCTAAGGTCAACCTCAAGGAACTAGAGAAACAAGAACAAACCAAACCCAAACCCAGAAGAAGAAGGGACATAACTAAGATCAGAGCAGAACTAAATGAAATTGAAACAAAAAAATATATAAAAGATAAATGAAACAAAAAGCTGGTTCTTTGAAAAGATAAATAAAATTGATAGACCATTAGCAAGATTAACCAAAAAAAGAAGAGAGAAAATCCAAATAACCTCACTAAGAAACAAAACAGGAGATATTACAACTGACACCACTGAAATACAAAAGATCATTCAAGGCTACTGGGAACACCTTTATCCATATAAACTAGAAAACTTAGAAGAGATGGGTAAATTCCTGGAAAAATAAAACCCTCCTAGCTTAAATCAGCAAGAATTAGATACCCTGAACAGACCAATAATGAGCAGTGTGACTGAAATGGTAATTTAAAAATTACCAACAAAAAAGAAGTCCAGGACCAGATAGATTCACAGCAGAATTCTACCAGACAGTCAAAGAAGAATTGTTACCAATCCTTTTGACTCTATTCCACAAGATAGAGAAAGAAGGAACCCTCTCTAATTCATTCTATGAAGGTGGCATTACCAAAACCAGGAAAGGACATAACCAAAAAAGGAAACTACAGACTGATATCCTTGATGAACATAGATGCTAAAATCCTTAACAAAATACTAGCTAACTAAATCCAACAACGTATCAAAAAGATAATCAACCATGACCTAGTGGGTTTCATACCGGAGATGCAGGGATGGTTTAACATATGCAAGTCAATAAATGTGATACACCACATAAACAAAATTTTTAAAAATCACATGATCATCTCAATAGATGCAGAAAAGCATTTGACAAAATCCAGCATCACTTTATGATTAAAACTCTCAGCAAAATCGGCATACAAGGGACATATCTTAATGTAAAAAAGCCATCTATGACAAACCCACAACCAACATAACACTGGATGGGGAAAAGTTGAAAGCATTCCCTCTGAGAACTGGAACAAGACAAGGATGCCTGCTCTCACCAGTCCTCTTCAACATAGTACTGGAAGTCCTAGCCAGAGCAATTAGACAAGAGAAAGAAATAAAGGGCATCCAAACCGGTAAAGAGGAAGTCAAACTGTCACTGTTTGCTGACAATATGATCATTTACCTTGAAAACCCTAAGGACTCCGGAAAGCTCCTAGAACTGATAAAAGAATTCAGAAAAGTTTCCAGATACAAGATTAATGTACACAAATCAGTAGCTCTTCTATACACCAACAGTGACCAAGCAGAGAATCAAGTCAAGAACTAACCCCTTTTACAACAGCTACAAAAAATAAAAATAAAATAAGATACTTAGGAATATACCTAACAAAGGAGTCGAAAGGCCTCTGCAAGGAAAACTATGAAACACTGTTGAAAGAAATCATACACGACACAAACAAATGGAAACACATCCCATGCTCATGGATGGGTAGAATCAATATTGTGAAAATGACCATACTGCCAAAAGCAATCTACAAATTCAGCACAATCCTCATTTGAATACCAGCCACCATCATTCCTTACAGAATTAGAAAAAACCATTCTAAAATTCATATGGAACCAACAAAGAGCCTGCACAGCCAAAGCAAGACTAAGCAAAAAGGACAAATCTGGAAACATCACACTACCTGATTTCAAACTACACTATGAGGCCATAGTCACCAAAACAGCATGGTACTGGTGTAAAAATAGGCACATAGACCAATGGAACAGAATAGAGAATCCAGAAATAAACCCAAATACTTACAGCCAACTGATCTTCGACAAAGCAAACAAAAATATAAAGTGGGGAAAGGATACCCTTTTCAACAAATGGTGCTGGGATAATTGGCTAGCCACATATAGGAGAATAAAACTGTATCTTCATCTCTAACCTTATACAAAAATCCACTCAAGATGAATTAAAGACTTAAACTGAGACCTGAAACGAGAAAAATTCTAGAGGATAACATTGGAAAAACCCTTGTAGACATTGGCTTAGGCAAGGATTTCCCCACCAAGAACCCAAAAACAAATGCAATAAAAACAAAGATAAATAGCTGGGACCTAATCAAACTAAAGAGCTTTTTCATGGCAAAAGGAACAGTCAGCAGAGTAAACAGACAACTCACAGAGTGGGAGAAAATCTTCACAATCTGTACATCTGACAAAGGACTAATATCCAGAATCTACAATGAACTCAAATAAATCAGTAAGAAAAAAACAAACAATCCCATCAAAAAGTGGGCTAAGGACATAAACAGACAATTCTCAAAAGAAGATATACAAATGGCCAACAAACATATGAAAAATGTTCAGCATCACTAATGATCAGGGACATGCAAATTGAAACCACAATGCGATACCATCTTACTCCTGCAAGAATGGCCATAATCAAAAAATCAAAAAACGGTAGATGTTGGCGTGGATGTGGGGACCAGGAAACCCTTCTACACTGCTGGAGGGAGCGTAAACTAGTACAGCCACTATGGAAAACCGTGTGGAGATTCCTTAAAGAATTAAAAGTAGAACTACCATTTTATCCCGCAATCCCACTGCTGGGTATCTATCCAGAGGAAAATAAGTCATTAACTGAAAAAGATACTTGCACACACATGTCTATAGCAGCACAGTACACAATTGCAAAATCATGAAACCAACCCAAATGCCCATCAATCAACGAGAGGATAAAGAAACTGTGGTATTTATATGCAATGGAATACTACACAGCCATAAAAAGGAATGAATTAACAGCATTTGCAGTGACCTGGATGAGATTGGAGACTATTATTCTAAGTGAAATAACTCAGGAATAGAAAACCAAACATCGTATGTTCTCCCTGATATGTGGGAGCAAAGCTATGAGGATGCAAATGGATATGAATGATACAATGGACTTTGGGGACTTGGGGGAAAGAGTGGGAGGGGGGCGAGGGATAAAACACTGCAAATATGGTGAGTGTATACTGCCCAGGTGATGGGTGCACCAAAATCTCACAAATCACCACTAAAGAACTTACTCATGTACTCATGTAACCAAATACCACCTGTACCCCAATAACTTATGGAAAAATTTAAAAAATAAAAATAAAAAAGTGGATGGCCAGAGCTTTGTTAGAGAGAATGCTGGGCCATATTCAGTTGGGGTATCCAATGAGTCTCTGGGATGACAGCAATAATCTGGCCTTCTTATTTCTCCAGCTTCACCTCACACCATTTCCCATCTTTTTTAAATTGTTGTTCTAGCCATATTGCACTGCTTTGAGTTCCATTAATCTGGTAATCTTTCATATCTCTAGACCTTTGGATCTGTACCACTATCCAAAATGCCTTCCCCAAGGTCCTTTCTCTGCCTGGTTAAGTCCTACTTGTCTTTCCTCTGTAATAATGAAGGTAATATTAGCATATACCTCAGAGGGTAATGTGAGAATTAAGAGAGATTATCCATGTTATGTTCTCAGAACAGTATCTGACCTCTCATAAGTACTCGACACATTTTAGCAACGGTCATTACCCTTCTTTCCAGATTCAGTTCAAGTGTCACCACTTATGGGAAAACGTTCACGAATCCTTTCCTCCCTATTGGTTGTCTATCCTATGTATACACACTGCATACTGAACATGTCTCTGTCATAATGATAATAATAATAACAATAATAATAAGGGCTAGCATTTATTGACTTCTATGTTCAGACTCTGCTCTAACAACATTTAATCTTATACTACTTCATCCTCACACGAACATTATGAGGTGTTTGAACTATTAGTCCCATTTTAGAGAAGAGCCAAGAGACAGACTAAGCTACTTTCTATGGTGTAACAGCTAATAGAAGGCTGAATCAAAACTCAGCCACAGTTTTCTTGTTTGAGAGTCAGTGTCTTATACTTTATTTACGTGGGATTTTATTTGCTATCTTGTTGTTGCTATTACTCCCTGTTATCTTGCAAGTTTTTCAAAAACAGGGATCTTTATTTTTTGTTGTTATTGCTGTTTTACCCAGACCCAGGCCCTTTGTCTTGCACAAAGCACTTGCTCAATAAACGTGTGACAAATTAATACAGACACGAATTTCCACCACACGAAGAGTGAAATGAGGACTAAAGAGTCTTATCAAAATAAGTTGATTCAGGAGAGCAAGGAGTTTATGGCTCCCATTTCCTGCCCACATTTTATGGTGAAGACCAGGATCTGGATGATGAGAGGTTCTGCCTGACTAAAATTCAGCTGCAAATACAGCCTTATAATCCCCATAAACAAAGACGTGGTGTAGTCTATGGCTGTGCAAATCCAACAGAGGAAAGTAGTTGGACAAGAGATGACTCTTCCCTGTGAAAGAATCTATTTAGCAAGGAAACCAACCATAGAATGACTCATGCCTGGATTGCCTTACCTCTCCTTCCTGCCAATCCACGTCCATCACTGCCTTGAACTCCAAACGCCCCTCCAAGGTGTCCCTGACTCACCACACTCACATGAGAACATGTGCTGGCCACATTCCTACAGTTCTCGGGAAGACTATTTAGACCACATTAGTGTGCCCTTGTTCATATGCTAATTCCAATTCATCCTCTGTGTTCAACCATTGTAGCTTGTCTCCTGGGTTCAGTTAGAAACAACAAAAGCTTAGTTGCCTAGCCTGGCCCATGATAGACCCTCAATAAATACTGGATGAACAGATGAGAACAAAAACATGGAACTGATTCAATGCAACTCCCTCTTTTTGTTCCCATCCTACCCATACATTGACTTATCATCAGCATTCTGACAAACCCTGGAACCTACATTCCATTAGAACATTTATTGCTCTCTGTTGTAATTGTACAGAGCCTTATAATGTAAATGTAATTGTAACCCAACCCTCTTTTTTTTTTTTTTTTGAGACGGAGTCTCACTCTGTCGACCAGGCTGGAGTGCAGTCGCGCGATCTCGGCTCACTGTAAGCTCCACCCCCCGGGTTCACACCATCCTCCTGCCTCAGCCTCCCAAGTAGCTGGGACTACAGGCACCCGCCACCACACCCGGCTAATTTTTTCTTTTTTTTTTTGTATTTTTGGTAGAGACAGGGTTTCACCGTGTTAGCCAGGATGGTCTCGATCTCCTGACCTCGTGATCCGCCCACCTCGGCCTCCCAAACTGCTGGGATTACAGGCATGAGCCACCGCGCCCGGCCTCCCAATCCTCTTTTTGTCCTCAGTAGCAAATATGAAGCTGTTACATACAGATACTGAATAAAGGTTAAGTAAAATCCTTCACTCATTCAACAAATATTTATTACTCTAAGCTTGGTGCTAGTATATCAGACCTAAAATTTAGAGTGCCACCTTAACATCTTTGAGCCGAGATGTTAAGGTGGCCCTTTAAATTTTAGGTCTGAGCCAGGTCCCAAAAGGCCTACCCATGAGTTCTCTTGCTCTCACCAGATATACCCAACCCAGCAGGAAACAGACCCCATTCTGCTAGTTTCCCACCAGCCCAATCATCTTAACCCCATTCAGTTTTCAACTTAGTGGATTTTATCTCCCTAACAGCACATGAAATTATTCAAACAAGCCAATCACATCCTCGCTTGGTAACCAGGGGTCACCTCACCCTGTTGATACTACAAAGCCTGCCTCCCACAGTCCCTGCCAGCTCATTCTTCCTGAGTGCAACCCCATTGGCCCTGCATGGCAGGCAGTGTCCTCTACCTCCAGAGTGAATAGATGTGACTATTAAACTGCTGTCACCCTTATCTGCCCAGTGTCAAGTGTCTCGTGCATGACTATCTCACACTATGTGGAGGGGGATCCCTCCTTTACCACTGGGATAAATAGGATGTAATCAGAACAGTTAGATGCCGGGAATCAGCTATAATCACGTTAAGTGGGCCCCTCCCCACTAAAATCTGAGGTTCCTGTTCCAACCAGATGACAAATTTACTGACTCCCTCTCTTGAAATGAACCCTGAATTCCTAAGAGGGAAGCTATCAATATGGGAGAGGAAAGAGAATAAGCCTTTAAAGAGAAAGGGCTATGGGGAGGGGCAAGGTCTGGTAGGGGTAGCTCTAGCCTGGGCAGGAGGCATCTAGGCAGTGTTGTAGGCTCTGAGAATAGAATAAGGAATAAGGCAGAATTCCTGCCTTCAAGGTAACCATGTTCTAAGAAAGGGAAAACAAATTACAATAGCAAATGAATAAATAACATAATTTTCAGCACCACAAAGATAAAAGAGGGTAATGCACTAGAGCAGAAATTAGCAAACCATAGCCTCTGGGTCAAATCCAGCCCACTGCCTATTTTGGTGCAGCTCACAAAGTAACATTTTAAATGATTGAAAAAAAATCAAAAGATTAATACTTCATGACATGTACAAAATTCAAGTCTCAGTATCTGTAAATAAAATTGTATTGGAATATAGCCATACTCACCCATGTAGGAATTATCTACAGCTGCTTTCACACTACAGTGACAAAGTTAGGTTGTTGTGACAGGTCCTGGATGAACTGAGAAGTCATAAGTATTTACTATCTGACTCTGTGAAGAAAAGGTTTGCTTACTTCTGTCCTAGAGAGTCACAGGGGTGGGAATGGGAAGCAGAAGGCTGGCAAGGGCTGCCTGCTCCAAAGAAGTGACTCGAATTGAAAGCTGAACAATGACAAAAAGGAAGCCAAGTGGAGGCCTGGAGGGAAAATCTTCCAAGCAAATCAGCAAATACAAAGATGTCAATGCGGGAACAAGGTCGGTGAGTTCATTCATTCCACAAGTCATCTTTGAGACCAACTCTATGCCAAGCACTGTTGCAGCTATTGAGGATAAAGCAGAGACTAGGTAGAAGTTGAGTATCCCATAGACAAAATGTTTGGGACTAGAAGTATTTTGGATTTCAATTTTTGGAGGACATTAGAATACATGCATTATATCTGAAATACTCCAATGAGCATTTCCTTTGAGCATCATATCAGTGCTCAAAAACATCACATTTTAAAGCATTTCAGATTTTTGATTTTCTGACTGGGATGTCCAATCCCTGCAAAGATTCGTCTAAGAAGAAAAATCACCAATCATGTGGGAGGAAAATCGGAAGAGTGTGGTACCCACGAAGACCAGATAAGAAAGTGTTTTAAAAGGAAAGTGAAACACCACAGTGTGTGTGACTGGTAGGCAAAGTAGGGAAAAAACATAATCAAATAGATGTGGTCAGATGGAGTCTCTAGGGACCTTAACAAGTGTCACAAGTGGTGGTAAATAGAATCTGTTTAGAATAAATGGAGAATAGAAAAGGACATGAGAAAGTGAAGATAACAAGTACATAGACAATGGTTTTAGCAGGTCTCTTAAAAGTAGCAAAGACTTGCAGCAGTAATTAGAGAAGAGTGCTGGGGAAAGGGCAGGTTTTAAAAGATGAATCTTATTAGAACTAGCTCATGTGCTGATTGGAATGATGCAGAAGAGGAGGAAAACTGGTAGTGGAAACAAGGAAATGGTAAATAAGGAGCCAAGTCCTGTAGAAGGCAAGAAGCAATGTGATCCAGGAGAGAAATAAAGGGAATATTACCTCTGGTGAAAAGGCCCATTGTTAGGTGATGATCTGTATCATCATCTAGATACACATGCAAGTACATGGGGCATACTTATGGACCTAACTCTCATCTTGTTCTTTCCATATTCTCTGGGAAGTATGAGATGAGGCAACCAACTCACAGCAAGAATGAGAAAGTGAACTGACTAGGGATGTTTGTAGGATAATCAGGCAGGGTGGAGTATCCAATTGAGATTTGTCATCATTACGCATTATGAGTATCTCCAATAACATGATTCAGGAAGAATGCCATCAGACCCTTGTGATTCTAAGTCCTGTGCCCTACACCATGAGATATGGTTTGGCTCTGTGTCCCCACCCAAATCCCATCTTGAATTGTAGTTCCCATAATCCCCACGTGTCATAGGAGGGACCCAGTGGGAGGTAATTTAATCATGGGGGCAGTTACCCTCTGTTCTCTTGATAGTGAGTGACTTCTTTTGAGATCTGATGGTTTTATAAGGGGCTTTTCCCCCTTTTGTTCTGCACTTCTCCTTGCTGCCACCATTTTTTTTTTAATTATACTTTAAGTTTCAGAGTACATGTGCACAATGTGCAGGTTAGTTACATATGTATACATGTGCCACGCTGGTGTGCTGCACCCATTAACTCGTCATTTAGCATTAGGTATATCTCCTAATGCTATCCCTCCCCCCTCCCCCCACCCCATGACAGTCCACAGAGTGTGATGTTCCCCTTCCTCTGTCCATGTGTTCTCATTGTTCAATTCCCATCTATGAGTGAGAACATGCGGTGTTTGGTTTTTTGTTCTTGCGATAGTTTACTGAGAATGATGATTTCCAATTTCATCCATGTCCCTACAAAGGACATGAACTCATCATTTTTTATGGCTGCATAATATTCCATGGTGTATATGTGCCACATTTTCTTAATCCAGTCTATCATTGTTGGACATTTGGGTTGGTTCCAAGTCTTTGCTATTGTGAATAGTGCCGCAATAAACATACGTGTGCATGTGTCTTTATAGCAGCATGATTTACAGCCCTTTGGGTACATACCCAGTAATGGGATGGCTGGGTCAATTGGTATTTCTAGTTCTAGATCCCTGAGGAATCGCCACACTGACTTTCACAATGGTTGAACTAGTTTACAGTCCCACCAACAGTGCAAAAGTGTTCCTATTTCTCCACATCCCCTCCAGCAGCTGTTGTTTCCTGACTTTGTAATGATTGCCATTCTAACTGGTGTGAGATGGTATCTCATTGTGGTTTTTTGATTTGCATTTCTCTGATGGCCAGTGATGGTGAGCATTTTTTCATGTGTCTTTTGGCTGCATAAATGTCTTCTTTTGAGAAGTGTCTGTTCATATCCTTTGCCCACTTTTTGATGGGATTGTTTGTTTTTTTCTTGTAAATTTGTTTGAGTTCATTGTAGATTCTGGATATTAGCCCTTTGTCAGATGAGTAGGTTGTGAAAATTTTCTCCCATTTTGTAGGTTGCCTGTTCACTCTGATGGTAGTTTCTTTTGCTGTGCAGAAGCTCTTTAGTTTAATTAGATCCCATTTGTCAATTTTGGCTTTTGTTGCCATTGCTTTTGGTGTTTTAGACATGAAGTCCTTGCTCATGCCTATGTCCTGAATGGTAATGCCTAGGTTTTCTTCTAGGGTTTTTACGGTTTTAGGTCTAACGTTTAAGTCTTTAATCCATCTTGAAATAATTTTTGTATAAGGTGTAAGGAAGGGATCCAGTTTCAGCTTTCTACATATGGCTAGCCAGTTTTCCCAGCACCATTTGTTAAATAGGGAATCCTTTCCCCATTGCTTGTTTTTCTCAGGTTTGTCAAAGATCAGATAGTTGTAGATATGCGGTGTTATTTCTGAGGGCTCTGTTCTGTTCCATTGATCTATATCTCTGTTTTGGTACCAGTACCATGCTGTTTTGGTTACTGTAGCCTTGTAGTATAGTTTGAAGTCACGTAGCGTGATGCCTCCAGCTTTGTTCTTTTGGCTTAGGATTGACTTGGTGATGCAGGCTCTTTTTTGGTTCCATATGAACTTTAAAGTAGTTTTTTCCAATTCTGTGAAGAAGGTCATTGGTAGCTTGATGGGGATGGCATTGAATCTATAAATTACCTTGGGCAGTATGGCCATTTTCACAATATTGATTCTTCCTACCCATGAGCATGGAATGTTCTTCCATTTGTTTGTATCCTCTTTTATTTCCTTGAGCAGTGGTTTGTAGTTCTCCTTGAAGAGGTCCTTCACGTCCCTTGTAAGTTGGATTCCTAAGTATTTTATTCTCTTTGAAGCAATTGTGAATGGGAATTCACTCATGATTTGGCTCTCTGTTTGTCTGTTATTGGTGTATAAGAATGCTTGTGATTTGATGCAAAAATCCTCAATAAAATACTAGCAAACCGAATCCAGCAGCACATCAAAAAGCTTATCCACCATGATCAAGTGGGCTTCATCCCTGGGATGCAAGGCTGGTTCAATATACGCAAATCAATAAATCTAATGCAGCATATAAACAGAACCAAAGACAAAAACCACATGATTATCTCAATAGATGCAGAAAAGGCCTTTGACAAAATTCAACAACCTTCATGCTAAAAACTCTCAATAAATTAGGTAGTGATGGGATGTAGCTCAAAATAATAAGAGCTATCTATGACAAACCCACAGCCTATATCATACTGAATGGGCAAAAACTGGAAGCATTCCCTTTGAAAACTGGCACAAGACAGGGATGCCCTCTCTCACCACTCCTGTTCAACATAGTGTTGGAAGTTCTGGCCAGGGCAATTAGGCAGGAGAAGGAAATAAAGGGTATTCAATTAGGAAAAGAGGAAGTCAAATTGTCCCTGTTTGCAGACAACATGATTGTATATCTAGAAAACCCCATTGTCTCAGCCCAAAATCTCCTGAAGCTGATAAGCAACTTCAGCAAAGTCTCAGGATACAAAATCAATGTGCTGCCACCATTTAAAGAAGGACATGTTTGCTTCCCCTTCAGCCATGATTGTAAGTTTCCCAAGGTCTCCCCAGCCCTGTGGAACTGTGAGTCAATTAAGCCTCTTTCCTTTGTAAATTACCGAGTCTCAGGTATTTCTTCATAGCAGCACGAGAATGGACTAATACACTATGCATATGAAATCCGAAAGAAGTTATCTTTCTGGAGCTTATAAAGAGCTAGAGAAAGCAAAACAAATGCACCAATTAGACATAAACCTAGAGATGTATAAAATAGATGTTATCATCCAAATCTCTTCACTCATGATATCTTTATTAGTCATCAAATGTGGAAATAGTGCAATTAACAAAATGGACAGAGTTTAAAAAATTTATATTTGGCTTGATGATTTATACTTTTATTATTATCACAATAATTTTTGTTATTGATATTGAATTGGAATTCAATCAAATGTCAAAGAGGAGGCAGGCCAGAAGTATTAAAGTAGAAAATTAAAAGAAAGCCTTGTAAAAAGGAATGAAGTACTACTATATGTGAGAAAATGAATGAACTTTGAAAAAAAAAAACAACACAAAAGTCTACATATTGTATGAACATTTTAATGAAATTTTCATATGAAATACTTATATGGTATGTATATTTATATGAAGTCTAGAATAGGTGAATCCATTCAGACAGAAAGTAGATTAGGGAATGTGAGGGAAGAGAGGATTGGGACTGACTGTAATACGTACAGCATTTCTTTTTGGGATGATAGAAATGCTCTGGAATTAGACAGTGGTAGTGTATATAGTACATAGTGAATACACTAGAAAACACTGAATTCCACATGCCCCACAATACAGTAAATATACTAAAAACCAAAAAAAAAAAAAAAGGCTTGGCTTTTAATTTTATAGCAAGTAATCTTAAAAAGGAACTGACGATGTGTGTTCTGTCTCTTAGATTAGGGGTGAGCAAACTCTTTCTGTAAAGGTCCAGATAGTAAATCCTTTAGGCTTGGCAGGTCATACAGTCTCTGTTGCAACTACTCATCTCTGCCATTGTAGTGTGAAAGCAGTCTTAGATAATACATAAATGAATGAGAATGGCTGTGTTCTGATAAAACATCTTTTATGGATGCTGAAATTTGAATTTCATGTAATTTTCGTATGTCATGATACGTTAGTCTTCTTTTTATTGTTGTTCAAGAATTTAAAAATGTAAAAACCACTCTCAGCCTGCAGGCCATTAAAAAAAAAAAAACAGTGGCAGGCTGTATTTGGCCCACGAACTGTAATTTGTTAACCACCCTCCCAGACCATAGTTAGCCACTTGGAGCTGGAGGGGAAATGAGCAGCCAAATGAGAACAAGCATGTTCAATTCACATCAGCTCAACAATCATTGAGTACGTGATATGGACACAGGCACTATGCCCCAGGATTCTAAGTTATTCAGAGATCAAGTGAATTTACTGAGTAAAAATTGAAAAGATGCCTCAACTAGATCCCCATGTGGCTTATAAAATGATCTCACATTTGCATCAGTCAAGTATATGCTATTAAATTCCCCCACCCATGAAAGTTACCAGCTTCACAATATAGAGTATGTTTCAAAGGCGAAGGAAAATAACTCACAGTGTCTGTTCCGTGCAGTATTTTTAAACATCCATAACTTTGTTATTTCAAAACCAAATTTCTTCAAACAAGGCAAAGCACACATTCCTCACTCAGGGTTATGTACCAGGAATGCCAAGTTTAAAATTTCCAAACAAAGTTGCTTTTGAGAAATTCAAACGCAAAAAAGCATTTGAAAAATTTCTGAACTGCTAAAAAAAAGTAGCATTTTTTCACCTTTAGATAACCCTTAAATGAGTAAATGGACTTACATTTGGTTTCCAAAATAAATCCATTTGGGGCCCAAACTGAGAAAGAGAACCACAGAAAGCCTCCATGGATTCCATTAATTGCTATCGATGCCAGGAACTTGAGAGAGAGAAAAAAACTGGGAATCAGAAAACTTGGGTTTCTAACTCTCAGTTGGCTGTAACCCATTCTCAGGTTTATAAATGGTCTGCACACAGATACCTAGTAGGATACAGGTATGTCACCAGGCTAACTTCTTTGCTGCTGCAACATCCTCATTAACCTGGAATGAAAAGTCAGAGCCCAGGCAAAGTGAGGAGCTTCCACCTAAGGGGACATCAGAGTGAGAAGGTCCAGACAGGAGAGGGGGCCTGGTTGTTGGAGTCCAGGCACAATGAGGAGGGTCCCCACCTGAGGGGAGTAGCCAGTGTGGGAGGAGGGCTCTGACGTGAGGGAGGGGACAGCAGTGACAATGAAAGTTTAGTTACACAGGGTAAGGGAGTAAAGGGGAAGCTTATGGAATAAGTTTGGATATGAGGACCAACTTTCTCAATGGAGAGAAAGGATTTGTAAATAGGAAAAAAAAAGAGAGAGAGAAAACCAGAATATACCGTATGATTTTGAATTTGAATTTGAATTGGAGGCATCAATGTGAGTTCACGGTTTTTAATGTACATAATAGATAAAGATAGATACAAGTATAGATGTAAATCTGTATGTCTGTGTACGTGTGCATACATGCCTCTATCCTACAGCTCTGTCCCCCGAAAGAGCATGGAAGCAGCAACATCCCAATAGCAAATAACACACCAAGCACCCCAATCTTCACTTCTAAATACCGTTCTCCACTATAAACAATCAGGGCTCCTTGGAGAAAGGACTGGACCCATGGCCAGAGCTGGAGCAAGAAAAGTATAAGATGATTCTGGAGCAAGGAAGTGCTCGAAGAATGCAGGGCCATGACAAAAAGACATAGAAGCCAGATTGAAAGGTTCCCAATGGCCAAATCAAATCTGGGATAATTTGAGCATCGAGTAAATAACGACAGCAATAATGATAACTCATTGAATACCATGAGTATTCGATGGAAACCATGACCTTTAAAATCTGAAGTTGCATATGAATCACTTAGTAGACTAGAAATTGTAGCCATGAGTCTGTTTAGATATTAATTAAACAGAAATCATAAATCTCCTTACATATTAATTAATTAAAAGTCTGATAAGAAATGGGAAGTTTACATCATTTCAAAGTAACTCTCTACAATGTATTTATTAATTACAAAGGGGAAAATAACCATACAGTGAGGAAGTCTAGCAGACACCACTTTAATCAAGCTATCAAAACTACTATTGTCAATAAAGGACAAATTGAAATTGTGCACCACCTAATAGATTGCAATAGCAAGAACGAATAGTCTCCCTCGTTTCAGTACACAGAATGATGGCACTCCCTCATTTTCTTGAAGTTAGGCATGACCCTATGACTTGCTTTGGCCAATGAAATGTGAGCAGAAGTGATGCAAACCATTTCCAGACAGAAGATTTAAGAGCCAGTGTGTGATTCACTACTTCTCTCTCTTTCTTTTTTTAACCATGTCCCAATGGATGCGTATGTCAGGATGGAACGTATATTTATAGGCTTCAGTCCAGGGACTACAATGAAAACAGACCCCCACTCAATCCTGTCCGTTTTAGATGTGTAGCACGAGAGAAAAATAAATCTTTGCTGTGTCAAGCTGCTATTCTGATGGTTGTTAGTTTGCACATCAAAGTTTAGCTTATCCTGACTGGTACGTTGGCTGATGGAATGATTTTATTTGCATACTTGTCTCCTCAATAAAGTACAAACTGCATCAAGGACAAGAATAATACAATTTAATTTTTCTCCAAAAATCTGCTCCTCCTCCTGCATTGCCCAACGAAATAAATGGCAACAACATCCACCCGATACTTGAAGTCATGAAACCTGACAGTACACTTCTGTATCCTAGATCTTTCCCCTGTCCATGATCTGATCTTGTCCACTGTACTTTCTTAGTATCTCTAGAATGGCTCTATTTATTTCCAGCCTACTTCACTGTCTACATAAAGAACAGCATCTTCTTTCTGCCACCTGCCTCTGGGCAGTCTCCTTGCTTCTAGAATACCCTGTCGCAGCCATTCTCCACACTGACCTCAGAGCTGGTATTTCTAAAATGCAAATCTGATTGTGTCACTCCCCAGCTTTCAGCACTTCAAAGGCTCCCTATCACCTTCAGACTAAAGTCTCACCCCTTTGTTATGACTTATAGGGCACATTAGGACCTGGTCCACTCTGGAGGATAACTGCCATAAAGACAGAGATTTTTGTATATTTTGTCCATTGCTGTATTGCTGAGACCAGCACAGAGCCTGGTCCATTTTCAGCATTCCATAAATGGCTGTTAAGCCAGTGGTCCTTACTTATCTCCTGGCTCACTCATATAGTTCTTCCTCTTCCTCCCATGCTCTTCTCCAAGGAGCACTCAGGCTCCCTCTGGCTGGAATGCACTTCCTCCAGTTTTGCCTATGGCTGGCTTATCTCATCCTTCAAGTCTCAGCTCAAATGTCACCTCCTAACAGAAGCAGGTCTTCCTTACTTATCTGATCTAAAGTAGCCCCACCAGACCCAGTAGCTCTCTTCTCATGACCCCCTTTATAGCTTTCTTAGCATATCTCATCTATTTGCCTTTTTTAAAATTTGTTGCCTGTTTATTTTCCCCTTCTGGAATGTAAGCTCCTTGGGGGAATATCTGTCTGGTTTTTGCCTGACAACATAGTAGCCACCCAATAGATAAATGAATGAGTCCCTGCTGGTTCCAATACCCTCTTCCTTCATTTATAGGATGGACTATACTTTCTAGTCTAAGTGATCCACATGCAACTTCTGATTTTAGAGGTCATTATTGGCTCTTCTTACCTTACTATCCATTACCAGGTGATCAAGGTATGAATGAGATTTCATTATTAAACATTGATATAGGAGTTAAAAAGAAATTATTTCATCAGATAATAAGGGTACAGGAGTCCTTAGTAAGGTTTTCCTTTTAATGAAAAGAAGTCCCCAAATTATTTTCTTTTCTAACAAATAGGAGCCTCTAAAATCAAGCTGCAGACATAGAAACGCAGGCTAGAAGCTTGCACAGGTGATTGCTGGCAGTTGTGCCAACAGGAAAGAGGGGATAGACATGACCAACATGGTGGCTCCATCCTCCGTTCTCTTTGCCAACTAGGTGTGCAGTCAGGAGCAGACAGCATGGCCCAGGCCAGCAAAGACCCCATTTGCATAATAGGATTATGGCGGGGTGACCAGCTTCCCCACTTCCCCCTGCCCCCTACCCCACCCCCATGCTATGTAAATGTCACACCTGGTCCAACCAATCTTTGGGCCCTATGTAAATCAGACACCACCTCCTCGAGCTTGTCTATAAAATCCTGTGCAATCTGCTGTGGGCTGGAAGTCCCACTTGGGCACCCCTGTCTCTCCCAGGAGAGAAAGCTGTTCTCCTTTCTCTTTCTTTCGCTGATTAAACCTCTGCTGTTAACCTCACTTCACCTGTATCGGTGTCCTTGATTTCCTTGGCATGAGGCAATGAACCTTGGGTATTTACCCCAGACAACAGGGCCACTTCAATATCACTTTTAATTACCTTGAATTTTTTACTGATATGACTTTTCTCTTTTACCATACCCTTCTCCTAAAATACCAAATAAACTTTTACCCTAAGTACCACACAGTGTAATGAAATTAAAATGTCAACAACATGAAAAAGAAGCAGTATTTTAATAAACCATGACATGTTTTGCCAAAATTTTGAACTAACTGGGTAATTTTTAACAAATCCAAAATCAATTTAGAAGGGAGCTGGGAAGCAGTCTCTGTCCACACCCGTTGCTGGAGGCGGAGTAGGATGGCCTCATTGTCCTCACCCCACCCTGCCATGTTTGGATTTGACTCTTTTGATCACAAGGAACAGAGATTCACTCTAGTTGCCTCAGGAAACGAAAGTTTATTGTGAGAATCTGCATGGTAATAAAGAAAATGGGAATGTCATCCAGGAAGCTAGCCTTCAGTGCAATTAAAAACACACACACACACACACACACACACACACACAACCAGGCTCCCATGAGAAAAACTGAAATGGTTGTTCTTGGTGGCTCACGCCAGTAATCCCAACACTTTGGGAGCCTGCAGCAGGAGGATTCCTTGAGCCCAGGATATTGAGACTAGCCTGGGCAACATAGGGAGACTCTATCTCTACAAAAAACAATTAAAATTTAGCCAGGTGTGGGGTTGTGCACCTGTGTTCCAGCTACTCAGGAGGCTGAGGTGGGAGGATCTCTTGAGCCTAGGAAGTCGAGGCTGCAGTGAGCCGCAATACACTACTGCACTCCAGCTTGGGCAAAAGAGCAAGACCCTGTCTCAAAAATAAATAAATAATAAAGGATTCTTCTGAATCCAAACCAATTCAAGGGATTTCAGAAGAAAAGTTTCTGAATTCTCCTTCTAAGGCTCTCCCTTCACCACTCTGCCACCTTGCTACTCTGCTTTTCTGCTTCTCTTCGTGTTAGTCTACCTCTCTCCCACTACAAGTTACTGAATCACTCACTTCTCTCCCTTTCTTAGTAGCTTCTGCCTGTTTATTGGTTTAGCTTCCCCATAACCTTACTTTGCTCAGACACCTCATGACTTGCAACTCTACATGAGTCCACTTTCTGTATTTCTTCATCTTCAGTTCCCTTTTATTGCCAGAATTTTTCCTGCTTTCCAATTACACTTCCTAAGAGTGATGCTCTGACGAGGCAGCTCTTTCTGATTGGTCAGAGCATCTCAGTTGCTTAGGAACAGTAGCCTTCAGGCTAGTGCTTCCCTGTCTTTACTCAGCTGTGTCTGGGTGTATAGAGACACAAGGTGAGGACCACCCCAGCAGCAGGAGCTGAGATTGGGGCAGTATCCCTTAGAAGAAGGCAATGAACAGGCATGAATCATGGTTTACATGTTCAATAGTTAGCACTTAGCACTGATGCATTTGTTTAATGTTTTGACAAGTGTATTATGTTATAATTAGCTTCCTTTGTAATCTCATGTGCTTTATTGTATGCCTGTAAAATTGTTCTGAGAAGGCTTCCACAGGCTTCACCAAACTGCCAAAAAAGTCCATGGCACAAAATAAATTATTTCCTGCCCCACGCTCAGGTCTCCTTGAAGGCATGGATTGGGTCTCATTCTCTGCTGAGGCTTTAGGGTCCAGCACAATGCCTAGCATGGAATAGGCAAGAAAACATTGGTGGAAATAATGAATACTTAAATTCCTAGCATCTAAACTGTGACTGGCCCATGGAAGGCACTCAGTAGAAGTTTCTAAATGAAGAACTAAACTTCCGAAGCCCCCACTGGCTGGCCCACGGTCTCCCTCCTCAAGTCCCATTGAGTGGACTCTGCATTCCAGCAGACTGAAGCAAGGAGTCATTTATCAAGTAGGCTGGTACACTATCAACAACCAATTTTTACAACAATACAAAATCCTCTGTCGCTCATAAATTACTTCAAGATAAACACCAGGCCTTAAAATGAAGTGCTGCCAGATTAATGAACAGTTCCAGAATCTAATGAGCGGTTTCTAATGTCTGGAGGGCCTCCTTTATGGGGAGTTTGCCAGGACTGGGAATGGGCCTATGATTTAGCCATCCGTCTTCCAGGCCCTACACAGCACGTGTTTTCAAGCCAGCTGGTGGGAGTTAGTGAGGCAATCTGAGGACTTGGACAGATTGCTTTGTGTGCCGAGTTAACTGGCTCATATAGAGACTGAACCTGTGAGCCTGATTTCCTTAGCCCCATAGCTTAACCAGCTGAGCTTATCATCTTGACCACCTGAATGGATTCAGAGCGTCCCAGGAAAGGAACATAGTACAAAAGAGATGCACAGGAAGTCATGGTGATTCAAAACTCAGCAGAGAGAGAATGTTTGGATAACACCCTTAATACTTCACTTCCTGCCCACAAGAATGGCAAGGGCTTCAAAGTGACCACCTCCTTCCTTGCTCCACCCAAACCCTGACCCTTGATGTATGACAGCAAAGAGCGATGAAGGTCATGTCCCCAAGTATCTTGCAAGATTGCTGGCAGGGACACTAAGAAGAACTCATCCAGATTTTTTGTCACGATATTTTTTGCCACAATAGTTTGAGTTTTCTTTTGCCAACTTTACATGAGCTTTGCTTTTGATCCACCCCAAATATAGGAAGATCAGGGTTCACATCCTTCTCTCCCTCCCCAGGAAGGACCTTCCCGGCTGGCTGCAGGGACTGTCCAGGACTCTGATGTGCTCCCAGGGAGGGGAATTTATAGGGGGGTTAGCATGAATCAGAAACAGTACTGGGCATTTCACATCTGTTATCTAATTTGCAGAGATGAATGTTTAAAGACAGTCTGAAGCACCTTCCCTCTAACCTGCCTTCAGAGTTTGTTTTTAAAAGTTAAAGAATACTACCAAGCATCATACCCATTACACGAGTGCTCTATGTATATGTGTTGGACACATTGGAAAGTCAAAAGAATGAGTAATAGAATAAGACATAGGCTACGTAATTCTGACTAGGGATTGATTTATCAGGCTAATCCATTGTCACTCTTGTCATCCAAGAAAAATGTCCAATGGGATACTGTGATTTTAAGGTTTTATTTATTGATATATTTGTGCCAGGAATATACTTAAAACCACTGGAAACATAATAAATTTTCAGGTGGACAGGAGTAAATGAGAGTTGTGGGAACCATGCCACCAGCAAGATATCATCACATGCAGTGACAAGAGGGCACCAGGTAGGATGACCATAATTCCCAATCTGCCCAGAACTGCCCTGGCTTACTCATAGTGTCCCCTTTCATTCTCAAATGTGTCCCAGTTTGCATGTTCACAGGTCAGAAGACTCAATAGTGTCAAGATGGCAACTCTCTCCAAATTAATCTGTAGAATCAACAAAATGTCAGTCAAAATCCCAGCAGGTTTTTCTGTAGAAACTATCAAACTGACTCTAAAATTCATGACTATGTGAAGAACCAAGAAGACCTGAAGCAACTTTGAAAAGGAACAAAATTGGAAGACTGAAACTATCTTGGTTCAGATTTATTATAAACATAGTAATCAGCACAGTGTAGTATTGATGGAAACGAAACAAACCAAAATAATCAATGGAACAGAATGGAAAGTGCAGAAGCAGACCCATGCATATGTGGACAATTGACTTTTGACAAAAGTGTAAAAGCCATCTAGTAGAGAAATAATAATCTTTTCAACAAATGGTGCTGGGACTAGGTGCTGTGGCTCACACCTGTAATCCCAGTGCTTTGGGATGCCAAGGTGGGAGGATCACTTGATGCCAGGAGTTCAAAACCAGCCTAGGCAACACAGCAAGACCTCCCCTCTAAAAAAATATATATATATTCTTAATTAGTTGGGCATGGTGGCACCCACATGTAGTCCTAGCTATTTGGGAGGCTCAGGCAGGAGGATTGCTTGAGCCTGGGATTTCAAGGTTGCAGTGAACTATGATCATGCCCATGCTACTGCACTCCACCGTGGGTGACAGAGCAAGACCCTGTCTCTTAAAAAAAAAATAATGCTGGAACCATTGAATATTCATATGTAAAAAAATTAACTTTGATTTATGGCACCAAACTGTATGCAAAACTTTATTCAAAATGGATGGTAGACTTCAGGGTAAACCTAAAACCATAAAGCTTCTGGGAGAAAACCTTTCAATTAGCCATAAAAGAACAAATTAATAAATCAGATTTCACCAAAACTTTAAGATTTTGCTCTGTGAAAGGCTTGCTAAAGAATGAAAAGTGAAGCCACAGACTAAGAGAAAATATTTACAAAACATGTATCTGATAAGCAACATGTTATCTAGGACATATAAAGAACTCTCAAAACATAAGAAAACAAGCAGAGAAAAGAAAGGACTTGCCAAGGTTTTCGTATGAGTGAATAGCAAACCTGGGATCATCCTGCATCTCCTGACTCCCAAGCCCCAGCCCCATTCTCCCTGCCAGGAAGCCCTTTGTCAGAGTCAACGCGGAACATGGGTGGTGCAGTAAGAAATCACCCAAATCTTACTTTAAATCCTGGTGCCACCACTTACTGGCCTTTGGAGCACTTGTATGACTTCTTGGTTTTCTCATTGGAATATTGGGAAGGTAATTTTTTAAGTGCCCTTGTTTAGATGATAAATTATAAGGTCTCTTTACCATTATATGACCCTTGGGGTATAGCAGATCGCCAAAAAGGAGCAGAGGGCACTAAAAGGAGAGGTGGAGAACCACAAACGACATGCTTTACTCCTTCAGTACTGCACCCAGCCTGGACTCTGAGCCCTGTGTTGCAGTTACAAGCAGCCACAGCTACTTGTCAACCTGTCCAATTACACTTCTGGAATCCCAATAAGAAGTGCTTATAAATACAGGGCTCCAATTACCACAGGTATCATGTTGGCTGCCCAGGAAGTGCTTGCTTTAGAACACCTTTGGGAATCCCTCTCCCCAAGACTTCAGGTAGCCAATACTTTCACAGTAGGATCCAGACTTTATGTGCTTAAATGCATAGCATAGGAGAAAATCTTTCTGGCATCTCAGGGATTCTCCTTTCCCCTCGCTTGTATTCTTTCACTTCCTTCATTCCAGCTACCTAAGCAGTTCTCCAAGTGCAGATAGTGAAGGAAGAGGCCTCCCTAGGGTCCCCTCCCTAATCTGTATGAAGTTTTTTTGCCTCTCTCTCTCTCTCTCTCTCACACACACACACACACACACACACACACACCGATAACTATCTAGATAACCTTCTAACCTTCTCTTTCAGTTTGTTGTTTCCCCCATACACAGACCCAAAGACATGGATTCAAGTGCAAATAGTTAATTTTAGAGAGAACCCCAAGAAACACTGTTGGGGGAGTCAGGAAATGGGAAAATGAGACAGGGAAGGGGAGATAGCAATAAAGGTAGTTGCCACTGTGGATAATTGGAATTTAATCCAAATGACATCTCTGGGAGCCAGTGTAGAAAATGCATCTCAGGGCCATCTCACCAGAGCAGTGAGGGATCTGAGGTATTTATATACCAACTCCCTGAGTCATTGGTTGAGTCAATGCTGCCTTTGACAAGCTTAGTCCAGTTGGGAGCCAGAAATTTAAACAGCTTAAACTCCTCCGTGGATGCTATATGTCTTATTAAAATTTGAACCCCAGCATAACATAGCATAGTTCCCTGCTACTGAGAGCCTCTTATGTTGGAGCCAAAGCAATCTCTGGCTTATCAAGATGGACTTCAGGAAAACGGCAATTGGAAATTGACCAGTCTGCACTGAAGTGGCAAGAGTGAGCAGGGAACACCAAGTTACTTTTTCATGGAATTACAGCACCATTTAGCAAGCACTGAATAACATACTTAGTGTGGCATGCTCACCAAATACTCATAGGCTTACCTATATTTGATGACCGAAAGTCTGAACTGAAGAAACACAGATCATTTCCAAGTCAAAGCACTTATGAGTCTGTATGCAACCTTTGTACCCTCTCTTCGCATAATACAGCAACTCAAAAGCTGCATGTTCTAGATTGGGTATATACAGGACGCAATCAGACTAGATCCTTAAGTTGCCACTGGGAAAGAAGCTGACCTGGAAAGCTGCAGGACCCAGAGCCAACTTCGTGCAAAAGAGAAATAAACCTACGTATGCTCAGGTGCTGAGATTTTCAGATTTGTTTGTTACTGCAGCAAAGCTTAACCTAACCTGCCTCATATAGTTAGAACCTTTGTCCTGATTTCAATTTTATGTATTCATTCAACAAATAATTATTAAAAGCCCTGTATATTCTTGATGCTGAGGATACAGTGGTGAACAAAAGAATAAAAAGTTTCTGCCTCTATGGGATATAATATGTACTAATAGCAAGGCAGTCTTGCCAATAAGGGAAAGGTTTATTCCTCCTCATAGTAACTGTAAGAGACACAATGGTAAATAAGCAGCCCAGAGAGGGAAATGTTCTATTTTGATAGAAGGAAAATGGTCAGTTGTTATGTGTAAGCAAAGTTGTTAGAGAAAAGGAAAGAAAAATATCAATGCAAACTTCTTGTTGTACATCATTTCAATACTCGTTGAGTACCAATTATAGGCCAGGGTTTATGCTAGATGCCAGGGATTGGGAAGTAAAGAAGAATAATGCTATGCTAGAGAAGCTGAGTCTAGTGAGAGGAGAGAAATGTAAATCAAGCATAAATTATTTGACGACTTCTCTGTCTCTTAATTAACCTTTGAATCTCAGACTGTCACAGGATAGATGCCCAATAAGTATTTATAGAATATACTAATAACTGCACTATATTGTTTCCCTCAACCTCAGAAGAAAAGCTACATTAGAAAGGAAGAAATCAGACTGGACATGATGGCTCATGTCTGTAATCCCACCACTTTGGGAGGCCAAGGCCAGAGGATTGCTTGAGGCCAGGAGTTTGAGACCAGCCTGGGTAACATAGCGAGACCCTGTCTCTACAAAAAATTAAAAATTGTCCTGGTGTAGTGACATGCACCTGTGGTCCTAGTTACTGGGGAGCCTGAGGTTGAAGGATCACTTGAGCTCAAGTATGAAGTTATCATGAGCTATGATCACACCATTGCACCCCAGCGTGGAGAGCAGAGTGAGATCCCAATCAAAAAAAAAAAGTTAGCCCATACCCCTACACGCCTTCATACTCTCACCTACTCAGCCTTTGCAAATCAATGCCTAAGGAAGAGACTTCCTATATTACTCCCAGAGTGCATGGTACAGGGCTCAGCAATGAGCAGTCAACTGAAAGATTGAGCTCTGTGGAAGTACAAAGCCCTAACAGCTGTTGAGAGTTTAACTTGAATAATCCATAAGGTGGGATGTTAACCCTAGGGACCAAAATAAAGTCAACAACCTTCCACTTGAAGCATATCCAGTCTACATAGATCACTGCAAGTCCCTGAAGTCTGTGTCAAGGACTTGTGAACATTTCAAGAAACGTCAATACCTCTAGCACTGCCCCTATTTTAAAGAGAAGTAAAGGCAGTATATACATCCAGAAAATATCCAGAAAATAAGTCAAACCAGTGCATTTGTTAAGTCCTGGGGTCTCCTGTGGCCATATTCTCACCTCCAGTTCTGTTCTCAGTCTTCTCGATCCCTCTGTGCTGCTGGGACTCTCTTGGTTTCTCTAATAAGTAAGTAGATCTTTGGGAATGTCCTTGGCAGATTCTGCTTTGGAGAAATTAACAAACTAAATCAAACTGACAAAACATTTAACAACATAACTTAAAGCAAGGTTGTTCTTTCCCTAAGAACAGGGCACCCTCAGCCTCTTCAGGTTTCTAGGTAACATTAGAGGTTCAGAGAATCTCTAGCCTGCAAGCTACCATTTGTGGGGTCTATGGAGAAAATAGAGCACTGATTTCTATACCCAGCTGGACCCGCTTCTTCACCCAATTGGTCTTCAGTGTGTCCCCTCCTGCTCATCCCTCACTCCCTGGCCCCCACTGTTCCATGATAACTGATAAACTGCCAGTGTATTCATACTATTTAAAACAGAGAGTATCTAAAAAGATCACTACAACTTACCAGCCCCTTTTATCCTTGGGCAAATTCCTCTTACTTAGCTAACTGCTTTGTCTGGCCAGAAACAGCTTTGTGAAATATAATCCAAGGTACCATGAAGTTTTATAATCTCTTTCCATTAGATATACAGCCTACCCTATATCTAACCCCAACAGTTGGAAATGATATTAACTGACCTCTGATAAGTATCAGAAACCAGTTGCTTCTCACTACTAATCATCTATTTTTGGAACTGAATGCAAAGGAAACATATGCTCAGTCATGACTGTGACTCTTTAAAACAAAGTCTGTTCATCTTTCATCTTCCCGCATTGCTTGATGATTTTTTTTTTTTTTTTGCTCACCTACTCTGACCCATCACTTTAGCCCTGAAAATTTCAAAAAAAAACATGGGTGGGGGGATTGTTTTTCTTTTCTTCATCCCTTCCCCACCCCAAATCCTTATCCCTGCACAACAGCAAACCACATCTTACCTATGTGGAATGCAGAAGAAATGTTTTCCTTTTGATATTAAAAAGTCCTCCCACCAACTAGGTAAACATTGGCCACATCACAGAGCTGGTATGTTATTGCAGAGCAGAGGGGAGCACAAACCCAGAGTTTTTTCAGGGTCGTGTCGAAAGGAATCTCAGGCTTTGGCTGCAACTCCAGGGAAGAGATGAAAACACTGTGTACACGTGTCAGAATGCCAACTGCAATGGCATGCATGGATTGCTACAGTGACGAGGATTTGATTGAACAATGGGATCTTCTTCACAAGTAGTTTTTGGGATTCCCTCTCCTCTTCCAAGACAGGATCCTGGCTGAGATCAAACACTGTATTCTTGGAGGTTCCAGCAACAACAGGTCGACTTTTGAACAGTGCTGTCAACAGGGCATCATTGCAATCCAGTGCTTTGAGAATTGCTGAACAAAAGCAAAGTGTCAGACTGTGTCACAGGGATCAATCAGTCAAGGACACATCTTCCCCATGTCCTTAGGGGTATGACATTCTCAACTACCACTGTAAAGCAGAAAAGTGGGACCAGAGAAAATTTAAGTGATTATTCTCATTGCACCCAGGTTTCAATATGGACAATTTGTGATGATCTGAGATGAAGTTGTGACGTTGTGAAATGCACCATTGAGCTAATGCAGTTGCACTCCAAGGCTTCACAGAGGGAATGTGGCATGCTGGTCCCATTCTGTGTTTGATTTGCTTGATGGTAATAGGAGAGTTATTTCAACTCTCTTTCTCCATTTCTCCATCCCTTAGGAAAAAAAGATCATTTTAATCCTTCAATAGAGCATCCAAGAGGATTAAGAAATAATAAGGTCTCTATGTGAAAAGTCCTCCATTGTACCCATAGAGATTTCATCGATTATTAATAAAAACACCCCAAGGCTTCCATTTTTCCTTGGATTCTGAGTATGTGGTTACTTTTGTTCATGGCATCCAATGGTAAGTTAATTTTATTAAGAACATTTTTAGAAAGCTACAATGTCAGAAGTTGACACTACTCTCTTTCCAGTCCTCTATTCTTGGTAACATCATTAAACATCAGCTGGCCCCAAAGGCAAGTTGCACCTTTTTTTAATCTAACAGCCATTCTGTGGATAGCATTTGTTTTCCATTGCTGCCAAGGAGACAATCTGGCTCTCATTTCCTTTGAAGAAGAGCCCATTATGATGAGTCAGGTCTACACTGGGAATAATTAGGTCAAATAAATGAGCCCTTCCAGCTGCCTATAGCATCACTCAACACCCCCCTGTTGCAGATGCAGGAGACATTTCTGGAGCAAAAGCAGAGTTTATCTGTTGTGAGTTACCCCTTCCACTTGCCCAAGGGATGCTATCAAAACATATGCAAGGTAATTATGGCTCCTCTCTTTGCATCTGGAAAAGTGAAAACTGATCCATAAAATCGCATGGAGATCTCATTGTCTTTCTGCCCTACCAGAGAAGGCTCCTGCAGCATGAGGAAATAAGAACCAGCTGACAAGCTCGGGCAAGACTCCTGCCTTGTGTCACATTTGCCCTCATGGTCTCCCAGCCACCTTATCCTCAGTTGTCATGTCCACTGGCAGGAGAAAAAGGAAATTCAATGATGTTGGAGTCATGTACCAGCCCTTTTTAGTATTCCACTTGAGCCGATATCTGCAGCTCATCACTCAGGCAAGCATCTGGCCCAGCCACCTCCACAACTCACACTCTCAGGCAGTTTTCTTTTGTGTTCAACATCTCATATACACAATAGGAGACTAATCTGGGGCTGAATTAGAAATACAAACTGCTATCCAAGTTAAAGATCTCCCCTGCGCCGATCTGGGTACCAGAAAGTGGAAAATGAAGATTAAAAAC
Organism: Homo sapiens; assembly: GCF_000001405.40. Lineage (NCBI taxonomy): Eukaryota > Metazoa > Chordata > Mammalia > Primates > Hominidae > Homo > Homo sapiens. Next base: position 219,793,146 of record NC_000001.11, read on the forward strand.
CATATATAGAAAAAGCCTTTCATCCAAGAGTCTCATTACTCAGAGAGAAAAAAGAATCTTCAGTTTTGTTTCTCTCTCTCAACTTTATCAAACCATTTAAAGATTGCTATAATGTAGGAACCCTCATGAGTTGCACCACCGAATTCCACAACCTGGAATTTTATACCTTACATTAACATGGGTCACTGACCTCCTCAAAGGGGCTGATGATGCATTTCAGGCTGGCCAGATCATGTGCCTTTCCCAAGGAATATGTGGTCTTCAAGATCCCATCACTTAACTTTCTAAATCTAAATCACCATTTGAAGCCTCTCGTGCAAGTGGTTTGTCTTGAGTTGTGTTTGCTTTGCTTGCCCAAGGGGTTTTATTACTCTGGGTTACTCTAGCTCCAAAGGAAATGAGAATATCAATATCTACACTCTGTCTTTTAAAAAAAATTAGAGGAATTTGGCCTACATTGCAGTAGTAACTCAGAACAAAAGACTGCTCACCAATCCTTGCTTCCAAGCTGCCTACCCTATAGTGATCACCACATCTCACATCTACCAGGAGGTAAATGATGCCTCAGTAGAACCTCAGGAAGGAGAGGACAGCTGTGAACCTCAAAAATGAGCATATTTGCAAACATTCTGGGGCAGTAGCCTATCAAACAAAGTTTATCACAAAATAGCTTTAATTCAGTCATTGTTGAGTGACTGCTGAATGCAAAGCACTTTTACCATACCTGTTCCACCCTCACTTGTGAGCATCAGCCTTGCTGTCCTTCAGTTTTACAGTAAACCCTGCATCCAGAGGCCTCCCCTCCTCAGACACCATCGTAATTCCTAGTTATGGGAGATAAGGAAGGCTTTCCTTATGGGGCTCAATTTAAACTCTCAATGCTGGCTCACAGACCAGCCCCTACAGATTCCCCTATCTTACCTTCCTCTGACGTGAAATCTTCCAGGTGTAGGTTAAGGAGCCCTAATCCCACATTGCCTATGGATTAACCCAGGAAAGAAGACATCATAACCCTAAATGAAGTACATTAATTTTTTTAATCTGTTGCAGCCTTTAATCAATTTCATTCACTTGCCTTGCCCTAACCTAACTTCCTCTCCTGGGATGTGTCAGCAAGGCTCATTACTAAGAAACGCCAGCGTCACCCACACCACGATCTTGTGACTTCAGCACCTCCGATTCCATGAGCAAACCTCAGCTGTTCCAAAGTGAAAGAGTATTTCACCTCTCCCAAGAGGCTGGGTCCAAATCATGCTACCGACTTCAAAGAGGAGGAGAGATGTGAGGGAAGAAGGAAGATCCCCTCATTGAGGCAGAGGAGCAACCTCAGGTCCTCTGACACCCAGAGGAGGTGCACAGCTACATTTACTCTGGTATCTCCAGACCACAGGTGCAGCACGGCTCACATGTGCAATGAATTCAGCATGTGATTTGGGTAGAGTGTGGGAGTGGATGCTCACACGTGCAGCCACTGAAGCCTGGGCTGTGCTCAGTGAGGCGAGAAGAGGGGAACTGAGGTCTATCAAGATCCATTAATTCATATGATCATTGTCCTAGCTGGTCAGGCTGGATTGAATTCACAGCAGGGTGGCCTCATGGCCCAGGGTAGGGACCACAAAAAGTTTTAATTGCTGATAAAACAAATAGAACAAAACTTTAAAATACAATTTTCTGCTCCCTCAACCCCCGGCCCCACCCCATGTCTTTAACCTGTGATCGAAAGGATATTAAGATCTTGGGTGTATCAACAGTCCAGAGGACAAGAAGGAAAATCCTGGGATGTGAAATATTCTGCAACAAGGAAAGCAACTGGAGAGGCGACTAAATTCACTGCAGCTGTTCTGCCCTCCTCTTTTTTTCTCTCGCTCCCTCTGTCTCTTTCCTGGAAGTCCCCTAGTAAGAAGTAAAAGAGATAATGGCTTTGGAGTGCATGTTTTTCCTGGAATTGGAAGGAATTTTAACAAAGGAGCCCTTCAGAATGAACCCCCCACCCCTGCTTTTCACCTGAAGTAGGACAAGATTGGTGCCCCCAACATCATTCTCCATGTGGCCCCAGGTTGGGTTGGGGGGTGAACACTACTGATAAGCTCTTAGCAATTTCCCTATTTGTGGACTCCGAAGCTCCTTAGCTTGACAACTGATGAATAAGTTTTCTTTTGTGGGATAAGAGTAGATGACCTTTTCCCCCTGAATTCCCATCCTGGGGCCGGGGAAGAGAGCCCAGGATCCCTTCTCTTGGCCTTCACACCGTGGGAAAGAGTACCTAGAGTTAAAAGCCTGATAAATGCCCTCGAACAGCTTTGAAAATCACTCAGCGTGAGCGCTTGCCTCCTGAACAAATGTCCAAGTTGTATCACTACGGGAATGGCTCTCGGGTCACAGACACAGAGGTGATTCTCTTTGTAAATAGATTCATGCCACTTGTCTCCTTTCTGAAAACAGTTTCAAAAGAATTATTTGGTGAAGTCAGTTTCCTAGGAGAATCCATCACACTTCCCCAGAGATATTTCCACCCTTACAAACCATTAGATAAACTTAAAGAACAAATTAGTCCTCGTGGTAGGCCACCCCCACCCTATCTCCAGTTCACCACTTCAATCATGCTAGTTTTTCAGTGGATTTGAAGCCAAGCTTTCACATCAGAGCCCTCCAACCAAGAGCCTGAGTGTATAACTCATAAGAACAATCAAGTAACAACGTTTTTCTTTCCATTCCTCACATCTGGTATCCGCTGCCTTGTGAATGGGGTGCCCCTCAGCAGGAAGGGTTAGAGCTAGGGTAAGTGTGTAGGGAGTAAGCCTTGAAAAGAAAGAGGTGGGGAAAGAGCAGCAAAATCAGGACTGTCCCAGGAAGTGACTGTCAGTCAAGGGTTCCGAAATCCCTCAAATAGCTACTTCTGCTGTCTTGGTTTTGTCCATCTCTCCTCTTTTTTTACATACCTGCCACCCTAAAAACTACGAGCTATGCCTAACGTAGCGCTAACCAGTTAAAGAACTGCTGGTAACTTTAGAAAAGAGTCCATTCCCCATCAGAATCAGAACAAAATCTTTTTTAAAAAAAATTATTTTTGGCCAGTCATTGTTGCTCACACCTGTAATCCTGGCACTTTGGGGGGCTGAGGTGGTCAGATCGCTTGAAGTCAGGAGTTCAAGACCAGCCTGACCAAAATGGTGAAACCCTGTCTCTACTAAAAAATCAGTTGGACATGGTGGCACATGTGTATAATCCCAGCTACTCAGGAGCCTGAGGCATAAGAATCACTTGAACTCAGGAGGCAGAAGGTGCAGTGAGCCAAGATTGTGCCACTACACACCAGCCTGGGTGACACAGCAAGACTCTGTCTCAAAAAATAATAATTATATATATATATATATATATTTAGGCCAGGGGCAGTGGCTTATGCCTGTAATTTTAACATTTTGGGAGGCAGAGGCTGGAGGATCACTTTACCTAGGAGTTTGAGACCAGCCTGGGCAACATAGTGAGATCTTGTCTCTACAAAAAAATTTTTAAATTAGTCAGGCGTGGTGGTGCATACCTATAGTCCCAGCTACTTAGGAGGCTGGGGCAAGAGAATCCTGCTGCTGCATTTTGTGCTACTGCACTCCAGCCTGGGCAACAGAGTGAGACCCTATCTCAAAAAAAAAAAAAAAAAAAAAAAAGAAATAAAAAGAAAAAGAAATACATATATATATTTTAAGATCCATTTTAGAGTTGCAACACAATTAGGAGGAAGGTACAGAAAGGTCCCATATAGCTCCTGCTCCCACACATGTATAGTCTCCTCCATTATCCACACCCCTGGACAGAATGGAATATTTGTTACAATTGATGAACCTACATAGACACATCATTGTCACTTGAGGTCCATAGTTTGCATTAGGGTTCATTCTGGGTGTTTTCTATTCTACAGGTTTGGACAAATGTATAATGACATGCATCCACCAATATAGTATGATTCAGAGAGTTTCCACTGAATAAAATCTATTTTTATTAAGTTGGCATACAATAAATGAATTAAGCATCATAACAGCACAGTGTAGTGGGGAAAGCTGAGACTCTGGAGTCAAGCAAGCCAGGATTCATGCTCTGCTTCTATTACTTACATTGTTGTGGTTAAGGCAGGTTACTCTCTGAGATTCTGTTTTCTCCTCTGTAACATTAGAATGATTATACTTACATGAGTCAATAAGAATAAAATGAGAAAAAATGAAATAACAAAAGTTAACACACTTGGTACAATGTCATAATAAATAGCAGCTAGCTACTCCCATCCTTGATGTATATCCAACCATAACTGCGATCCCATCATTAACAGGTTCTGACATTTTTGACTTGTCTTCATTATTTTCTTGTTTATAATAAGTGGCAAACAATGTCAATAGCCAGCTCAGTTACCCATAATAGTTGCAATATTTAAGCAACACCAAAATAATATGTCAAATTATAAAGACAAATATCTCACACAAAATGGGAGAAAGAATTACTGGAAAGAAATGAGAGGTAAATTCATAACTTCCACAGTGCATTATCTGAGAGAAGAAAGTTTTGCTGTGATTTAAATCTTAATAGGTAATTTAAATATAGATGTATAACATTATAAAAGTGCATTTCATTGAGTTATAGAATTTCAGCATTGTTAAGTCCAAATCGTTATCAGATACATGAATATCATTAAAAATGCTTTTTACTTTAATTTACTCATTAGAGCACTTTTTGAAAAGGCTATTTAGGAATCCCTGAGTAAGCAAAATGGTCACAACCCAAGAATAAGAGGTTAGAAGTGATAAAGGGAGGTTATCTTCAGAGAATCCTCTCCATTTATAGGTACTAAGCTCTGAATGGGTACATAACACTATAATAAACCTTCAAAAGAGATGCGTTGGAAGAAACATACAAATTTAAATCTAGTAGTTGCTCACTAATGGGCCAAGGCAATTGGAGAGAGATGCTGTAATAAGAGATAAAGTTCAATCAGCTCCTTTAGTCCAGAATTTTTCAAAGCGTAATCCACAGTCCAACTGTACCTAAATCCTCTAGGGACAGAGAGTGATGGTGGTAGACACTGAAAATGCAATGTCTTAAACTCCATCCTAGAACTCTGAACAGAATCTTTGAAGATGGTTGTGAAATTAGCATTTCTCAAAGTCATTTTTAATAAATTCTGAATGTGAAACCAGACTTGAAATGTGAAAGGAAGTGAAAAGACAAAGCTGGATACTCATCATTGAAAAAGAGGCAAAGTAGATAATGTGCTAATGGAAAGAAAGAGGAAAAGGAAAATTCAGTCATCTTCATGTGATGTGTCATAACGTATCATTAAGAAAGCACCCATATGACTCATTCCCAACTAAACTGCATCTGAGAGAGTCTCACTCAAAATATTACCCTACTCTTCTAAAATGATTCCCAAAGTTTAGCCAAATTTAAAATGGAAGGCTGGAGGCAGGGAATATTTATTTTCTCTAATATATTGCTTTCACACTCAATGTCATATTTCTCTTAAGACTTGAAGGTCTTTAGAGAAAGAAAAGCCTAGTGGAAAACCAATATTGTTTTGTATTAATGCATCTTTCTAGAAAACAAATTAACTCACATTCAGTCACATAAAGATAAATTCTTCAGGAAAGATTGTCAAGAAATAATAGTAGGCTGGGCATGGTGACTCATGCCTGTAATCCTAGCACTTTGGAAGGCCAAGGCGGGTGGATCACTTGAGGCCAGGAGTTCAAGACAAGCCTGGACAAATGGCAAAACCCTGTCTCTACTAAAAATACAAAAAAACAATTAGCCAGGCATGGTGGCTAACACCTCTAATCCCAGCCACTCAGGAGGCTGAGGCAGAAGAATTGCTTGAACCTGGAATGCGGAGGTTGCAATGAGCTGAGACCACACCACTGCACTCCAGCCTGGGCGATAGAGGGAGATCCTACAAAAAAAAAAAAAAGAAAGAAAAAAAAAAGAAAGAGAAAGAGAGGGAAAGAGAGAAAGGAGAGAGAGAGGGAGGGAGGGAGGAAGGAAGGAAGGGAGGGAGGAGGGAGGGAGGGAGGGAGGGAGAGAGGATAATTGTTTAATATAAAATAATTTTCTTAAATTTCCAGAAAAAAGAATGAGCACTCTCTTCCAGTTCCTTGAGAGACATGGAAACTATGATGTATTTTCTTACCAAAGGGTAAGTTCCTCCTACTCATTTTATCCTAACAAAGCTCCCAAGGAGCTAACTTGAAAATGTTGTCACAAGTTAAAGTATTTTTAATTCAGACCGCACATGAAATGGAGTTTGTAATTTCATCTTGGTCATTAGATCATGTAATCTTATACTTTTCAATTGCCTCTTTGCGTTTTTCTTATTCCTACACCTTCATCTAAAGCCTAAACCACAAGCTGTCTACCTAACTACGGCTGAGGAGATCATTGCCCTAAAATAATGAGATAAAATTTGAGATATAGAAAGTATGACAGAATTCTAAGAAATTGGAGGTATAATATCTGCCTGAGGTAATCAAGAAAAATTTCATGAAGAGGAAGAATCCTGATAAAAAGTATACATTTCATATGTAAACACATGGACACAGGGAGGGGAACAACACACACTGGGGCCTGCTAGGGCGGGGAGTGCGCAGGGTGGGAGAGCATCAGGGAAATAGCTAATGCATGCTGGGCTGAATACCTAGATGATGGGTTGATAGGTGCAGCAAACCACTATGACACACATTTACCTTCGTAAAAAACCTGCACATCCCGCACGTGTATACCCCGGAACTTAAAATAAAGTGTAGATTTCAATGAAAAGAGATGACCAAAAAAGGATACTACAAAAAGAGAGAACAGGAATAGAAACATGAAAGTCAAAACTGAAGAACATAATTAGAGAAAGGCATCTCTCTCCTTCCACTTTCCCTCTACATATTTTATCATTCCCCTGATCTTATCTATTTGACTCTTTCAATGCTTCTCCAAACTTTGCTTTACATTAGATTCTCTGTATTATTATTCTAATTAATACTTTCAATACCTATCTCCACCTAGACTATTGTGACCATCTTCATAATGGTCTCTTCTATTCATTTTTTCATCTTTGTATTAATCTGATGCTTCATTTTACAGCTTAAAAAACAGGATTGGATTTCTTGGTGCCCACTGAATAAAGTCATAAATCTTTACTCTAATATTGAATGTCCCATTATGTCATTCTAGGCTTTGGTTTTATAATTTCCCTTAATGCAGATACATGGAGGTCATGAAATAAGCAAAGAAATCAAGTAACAAAAAGACTGAGATCCAATTAAAAAGCCATGAATGCTTAAAGCATGGTTCATGAGGATTTTCCAGTGGTCTGAGTGCTCATGATATTGAAAAAGAATGAATACTACAAATCTCATGGAGCTCAATTTTTTGAATATATGCCCATATGCAAATAAAATGTCCAAGTGGAGGTAAACTAGATGTTATAAATAATTATTTTTAGAAAACAGGATCATGAATGTTTTTTCTTTACATTTGTCTGTGTTTTCTAAATGTTATATTATAAGCCATACTACTTTTCTAATTGAAAGCATGCTCTAAAAAACATGTTCGGGAAAAAAAAAAAAAGAAAGAAAGAAAAAAAAGCCATGAATGACCTTTGAGAGCCCAGTGTCAACAGAAGCATAGAATGAGCCACAAACAGAATGAAAAAACTGAGGCATAAAGAGAAGCTGAAGAGGGAAAGCAGCTAGTGTAGATAATTCCTTGGGGAAATCAGGCATTAAAAGGAATAGTAATGATCAGACAGCATTCCACAGGAGTCAGGGGTGGCCAGGACCAGCTCCTTGGTGGTGGTCATGATAGATGCTGGTAGCGGTGTCAGCTGTTTGTGGTAAGTGGCATCAGGATAGAGGAGACTAGGTCCCCAGATCCCCTATCCAAAATCACAACAAAAAAGAGAGGCATTCGTTCAAAACCAGGGAAAATGAGCCTTTACCAAGACAACAATCTGCATAAAAATCTTGAAAACATTTATAAGAACCACTGCTTTGGGTAGAAAGTTTACTTCAGCATATTTTGGGAAAGGAGGCGGCAATATTAATTAAATATACACTTATTTATTTATTTGTTTATCCCCCAACTTGTCACAGAAGGAATCTAAGACAGCAACAAAGCACTGTGTGCTGGATAAAAGCCACCACATCCTGGAATATGAGCTAAACTCCCTTGGCCACCAGTTCTATAAGACCCAAGCAAATAGATCGTAAACAAAGAACTCAAAGCACCAAGCTCTTAAACAGAAGGAAATAAAACTATAGAGGGCCATGATGAGAAGGGGCAGGTCCCCCAAGTGTACCTGAGCGCTGAACTGGCTCCCGCCACATCAAAAGCAATGGCACGGCCCCTAATTCCAATTGCTGAAACATTTTAACAGCTGGGAATTAAAATAAGCTGTCAGCCAGCTCAAAAAGATTTTTTAATTCAAAATAAATCAGGCTAACAACCTGCAGATGTTTGGAAAGAAAATGTTTGGGTGACTCATTTTCAAAACCCAATTCCCTAACTTTGTCATTTCAGGGTTGCTGAATGGCTGCTACCTGCCCTTAGCTTCTAATCATGAGACAAATTGTTATCTGGCATCCTCATACTTACCATTGGTCTATTATGTTGATGAGCAGTCATGGATTCTGTCTGGTAAACTAAACTAAATTTGGGGTTCAAGAGATGAGACTTGCTCAGATTGTTAACTGTGTGATAGCACCCCTGCTTCTCCAGGGATTCCCTCACTCTCTGATAGCAGGTGTAGATAATCAGTTCTGCCCAGCAGTTTTTGTACTTAAGTTTGCATTAACGTTTTTACCAAATTCTTAGAATAAATAGAGATAATCTCAGTTATGTACTCACTGAGAGAACAAAATAAACACAAAGGGAGAAAACTGGGGAAAAGGAGATTAAAGGAAGAATTAGTAATACAACAGATTGAAGATTTATAGCCAGGCTGGGCACAGCAGCTCATGCCAGTAATCCCAGTGCTTTGGGAGGGCGAGACGGGAGGATCACTTGAGGCCAGAAGTTGGAGACCAGCCTGGGAAACATAGTGAGACCCGGTCTCTACCTAAAATAAAGTTTAAAAATTAGCCAGGCATGGTGGTGTGCACCTGTAGTCCCAACTACATAGGAGGCTAAGGTGGGAGGATCGCTTGAGCCCAGGAGTTCAAGGCTGCAGTGAGTTATGATTGCCCTACTGCACTCCAGCCTGAGCGATAGAGCAAGTGAGACTCTGTCTCAAAAGAGAGAGAGAAAAAAAAAAGATTAATGGCCAAAGATAAATCAGCATCTCAGAGCCTAGACCAAGGACAACCGTTAGAGGTGCCATACATCAGTGGACCATGAATGGAAGAAGAAAGGGTAAGCTTCAGCTTCTCCACCTGAGAGCCATCCAAGTCAATGAGGACTTGCATTCTTTCAGCTGATGAATATGAAAGAGACAAAAATAATACGTGCAGTGTTAATCTGGTTCTAAAATCTGGGGAGCTGTTGGCCCATCAAAATGATGAGGCAGAGGTATCAGATTACTGCTGGTGCAACTTGAGCCTTCTCACCCATTCATAGCCAGTAGATGGTTTTGCCCCTCCTACAAGTTCTTCCCCACCTTTACCTCCCATTAGCCTCAAGTTGCTGATGCTGGGAAGCCAACAATGGCCTCCATTTCTGCTTCTTTTGTGCATCCATAGGCCTTTCATGTTCTCCCAATGAGGGTCTCAAACACACTGAATACAAAAGTAATCTGTCTACAAGTTTGTCTCCCCCTTTTATCCTTGAAAGCAAGAGCTGTGTCTTACCATCTTTGTATCCTCAGCACCCATCATAGGACCTAACACAGAGTAAGCTATCAGAAACTGTTGGCTGAATTATTCAGTTAAGTTCATTAAAGAGAAAAACATTGTTTTGAAAGGGAGCAAACTCAAAAGTCTCAAAAATGTTCTTCAGTCATGAAGTCATTCCCAAAATTTGGTGACCTTTCCTCAACCAAAATGACCCCAAGACCAGAAGCTGAAACAATAATACAGCACCTTTGACTAGAGGCTATTGGATCAAACTAAGAATGAAAAGAAAGGTTTCTCAGAAACAATACACTTGACACTTGAACACAAGGGGTTAGGTGCACCAACGCCCCATGCAGTCAAAAATGCACAAATAACTTTTGACTCCTCAAAAACGTAATTACTGATAGCCTGTCCTGCACAGTTAAGGACTGTCTCACCAGAGTCAACATCCTTGACAAATGAAAAGCAATTGATGACCAAGATTGCATTTCTTTCCAGCAAGGATCTATGGCTAAAAGGACATAAACTGAGTTTGAATCTCTCCTACATCACAAAAAAAGTGGACTTCCACTAACCATGATCATGTCGAACTAAATTGTCAAAATCCAGTACCTTCCTATTTGTCTCCATTAGTTACTAGTTTTACCTGAAAAAGTCATATTATCTACTCAGTCAATAAACATCACTTAAACTCCTACTAGGTGCCAGGCAGCATGCCAGATAGAGGGATAGATGAATAGACATGATCTCTGCTCTCACAGAGCTTAAGCTGGTTCTTCCTAACTTACACCCTTTATTGGTAAACTTGGGCTCCTGATAGAAAGGGTTCTAATTAAGAATAAATGAGATAACATATGTTATGTGTCAAACATAGTACCTAGTAAATAATATAGGCTCATTAAATGAAATATACTATTATTATGATTAATCAAATGAGATAATGTCTAAGTTCTATGAGTTGTACAATGCAGTATAGTTGTTACCATTTCTACCATAGAGAAGTTTCAGAACAATTGTTAAAGTCAATATTTTTTCATTAATTTAAAATGCTGAACTTTACGTACATCTACATTTCAAATGTGGTACATCTACATTTCAAACAGTGCGTGCACAGTTTAGACCCTAGAAAATGTTGGTAAGCAGCCTCATCTCTGAACACCCCCCAAAGCACCCTACACACTAGCTACATCAAACAGCTTGCAATTGCTAATACAACAAGCTCATTCACCCTTGGCTCCAGTGGAATCTGTGCAGACTTAGGTTTTTTGGCACCATATTACATTTCTCTGTCTCCCTACCCAGAAGTCAGGTCATTGAGGACATGAAACTTGTTCTACCTTTGCTTTCTATACCTGCTGCCTTTTGCTCAGTTCCTAGGGTGTAGTAATGGTTTGGTGCATTAATGTTCATTATTTTAAATATAATGATTAAATGAATGATCAAGAAGGAACAAACGGACTATATTACTTCTGTTCTAACTATCTTCTTATATGTAAAATAAATCATGTTAGAAGCATAGTTCCTTATGTTCTCTATTTATCCAGAATTCAATAAGCACTTAATAGCATGATTAACTATTGTGTGCACATCCAGGTGCGAGGCCCTATGAGTGATATAGAAATGACATAGACAGTGCACACATTGTACACAGGTTTTTAAACTTTGAAGGCTAACAACATGACAGATCTATTATTCAAAACTATCATCTTATAAGTTATGAAACTAAAGTTCATTTATAGAGTTTGACTTGATCAAAAAACAATGACAAACATATATTATCTACTTACCATGTGCTAAACACTTTACATGTATTATCTCCTTTAATTCTCAAAGACACACTATAAAGTACTATTATCATCTCCATTTTACAGATGAGGAAACTTTTTTATTAGGAAGATTAAGTAACTTGCCCAAAACAAGACCGTATCAAAGAAGGCTGCAGCACCCCCCTACCCAATTCTCATGCTCTCTCACTGTGCTGACTAAACAACTGAAATGGTCCAAAAGCAACATGTGAGCAGAATTCCAAGCAGGAACACTGCTAACCTGGTATCCATCAACACAATCAAGAGACCCATGGGCCACGACAGACGACTGTCTCCTGTAGCTCATCAGAGGCAGGTCAATTCAGGGTGCATAACAGCTTGTAACTTCTCATCTCTCTTGTGGTTTATTAAATGTGATTCTGGTTACTTTAATATAAGGAAAAATGAAGGTGCTCTTTCTCTCTCCCTGCCCTCACCTCTGTCTCTTGGATGCAACAATAGAGACAGAAAGATGGGTGGGGCTACAGGTTCGGAATCAGAGACAATCCCCCAAGCCACACATTTGCTCACTTCACCAGAGAAAGACATCTCAGTGTCCATTATAAGTAACTGACTTACCTCTCCCCTCAGTGCCCCTGCCCCCCAGGAGCAATCAAAATCACGTGTCAAGAAATTAGACTCCTCCACGAGCCACTTCTGCCACCTAGTGTGAAGAGACCTAGACAGAATAATTTGAGTTGATAGAAGAAACACGATTTAACCTCCAAATTGCAAAAACATTTCCAATAAATACCGTTTACTTTCCCCAGACCATTTTATAAGCCACTAAACAAACGAGCATCTGTAGGTTAAATGCAGTAAATTAAGGCCATAATTATGAACCAGCCAAAGACTTTTTGACAAAAGAAGGTACCATGAGCTTAAGTTACAAAATATGTCATGCTTACATTAAGATCAAAATCAGGCTGGATGTGGTTTCTCATGCCTGTAATCCCAGCGCTTTGGGAGGCCAAAGCAGGAGGATTTCTTAAGCCCAGGAGTTCAAGGCTGCAGTGAACTGAGACTGCACCACTATGCTCCAGCCTGGGCAACAGAGCAAGACCCTATCTCTAAAAAAAAAAATTATTAATTAATTAATAAAAATAAAATTTTAAAAGCCAGTTTGATCTGAGATCAAAATCATAGGTACAAACTACTATAACTTTTAAATCAGCAGGAACTGATACAATGAGATTTTATATCTGCTATGAAATTGTTCCTCTTAAGAAACCACACTTTAGAAAAACCATATTTGAGACATGATAGAATCTTTATTTACTTGTTTGTTTTTGTTATTTTCCTGGTTTAAGAAAGACAATGTATGATGAAGGGCAATGTTTCAAAAGCTTTCTTACAGTAAATAAAGTAAGTTTCACACAGTTGCCCCTACATGCCTCTCAGTGTTGGCTAGAGACATACTACAATGGTGAAAGTCAGTGAATACATCTATGCAAGAGGCAAAATACATCCCAACACACAGCTTTCTGGTGGCGGGGCCTTTACTCAAAGTGAAAGTGACTTATAGAGAGCCTGCCTCTATCTCTCAGAAAAGCCTCAATACAAACTATTTCTCACGACATGGAAAATGAGTAGATCGACGAAATATCAATCTGTTAACTTCTGGAAAGATTTTGGAGTGAAGACATTCTATGATTCCAATAAAATACCCATTTTCTTCAATGAACAACCAAAAAATGGGTAAGGCAACGCTCCTCTAATGGAAATTGAAGAGTCAGTAAAGCCTGTGCTGGTGTGGATGGCCCAAAACAAAGAAATAGAGTTAGTAGAGTCACTCTTAAATCCCAGTTGAGTTGGAAGAGTTAAATTCTGAGGGTTGAAATTTGCAGCACTTGCTACCAGCCCAGTACCCACCCCCGACCAAATGCACACAAGCACACACATACAGGCAGAATGTATTGCAATCTTCATTTCTTAAATTATCTAGGGCAGGAAATATAGACTTTGGGGGAGAATTGCTGGAAACCAGAGGAGAAGTCACATCAGACTCACAGCCTGGCAAACCACTGGTGACTAGTTTGGGGAAAAGGAGTATAAGAACGCCTCTTCAGGCCGAGCAAAGGGAATCCAGTTACATCATAGGAGGGGGAAACCACTTCAAAGCCTAGATATTGGCAGCCTGAATCCTACAAAGGATTGAAATGAAATACTACCTAATTCACCAAGCCTGGAGCTACAAGTCAAACAACTTAATTCCTCCACAGAGCCTTGGTTAATGATCAAGATCCCAGTCTCTCCCTGACCCACTCAGCATTTTGAGTGTAGTTGGTCTTTATGTACGTGTTTCATTTTTTGGAAAGCTACATGAGATGATGGAAAGGCATAAAGTAAAGAGGTATTTTTATGAGAGGGAAAAAAGGCTTTTTTTTTCAGTTCTGCCACCTGTGAAGTTCTTTTAGAGCACTAACCTATAGACGTTGAGCTGCTAGAAGGGAAAGAGGCAAGATGTATGGGTCTGCACCAGAAAAATAGAATGGGCTTTAGGAATTTGGTTCTCAGCCTAGATTCCTAATCTAAACTGGTTATCTCGGACAATAGTTCTTCAGAAAATATCCTCCAAAAACAGAGGCTCATATCTCGAAACTGGGATTGTGCCAGGTAATACCTAAACTCCAGTTTAGCATCTTGTCTTAAAAGAGTCTATCTGGGCCAGGTGCGGTGGCTCATGCCTATAATCCCAGCATTTTGGAAGCCCAAGGCGGGTGGATCACCTGAGGTCAGGAGTTCAAGACCAGCCTGGCCAGCATGGCAAAACCCTGGCTCTACTAAAAATACAAAAATTAGCCAGGCATTGTGTCACGCACCTGTAATCCCAGCTACTCAGGAGGCTGAAGCAGAAGAATCGCTTGAACCCAGGAGGCAGAAGTTGCATTGAGCTGAGATCACACCACTGCACCCTAGCCTGGGCAACGGGGCAAGGCTCTGTCTAAAAAGTAAAAAATAAATTTAAAAAAAGAGTCTAACAATATCAAGGAAAGATGAGCACAGAAACTTACAAATGTTGTGCCACTGTGGTGTGACATGTCAATAGTGGGGGAAGTCATGGGTGTGTGAGGACAGGGGGTAAGTGGAAACAGTAGAATTTCTATCCAGTTTTGCTGTGAGCCTCAAACTACTCTTAAAAATAAAGTCTTAATATTTTAATGTTAAGAAGAGAAAAAACATACAGAAGTCCTACTCTGTATCGATCTAACATTCTATCTACTTCTCCTCTGTCCTCCTTTCATGTCTTCTTATCACCTCTTTGTCATTCCCATCTCCAGCTTGGAACAACTCTCCTGTTTTTTGACAATTGTTACAAGCCTCGTTCCATGCCCATCATGTAAAAGAAAATTCTTCTGTGAATCACATAGATTTGTAAAGCCCTCCCCTAGAGTCCACCATGTTTGGAGCCACCTGTCATGCACATTCATTTCTTAATTGTTCATGTGTTTGTTCTATTTCCAAGAAGATGATTAGTTCTTTGAAAGTATTATGTTTAATTATGTTTCAGGATTCTTCCAGCACCTACTTAGCCAAACAACATTGTAGATGCTCAGTAAATAGCTGTTGACTGACTTTAAGTTCTAGATAAACTGTTAAATTTAGCTTGAATTGGACCTCATGCATCTGAGGTCCTGGGAGGTGGCCAGGGTGGGGTATGCATAAGGAAATGGTTATTCCGTCTAAAACAGGAATGAGTTTACCATGACTTTTTATCATTTACCATGGCCTAAGCTGGAGATTTTTCTTGTCTCATGCTCAAAAGACTACAAATTATCTCACATATTTGAAAAAAAAAAAAAAAGGACTTTCTACACCATTTTCATCTAAAAATTTAGAACCATCAGCCAAGCTCAGCTCAAATAGCATATGCATGAAAGCAACTGGCAGAATTAGGACAGATAGAAGAAATCAGTGCCCAAACCAAGAAAGAAGGCTTTTCAAGGCAAGGCTCTGTGTCCTAGGAAGCCTGGGAATCTCAGAAGACACTGCCACTTGCTATGGGACAAAGATCTCTGCTCTGCAGAGAATTAGCTCTGCAGAAAAACTAACACGATTTAGAAGCCAGACTTGAATCGAGTCAGATCGTGCTTTATGGAGCAGAGCTAGCTGAGGCACAATTTTTCCAACAGGCAAAGTTGGCCCCGAGTTCCCTTGCAACTCCCGTCTGCACCTATCCTTCTTCTTCTAATCAAGCACCCTCCAGGTAGGTCTCCCTGCAGACTGATGGATTCCAGGGCTCCCAACGGGCCCCGCCCAGTCCTGCTTTGCTTAATGATCACTCACATTCTCTAACTCTCATTCCAAATGCTCAGTTTGTGAAATATTCCACCCCCCCACCATTTATAAGCAATCTGATAAACTCTCTGAACTGTGAAACTTCTGAGCAAAAGGGTTACATAGAGATTATTTCATCTCAGTCCCTTAGACCAAACCAAGGCCACAGAGCTGGCGTGATTTGCTCTAGGACCCCACAGTGAAGTAGTAGCCAACTGGGACCACCCTGAAGCCTCATGATTGGCTAACCATTGCACCATTGCTCTTCCTGCCACACCATTCAGTAACAGTCAACAAATATTCACTGAGCATGAACTACATGCCAAACCCTCTGCTAAACTGAAAAATTGGGATCATCAAGACGTGAGACTAATTGAACCTCAATATTGTTCATCAAATCATTTATTCATTCAATAAGAATTAAGTGAATATATGCTGTGTTATAGATTCTGCTTAAACACTCATCCCAGAAATAGCTGAAATTAAATCATTGCAATGGCATTGTACTGTATCCACTTAACTAACCTTGAGCTAAGATTCCCAACACTCCCTCCTACAGTTGGTGCAGGTTAGGGTTAACCTCAAGAGAAGTTTGCCTGAGATTCAGAGGGCAAAAGTGAAGTAGCAGCCATTATGTTCTGAAGGTGGATGTAGGTACCAGTGGCTGTTGTAGCAAATCTGTGGGATCACCCTGTCAGTGTAAGCCTGCAGCCAAACCTGCAGCTGTACCAGCCGCCACCGCATTTCCTGCTTCAGGTTCTGCATATCAGGTTTGGAGGTGGTAGGGGATGGTCGTAGGTTCCAGATTGTCCTCTCAGTTGTGTTTGTTCTTTGTCTTCTGTGCTATTTCATGCCCAGCTTATTATTCCCCAGCTGCCAGCTCTGCAGAGGTACAGCAACTTCAGGTTCGCCATCAGACCAGACAAAAGGATAACAGTCTTCCTTAGACTTCTTCACCAGCTCCCACAGTTGCATGAGATCGAATAATAAACCCCCTATTCCATGTCACTCATACTGGATCTCTATTTCTGATTGAACGTTGATACAGAAAAATACCCTTTTAAATATTCTTTAATTTAGCCTTTCTGAAACATGAGTAATGCATGAACTCATTTAAAAAAAAAAAACCTTGTAATTTCCTAGTGTTTACTTAAATTATTATTATCATGACCTTACCTAAACAGGTACATATATTAATCAAAACATGTAACTATAAATGAAAATAAACTTTATAAATAAAATTCACATCAGTTACACTAATTTAATGTTCCTGATAATGTCATTGTGCTGAAATGAAGTCATGAATGAATCCGCAGTACAGGTTCTTTTGCTATCCCAAGCCTGTAGCACTGGGCACTATGTGGTGTCTGAATACTCCAGGTCCTTTTCTATGTTTGAATTACTGCAAAGCCTTCTCTCACACAGCTTTCTGGGATGTCATTTGGCTCACTTGGTGCAAACACATCACGCAGTTATCAACTGAAACTCTAGGCTCCCTAGTAAATATTAAAAAGTTAACTTTACCAGAGCCCAGGTCTTCTTGTTCAATCCCTCCCTCTCCCTCACATTGCTCTCTGGAGACCCCACCCTGTCCAGGCGTAGCTGGATTCCTCATCCTGGCAGCTAAGTCTATCTTTCCCAAGAGAACAAGGCATTCAGCCTCCTACGCACAAGAGTTGCTGGCCAAGAGAAAGCCGATTCGTTATTGGAGATGAGAGAGCAACACACCCAACCCTGCCATATGTTGGAAAATCCAATAAAAGAGTAAATAATATCTTTCCTGATTCTTTGTAATAATCAGAATAACCAATGGCCACCATCACTGTGTAACTTCCAGTTATCTGGAAATTGCAGCCTGCAAGAGCTAGCCCTGGTAAGCTCCACATTCACACTAAGAAGCCTGCGATAGGTGTGAAAACCTCAGCACATCTACTGGGTCCCCTTTCCTGCCTGGAAAGCCACAGGGCATCTAAAGGCATGTCAGCCATACAAGGCACTGTGAGGCTGCTCTGAAGTTGTATTTAACCTCCATGCACCTCTGCAATCATACTGTCCTAGCAGAGACATTTGCAAAGCCTCAGACACACAATACATTTGTGATAATGGCCATTTCCAAAGGCTGGCTTACTTGTTGCATTTCTATATGTGGAATGTGATTAAAACTTGTGCTTAAATCTCATTCTTTTCTTCCTTTGTTTCCCTTGGCTCAAATGATCATCAGCGAAGCAGTAAAGCAGTTTATGGGACTCCGCCACCTCCCAAGATAAAATTATAAATCAGAGCTAATTTGTTCAGATGCATTAATGGATGATTGACTCATAATGAGTTAGAATGTGGGAAGGGCAGCATCAGACCTTGGTGACACACCAAGCCACCCTGGTTGGTTCTATTCTCACGCCCAAGGGAGGACACTACAGGACTGGGGCTCCCAAAGCTGCGTTGTTAGATCCTCCAACCAAATAAGAATGATTGTTTCCCTGAAAAATCTGCTGCCATTCTTGGGATGTTCAGGCACCTCCTGTAAGGCTCATCCTCACTGTGGAAAGTTATTGAATGTGGTGAAGTCAATTACAAAAAAGAAGGATGATCACAGTCAATAACAGCTGACATGTCCCTCATGTGCCAGGCATTACCCTTGATCTTTAGCCAACTGTCTCCTATTTCGTATTCATTTTTCAAATAAACAGCTGGGGCTTAGGAAGGTGAGGCACCTTGCCTGCCCTCCTAGGTAGGTAAGTGAGGAAGCTGGCTCACTCTAACCCCAAAGCCCCACTCTTGACCACTAACTGCACCATTCTTCACTGAGCACAGTGAGTTTGCACAGTTCCACGCTTCTCTGGCATTTTTGAATCCTATGAGAACTTTAAATCCCTTTCACCTGCTCATTTCTAATTAAATGAAAAACAAGCCTCCTTGTGTATATATTTTTATATTTCTTTGGAAACATCTTTTTTACATTTACAGCCAAGAGTGGTCTGAGCCCCAGTATGTGCCAAATGAGATATGTCTTCTCTTCCCTTTGTACATCATGCTAACATTTGCTTATTTCAGTAAGTGCAATGACTAATCATGTGGCTCTTATGCTTACTCTTTCATACTGGGAGTTTTAGCCAAAATATTATTTAACCTGTAATCCTGAGAGCAGGGACCACATCCTCCCTAATGCCTATCTTGATTCTTGGAACAAAAACCTGTATAAACGAATAAAGGAAGGGAGGGAGCAAAAAAGAAGGGAGAGAAATGCTTAGAATTCCACAGTTCCTTGAACGCCAGGTATAAAGATACACAGTAGCTGCCCTGCAAGAGCTCTAGTCAAATGAGGGAAGCAGACTTGGAAACAAATAATAAGAACACAACCAGAGAAAGACTATCAGGTCAGTGCAGAGTAGTATGAGAGCAAGGATGAGGGGATCTGGAAGGTTTCTCAGCGGAGTGACATTTGGCATTGAAGAAAGCGTGGCATTAGGCGTTGGAACCAACCCCTGGGAAAAGTTGGAAGGAAGACAGGCAGGTGCTTGATGGGCAATACCCATTTCTACAGAGGAGAAAAAGATTCAGAGAGGTCAGCCGACTAGCCAAAGATTGCAGCTTATAAATCTTGGACCTAGCAGTCTGCTGCTCTCCTCTGGATGGTCTGACTAGCAAGCTGGTCACTTAATACATGCCCCTCTATTGTTCTTGAGAGTTGCCAGGTTTTGCAGATCATCTGATGATTTGGCCTCTAGGTGAACAAAGAGGAGTTTGTTTCCGTGGCGGGTCCTCTTCTCATTCTTTAGACTCTCTTGCCCTCTTGTGGTTATGCAGAGCTACAGCCACCTGAGCTGTCTTCATACATCAGAGAGAAAACATCTAATAATGAGTGCTGGATTGCAGCCCGATCCCTTCCCAGTTCCAAAACAACACAAAACAACTCTTGAGCCAAGAATCTTTTAAAAATATTTATCAAAGAATACACTCATGGTTTTAAATGATCATGCATATTTTAAACAGCAAAAGGTCCAAATGGAGGTAGGAGGAAGTAAGAGGAGGAGGCATGAGTATATCAAATTCTATTTTTATACACAGAGGTAGTGCATGCAGGTTTAGAAAGCCCAACTCAAAATTAGTAGAATGTCAATAAATGTAAAAACTAAGGCACAGAGTGGTAGGGAAAGGATTGCCTTAGACAAAGCTACCATTTTAAGTTCTGGACCCCAGTTGAATTGTCCACCTGGCGAGAGTTTTGCAGGGTGGAAACAATGCCTTCAGCCAGTTATGAAATAAGCAAAAGTCTGTTCCCTGAGAGGAGACATCTGCATGAAACCTACAGGCATGTGGGAACCAGATCTTAACCTTGGTTTCAATGCAAGTATTTGAGAAATTACTGCAAACAGCAGTAACTACCAGTTTTGTCTTTTATTATTCAGCTTTCTTGTTAACTTCAGAGAAGTGCAAATGTGAAATGGACATCGCCCCATCCCAGCAGAGGAAAACATAACATACAGCTAACAGAGACAAAGACTTTCTATTGCCAGGAACAATGGCCAACACTCATCACTCTTGGTAAAGACAGTAGGAAACTGGGATTCAAACACACAGTGAAGAATTTCAGTTAGATGCAAGGAAGAAATTTCCACAGGGACTGTGAGTGATAATGTGGTATGTTGCAAAGAAAACTGAACTTAAAATATAGAACACTGGATTTTAGTTCCTGCTCTGCCACAAACCAGCCATGTGACCTTGTGAGAGGCATTTTACTATTCTGGGTCTCAGTCCCCTCAACTGCTAAAAGAGTATCATAATAAATCTCTAATTTTCCATTCAACCCTAAATGTTTATAAGCCAAAGGTTCTATGATGCTTCCCTTTGGAGGCTGTCAAAGAAAGAGAGAATATTTCAAGCTATTTCCATTTGTTTGGACACAGATGTGGTTGGAACCAGGAGAATAACTTAAATGGCTTCTTCAGATAGCCTTCTCTTCCAAAGTGTAGGGAATTTGGGGATGCTTGCCAAAATACATTGTTAGCCTAATTAATTGATTTTAACACCTCAATGTTTTAAACCTTAATGATCATCTTCCAGAAAATAGAGCAAAAATTCAAAGCAATGGAAAGGGGAAAAAACACATAAGAAAATCTAAGGTACAACCCAAGGAGTTTAGTATCCATAGATAAATTCAGAGAGAACACAGAAAACAGATGACTAGAATCATCGGCTAAATAATTCACCAAAAGAGAAAAAATAAGTCCCAAACTGGAAGGCACAAATTTCTGATGGAAAGTATACATTTTCATCAAGTGCTCACCCAGCACAATAGAAGAAGATGGAAAGAGACACAAAATAAGGTATATCATTGTGAAATTTAAAAAAAAAAAAAGGAAATTCCCAGAAAAATATTCTTGGGAGACCACAAGCTGATAGCTCTGAAGCAGACACAGAGAGCAACCAGTTCAAACTGAAACAGGTCGAAAGAGATCTAAATGAGACTTCTTCAGCAAAGTACATGTAATAGAACACATTAGGTACTCCAACAGACTGAAAGAAGATTTTGACAATTGATAAAAATGGTTGAGGTCGAATTGGTAATATGTAAATAGAAACTGAAGCAAACCGATAATTAAGACAAGTTTATGAAGTCTAGAAAAAAACAAAATGTTGTGCAAGAAAGAAAAAGTACTTGCCACCATTACAGCCCAGTCCCTCTGTTTTGCATTTATTTTGTAACCATTGCATTGAGGAATTGGAATTTCATATCAGTGGGAAACAAACAAAATTTTTTAATCGCTGTTTTCATTCACACTCTGTCAAATCTTCCTTCCCCACTCAATAGTAAATCCTTTAACACCTCGAACAAGTGTCATAACTTTTCAGTTATTAAAATTCAGTTCCATCCTGTTAATAACTCTGGACTCATATTTGATTCAAAACTTTTCCTCTCCCTCATTGCAAATCAGACCTATGGCTTGAGGGACTTGGAGAGTGAAGGATGACACTCTTTCATTACCGCACCACCTCTGTGCTCAGGACTGGATTCTTTGGTGATGGAAACAAGGAAGTGAGATACGGGAGATTGGTGAAGAGCAAACAGCTCCTTACTTAACTGGAGTCATTGCAGTTCTCTCTCTGGCCAACCCTGACTGGCCATTAAGGCTGGGCACGTGGGGAGGAATCCAAAGCTGACTCTTTTGTGAGGCTCATGAATATGTTGACTGGAGAGCACTGAAGGGGCCTTCTGACTACATGTTTTGTTGACATGGCAAATGCTACTCTTGCCTCACCTCTTCTATCCTCCCATATCCTGTCATTCATGCTGCATCTCCCATAGCCCTTTGCTGATGGGGTCCCCTTATCCTGTGTGTAGCTCTCTCAAGTGGAGTAGCATCAAAAGGGCTCAAGCCCAGCCATCTCTGCAGGTTCCACTCTATCCACTAGAGACTCACAGACCCCTGCCAGACTAACTGGTGGCTGTGCTGATTGTGGTACTCTTTCTGCAGCCCTGTAGTCTTCCTCCAATTCTCTTCCCTTTCTCTGGTACTCAGGGGCAGATCAGCAAGTCTGATGCCTAAGGAATGAGATGCCAGTGACCCTGCCTTGCACAGACACACCCAATCTCTACACAGGATTGTGGGGAACCCCTTCACTTGATGATGGGGAAGGAGATCAACCCCTGTGCTACCCGAAGGGAGAGTGGCAATCACCTCTTATCATGAATACGGCACTCCTCACAAGGCTAGTGACTCAAAACATTCCCTGTGTCTCCCATTCATTCTCAAGACTTCTTATGTAAGGGACCATCATTCCCCTTCCCACCCCTTCATCCTGTGTTTGGAGGGTGGCAGGTGCTAATAGGGAAGTTCTACCTCCTCCTTGTAAGCCCTGGAGGGAGATATCTGGCTCCTATTTGCCTCTTGTTAAAAAATAGGATTACTTGAGCATCTTCCTTTCAGGTTGGGATTTTAGTTACAATTCTGGGGCAACATGCTTTTACATCTGTTCTAATATCTGTCTCCCTGATTAAACTGTGAGCTCCCCGAAGATCACATCTTGTGATCTCATGCGAAGGCCATATCTCATTTCTCAACGTATCCCAGCCCCTAGCATAGCACCAGGCATATAACAGATTCTCAGTAAGTACAGAGTAAATGAAGTGGGAATGAAAGAATAATTCATAGGTGGATGGATGGAAAGATAGATAGATAGATGGATAGATAGATAGATAGATAGATAGATAGATAGATAGATAGATGATAGAACCTCTTTCCTACTTCCATTGACACTGACAAATAAGAAACTACTACTGGTCTTGTGTGTTAATATCAGCCTCAGACAGCAAGGGCACAACATTGACTGTCATTTAGGAACTCCCAAGAATTGATTGTTTCAAGCTCTCTTTCTGTCCTCTTGCACTCCTTTTCATCCTCATCCTCTTGGGTTTCATTAAAGAAACAATGTTATTTATTCTATATTAAGAAGAAAAAAACACTCTTTTTTATCTGAAATATCTGAATAAGAAAAATTTTAAATATCTCTGATATCACAGATATCATTTAGAATTAAGTCTTTTTAAAAAAAATGTCCACTATTCACATTTAAATATGAGAGGATGGTATAAAATGACCCTTCAACAAATAACTGCCAGAATTCTATCTTACAAATGTTTCCTATATGGAAGGAGGCAAAACAAAATCCTGGTTTTCCAATTGCTGAGACTTTTCATTTATTTCTTCTTAATGATTCACCCTTTCAATAACATACTCCATCATGATTTCTGAGTACCTGAGCCATGAAGGACCAGAAATCAAGAAACGTGGGAGGTACCACTGACTCTTTTACCAGTCTCCTGTAAGTGTAGGCAAGTAATTCCATTTGATTTCCTCATCTGTGAAATGAGGAAGTTGAACCTCATGAATCTTAAGATGCCTCTAAAATTCCTTAATTTTAAGATTCATCCAGTAACTGTAGGTACTTAAAACCCATGGAAAATCTCATGACTGTAAGAGCTCTTCTTTAAAGAGAAAATGATTTCTGAACCATGTTTAGCAGACCGACTAATGGCCCTCCAAAAATACCCATGCCCTACTCCCTGGATCCTGTGAATATGTTCCATTACATAGCAAAAGAAACTTTGTAGGTTGCTGACCTTATGCTAGGGAGACTATCCTGAGTCATCTAGGGGGTCCAATCTAATTAATTACATAAGCCCTTAAAAGCAGAGTAATTTCTCCAGTGGGAATGAGAGAGAGGTTGGCAGAAGGAGAAGTTAGATTCGAGAGGTAAGAGAGACTCAATTAGTCGCGGGAGGGAGCACCACGGGAAGCATGAGGAGGAATGGAGCAGCCTCTAGGAGAAAAGCCTGATTCCCGGTGGGCAGCCAGCAAGGAAATGGGAACCTCTGTTCTACAACTGCAGGGAACTGAATCAGGTCATCAACCTGAAGGAGCTGGGAAGTGGATTCATCCTGAGACTTCAGAAAGGAAAGCAGCCCTGCCAAAATGTTGATTTCAGTCTTGTGAGACTCAGAGCAGAAGGACCACTAAGCCGTGATGTGCCCGGACTTCTGACCCATGGAAACGATAAGATAATCAATTTGTGTTGTTTTAAGCATCTACACTTGTAGCAATTTGTTATAACAGCAGTAGAAAACCAATACACCAACCATACCTTTAACATCTCCTTCACTCTGAATTCATGTTCTACTTGTTTCTGCAGAAGGAGACAAGAAAAGGATGTTTTACCATCATCTAGAAGATAGAAACTCAGCAGGCCCTACTTTTTTCTGCTTTTAGTTAACTGTATGTAAACAACCTCCTTGGATTTCTCCCCTTTAAATATTTATTGCCCAAAATTGCAATATTAACCATTCTGAAATCAGTCTTTAAGCTAGAAAATTTTAATTAAATTATTTTAAGGAAAAGATCATCATGTTTTGTTTCTAATTTTTTCAGTCTCTTTGCCTCATTTTTTTCCATTTTGTGCCTTAATCAGAAGAAGGAGGAGGAGGAGAAAGTGCTTTTATCATATTGGCAACCTTCATGCTACTCTCATTAAGAAACTTTTAGCGTTTTATTACAACTTCCTTTGGCCAAAGAATTATGCCTCAGTAAACCTACTACATGACATCATTCCTTCCCCAGAGCAGTGTTTATTCCTTACAGGTCAATGACTGTGTACCAGACACTGTTCTATGTGCCGGATTCATGTTTTTCAAACTATGGGTCAAGACCCTTTGGTGGGTTGTAAAATAAATTTAGTGGGTCATGACCAGAATTTCTGTAAATGTGAAATAGAATAGAACAGAAACTATCAGAGTGTATCATTAGTGAGAGTAAGCATTGTTTCATGAAATTTTTGTTAAAGTCATATGCATCTCTGTGTGTGTGTGTGTACATCTAGGAACACCAAATATAAATGTAAAAAAAAGGAAAAAGGATGTCCTACTGTATATTATGGTTTAAAAAGATAAAAATTAGTGCTCTTGATTCATCATTTTATTTAATCCTCATGACTATACATAAGGTAGGTACTGTTATCCTTGGTTTGAAGATAGGGAAACTGAGGCTGAAACAGTTTGAACAGCCTGCTCAGGATCCAGCAGGTAACAAATGGTAGACTTGGGACTCAAATCTAGATCTGTCCAAGTCCATGCTTCTTCCCATACCTCACATATCCTTCACAGAATTGAAAAACAAAACCAGAAGCCGTATTCAAAGCCATGTTCGTACTTTTTGATAAATGGCATGATACAAAGAAAATGTATATAAATTTTTGTTTGTTTGTTTGTTTGTTTGTTTGAGATGGAGTTTTGCTCTTGTTGTCCAGGCTGGATTGCAATGGCATGATCTCAGCTCACTGCAACCTCCACCTCCTGGGTTTGGGCGATTTTCCTGCCTCAGCCTCCTGAGTAGCTGGGATTACAGGTGCCCACTACCACGCCCAGCTAATTGTTTTGTATTTTTAGTAGAGACAGGGTTTCACCATGTTGGCCAGGCTGGTCTTGAACTCCTGCCCTCAAGTGATCTGCCCGCCTTGGCCTCCCAAAGTGCTGGGATTACAAGCGTGAGCCACTGCGCCCGGCCATATATAAATGTCTAAGCCTACTATGTTCATGCTAACATTGATCAGCTCTGCCTTCCGCCTTGTCAGAGCCATTTCACATGCAATCATGTTTAGGATGAAGGTTGGTTGGTGATATATATGTGTTCTATTACCATTTTACCCCAAAGCCTTTGCTGAAATTAGATATCCAGTAATGACAGCAAAGCCAGTGAATTAGCAACAATATATTTTCCCATCATTTCATTCAGGGCTTATATGGAGTGATTATCTGTATGAAATGTTATTTGGGCTTCTCCTTTACTCTTCATCTCACCCTTCCTCAGCTATGTCGATTTTTCTCAAACCACATTGCACCCCCTAAACCCTTCCTCCAACCCATCCGGAAGGCTGCTCAGCCGCTGGTTTGAAGAGCCATGTCCTTTTTCCAGTGGTTAGCCACCTGGCCATTTTCAAGCTGTGCTTCTACAAACTCCAACTCAACCACACACACAGCATGGACATGGAGATTCTGCAATCCAAAATATTATCAGCATATTTTGCAAATGGTACAATTCCTTAGAAACAGCATGAAATTTTCTGATATTCCTCTCCATGTCCTACATTTCATGTCCCAGTTTGCTTCTGGCAATCTGACTTCATGAGGCCATCAGAGTGCAAATCATCCACATGGAGCCATCATGCCACTTTAACATTTCTTCCTCATCATTCTTAATATTGGCATTAGAAACATACACAGAAAACCTGGGCACGGTGGCTCACGCCTTTAATCCCAGCACTTTGGGAGGCCGAGGTGGGCAGATCATGAGGTCAGGAGATTGAGACCATCCTGGCTCACATAGTGAAACCCCGTCTGTACTAAAAATACAAAAAATTTGCCAGGTGTGGTGGTGGGCGCCTGTAGTCCCAGCTACTCGGGAGGCTGAGGCAGGAGAATGGCGTGAACCCAGGAGGCGGAGCTTGCAGTGAGCCGAGATCGCACCACTGCACTCCAGCCTGGGTGACAGAGCGAGACTCCGTCTCAAAAAAAAAAAAGAAAGAAAGAAAGAAAGAAAAGAAACATACACACAGCAAAAAAGATATTATAAGGGAATGTGATTTATACTTCCTGATATCATCATCCTATCTTTCCTATGTTTTTTGTGGAGAGAAGCGGAGGACATATTACAAAGAAACGTCTGAGAATAGTTTACAATTTTCCAAAGTATCTGAAAATGATATAGTTTTTCTATAGAAGTGAAACCAGTTCTTTTCCCTGCACTATGTGGCAGATGGAACGAGTGGTTGGCTTTTTTAGTGGTTTTGCAGATCTGATCCAAGCAGATAAAAATGATTTTAAGTATCTGATTCCCCTTGCACTCCAACATTTGACTTCTGCCACTTGGTTAGAATTCAAGAAAAATTAAAATCTTACTGTGCAACCAGGGCTCGGATTACGGTAAGCAGCCAGACCACCTCACCCTGACAGTAATACCCTGGGAAAACCTGCACAAGAATAAAAGCAGACCTGCTCAAGGCTCAGCAATTGGCACTTGAGTTCTATGCGTGTAAAAGGGGTAGAGGTTTTGTGGCGTTTAAATTATATTGTGTTAAATAAGGCTCTGATTTCCCCAGTCCTTCTCATGGGGATTTCAGGGGATGAGCAAACCCCTTTTATGTAAACTCAAGAAGTCTTTATTCACAGCCAGAGACAAACTTAGCCCCACTCCAGAGCCAAAGAGCCTCACTGACTACAAGGTTGGCCAGCCTCAATGCCAGAATTCACCATCTCCCTCATCCCTCAAGAGTTTTAGAACTGTAATCAATGAGCTCACCATTAAAAAAAAAAAATCCTAAAATCATTAAAAGTCCTCACAGGCTTTCTTCCTGAGCAAAGTGAAACCAGTTCTTGTGCAGAATGCCCCCAAAATGCCACATTCAGAGGGTAGGATTCTTTCTGGACCTCAGAGCTTTCCATCAAACTCTCTAAGCGGCCTGGTGACAACCTAGAGTCACCTTCAAGCAAATGGTTCAATCATTTTGACTGACATGAATGAGACTATTTGATCAAGTGTAAATCAAATCAGTCAAATGGGATGTCCAAATTGATCAATAAGTTCAACCAAATCAGAAAAAGCCAGTTGGGAGCAAAAACACATCCTTGGTAAAATCCAGAAGGATAACAAATTTTCCAGGTATGGGACAAGATAAAAGTTTTTGATACCAAATACTAGTGGAACATTTCTGGTAGCCAGACAGTCCATGACCATGGACCATGAGAACAGCCATTGCTTCTGGTGCTGCTGCCAGGGAATTCCTCTGACCAGGCATCTTAGGAAGCTGCCATCCCCGAAGTAGTGGCTATGCTGTGACCTCACTCTCAAGCTGCCTAGACCACTTCATTTGTTAAACATACCCTAGAACTATCCTTATTTCTGAAAAAGCAGCATAACTGTAGCCAGTGTTGACCTTGCAGAAGAGGCCAACAAATCAGGCTATAGACATGCTAATCCAGCAATCCAACCAATTAAAGAGCTTCTGCCTCCAAAGGGACATGGAGACACGCTTAGAGGCCTTTGCAGGGACCATGCAACTCTCTTTGTAGCAACACATTTCAAAAAAGAAAAAAAAAAAACTAAGTGTAGATACATGTAGGGTCATCACACTAACTCTCTGCCTTCCTTCCTGCCTTCCTTCCACCACATGGAGATGAAAACAAGAAACGTAGCCTGTCTTAAAGCTAGGACTAAAGCTCCAGCTTTAACCATCACCTATCATCTTAACACAACCCAATTCTTCTAGCAACAAAGTATGACAGCTGCAACTGCCAACAGACAATTTTACCCTTCCATGACCTTGGCAACATTGAAAGAGCACTGCTTTCCCACTGATTTGATAGTCACTATTGGAATAATGACTCTAGATAATCACTACAAATAAACTTTCTGTCTATAATAGTAGCCATTCCATTTCTGGTTTTAATGTTATTCACCTTCTTCCAAATAAACATCTTTTCCCAATGCCTGGAAAGTTCCAACCTTGTTCCAAATTTATATATTACTTTTCCATTATCTCAGGGCAGCAATAATAATAATAATAACAGTTATGACATCTTCCTTCTCCTAGAAGAATCCTGGCCACTTCTTGCACTTTTCTGGTTTGGAATTCTCTGATGGGCTTATTTTTTTCTTCCTCCTCCTCCTCCTTAGTGGAAAATGTTACTTCTAACTGCTGGCTTTAATTTAATTTAATTTAATTACAGCATTTTCCACACATGCCCACAGGCTCTTGGTAATAGTTGCATTTTTAATAAATCTAATATATAATAATGACTTTGTTTTTAATTTTCCACTGAGAGTTGGATCCTGAGTTGAACACAGAGCTCCAGACAGGGGCGTCTGGTTCACTCCATGTGATTGGATTTCAGGGAACCAAGGGGCTCCTAATTGGAAAATAGCTGTGCTTTCACCCCCTATCCCCACACACCTGTGTTTAATGTCCTCAGCAAGCATCCCATAGGACATGAAATGACCGCTTGTTTCAGTCAAAATGATCAAACCAGTTGAGCAGGCATTCCTCAGGCTGGACTGTGAAAGGAAAATGGAGGTAAGCGAGCAATGCCTGGCCAAGACCATTATACAAAGAGACTCTATGGACAGCACTCTGGTGGTGGCCTTTACGGAGTGACCCACTGCTCTCTGCCTTTATCCACAAGTCACTGGGCCAACTTAGAACTGTAATCAAACATAGTTCAACCAAAGGATGAATTTTATGACTACTGATTTCTCCTTTGCAAAGACCGTGGTTGATATTCATCGGTAGGCTATTTTATGACTGTCCATGTTCAGTTCATTCAACTATATGGTAAGTTAACAATGTTTGGGTTTCTTTTCCCTTGTCTTTCTCCCCAGTGCCATGTGCTCAGTAAAGAGCTCAGCGCCAATAGATTCCCAATAACATATAGGGCTACGTTTATTGGGTATTACCCTGTTTCAGACACCATTCTGAGCACGTTACCTGCACTGCTTCATACAAGTTTCTTGTGCTGTTGTCTTCATTCTGTGGATTAGAGAATGGAGACTTACAGAGGTTAAATATCTGGCTCAAGTTCACCCTCCTAGTAAGTGGCAGAACCATCCAACTGCAGAGTCTAAGTTCTTAACCACTAGTCTGAGGTCACCAACTAAAGCCTTGTACGGCAAAATCTGCACCAAAGCACTCAGAAAGTGCTTTACTTTCTTAATACATTGGGCATCCTCTTGGAGTCAAGTGTAACGTGTGATGGAGTGGGCCTAAGCTATCTTAGTAACTGAAATCTGCCCATAAGAAAACTTCTCTGTGGATTTCAAGCAGCTACAAGAAATTTGGGCAAGCAAGATAAGTCAGTCTTCAAAATGGAGTGAGAGATCCTGCTGTAGTCTATCTCACTTGACCATCGTAGGAGATGGATGCTTCAGAAGGATGGTGTAAGAGATGGCTCCACTATGGTGCCCTGGTGGCCTTGCACGTGTCTGGATGGGACATGCAGGCAAAGGCTTGGACTGCAGCTCATGTATGTCTTCAATGAATGTCTCACAGTCCTCCCTAAACATGAGCTCAGGAGAGGCTCGTGATGAGCTGCTGTGAGACCCACCCACCTCCCTCTCTCTTCTGGGGGCTGTCACAAGGTTGTTTCTCATTGCCTCAGAGGTTCTGATGAGGTATGAAGAATTTGGGGCTGCCTCCCTAAAAGCAGAGATGCAGGATATAAATCCATTGTACTGTAGCTTAGAATTGGCTCCTTAGCAAAGGGGAATCCCTTAAGTTGTGTTGCCATTGTCCAGTCCCTTTTGTTTCTGTGTCGTTCCTTTCTGGTGTGTAGGATAAGGACCTCAGGGAGCTGAGTATCTTCAGCTACTTTTCCTTTTGCTGTCTATGTAAGTAACTAATGGCCTGAATGTAAAAGTGACTTGTTCTACTTTATAAGTCAAGTCACTCAAGCCTTGGCCTTATATAGCATCTTGTGTGTGTTTGAAGAATTGTCCCATCAAGTCGGTCACCTATACAGACAATGCAATGAAAACTAGCCAAAAGGAATATATCAATAAGAGCTCCCTCATTTCAAGTGACACTGTAAAGTGATACAAAAAAAAATTATATATATGTATAAATAGCACGCACATGCACACATACACACACACACACGTGCATACACACACACAAGCGTCTATGAAAAGCATCCCAGGGAAAATAGAAAAGTCACTAACTGAGGGATTTGCCTCTGCATGTCTTTTGTTAAGCAAGCTGATGGTAATTTGGGGAAAGAAATGCAAATGCATTCAATTTAACAAAATTAATATTTATTTTCTATAAACAAACCCAGTAGAATTCTCAGTGGGCACATATTTCGACATCAGAATTTAACATTAAGTATTAATTCTGCATTTCAGAATCTGTGTAAATCCAAATGCTAAGATGTGTATGAGGACAGATCCCATTTACTCATCAGGTCTCATATGGGCCATAACAATAAAAAGAACGCAGGGAACTCCCTGTTACATGGCAGGACTTGAGAATGGACTGTTCTGGTTAGTAAATACACAGATTGCCAATTTTTAAATAGTTATGTTCAAAGAACATGTAAAAAAGGATTAACACTAAAAGTTCCATGACCTTATTTTAAACTAGTTTTGATCATTCAAGACTCACAAGACAAAGTAAATGAGTAATTATTAAATAATCTAATTACCATATTATTAGTTCATTTTCATGCTGCTGATAAAGACATACCTGAAACTGGGGACAAAAAGGGGTTTAATTGGGCTTACAGCTCCACATGGCTGAGGAGGTCTCAGAATCATGGTGGGAGGAGAAAGGCACTTCTTACATGGCAGTGGAAAGAGAAAATGAGGAAGAAGCAAAAGCAGAAACCCCTGATAAACCCATCAGATCTCATGAGTCTTACTATCACGAGAATAGCATAGGAAAGACCAATCCCCTGATTCAATTACCTCTCCTTTGGTCCCTCCCACAACATGTGGGAATTCTGGGAAATACAATTCAAGTTGAGATTTGGCTGGGGACACAGCCAAACCATATCACCATGGAATATTAAAAAAAAAAAAAAAAAAAAAAAGAAGTAAAGGAGACAATCTTTGTCCTGAAGTACAAAGCAATTTGTTGGAGAGGTAAGATTTTCACTGATCACAATAGAAAACAAAAATGTTATCATCAAGGGCCTCAGAATTACCTTTGGAAAAACCAACTCTCATATACCAGGTTGGCAGGAGCAGTTAAAGATTATCTGATGAAAGAATGCTAAATAATAACATTTTTACTCTTTAATTCTTTTGAGTGTCTTTCCATTTCACCAAATTGATCAGCTGTTATAAATCTCAGCTATAATTAGCTTCATGGACATCATACACAAAGGAAAAGTGAAATCACTCCCTTCTACAAAATATAAATGTCTTTGACCCACCCTAATCTCACTGGTATATTCACACACACACACACACAAAGTTACTACAAAGTCATAAACCTTTCCAGTTGGACTCCTTAACTCTGTTTTATTACGAATGATGTCATGCGCTACTCCTTAGTTTACTTTTTAAAAATTTGCTTTTTTACATTTCTTTCCCCATAGAAGCATCTAACCATAAAGATAGCCTGCTCATTAGAGGCCCATCCAGTAGGTTTCAAATACATGAGGGAGAAGGCCAGAGAGGTGGGGAGAGGCCAGCTGATTCAGATGAAAACAACAATAGCTCCCATTTATGAAGCACTTCAACATGCAGGCACCCTGCTGAACCCTTAACAGATATCTCATTTAATTCTCACAACAAATCCGAGGTGTAGATTTTATTATCTTCATTTAGTGATTAGGAAGCTAGAGTTTGAATGGTTCAGTAATTGATCTAAGATGAAAATGCTTCGCTTCACACCTAGGTCTATCTAAGTCCCTTTCCCTGCTTTCATCCATTCCACAGAAATTGAAAAAAAGTGCACAGATTCAAAACTTCAAATCCTATTAGCCAACAGGCAATTGGTTTACAGTACGCAAATGTCTTAGCAGGAATTCTCATGAAAATAACTTTCCCTTCTCCACTTTGAATTAGTCCTTTGGAGCTTTTAAACTTAAAATCATAAGTTTCCTTTTACTAAGGGTCAGCCCTGGAAAAATATCTTTCCACCCCACAAAACGAGCTCCCTTTTGGGATTCCCAAGCTGAAGTTGATTTCCTAAATTTACCAAATGTTTATTCTCATTACTGTTTTATGTCCTCTGATTGAGGAAGTTCTCCCTTTCCAAAGACGTAATATTCCCAACAAGATCCCACTGCTTCTCTGTGAGAAACATGGCAGGAGAATTATTGCTATACCTTTAAATGTGTTATTTTTGCCAGCTAAAAAGAGAAACTTCAACAATGTCATCCCCTCCCTCATCAGGCTTTCTTTCTTTCCAAATGCATAACAGGAACCCACAGAGGGTAACCTGCTGATTCCCTTGAAGCAAGAGGCTCACAGAACAAAGGTTTAAATTTCTGTTATTTATCCCTTCTTTCATTGATGATAAAGTACATCCCCACAGTTATCTCTATCTTCTCACCCACCAAAGTAAAAAAACATAGGCTTGAGGCAGGGAGTTGGGGGTTGGAGTCACTATAAAAGAATACTAAATCACCAAAGTAGTGCATCTGCAGAGAGCAGAATGCTTCTAGAATATTGCCATCGTTACAACAACTATTATTATCTCAATAGATGTGTATAGAAAACACCATGCTTGGCACATGTATACATATGTAACTAACCTGCACATTGTGCACATGTACCCTAAAACTTAAAGTATAATAATAATAAAATTAAATTAAAAATTAAAAAAAAAGAAAAGAAAACACCATGCTTAGAAAATTAAAGAAAAACTCATTGAATTAGAATGACTTCCCCATGGCCATATAGCTAGAAAATAGCAAAATATGGATATGGTGTCTTACCAGCTTGAAGCTGCCTGACTCCACACCCAGTGTTCTCCCCAGTGTGTCCACCATAGTAAAGAGGTAGTGAGCATTTCCCCTGGTAAGTTCTGATTGGACCCATGGTTGCATTATAGCAAAATATGGCTCTTAATAATCAGTGCCATTTAAATTAATACCCCAGATTTACAACCACCATCTCAGCCATTATATGTTATGATACTACTCTATCACTAAGTCCTTTCTAAACTGAAATGTAACCCTTTCGTCATTTCTCTATTCAAATAATTTCACCGTAATGTCCCATTATTATATGATCAAGTTCATATTCTTTGGTGAGTATTTAAGGCTCTTCTTTTTTTAATTTTTATTTATTATTATTATTATTTTTAGAGAGAGGGTCTCACTCTGTCACCCAGGCTGGAATGCAGTGGCTCAATCATAGCTCACTGCATCATTGAACTCCCAGGCTCAAGTAATCCCCCCATCTCAGCCTCCCCAGTAGCTGGGACTGCAGGTGCATACCACCATGCCTGGCTAATTTTTTTTTTTGGAGAGACAGTGTCTCAATATGTTGTCCAGGCTGGTCTCAAACACCTGGCCTCACAGGATTCTCCTGCCTCGGCCTCCCAAAGTGCTGGGATTATGGGCGTAAGCCACCACTCCTGGCTTCGAAGCCTTTCATTTTTATTTGTTTACTTTCTTTTAGGTTTGGGTGTACATGTACAGGTTTGATATGCAGGTAAACTCGTGTCATGGGAGTTTGTTGTACAGATTACTTCATCACCCAGGTACTAAGCCTAGTACCCAATAGTTACTTTTTCTGCTGCTCCCCCCACCTCCTACCCTTCTCCCACCCTCCACCCTCAAGTGGGCCCCAGTATCTGCTGTTCTCTTCTTTGTGTTCATGACTTCTCATCATTTAGCTCCCGCTTATAAGTAAGAACATGCAGTATTTGGTTTCCTGTGTCTGTTAGTTTGCTAAGGATAATGGCCTCCAGCTCCAACCATGTTCACATGAAAGACATGATCTTGTTGTTTTTCATAACTGCAGAGTGTTCTATGGTGTATACGTACCACATTTTCATTATCCAATCTGTCATCGATGGGCATTTAGGTTGATTCCATGTCTTTGCTATGGTAAACAGTGCCGCAATAAATATTCACATGCGTGTATCTTTATGGTAGAATGATTTATATTCCTCTGAGTATATAGCCAGTAATGGGATTGCTGGGTCTAATAGTAGTTTTGTTTTTAACTCTTTGAGGAATCACCATACTGCTTTCCACAATGGTTGAGTCAATTTACACTCCCACTAACAGTGTGTAAGTGTTCCCTTTTCTCTACAACCTCACCAGCATCTGTTATTTTTTGACTTTTTAATAATAGATATTCTGACTGGTGTGCGATGTTATCTCATTGTGGTTTTGCCACTTGAATTTCTCTAATGATCAGTGATATTGTTTTTCATATGTTTGTTGACCACATGTAGGTCTTCTTTAGAAAAGTGTCTTTTCATGTCTTTTGCCCACTTTTTAATGGGGTTATTTGTTTTTTCTTGTAAATTTCTTTAAGTTCCTTATAGATGCTGGATATTAGACCTTTGTCAGACGCGTAGTTGCAAATATTTTATCCCATTCTGTAGGCTGTTTATTCTGCTAATTGATAGTTTCTTTTGCTGTGCAGAAGCTCTTTAGTTTAATTAGATCCCATTTGTCAATTTTCGCTTTTGTTGTGATTGCTTTTGGCATCTTTGTCATGAAACCTTTGCCCATTCCTGTGTCCAGGATTGTATTGCCTAGATTGTCTTCCAGGGTTTTTATAGTTTGAGGTCTTACACTGAAGTCTTTAATCCACCTTGCATTGATTTTTGCATGTGGTATGTATGAGGAAGGGGTCCAGTTTCAATCTTCCACATATGGCTAGTCAGTTATCCCAGTACTATTTATTGAGTAGGAGTCCTCTCCTTATTGTTTATTTTTGTCAGCCTTGTTGAAGATCAGATGGTCCTAGATGTGCAGCCTTATTTCTGGGCTCTCTATTCTGTTCCATTGGTCTATGTGTCTGTTTTTGTACCAGTACCATGCTGTTTTGGTTACTGTAGCCCTGTAGTATGTAGTCTGAAGTCAGGTGACGTGATGCCTCCAGCTTTGTTCTTTTTGCTTAGAATTGCCTTG
The DNA here is from genome assembly GCF_000001405.40 of Homo sapiens. Lineage (NCBI taxonomy): Eukaryota > Metazoa > Chordata > Mammalia > Primates > Hominidae > Homo > Homo sapiens. The sequence continues at coordinate 219,829,163 of NC_000001.11, forward strand.
GCTATTCAAAAGCCCTTCATTTTTAAACAGGGGCTTAGGGGCACTGAATTCCTGTGGGTTCTCCTGGTTGACTAAGCTGGAATAGACTGGTGAGCCAGAGGGACCTTCAACCTAGACATGAGGCAACTCTAAGCTGAATGACAGGTTTATTCTCTCTATTTTTGGTATATTTAAATTTTATAAAATGAAACATATTTTAAAAAATTATCCCCTAACAGTACAGTATTTATCCAGCTCCAGGTTTTCATGTTCCACCTTCATATTATTATTTTGTAATATCTTATACAATATTTTTCTTTCTATTGACTTTAAACCGATCCACTATTTTACCAAGATTTGTACTAATGATAATACTAATGATAATACTCAAGATTTGTACTAATGATAATACTAATGTTATCACAGGTTTGATGAACTAGTGTTGTCATTTTCTAATATACATTAAGATCAGTGTGTAACTATCAAAAGAAAAATATTTCTGCCAGTACAATTTGTAGCAATTATTCAGATCAACAACTATATACAGACCCTATTTTGGGAAACACCAACAGGAAAAAAGTTAACAATCACAAGTCTTTCAATTAGACTGAAACAAAAGGAACACTGAGGAGGGGAGCAAATACTGCCTTTATAAAGTGTTATGGGACCAAGCTGAGAAAGACCTCGAATGCCAAGTCCTTTGGTGGTAACATCTCAACTACTGAAGAAATGAAATTATCAGCCAGGGAAATGGGATTATCAGAGCTACACTTGAGAGAAAGCAATGAGTTACAATGTGTAATAACTGAAATCCTGATCTTCCCCCACCCCCAAAATATGCTCCTCTCAGGATCTTCCCCTTTCAGTTAAGTGACAGCCCCTTCCCGCCTCCATTCTCCCAGTTGCTCAGGCTGAAATCCTTGTCTCTTTTTCCCAGTCATCCACAGCCCATCCATCAGCAAACCCTTTTGGTTTTACTTTCCAAATAGAACCAGCCTTTTCTCACCATTTCTACAAGTACCACCAACTACAAAAAAGCATCATCTTTTTAATTTTTTTTTTTATTTTTTAGGAGCAGGGTCTCACTCTGTCACCACGGCTGGAGTGCAGTGGTGCAATCATAGTTCACTGCAACCTCAAACTTCCAGGCTCAAGCAATCTTCCTGAGTAGCTAGGACTACGGGGCGTGCCACCATGCCCAGCTAATATTTTTATTTTTTGTGTGTAGAGACTAGGTCTCACAATATTGCCTGGGCTGGTCTTGAACTCCTGGCCTCAATGGATCTTTCTGCCCCAGCCTCCCAAAGCGCTGGGATTACAGGCATAAGCCACCACACCAGGCCTCATTTGTCTCTTGCTCGTAGTATTAAATAGCCTCCTAATGGCTTCCTGCTTCCTTCTTATCTCCTCTGCAGTCCTTTCTCCACAAAGCAGCAAGAAGTATCTCTTTTTTAAATAAAATACTTGTGTGTGTATTTTATAAAAACACGTGGCCTTACATAATCTCAGCACAATTATCAAAATCAAGAAAATTAGCACTGATAGGATACTATTATCTAATCCCCAGTTGATAGTCATATGTAATTGATTGTCCCAATAATGTCCTTTAATAGCTCCCACCTACCCCAGTGCAAGATCCAGTTCTATATCACATCGTGTATTTATCTGTTATGGCTCTTTGTTCCCGTTTAATCTGAAATGATTCCTTAGCCAATTTTTTTGTTTCTTAGCCTGAATATTTATTTAAAAAAATATAAACCAGTTATTTTGGAGAAGGCTTCCCAGTCTGAATTTTTCTGATATTTCTCCATGATTAGGATTCAGGTAATGCCTTCTGGAGGGCAGAAAAACCATGAAAGAGATGTGGTGCCCTCAGTGCTTCCTTTCCAGAAGCACACAACGCTAGTTTGTCTATTTTTCGTCATATTAATGGTGATTCTTTATGAACATCTGACAATGTTCTTCAACCATAAGTACGTTCCTGCTTTCTCCCCCGTACTTCCTTTGCAGGTAAATACCTTAAGGTTATGCAAGTAACTGTTCAATCATCAAACTTTCAATCACTAGTTTTGGCATCCATTGATAATTTTCTAAATTCACTGTCCCTTCTACATTTATGAATTGGCAATACAATGTAAGGAGAAACATTTTTGTCCCTCCAATTTATTTATTTATTCACCCATTCATTCATTTACCTTAGTACAAACTCATAAACCTTAACTGAATTTATTGGTTTATAATCCCAATTTTATGCTAAAATTGGTCCAGATTTGGTAAATAAAACCTCTTTAAGCTAGTTGCTATGTCCTGTTTATTATTATTATTATTATTGTTATTATTATTATACTTTAAGCTCTGGGATACATGTGCAGAACGTGCAGGTTTGTTACATAGCTGCACACATGCCATGGTGGTTTGCTGCACCCATCAACCCGTCATCTACATTAGGTATTTCTCCTAATGCTATCCCTCCCCTACCCCCAACCCCAGATAGGCCTAAAACCATAAAAACCCTAGAAGAAAACCTGGGCAATACCATTCAGGACATAGGCATGGGCAAAGACTTCATGACTAAAACACCAAAAGCAATGGCAACAAAAGCAAAAATTGACAAATGGGATCTAATTAAACTAAAGAGCTTCTGCACAGCAAAAGTAACTATCATCAGAGTGAACAGACAACCTACAGAATGGGAGAGAAAATTTTTGCGATCTATCCATTTGACAATGGGCTAATATTCAGAATCTACAAGGAACTTAATTGAATTTACAAGAAAAAAACAAACAACCCCATAAAAAAGTGGGTGAAGGATATGAACAGACATTTCTCAAAAGAAGACATTTATGCGGCCAACAAACATATGAAAAAAAGCTCATCATCACTGGTCATTAGAGAAATGCAATTCAAAACCACAGTGAGATACCATCACATGCCAGTTAGAATGGCGATCATTAAAAGGTCAGGAAACAACAGATGCTGGAGAGGATGTGGAGAAATAGGAATGCTTTTACACTGTTGGTGGGAGTGTAAATTAGTTCAACCATTGTGGAAGACAGTGTGGCGATTCCTCAAGGATCTAAACCAGAAATACCTTTTGACCCAGCAATCAGATTACTGGGTATATACCCAAAGGATTATAAATCATTCTACTATAAAGACACATGCACACGTATGTTTACTGCAGCACTGTTCACAATAACAAAGACTTGGAACCAACCCAAATGCCTATCCATGATAGACTGGATAAAGAAAATGTGGCACGTATACAACATGGAATACTATGCAGCCATAAAAAAAGACGGGTTCATGTCCTTTGCAGGGACATGGATGAAGCTGGAAACTATGTTCTTTTTTTCAAAAAAAATGAACTTTTTATTTTGGAATAATTTTATATTTATAGAAAAGTTACAAAGATGGTAGAGAGCTCACATATACCCCTTACCCAACTTCTCCCACTATAACCATTTTACATTACCATGGCACTGTTCTCAAAACTAAGTAACCAGCAGTGGTACATTACTATTAACTACACTCCAGACTTTATTAAGGTTTACCACTTTTTCCACTAAGGCCCTTTCTCTGCTCCAGGATCCAAGGCAGTATGCCATGTTGCATTTTGTCCTCGTGTCATCTTAGTCTACTCTACTCTCACAGTTGTTCAGTCTTGCCTTGTATTTCATGACCTCAAAAGTTCTGAGAAGTACTGGTCAGGTAATTTTTAGAATATACCTCAATACAGGTTCATCATATGTTTTCATCATGATTCAACATGGATTATGGGATCTGGAAAAGAATACCACAGAGATGAGGTCCTCTCGTCATCATAGCAAAACAGGAAGTAGTGTGGTAGCAACATGACTTATTACTGGTGATGTTAAACTTGATCATTTTGGTTAAAGTAGTGTTTGCCAGTTTTCTCCACTGTAAAGTTACTATTTTCCCCTTTCTATATCTACTCACTGGAAATCAGTCACTATGTCCAGTTCACACTTTTGGAGAGTGAGGAGAGGGTAGATTATACACACATACTATCTGAAATTCTTCTGTAATGAAAATTTATTGCTCATCCTTCATTAATTTGATTATTCAATTATTTATGTATAGCAACATAGGCTTATGTACATTTATTTTATACTTGTGTTATAATTCAATGCTACATTTAAAAAAAAATTACTGTTTAAATTCTTCCAGTTTTGGCCCCCAGGAGCTCTTTCAGGTTAGTATGTCTGTCCCATGCATGCCTACATGCTTTTACTTTCTGAGCACTTCCTTATTTCCTGACACTACAAGACTCTCCAGGCTCATCTTGTATTTTTCGCACTCTTGCCCTAGAATCAGCCATGTCTCCAAAAAGCCCTGGCCCCTTTCACTGAAAAACAATCTTTAGAAAAAGCAAGATCTGAGTGTTCAGCGTGCTCATTGCTCCTGGGGTGGCACTGGCTCTAGACCAAGAAACTTCCTTTTAAACCATAAGCGAGAGAGGCATGGTGGTGAGAGATGAGGCTTGAACACCCACTGGGTTTTTGTTGTGCTGATCTCAGTAAGGACCAAAGCAGTAATTTACATTCTAGATCCTCTGGGAAAACAGAATAAATCCCACAGATGAGTTAGTTGGGAGAAAAACATGAACATAGGTGATGCAGTGCATGCCAGAATTGAGAGAACTAGATGAAAAAGGAGTGTGCAAGGACAGGCCTGGTGTATGCCTGTGCCCAGTGAAATTATAAATCGCATGCTCTTTGCACCCAAAAGTGTCCCCATTTGGACTACAAATTACCTGGTCAACTTAGAAACTGCCTTGAAGATGAGATTTGTGATAGCTGAGCCACTGATTAAGAATATTACAATGTTTTGCTGTGTCAAACAATGTAATCATTCCTTTGCACATTTTATAGAAATTTTTATAAAGATTTAAACCATATTTCAGTGTTTCTTGGATGTCAAATGTGCCTCCGTTAAATGTGCTTCTTTTCTCTTTGGCACCTAGCTGTCCTCCCCAGGCTAAGCCCTCCCTCCAAAGAGGAAAAGAGCTCCATCTGAAAAATCCATTTGCTACAAGAGATAGAAAGAAGTTATTTAGGCAGATAGTATGGGTAAGAGAGTCCTCAGCAGAATTTCCCTTTTAATGAAAAACAGCCTCAAACTCGTTTCTTTTCTAACAACTGCCTGAAAAATCGAGCTGCAGACATAGATACAAGCAAGCTAGAAGCTTGCACAGGTGAATGCTGGCAGCTGTGCCAATAGGAAAGGGCTACCTGAGAGCCAGGCATGTTCCACATGGAGGCTCTATCTTCCCTTTTCTTTGTCACCACGTGTACAGTAAGGAAACAGGCAACATGGCATCAGCCAGATAGAGAACCCATCTGCATAATAAAAGATTAGGGTGGGGTGGCCAGCTTTTTCATGCCCTATGCAAATGGCACATCTAGCCCTAACCAGTTTTTCGCACCCTATGCAAATGACACACCTGGTCCAACCAATCTTTTGTGCCCTATGTAAATCCAATACCACCTCCTCAAGCTCATCTATAAAACCTGATGTATTTCACAATGGACCAGAAAACCTGCTCGGGACCCCTCTCTCTGCAGGAGAGAGCTCTTCTCTTTCTTTCACCTATTAAACCTCTGCTCTTAACCTCACTGCTCGTGTGTCCGTATCTTTGATTTCTTTGGCGTGGGACACTGAACCTCGGGTATTACCCCAGATGAATGATGCTGCTTTGCATTGTTTCTATAGTCAATTGACCTCATCAATTGTGCTCAGTTTATAATCTCTGAACTTTTTCTACCTGAGGCCCTTTTGGTGTCCTAGGAGAAGATATGACAAATAGGAGGAAAGAAATTTAGAAATTTACCTTCTTTTTTTTTTTCTTCTTGAGACGGAGTCTTGCTCTGTCGCCAGGCTGGAGTGCAGTGGCGCAATCTCTTCTCACTGCAACCTCTGCCTCCCAGGTTCAAGCGATTCCCCTGCCTCAGCCTCCCAAGTAGCTGGGACTGCAGGCACATGCCACAATGCTCAGATAATTTTTTTGTATTTTTGTAGAGATGGGGTTTCACCTGTTGGCCGGGATGGTCTTGATCTCCTGGCCTCGTGATCTGCCCGCCTTGGCATCCCAAAGTGCTGGGATTACAGGCGTGAGCCACAGCGCCCAACCAACAAATTTACCTTCTAACCATCTTTTCTCGCTTACCCCATCCTCTTTCAGCTTGACCTGTATCTTGGGTAACATCTTAACCTTATGTCCACAGCTTCCTCCACTGTGTGTCCTCGCTTCACTTCAACACACCATCTTGAAGGACACAGGACACAGGTAGCATGGGAAGTAAGCTTCATGCAAGGATCTAGAGTTCAGATTTTGACATTTGAAACCACTACTGTTTATGCAGCAAGAAAAAGAAAAAGTTTTCTTCTTAGATTAAAAAAAAAAAAGGCAGAGCAAACTATACAGTGTAATTTGAAAACTCCAGCTGTCCACCCAACAAGAAAAAGGAGTCCAGTAATTCCTGGCAATGACAGAAATTTGGTGAATGTACATAGTGCTAAATTTGGAATCTAGCTGAACACTCATTTTTAAATTGGTTTTATGAAACAATGATTGCTCTAGAAAGTGTGGTCCTAGAAAATTTAATCAACTGCAAAAGAACCAATAGAGTTTGTGAAGGCTTGACAATTAAATCGTTTTAAATATTTAACTAAAAGGGTCTCCTGGTTTCTTTCAAAGTTGTACCAGCAAGGGTTACCTAAGTGCAAGCAAGCCCAGGTGACATTTTTATATTTCCAGGAAACTCTTGTGCCAGGATTCAGCCCTTAGAGAATGATCAAATCTTCATTAAAACTCCCAAAAGTAGGAATTGAGACCAGGAAATAAGACATTCTCACTCCACCAGTGTGTTTAGTGCCAGAGCTCAAACTGTGAGAGCTGCTCAGGAAAAGGTCTTAGACCTGGCAAAGGATGTGTTGTAAAAACCCACAGCCCCCATAGCGACCTGCCCCATTTCCTGCAGAAAGAGGCAAGGACCTGCCCAGAGCCAGAGGTCAGAAGGTAGCTGTGGAGTAGCCCTGCTCAAGTGGCCTCCTTAACCTGGTGTCCTGAGAATGTGGCTCAGAGCCAAGCCTGGGAAAATCTGGAGAGTCCATCTGAGGTTCAAGGTACAGTCCCTTCCTCTCACCACCTCCTTCTTTTGGGGGGCTGTGGTCGGGAGGGTGGTTTCAGGAAGCAGGGTCTTGCTCTGATACCCTGGCTGAGTGCAGGGGCACAATCACAGCCCACTGGGGCCTCAACTTCTTGGACTCAGGTGATCCTTCCACTTCAGAATCCCGAGTAGCTGGGACTACAGACATGCGCCACCCTGCCTGGCTAATTTTTTTATTTTTTGTAGAGATGTGGTCTCGCTATGTTGCCCAAACTGGTCTCCAACTCCTGGGTTCAAGTAGTCCTCCCACTTCAGCCTCCCGAAGTGCTGGGATTACAGGCATGAGCCATCTTACCCAGCCTCTTTCTTCAATCTCAGGACCAGGCTCTACCCTGGAGTGACTGTACCAATGGCAGGTATCAGAATCAATTTATTTTCATGCTTCACCTTTTCATGCTTCACCTGCCTATGTTCACAATTCAGAGCAATAATTCCAATGAGAGTTTCATCATCACCTCTCTATTTTTCACTGATGGTGTTGTCATTATTGGGGTTAGGGCAAAGTGGGGCATAATAGCAAAGACATGAATTCAACTTAAGTGTCCATCGACAGAGGATTGGATAAAGAAAATGTAGCATATATACACAAAAGAATATACACTGCCATAAAAGAGAACGAAATCACATCTTTTGCTGCAACATGGATGGACCTAGAGGTCATTACCGTAAGTAAAAACATCTCAGAAACAAAGCCAAATACCGCATGTTCTCACTTAAAAGTGGGTGCTAAATAACATGTACACATGGACGTAGAGTGTGCAATAATAGTCACTGGAGACTCAAAAGGGTGGAGAGGTGGGAGGGGTGAGGAATGAGAAATTAATTACTTGATGGGCATGACGTAGGTTATTTGGGTGATGGTTACACTAAAAGCTGAGACTTTACCATTGTGTAATATATCCATGTTAAAAAAAAAAACTGCACCTATACCCTTTAAATTTATACAAATTTTATAAGAAAGTGAAGAAGTAGAATTGTCAATGAGTGCCAATTGTTAATCAGGAGACTCTTGTTCTGATACTACTACAACTTACCATTGGATTTGAGAGATGTTGCTTAGATTCTTCAGGAGTCAGTTTTCCCATCTATAGAATGAGAGTCCGGAGCAGGTAAGTATAGTGTAATGGAAAGTCCACAACACTGAGTCACAATTCCTGGTGTGAAACCTAAAGCACCTAATTTAGCCTTCCTTTGCCTAACTCTCCTTTCATTTAAAATGGAGATAATAAGATCTGTGTTGTCTATTTTTCAGGGCTACTTTGAGGGTCAAATCATGTGAGAGTTCTTTAAAAACTTTTCAGCGATACATAAACATACAGCGTTACTCTAACTGTTGCTGCTTTACCATTGTCTTCTAAGTTCCCTTTACATTCTAAAATCATGATTTCAAAGTCTTTCAACATGAAATACTGTACCTGGCATTCCCTTAACTCTTTCATGGTCTTTCATGTATTCAGCCTTGGAATGTGATCTTAGAACAAATGAACCAAAGACAACACCAACATCCACCTCTGCTTTCTCGCTCTTTCAAGTTCTAACAGTCGAGAATGTGAATGCTCAGTTACTTAGAATAAAGATCGTCCAGTAGATGGTGCTGCTGTCTCTGAAAATGGACTGAGAAACCAAAGCGACTTCATCTTCCCTACTAAAAAGTTTGGAGAATACAGTTGAGGCCAGTCTATGGAGAGCCTTGAGTGGTAATCAAAGAGTGTTTGAGTTATTGTCTATTCAGTGTGAGGTCAGTCCACAGTGTGAGCCGAAAAAAAACAATGATGAAAGACATTAATTGGAAAAGTTAATTTGATAGAAAACTAAAGGATAGGATGTAGAAGACAGTGACCTGTTCAAGCGTGAAAAGACAGAAAGGCCTTGAGTTTCCAGAGTCTATAGACAAGTAATAAAATGCATAACAATAATAACAATAATTTAAGTAATATTAATTTTTAATAAGTTAATATCAACATAATTATTATTATGAAGCACTGTTCTAATCACTTTACATAATGTTAACTATTTAACCTTCACAATAAAGCTATGAAGGAGGAATTGTTATTATGCCCATATTATAGAGGAGTAAACTGAGGTTGAGTAACTTGCCCAGAGTCACTCAGCTCATACATGGACTTGAGCTGAGATTCATATCTAAGCAGTAGGCTCCAGAGTGTGTGCTCTGGTGACCTACACTAAAATGGCTTCATCTTTTACAGCCCCCATGGTAAACAGCAATAACATCGAACAAATCATCGAACAATAACATCCACTAAATGGATGATTAGAAAAGAGTAAGATGACAGTCCGGCCTTTCCCACCCTGAATTTAAGGTGAGGACAGGGTGTACCTCACTTAAACCAATGAAGTCATTTGGTCCATTCACTATCTTAATCAACATGGGATTCCCTTTTACAACTTTTCAGAATGGTTATTATAAGGTCGAAAATGAAAGGCAAGGTCATTTTCTCCTAAGACTTCATCTTTTCCTTACAACCAAATTGGCCTTTGTTTGTCAGGCTTAAAATCAAGGTGAAAGGTTCCTTCACTGCTTCCTCTGTGTATAAGAGATAGTGTTGGCTCCATATCTGTTCACCCATCCACCCATTTTTTAACATAGCCACATCTTGACTTCTTACAGGAACAAGGACAAGTTGGAGGTAGAGAGGGGAAAAATCTAGTGCATAGCATTTATTTTTGATGTAACAGTGTATTTTGTCATTTTTTCATTTGTATTTTCAAGTGCATCTCATTGCAAAGTGTTCAGGTCACTTTGCTCTTTGAAGGCTCTCTAATTGACATTAAATCCATAATGTATTGACGTAGAGTGAATTATAGGAACCTAACAGTAAGAGAAAGGAAAGAGGAGCCACTTATGAGTTGAACTGTCACGGAGCTGCTGTTCCTTCGGCACTACTGAATGCAAATTCTTGGTATGTTCCTAAGGATGCTAGACTTCCCAGTCTACAGAATTTGAGATCTTTCTGTTGAAAAATAAGAAATGTTGGGGGGGTGGCGCCAAGATGGCTGAATAGGAACAGCTCCCGTCTACAGCTCCCAGCTTGAGCGACACAGAAGACGGGTGATTTCTGCATTTCCATCTGAGGTACCGGGTTCATCTCACTAGGGAGTGCCAGACAGTGGGCGCAGGACAGTGGGTGCAGCACACCGTGCGCGAGACGAAGCAGGGCGAGGCATTGCCTCGCTCGGGTAGCGCAAGGGGTCAGGGAGTTCCCTTTCCTAGTCAAAGAAAGGGGTGACAGACGGCACCTGGAAAATCGGGTCACTCCCACCCTAATACCGCGCTTTTCCGACAGGCTTAAAAAATGGAGCACCACGAGATTATATCCCGCACCTGGCTTGGAGGGTTCTATGCCCACGGAATCTCGCTGATTGCTAGCACAGCAGTCTGAGATCAAACTGCAAGCCGGCAGCGAGGCTGAGGGAGGGGCGCCCGCCATTGCCCAGGATTGATTAGGTAAACAAAGCAGCGGGAAGCTCGAACTGGGTGGAGCCCACCACAGCTCAAGGAGGCCTGCCTGCATCTCTAGGCTACACCTCTGGGGGCAGGGCACAGACAAACAAAAAGACAGCAGTAACCTCTGCAGCCTTAAATGTCCCTGTCTGACAGCTTTGAAGAGAGCAGTGGTTCTCCCAGCACGCAGCTGGAGATCTGAGAACGGGCAGACTGCCTCCTCAAGTGGGTCCCTGACCCCTGACCCTTGAGCAGCCTAACTGGGAGGCACCCCGCAGTAGGGGCAGACTGACACCTCACACGGCCGGGTACTCCTCTGAGACAAAACTGCCAGAGGAATGATCAGACAGCAGCATTCACAGTTCACGAAAACCCGCTGTTCTGCAGCCACCGCTGCTGGTACCCAGGCACACACGGTCTGGAGTGGACCTCTAGCAAACTCCAACAGACCTGCAGCTGAGGGTCCTGTCTGTTAGAAGGAAAACTAACAAACAGAAAGGACATCTACACCAAAAACCCATCTGTACGTCACCATCATCAAAGAACAAAAGTAGATAAAATCACAAAGATGGGGAAAAAACAGAGCAGAAAAACTGGAAACTCTAAAAGGCAGAGCGCCTCTCCTCCTCCAAAGGAATGCAGCTCCTCACCAGCAACGGAACAAAGCTAGATGGAGAATGACTTTGATGAGCTGAGAGAAGAAGGCTTCAGATGATCAAACCACTCCGAGCTACGGGAGGAAATTCAAACCAAAGGCAAAGAAGTTGAAAACTTTGAAAAAAATTTAGACGAATGTATAACTAGAATAACCAATACAGAGAAGTGCTTAAAGGAGCTGATGGAGCTGAAAGCCAAGGCTCGAGAGCTACATGAAGAATGCAGAAGCCTCAGGAGCCAATGCGATCAACTGGAAGAAAGGGTATCAGTGATGGAAGATGAAATGAATGAAATGAAGCGAGAAGGGAAGTTTAGAGAAAAAAGAATAAAAAGAAACGAGCAAAGCCTCCAAGGAATATGGGACTATGTGAAAAGACCAAACCTACATCTGATTGGTGTACCTGAAAGTGACGGGGAGAATGGAATCAAGTTGGAAAACACCCTTCAGGATATTATCCAGGAGAACTTCCCCAATCTAGGAAGGCATGCCAACATTCAAATTCAGGAAATACAGAGAATGCCACAAAGATATTCCTCAAGAAGAGCAACTCCAAGACACATAATTGTCAGATTCACCAAAGTTGAAATGAAGGAAAAAATGTTAAGGGCAGCCAGAGAGAAAGGTCGGGTTACCCACAAAGGGAAGCCCATCAGACTAACAGTGGATCTCTCGGCAGAAACTCTACAACCCAGAAGAGAGTGGGGGCCAATATTCAACATTCTTAAAGAAAAGAATTTTCAACTCAGAATTTCATATCCAGCCAAACTAAGCTTCATAAGTGAAGGGGAAATAAAATACTTTACAGATAAGCAGATGCTGAGAGATTTTGTCACCACCAGGCCTGCCCTAAAAGAGCTCCTGAAGGAAGCACTAAACATGGAAAGGAACAACCGGTACCAGCCACTGCAAAATCATGCCAAATTGTAAAGACCATCAAGGCTAGGAAGAAACTGCATCAACTAACGAGCAAAATAACCAACTAACATCATAATGACAGGATCAAATTCACACATAACAATATTAACTTTAAATTGTAAGTGGACTAAATGCTCCAATTAAAAGACACAGACTGGCAAATTGGATAAAGAGTCAAGACCCATCAGTGTGCTGTATTCAGGAAACCCATCTCACGTGCAGAGACACACATAGGCTCAAAATAAAAGGATGGAGGAAGATCTACCAAGCAAATGAAAAACAAAAAAAGGCAGGGGTTGCAATCCTAGTCTCTGATAAAACAGACTTTAAACCAACAAAGATCAAAAGAGACAAAGAAGGCCATTACATAATGGTAAAGGGATCAATTCAACAAGAAGAGCTAACTATCCTAAATATATATGCACCCAATACAGGAGCACCCAGATTCATAAAGCAAGTCCTGAGTGACCTACAAAGAGACTTAGACTCCCACACCTTAATAATGGGAGACTTTGACACCCCACTGTCAACATTAGACAGATCAACGAGACAGAAAGTTAACAAGGATACCCAGGAATTGAACTCAGCTCTGCACCAAGTGGACCGAATAGACATCTACAGAGTTCTCCACCCCAAATCAACAGAATATACATTTTTTTCAGCACCACACCACACCTATTCCAAAATTGACCACATACTTGGAAGTAAAGCTCTCCTCATCAAATGTAAAAGATCAGAAATTATAACAAACTATCTCTCAGAACACAGTGCAATCAAACTAGAACTCAGGATTAAGAAACTCACTCAAAACCGCTCAACTACATGGAAACTGAACAACCTGCTCCTGAATGACTACCGGGTAAATAACGAAATGAAGGCAGAAATAAAGATGTTCTTTGAAACCAATGAGAACAAAGACACAACATACCAGAATCTCTGGGACACATTCAAAGCAGTGTGTAGAGGGAAATGTATAGCACTAAATGCCCACAAGAGAAACCAGGAAAGATCCAAAATTGACACCCTAACATCACAATTAAAAGAACTGGAAAAGCAAGAGCAAACACATTCAAAAGCTAGCAGAAGGCAAGAAATAACTAAAATCAGAGCAGAACTGAAGGAAATAGAGACACAAAAAACCCTTCAAAAAATTAATGACTCCAGGAGCTGGTTTTTTGAAAGGATCAACAAAATTGATAGACCGCTAGCCAGACTAATAAAGAAAAAAAGAGAGAAGAATCAAACTGACACAATAAAAAATGATAAAGGGGATATCACCACCGATCCCACAGAAATACAAACTACCATCAGAGAATATTACAAACACCTCTATGCAAATAAACTAGAAAATCTAGAAGAAATGGATAAATTCCTTGACACATACACCCTCCCAAGACTAAACCAGGAAGAAGTTGAATCTCTGAATAGACCAATAACAGGCTCTGAAATTGTGGCAATAATCATTAGCTTACCAACCAAAAAGAGTCCAGGACCAGATGGATTCACAGCCGAATTCTACCAGAGGTACAAAGAGGAACTGGTACCATTCCTTCTGAAACTATTCCAATCAATAGAAAAAGAGGGAATCCTCCCTAACTCATTTTATGAGGCCAGCATCATCCTGATACCAAAGCCGGGCAGAGACACAACCAAAAAAGAGAATTTTAGACCAACATCCTTGATGAACATTGATGCAAAAATCCTCAATAAAATACTGGTAAACCGAATCCAGCAGCACATCAAAAAGCTTATCCACCATGATCAAGTGGGCTTCATCCCTGGGATGCAAAGCTGGTTCAATATACACAAATCAATAAATGTAATCCAGCATATAAACAGAACCAAAGACAAAAACCACATGATTATCTCAATAGATGCAGAAAAGGCCTTTAACAAAATTCAGCAGCCCTTCATGCTAAAAACTCTCAATAAATTAGGTAGTGATGGGACGTATCTCAAAATAGTAAGAGCTATCTATGACAAACCCACAGCCAATATCATACTGAATGGGCAAAAACTGGAAGCATTCCCTTTGAAAACTGGCACAAGACAGGGATGCCCTCTCTCACCACTCCTGTTCAAACATAGTGTTGGAAGTTCTGGCCAGGGCGATTAGTCAGGAGAAGGAAATAAAGGGTATTCAATTAGGAAAAGAGGAAGTCAAATGGTCCCTGTTTGTAGATGACATGATTGTATATCTAGAAAACCCCATTGTCTCAGCCCAAAATCTCCTTAAGCTGATAAGCAACTTCAGCAAAGTCTCAGGATACAAAATCAATGTACAAAAATCACAAGCATTCTTATACACCAATAATAGACAAACAGATAGGCAGATCATGAGTGAACTCCCATTCACAATTGCTACAAAGAGAATAAAATACCTAGGAATCCAACTTACAAGGGACGTGAAGGACCTCTTCAAGGAGAACTACAAACCACTGCTCAATGAAATAAAAGAGGATACAAACAAATGGAAGAACATTCCATGCTCATGGGTAGGAAGAATCAGTATCATGAAAATGGCCATACTGCCCAAGGTAATTTATAGATTCAATGCCATCCCCATCAAGCTACCAATGACTTTCTTCACAGAATTGGAAAAAACTACTTTAAAGTTCATATGGAACCAAAAAAGAGCCTGCATCACCAAGTCAATCCTAAGCCAAAAGAACAAAGCTGGAGGCATCACACTACCTGACTTCAAACTATACTACAAGGCTACAGTAACCAAAACAGCACGATACTGGTACCAAAACAGAGATATAGATCAATGGAACAGAACAGAGCCCTCAGAAATAATGCCGCATATCTACAACTATCTGATTTTTGACAAACCTGACAAAAACAAGCAATGGGGAAAGGATTCCCTATTTAATAAATGGTGCTGGGAAAACTGGCTAGCCATATGTAGAAAGCTGAAACTGGATCCCTTCCTTACACCTTATACAAAAATTATTTCAAGATGGGTTAAAGACTTAAACGTTAGACCTAAAACCATAAAAACCCTAGAAGAAAACCATTCAGGACATAGGCATTACCATTCAGGACATAGGCATGGGCAAGGGCTTCATGTCTAAAACACCAAAAGCAATGGCAACAAAAGCCAAAATTGACAAATGGGATCTAATTAAACTAAAGAGCTTCTGCACAGCAAAAGAAACTACCATCAGATTGAACAGGCAACCTACAAAATGGGAGAAAATTTTCGCAACCTACTCATCTGACAAAGGGCTAATATCCAGAATCTACAATGAACTCAAACAAATTTACAAGAAAAAATCAAACAACTCCATCAAAAAGTGGGCAAAGGACATGAATGGACACTTCTCAAAAGAAGGCATTTTACATTTATGCAGCCAAAAAACACATGAAAAAATGCTTACCATCACTGGCCATCAGAGAAATGCAAATCAAAACCGCAATGAGATACCATCTCACACCAGTTAGAATGGCAATCATTAAAAAGTCAGGAAACAACAGGTGCTGGAGAGGATGTGGAGAAATAGGAACACTTTTACACTGTTGGTGGGACTGTAAACTAGTTCAACCATTGTGGAAGTTAGTGTGGCGATTCCTCAGGGATCTAGAACTAGAAATACCATTTGACCCAGCCATCCCATTACTGGGTATATACCCAAAGGACTATAAATCATGCTGCTATAAAGACACATGCACACGTATGTTTATTGCGGCACTATTCACAATAGCAAAGACTTGGGACCAACCCAAATGTCCAACAATGATAGACTGGATTAAGAAAATGTGGCACATATACACCATGGAATACTATGCAGCCATAAAAAATGATGAGTTCATGTCCTTTGTAGGGACATGGATGAAATTGGAAACCATCATTCTCAGTAAACTATCGCAAGTACAAAAAACCAAACACCGCATATTCTCACTCATAGGTGGGAATTGAACAATGAGAACACATGGACACGGGAAGGGGAACATCACACTCTGGGGACTGTTGTGGGGTGGGGTGAGGGGAGAGGGATAGCATTAGGAGATATACCTAATGCTAAATGACAAGTTAATGGGTGCAGCACACCAGCATGGCACATGTATACATATGTAACTAACCTGCACATTGTACACATGTACCCTAAAACTTAAAGTATAATAATAATAAAATAAAATAAAATAAAAAAGAAAAATAAGAAATGTTGTATATATTCAAATCATCTTAACATATCATTTCATTCAAATGCATGCTCTGAATGCATTGCTAGCTATTTAACCCTGGGAAAGATACTTACAGTCTTCTTCCCTCAGTTCCCTTGTCTATAAAATAAAACTGTCTAACTTGTAGGATAGTTTTTAAAAATAAATGAATTAATGCATGTAAAGCAGTTAAAACCATACCTGATACATAATAAGGGAACTGTAAATTTTAGCTCTATTTGTGTTACTTAATATCTCATTTGAGTCACATAACAACCTTATGAAATAAGATGGGTACACAGTATTATTTTAGTTTACAACTAGATTTCAGAAAGATTATGGGACTTTCCCACAATCATACAGCTAGTCAGTCTGAGAAAATTAGAAAAATGGCACTTGACATATAGTAAGTGCTCAACCAGTGTTTGCTGCTGTTGTCACTCTGATTTGGCAATGCTAAGTTCCAATTCCAGATTTTCTGACTCCAGTCCCAAATTAGTTTCTTTCTTTCATTTTTTTTTCTTTTTCCCTGCACTCAGGTTTCTATAGTGAATAGAATTATTCACTATAGAACTCAGAACTATTCAGTTTAGAACTGAAATACTAGCCAGACCTTGCAAGCAACACTATTACTTATAAGGTACTTCAATACCCAAGTTTTCCAAGTATTAACAAAATAAAATAAACTTGATGCCTCAAATTAAGACCAAGACTAAAAAAAATAGATCACACAAAAGTTATGCTCAGGAGGATTAGGAGGAAGATGGCAAATAAGAGACAGGGCTAATGTGCAGCTCCCACTTGGACCAACAGAACAGTGTGTGGAGACTCACATCGTTTTGCTCCAAGAACCACCACAGGAATGCACCAGGAAAACTGAAAGAATTCATGGATCCTTTGAAGGAAGCGGCATGCTACAGCAAATTTCATGAGACAGGCAAAAAACTGTAAGTTCCCAAAGTGTGAGAGGGGAAAACCTTCCTCCAAACATACATCCCCATGGGGGAATCTGAAAATCCAGATCACAGGATAAGGACTTAACCTTATCTAGTGCTGAAATGGATTTAGGGGCCTGCACAAAATCTAAAAGTAGAAGCAGCAGCAGGAAGAGCCCTGTAGGCACTCCCAGTCTCCAGCCTGAGCCCAAGGAAGCCATCCCTGACTATAACTCATGGAGGTCCTTGGGGAAGACAGCCAGCTGAACTGGGCGGTGGGGAGGTCACAGGGTGAAATAAGCTTCCAAATGAAATTTGTAATAATTTTGACTGGGCACAAATTTTCTCGAGCAGAATCCGAGGTGTGAACAGAAACTGCTGCATATACAAGCACAGGAGCTGCTGCCGAAATTGTGGGCAGACAGGGAGGGACAAGACCTGAAAGCCATGCTTGCTTTCTCAGCAGAGAAACTTAAGGCCTGGAACAAGGTCTGAGCAGGGCACTGCAGGAGCAAGACCACCCACCAACTGTGTGGCAGCTGGGTGAAGTCTTTAACTACCAGCTATCTCCTAGTTTTCTGGAAAACTATATGACACAGCAGAGGCAGCTATAATCCCCTCTGGAGCATAACTCCATTGGCCTGAGAACCACACCCCCATCCCTGACAGTGGTCATGGCAAGCCCCACCCAAGGAGAGCCTGAGCCCAGACCCATCTAAGCCTGCCCCCACCTGATGGTATTTCTCTACCTGCCCTGGTAGCCAAACACATAAGACATAAACTCTTGGGAGGTTTATGGCCCCACCCATCACCTGAGAAAACAAAATACTTGCCCTGGCCAACTTAGGGCAAACTTAGATCCCTCTACTACTATTGAAGCTGGTGTTCTCTTGAAAGTGCCACCTCCTGGCTGGAGGCCAACGAACTTTGGCCATTATAGCGACTCATGACAGAATAACCCTACTCCCACGAAGAAGAAAACAATGACTAAGTTCAATGCCTGCAACACCCTGGCTAACAGTGGTCCTGAGTGTGTCCACATGACTTCACTAGTAGCATAACCAGCATTAGAGAAAGCCAGCACACAGATATAAACATATCTACAACCAAGGACTTTCAGAGTCTACTTTACTCCCCTACCACCCACAGCAGAGCAGGTGCTGGTATGCATAGCTGGGAAACCTGAAGATGGATAACATCACAGGACTCTTTGCAGACATTCCCCAGCACCAGCCCAAAGCCTGGTAGCTAGACCCAGAAGAGCAGTAACAATCACTGCTGTCTGGCTTTCAGGAAGCCTCATCCCTGGGGGAAGGAAGAGAGTATCACATTAAGGGATCAGCTCGTGGGGCAAAAGAATCTGAACAGAAGGCCTTGGGTTCCAGACTTTTCCACTGAAATAGTCTACCCAAATGAGAAGGAACCAGAAAAGTAATTCTGCTAATATGACAAAATAGGGTTCTATAACACCCCTGAAAGATCACACTAGCTCCCCAGAAATAAATCCAAACCAAGAAGAAATCTTTGAATTGCTAGAAAAAGAATTCAGATGCTTGATTATTAAGCTATTCATAGAGATACCAGAGAAAGGTGAAAAACACCTTAAATAAACTTTAAAAAACAATAGAGGATGTGGATGAAAAATTCTCCACAGAAATAGATATCATAAAGAAAAAACAATCACAATTTCTGGAAATGAAAGACACACTTAGAGAAATACAAAATGCACTGGAAAGGTTTAAAAATAGACTAGAACAAGTAGAAGAAAGAACTTCAGAACTCGAAGACTAGGCTTTCAAATTAACCCAATCAGACAAAGACAAAGAAAAAAGACTTTTTGAAAATAATCAAAGCCTCCAAGAAATTTGGGATTATATTAAATGGTCAAAGCTAATAATTGGTGTTCCTAAGGAAAAAGAGAAATCTAAAAGTTTGGGAAAATTTTTGAGGGAATAATTGAGGAAAACTTCCCCAGCCTTGCTAGGACCTAGACATCCAAATACAAGAAGCTCAAAGAACACCTGGGAAATTCATTGCAAAAAGATCATCAGCTAGGCACAGGTTATCTAATGTCAAGATGGAGGAAAGAATCTTAAGAGCTGTGAGACAAAAGCATCAGGTAACCTATAAGGGAAAACCTATCAGATTAATGATAGATTTCTCAGCAGAAACCTTATAAGCCAGAAGGGATTCGGATTCTATCTTTAGCCTCCTCAAACAAAATAACTGTCAGCCAAGAATTTTGTATCCAGTGAAACTAAGCTTCATAAATGAAGCACAGATAAGATCTTTTTCAGACAAACAAATATTGAGAGATTTTGCCACGTCCAAGCTAGCACTATAAGAAATGTTAAAAGGATTTCTAAATCTTGAAATGAAATCTTAAAGTGCACCAAAACAGAACCTCTTTAAAGCATAACTCTCACATGGCCTATAAAACAATAACAGAATGAAAATTTAAAGAAAGGTATTTAGGCAACAACTAGCATGATGAATAGAACAGTACCTCACATCTCAACACCAATGTTGAATGTAAATGGCTTAAATGCCCACTTAAAAGATACAGAATGGCAGAATGGATAAAAATCCAACAAGTATCTGCTGTCTTCAAGAGGCTCACCTAACACATAAGACCTCACACAAACTTAAGATAAAGGGGTGAAAAAGATATTCCACGCAAATGGAAATGAAAAGCAGGCAGAAGAAGCTATTCTTATATCAGACAAAATAGACTTTAAAACAACAACAGTTAAAAAAAATACAAAGAGAGACTTTATATACTAATAAAAGGATTAGTCCAACAGGAAAATATCACAATCTTAAATATATATATGATCTAACACTAGAGGTCCCAAATGTATAAAACAATTACTACTGGACCTAAGAAATGAGATAGACGGCAATACAATAATACTAGGAGACTTCAATACTCCACAGACAGCACTAGACAGGTCATCAAAATAGAAAGTCAAAAAAGAAACAATGGACTTAAACTATACCCTAGAACAAATGGACTTAGCAGATATTTACAGAACATTCTACCCAACAACTTCAGAATTTACATTCTTTTCATCAACACATGAAACATCCTCCAAGATAGACCATATGATAGGTCACGAGTCTCAATACATCAAAATTATATCAAGTGTCCTCTGAGACCACAATGGAATAAAACAGGAAATTAGCTCCAAAAGGAACCCTCAAAACTATACAAATACATGAAAATTAAATAATCAGCTCTGGAATGATCGTTGTGTCAACAATGAAATTAAGATGGAAATTAAAGAATTCTTTGAACTGAATGATAATAGTGATACAAAACCTCTGGGATACAGCAAAGATGGTGCTAAGAGGAAAGTTCATAGCATTAAATATCTACAGCAAAAAGTCTGAAAGAGCACAAACATACAATCTAAGGTCACACCTCAAGGAACTAGAGCAACAAGAACAAACCAAACCCAAATCCAGCAGAAGAAAAGAAATAACAAAGGTCAGAACAGAACTGAATGAAATTGAAACAAACAAAAATACAAAAGATAAATGAAACCAAACCTGGTTCCTTGAAAAGATAAACAAAATTGATAGACCATTAATGAGATTAACCAAAAAAAGAAGAGAGAAGTTCCAAATAAGCTCAACTAGAAATAAAAAGGGAGATATTACAACCAATATCACAGAAACCCAAAAGATCATTCAATGCTACTATGTAAACCTTCATATGCACAAACTAGAAAATCTAGAGGAGATGGATAAATTCCTGGAAATATACAACCCTCCTAGACTAGTCAGGAAGAAATAAAAACTCTGAACAGACCAATAACATGTAGCAAGATTGAAACAGTAATTTTTAAAATTGCCAACAAATAAAAGAGTCCAGGACCAGATGGATTCACAGCTGAATTCTATCAGGCATTCAAAGAATTAGTACCAATCTTAATCAAACTATTCCAAAAGATAGAGAAAGAGTGAATCCTCCCTAAATCATTCTATGCAATGAGTATCACCCTAATACCAAAGCCAGGAAACGACATAACAGAAAAAGAAAACTACAGACTAATATCCTGCATGAACATAGATGCAAAAATCCTCAACAAAATATTAGCTAACTGAATCCAACAGCATATTGAAAAGAATATCCACCATGATCAAGTGGGTTTCATACCAGGGACGCAGGTATGGTTTTACATATGCAAGTCAATAAATGTGATACATCACATAAGCAGAATTTAAAAATCATATGGTCATCTCAATAGACACAAAAAAAGCATTTGACAAAATCCAGCATCCTTTTACGATTAAAATCCACAGCAAAATTGACAAACAAGGGACATACCTCAAGGTAATAAAAGCCATCTATTACAAATCCATAGCCAACATTATATTGAATGGGAAAAAGTTGAAAGCATTCTCCCTGAGAACTAGAACAAAACAAGAACGCCCACTTTCACTACTTCTATTCAACATAAAACTGGAAGTCCTAGCCAGAGCAAACAGACAAGAGGAAGAAATAAAGGGCATCCAAATCGGTTAAGAGGATGTCAAACTGTCGCTGTTCACAGATGTTATGATTACATATCTAGAAAACTCTAAAGCCTTGTGCAAACAGCTCCTGGGTCTGATAAATGAATTCAGAAAAGTTTCAGAATATAAAATCTCAGTGTACACAAATCAGTAGCACTGCTACATACCAACAGCAACCAAGCTGAGAATCAAATCAAGAACTCAATCCCCTTTACAACAGCTGTGAAAATAAAATAAAATATTTGGGAATATACCTAACCAAGGAGGTGAAACATCTCTGCAAGGAAAACTACAAAATGCTGCTGAAATAAATCATAGGCGACACAAACAAATGGAAACACATACCACATTCATGGATGGGTAGAATCAGTATTGTGAAAATGACTATACTGCCTAAAGCGATCTGCAGATTCAGTGCAATTCCCATCAAAATACCATCATCATTCTTCACAGAACTAGAAAAAAAATCATAAAATTCCTATGGAACAAAAAGTAAGAGCCTACATAGCCAAAGCAAGACTAAGCAAAAAGCACAAATCTGGGGGCATCACATTATCCCACTTCAAACTATACTACAAGGGTATTAAAAATAAGAATGTAGACTAATGGAACAGAATAGAAAACCCAGAAATAAAGCCAAATACGTACAACCAACTGATCTTCAACAAAGCAAACAAAAGCATATAGTGGGGAAAGAACATCCTATACAACAAATGGTACTGGGATAATTGGCAAGCCACATGTAAAAGAATAAAACTGTATCCTCATCTCTCACCTTATACAAAAATCAACTCAAGATGGATCAAAAACTTAAATCTAAAACCTGAAACCATAAAAATTCTGGAAGGTAATACCAGAAAAACTCTTGTAGACACTGGCTTAGGCAAAGAATTTATGATCAAGAACCAGACAGCAAATGCAACAAAAACAAATAAATAGATGGGACCTAATTAAACTAAAAAGCTTCTGCACAGCAAAAGAAATAATCAGCAGAGTAAACAGACAACCCACAGACTGGGAGAAAATATTAACAAACTATGCACCCGACAAAGGACTAATGTCTATAACCTATAAGGAACTCAAACAAATCAGCATTAAAAAAATAATAATCTTATCAAAAAGTGGGCAAATGACATGAATAGACGATTCTCAAAAGAAGATATACAAGTGGACAGTAAAATAAGAAAAAATGCTCACCATCACCAATTATCAGGGAAATGCAAATTAAAATCACATTGAGATACCACCTTACTCCTGCAAGAATGGCCATAATTTAAAAATCAAAAAATAATAGATGTTGGTGTGGATGTGGTGAAAAAGGAACACTTTTACACTGCTGGTAAGAATGTAAACTAATATAATCACTATGGAAAACAGTATGCAGATTCCTTGAAGAACAAAAAGTAGAACTACCATATGATCCAGCAATCCCACTACTGAGTATCTACCCAGAGGAAAAGAAGTCATATGAAAAAGACACATGGACATGCATGTTTATAGCAGCACAATTCACAATTGCACAAATATGGAACCAGCCTAAATCCCCATCAACCAATGAGTAGATAAAGAAAATGTGATATATATATATATATATATATATATATATATATATATATATATATATATACACATATATAGTATACATATACACACCATGGAAAACTACTCAGTCATAAAAAGAAATGACATAATGGCATTTGCAGCAACCTGGATGCAGTCAGAGACTTATTCTAAGTAAAGCAACCCAGGAATGTAAAACCAAACATCGTATGTTCTCACTTGTAAGTGGGAGCTAAGCTATAAGGACACAAAAGAATAAGAATGATATAATGGACTTTGGGGACTCGGGGGAAGGGTGAAGGGTGGATGAGGGATAAAAGACTACACATTTGGTACAGTATACACTGCTTGGGTGATGGGGAGCGCCAAAATCTCAGATATCACCGCTAAAAAACTTACCCATGTAACCAAAAACCACCTGTTTCCAAAACACTATTAAAATAAAAACTCATACTCAGACCTTGGATCAACTTTATATTTTTGTTTTTTATTTAGAGGCAATGCATATTTTTTCTCTATACTTTCAGAAGCAGACCAAAAACATTCATAATGGTAAGTAATGCATGGGTTTCTTTGTTTGTTTGTTAAGTTACATCCTCTTGAGTGTTGATGGGATTGGAAAAATTAATGTTAAGGGGTGAGGAGAGTGTGGAAGAAAGAAGTGATGGGAAGAAATTAAATAAATAAAACTGGAAAGTCTCAGAATATAAAATCAATGTGCAAAAATCACAAGCATTCCAAAACACCAATAATAGAGAGCCAAATCATGAGTGAACTCCCATTCATAATTGCTACAAAGACAATAAAATACCTAGGAATCCAACTTACAAGGGAAAGGAAGGACCTCTTCAAGGAGAACTACAAACCACTGCTCAAGGAACTAAGAGAGGACACAAACAAACGGAAAAAAATTCCATGCTCATGGATAGGAAGAATCAATATCGTGCAAATGGTCATACTGCCCAAAGTAATTTATAGATTCAATGCTATCCCCATCAAGCTACCATGAACTTTCTTCACAGAATTAGAAAAAAAAAACTACTTTAAATGTCATATGGAACCAACAAAGAGCCCATATAGCCAAGACTATCCTAAGCAAAAAGAACAAAGCTGGAGGCATCACGCTACCTGACTTCAAACTATACTACAAGGCTACCGTAACCAAAATAGCATGACACTGGTACCAAAACTGATATATAGACCAATGGAACAGAACAGAGGCCTCAGAAATAACACCACACATCTACAACCATCTGATCTTTGACAAACCTGACAAGAACAAGCAATGGGGAAAGGATTCCCTATTTAATAAATAGTGCTGGGAAAACTGGCTACCCATATGCAGAAAACTGAAACAGGACCCCCTCCTTATATCATATATATATATACTTTAAGTTCTAGGGTACATGTGCACAACGTGCAGGTTTGATACATAGGCATACATGTGCCATGTTGGTTACCTGCACCCATCAACTCATTATTTACATTATGTATTTCTCCCCAGCCCCCACTACCCCCAAACAAGCCCCAGGGTGTGATGTTCCCCACCCTGTGTCCAAGGGATCTCATTGTTCAATTCCCACCTATGAGTGAGAACACACAGTGTTTGGTTTTCTGTCCTTGTGATAGTTTTCTTAGAATGATGGTTTCCAGCTTTATCCATGTCCCTGCAAAGGACATGAACTCATCCATTTTTATGGCTGCATAGTATTCCATGGTATATATGTGCCACATTTTCTTAATCCAGTCTATCATTGATGGACATTTGGGTTGGTTCCAAGTCTTTGCTATTGTGAATAGTGCCCCATTAAACATATGTCTGCATGTGTCTTTATAGTAGCATGATTTATAATCTTTTGGGTATATTCCCAGTAATGGTATTGCTGGGTCAAATGGTAATTCTAGTTCTAGATCCTTGAGGAATCGCCACACTGTCTTCCACAATGGTTGAACCAATTTACCTCCCATCAACAGTGTAAAACATTCCTGTTTCGCCACATCCCCTCCAGCATCTGTTGTTTCTTGACTTTTTTAATGATTGCTATTCTAACTGGTGTGAGATGATATCTCATTATGGTTTTGATTTGCATTTCTCTGATGACCAGTGATGATGAGCATTTTTTCACGTGTCTGTTGGCTATGTAAATGTATTCTTTTGAGAAGTGTCTGTTCATATCCTTTGCGCATGTTATGATGGGTTTGTTTCTTTCTTGTAAATTTGTTTGAGTTATTTGTAGATTCTGAATATTAGCCCCTTGTCAGACGGGTAGGTTGCAAAAATTTTCTCATATTCTGTAGGTTGCCTGTTCACTCTGATGATAGTTTCTTTTGCTGTGAAGAAGCTCTTTAGTTTAATTAGATCCCATTTGTGTATTTTGGCTTTTGTTGTTATCGCTTTTGGTGTTTTAGTCATGAAGTCCTTGGCCATGCCTATGTCCTGAATGGTATTGCCTAGATTTTCTTCCAGGGTTTTTATGGTTTTAGGCCTAACATTTAAGTCTTTAATCCATCTTCAGTTAATTTTTGTATAAGGTGTAAGGAAGGGATCCAATTTCAGCTTTCTATATATGGCTAGCCAGTTTTCCCAGCACCATTTATTAAATAGGATATCCTTTCCCCATTTCTTGTTTTTGTCAGTTTTGTCAAAGATCAGATGGTTGTAGATGTGTGACATTATTTCTGAGGCCTCTGTTCTGTTCCATTGGTCTATATCTCTGTTTTGGTACCAGTACCATGCTGTTTTGGTTACCGTAGCCTTGTAGTATAGTTTGAAGTCAGGTAGTGTGATGCCTCCAGCTTTGTTCTTTTGGCTTAGGATTGACTTGGCAATGCAGGCTTTTTTTTGGTTCCATATGAACTTTAAAGTAGTTTTTTCCAATTCTGTGAAGAAAGTCATTGGTAGCTTGATGGGGATAGCATTGAATCTATAAATAACTTTGGGCAGTATGGCCATTTGCACAATATGGATTCTTCCTATCCAAGAGCATGGAACATTCTTCCATTTGTTTGTGTCCTCTTATTTTTTTGAGCAGAGTTTGTAGTTCTCCTTGAAGAGGTCCTTCCTGTCCCTTGTAAGTTGGATTCCTAGGTATTTTATTCTCTTTCTAGCAATTGTGAATGGGAGTTCACTCAGGATTTGGCTTTCTGTTTGTCTGTTAATCGTGTATTGGAATGCTTGTGATTTTTGCACATTGATTTTGTATCCTGAGACTTTGCTGAAGTTGCTTATCAGCTTAAGGAGATTTGGGACTGAGACGATGGGGTTTTCTAAATATACAATCATGTCATCTGCAAGCAGGGACAGTTTGACTTCTTCATTTCCTAATTGAATACCCTTTATTTCTTTCTCTTGCCTGATTGCCCTGGCCAGAACTTCCAACACTATGTTGAATAGGAGTCGTGAGAGAGGGCATCCTTGCCTTGTGCTGGTTTTCAAAGGGAATGCTTCCAGTTTTTGCTCATTCAGTATGATATTGGCTGTGGGTTTTTCATAAATAGCTCTTATTATTTTGAGATATGTTCCATCGATACCTAGTTTATTGAGAGTTTTTATCATGAAGGGCTGTTGAATTTTGTCAAAGGCCTTTTCTGCATCTATTGAGATAATCATGAGGTTTTTGTTGTTGGTTCTGTTTATGTGATGGATTACGTTTATTGATTTGCATATGTTGAACCAGCCTTGCAACCCAGGGATGAAGCTGACTTGATCGTGGTGGGTAAGCTTTTTGATGTGCTGCTGGATTCAGTTTGTCAGTATTTTCTTGAGGATTTTTGCATCAATGTTCATCAGGGATATTGGTGTAAACTTCTCTTTTTTTGTAGTGTCTCTGCCAGGCTTTGGTATCAGGATGATGTTGGCCTCATAAAATGAGTTAGGGAGGATTCCCTCTTTTTCTATTGATTGGAATAGTTTCAGAAGGAATGGTACTAGCTCCTCTTTCTACCTCTAGTAGAATTTGGCTGCGAATCCATCTGGTCCTGGACTTTTTTTGGTTGGTAAGCTATTGATTCTTGCCTCAATTTCAGAGCCTGTTATTGGTCTATTCAGAGATTCAACTTCTTCCTGGTTTAGTCTTGGGAGGATGTATGTGTCAAGGAATTTATCCATTTCTTCTAGATTTTCTAGTTTATTTGTGTAGAGGTGTTTATTATATTCTCTGATGGTAGTTTGTATTTCTGTGGGATTGGTGGTGATATCCCCTTTATCATTTTCTATTGCGTCTATTTGTTTCTTCTTTCTTTTCTTCTTTATTAGTCTTGCCAGCAGTCTATCAATTTTGTTGATCTTTTCAAAACACCAGCTCCTGGATTCATTGATTTTTTTGAAGGGTTTTTTCTGTCTCTATCTCTTTACGCTCTGCTCTGATCTTAGTTATTTCTTGCCTTCTGCTAGCTTTTGAATGTGTTTGCTCTTGCTTCTTTAGTTCTTTTAATTGTGATGCTAGGGTGTTGACTTTAGGTCTTTCCTGCTTTCTCTTGTGGGCATTTAGTGCTATAAATTTCCCTCTACACACTGCTTTAAATGTGCCCCAGAGATTCTGGTACATTGTGTTTTTGTTCTCACTGGTTTCAAAGAACATCTTTAGTTCTGCCTTCATTTCGTTATTTACCCAGTAGTCATTCATGAGCAAGTTGTTCAGTTTCCATGTAGTTGTGTGGTTTTGAGTGAGTTTCTTAATCATGGTTCTAATTTGATTGCACTGTGGTCTGAGAGACAGTTTGTTGTGATTTCTTTTCTTTTACATTTGCTGAGGAGTGCTTTACTTCCAATTATGTGGTCAATTTCAGAATAAGTGCAATGTGGTGCTGAGAAGAATGTGTATTCTGATGAGTTGGGGTGGAGAGTTCTGTAGATGTCTATTAGTTCTGCTTGTTGCAGAGCTGAGTTCAGGTCCTGGATATCCTTGTTAAATTTCTGTCTCATTGATGTGTCTAATATTGACGGTGGGGTGTTAAAGTCTCCCATTATTATCGTGTGAGAGTCTAAGTCTCTTTGTAGGTCTCTAAGGACTGGCTTTATGAATCTGGGTGCTCCTGTATTGGGTGAATATATATTTAGGATAGTTAGCTCCTCTTGATGAATTGATCCCTTTACCATTATGTAATGGCCTTCTTTGTCTCTTTTGATCTTTGTTGGTTTAAAGCCTGTTTGATCAGAGACTAGGATTACAACCTCTGCCTTCTTTTGCTTTCCATTTGCTTGGTAGATCTTCCTCCATCCCTTTATTTTGAGCCTATGTGTGTCTTTGCACTTGAGATGGGTTTCCTGAATACAGCACACTGATGGGTCTTGACTCTTTATCCAATTTGCCTGTCTGTGTCTTTTAATTGGGGGCATTTAGCCCATTTACGTTTAAGGTTAATATTGTTATGTGTGAATTTGATCCTGTCATTATGATGTTTGCTGGGTACTTTGCTCATTAATTGATGCAGTTTCTTCATAGTACTGATGGTCTTTACAATTTGGCATGTTTTTTGCTGTGGCTGGTACCTGTTGTTTCTTTCCATGTTTAGTTCTTCCTTCAGGAGCTCTTGTAAGACAGGCCTGGTGGTAACAAAATTTCTCAGCATTTGCTTGTCTGTAAAGGATTTTATTTCTCCTTCACTTATGAAGCTTAGTTTGGCTGGATATGAAATTCTGGGTTGAAAATTCTTTTCTTTAAGAATGTTGAATATTGGCCCCCACTCTCTTCTGGCTTGTAGAGTTTCTGCCGAGAGATCAGCTGTTAGTCTGATGGGCTTCCCTTTGTAGGTAACTCAACCTTTCTCTCTGGCTGCCCTTAACAATTTTTCCTTCATTTCAACCTTGGTGAATCTGACAATTATGTGTCTTGGGGTTGCTCTTCTTGAGGAATATCTTTGTGGTGTTCTCTGTATTTCCTGAATTTGAATCTTGGGCTGCCTCGCTAGGTTGGGAAAGTTCTCCTGGATAATATCCTGAAGAGTGTTTTCCAGCTTGGTTCCATTCTCTCCATCACTTTCATGTACACCAATCAAATGTAGATTTAGTCTTTTCACATAGTCCCATATTTCTTGGAGGCTTTGTTCGTTTCTTTTTGCTCTTTTTTCTCTAACCTTATCTTCTCACTTTATTTCATTAATTTGATCGTCAATCACTGATACCCTTTCTTTTACTTGATGGAATTGGCTATTGAAGCTTGTGCATGTGTCTCAAAGTTCTCACGCCATGGTTTTCGGCTGGAGTCCTGCTATCCTACACTGCCATGTGCTCCTAGGAGCAGAGGCCTTGAGGAGGTCTCCAAGAAATCACAAACTTTCCACTGCTGAACATGTGCCTGAAATGAGTGATCCTAAGGAGCAAAGGTTGGGTTTGCAAACTTCATTCCTCCAATCTCCAATAAATACAAAAGAAAACTTGGACCCTCTTCAAATAGGCTCAGCTGTTATATGGGTTTTATGCAGGAAGCTGTTCACGTATAGATTGCTCTTTGAAAGTATTTGAGAGTCTTTGAACCAAAAAAAAAAAAAAAAAACACACACACACATAAAGTATGTCTTTTTTATCAGTCCCTTCCACCTCGGTGTCCCAGGTTGACCCCTCCTTCCCTGGAGAATTGTTTTTAGGGAACACTTTAAGCTGAGTAAATTGGCTGACAGCCCTATCTCCTGGGTAATTCCAATTCAGCAGCTTTTATGGGTTGTTATTATACTGGAGTCTCACACTTAAGGTCAACGAGTCTTTCTCTTATTACCCTCAGTATTTGCTTTGGCAATACCTTGGTTGTAAGGCTAAATTATTTACATACAATCAAAATATAAGTTATATATATTAAGGAAGGCTGAATTCACTATTCACAGTTAAAGTTCATCCCTACTTTAAGACCCAGGAAGGTAGTAATTGGGGTTCATTGTAATGTCCACACACACATCCCTACTACCACCTCCAGTACTCAGCACACCATTCATTTATCCCAAAAATACTTACTGATCATCTATGAAGTGGAATTGCAAATTTATCTCATTCTACAATTTGATTGTGCAAAGGAAATATTTAAGAACATAGGCTCGAGTTTCAAACTGCCTGGTTTTGAATTCTGGTTCTATCATTCCATAGCTATGTGCCTTGGGGGAAATTTCCTAGCCTTTCTGTGCCTTAATTTCCTCATAAGCAAAATAGGGACAGCCATAATAACTACTGCAGAGGGTTACTGTGATTAAGTCTGGCACATTCCTCATACATAGTAAGTGTCAGTAACTGTTAGTAAGCATCATTTTTTTATGTAATTCGCACTTTCCTTCTAACTCCTCTTCTACTAGTTAATGGGAATAAAATAACTTAATGTCCATAAGATTTAAAAACACTTTAAGTAAATGTCAATCTCTTTAGGAAAAACTGACTAGTCACTCAGATTTTAGTCTTCCATACCATCCCCACCTTTCTTCTCCAAGGCAACATCGTGAAGAAGTATGGCTCACAGAGCATGGTGACAGAGAGAAAGAATCAGAGAACTAAGGCATGATGTTCTCCACGTCCTCTCACCTCCAGGGAGATTTGTCTTCTGCGCAGTTGCCAGAAGCCCTGTTGGACACAATGCTGGCATTTGCAACAGATGAACTCATAATCATTCCATTAGTTTAGCATCAGGCACTGCTCCCTGGAAGCCAGGGTCACCTTCCCTTCATGATTTAGTCACACCTACATGCTCCCTACCACTACAGTCCCTCTGGAGGTCTAGCTGTGACTCCCACTCTGTCCTAGCCTGAACCATCTACCCTGCAGTTCATTTCTACAGAACCCCTTGCCCTGGTACACTAAGCCCCTCTAGCCCAAGTCCCCAGCACACCTCAGCTACATTTGGGTCCAATTCATGCCTCTATAAGCAAGGGCATCTCCAGAAAGCTACGACTTAAGGCTGCTCCTCTGTCTCACAACACTGAGCTACTAAGCTGACATTGCCTTTCCAAAGTTTGATGTAGGAGCAGCCCTTGAGACTTTCTTCTTTCAGAGAGTGAGGAAGGAACCCCCTCATTTACTGGTGTTCCCTTTAGCTTATCTTACACACCTCTCCGTTCCAGAGCATCATCCAGAAAGGATGAATAAAAACCCACAGGTCTAACCCCTTCCTTGCTCTCTTCCCTTCCCTCTTTCCACAGCCCCCAGAACCTGAATGTCCTCTATTATCATTATAGCTAAGCCAATGATCATAGGGGGAAAGTGTCTCTTCTTTATAATACATTAATTCTAGGAGCCTGGGCCTTGACAAATTAAGCAGAGATATAAAAGAATTTAGAAATATCATTATTATGCCAGAAGTTGAATATTCCTTCTCCCCCAGACAGAAAGAAGCCTCAGACCAATTAGGGAAATCAAGGACATAATTTCCATTGCCCTCATTAGAATTGACCAAGTGATATTGAAAAGTAAGGATGTCTCAGAGTGCAGAATCAAGGGCCAGAGGGTACAGCCAGGAACCACTCCAAAGAGCAGAAGCAAGGCCAAATCAAGACACACTCTTCACTCCAAGAGAACCTGTAAACATTTCTCCATTGGGATTTCAGAACTGTCATGAAACAGTGGCTGCTATGTGCCTCCTCTTATTGAATGGGAATCTTTATTGTGGTTGTTTTGTTCCTATTCACCATTGCACATTGGGTATGTAGGGGAAGATAACATGTCTTTTTATTCTAAGGGCTTCAGACCAAAAGGAGATGCATCCAAGAAACCACTATAGACCTGATATTGATCATAACATCCCGGATTTTGAACCTGATACTATGGTTGTATAAGACCTTGAAGAACCTTGAAAGGGTGAGAATGTGTCTTGCATGTGGATAAGATGTAAATAATTCTGGCTAGAGGATATAAAATGATTGATTGCCAAATTGGCCTTCATTCTCCACTTTCCCTGTATCTACATCCTTTGCATGTGACTTTGAGGACCCTCACATCATGAAGTGTGGTCTACTCCCACAGCCGTTGAATCTGGGCTTGTCTCATGCCTTGTTTTGGCCAACAGAATGCAGCATAAGTGACATGTGCCAGTTCTGAGCCTAGGCCTCAACATCCATACTTCTACTCTTGCACCTCTCCTTTGCCAGGAGAATAATCCTAGGATGGCTTGCTGGAGGATGAGGTGCTATGTGGACCACAGCCAAGCAACTAAGTCCCCAGATATGTGAGAGAGCCCAGCTAAGATCAGCAAAGCCATCAGCACTGAGAGTCAGCACTCACTTGCTGCTGACTCTCAGTGCATGAACAAGCCCCCAGTGAGCCCAGATAAGCAGAACTGCTCAGCCAGCCATAATCATGTTGTCAAAAATACATGTTTATTATTGTATATCACTGAGGTTTTTTGGTGGTTCATTATGTAGAATTATTGTGGAAATAACTGATCCTTGGATTAAAATGCATCAGCAGAAATAAGAGGAACATATACAGAAGTGGATATTGAGGGTGTTATACTGGAGAAGAGGGGGCTGGGTAAGAAGAATATAAATGTGGTTCAGGGATAATTCTCTGATATGGGACCACTCATCTGTTCTTCAGGATTCAAAGCTCCAGCAAGGAACAATAGTTGTTCCTGAGAGCTTGCTGGAATGGCTCTTCAAAGACTGAATTTGACAATAGCTGACAGTAAATGAAGTTGAAATGTGAGAATTTCTTGGGCACTGAAATAGAGAGATTAGAAGCCTTGGAGAGGTAGAAATGTCATTTAAAACCTGAGAACCTACCATATTTCCACATTCTCTTGAGAACCCAAAAGACACTTCCCTTGCTAAGACAGTAAGGAGTATACTGGTGAGAAGTTCAGCAGTGACTCTGCAAGCCAGAATTGGTGGTAGGACATACTGATATGAAATAAGATTCCCTAGTATCCATAAAGAAGATGAAATTTCAGAATAGCAGATCCCAGGTAGCAGCACTTAACTACTGAAGCAAGATAGATATAATTGTACCTTAATGGTCAGCAAGCTCAGAGCAGCAGTCAAGTTCCATAAGACATAGGGATTTAGAGTGAAAGTAACAGATCACAGTATTCTTAGGGGCAAGATTGATGGACAGCTCCTAAGACACTGGATAATTTCTGGTTATATAATAGGAAAAAAATGAAGAGATGATAACCTGAAGGCTCATAGCAGTTGCTCACAATGAAATATCACAGTTGCTCATCCAGTGTCCTGATCTAAATCTCTTCACAGGCCCAGAGCCCACTGATTGAGGACAAAGACGGGTCCCTTTGAGGATCAACCCTGTAACCACTGCACAGATATGTTCTAAATATTCTTTCCATCCTTCCCCCAAGAAGACTTGCAATCATTTGACAGAGTAACTACAAACTTCCAAACAAAGTGGAAAGGCCAGAATTTTTTTAAGGACAAGTGTACACAGGATCTCAGCTGTTTTTGCTACCAGCTGCTTTGGGCACTATGGTCCTCTGGTTATAACATAGGCTTATGGGGCTGGGCTCGGTAGCTCACGCCTGTAATCCCAGCACTTTGGGAGGCCAAGGAGGGTGGATCACAAGGTCAGGAGATCGAGACCAGCCTGACTAACACGCTGAAACCCTGTCTCTACTAAAAATACAAAAAATTAGCCAGATGTGGTGGCACGTGCCTGTAGTTCCAGCTACTCAGGAGGCTGAGGCAGGAGAATCGCTTGAACCCGAGGTGGGGGGGTTGCAGTGAGCTGAGATCGCACCACTGCACTCCAGCCTGGGCAACAGAGTGAGACTCCATCTCAAACACACACACACACACACACACACACACACACACACACACAACCAAAAAAAACATAGACTTAATGGAAGCCAGGTAATAAATGGAGTTCTGGCCCAAGTCTGTCTCACAGTGACTCCACTGGGACTATGCAATTTTCAGCTGGCAGAATCCTCACACTGGTTCCCTCACCTAGAGAGTAAGAGTTATTATGGCAGGAAGAACAACATGAGAGCTCCTGAAACTGAAAGGCAGCAAATCAGAAGCTATATTGAATTATTGGAGGGACAGCCAAGATTATCCTCACCATCGAAAACCTGAAGGATGCAAGAGTGGTGAGCCTTGAAGATGGCCGAATAGGAACAGCTTCGTCTACAGCTCCCAGCATGAGCAATGCAGAAGACGGGTGATTTCTGCATTTCCATCTGAGGTACTGGGTGGATCTCACTAGGGAGTGCCAGACAGTGGGCGCAGGTCAGTGGGTGCGTGCACCATGTGCGAGCC
This sequence comes from Homo sapiens, assembly GCF_000001405.40. NCBI lineage: Eukaryota > Metazoa > Chordata > Mammalia > Primates > Hominidae > Homo > Homo sapiens. The sequence goes on from NC_000001.11 coordinate 219,863,738, forward strand.
AAAGCAGGGCGAGGCATTGCCTCACTCGGGAAGCGCAAGGGGTCAGGGAGTTCCCTTTCCTAGTCAAAGAAAGGGGTGACAGACGGCACCTGGAAAATCGGGTCACTCCCAACCGAATACTGCGCTTTTCCGACGGGCTTAAAAAACGGCGCACTAGGAGATTATATCCCACACCTGGCTCGGAGGGTCCTATGCCCACGGAGTCTCGCTGATTGCTAGCACAGCAGTCTGAGATCAAACTGCAAGGCGGCAGCGAGGCTGGGGGAGGGGCGCCCGCCATTACCCAGGATTGATTAGGTAAACAAAGCAGCCAGGAAGCTCGAACTGGGTGGAGCCCACCACAGCTCAAGGAGGCCTGCCTGCCTCTGTAGGCTCCACCTCTGGGGGGCAGGGCACAGACAAACAAAAAGACAGCAGTAACCTCTGCAGACTTAAATGTCCCTGTCTGACAGCTTTGAAGAGAGCAGTGGTTCTCCCAGCAGGCAGCTGGAGATCTGAGAACAGGCAGACTGCCTCTTCAAGTGGGTCCCTGATCCCTGACCCTCCAGCAGCCTAACTGGGAGGCACCTCCCAGCAGGGGCAGACTGACACCTCACACGGCGGCGGGGCACTCCAACAGACCTGCAGCTGAGGGTCCTGTCTGTTAGAAGGAAAACTAACAAACAGAAAGGACATCCACACCAAAAACCCATCTGTACATCACCATCATCAAAGACCAAAAGTAGATAAAAACCACAAAGATGGGGAAAAAACAGAACAGAAAAACTGGAAACTCTAAAAAGCAGAGCGCCTCTCCTCCTCTAAATGAACACAGCTCCTCACCAGCAATGGAACAAAGCTGGATGGAGAATGACTTTGACGAGTTGAGAGAAGAAGGCTTCAGACGACCAAATTACTCCGAGCTATGGGAGGACATTCAAACCAAAGGCAAAGAAGTTGAAAACTTTGAAAAAAAATTTAGAAGAATGTATAACTAGAATAACCAATACAGAGAAGTGCTTAAAGGAGCTGATGGAGCTGAAAACCAAGGCTCGAGAGCTACGTGAAGAATGCAGAAGCCTCAGGAGCCAATGCGATCAACTGGAAGAAAGGGTATCAGTGATGGAAGATCAAATGAATGAAATGAAGCCAGAAGGGAAGTTTAGAGAAAAAAAGAATAAAAAGAAACGAGCAAAGCCTCCAAGAAATATGGGACTATGTGAAAAGACCAAATCTACGTCTGATTGGTGTACCTGAAAGTGACAGGGAGAATGGAACCAAGTTGGAAAACACTCTGCAGGATATAATCCAGGAGAACTTCCCCAATCTAGGAAGGCAGGCCAACATTCAGATTCAGGAAATACAGAGAACGCCACAAAGATACTCCTTGAGAAGAGCAACTCCAAGACACATAATTGTCAGATTCACCAAAGTTGAAATGAAGGAAAAAATGTTAAGGGCAGCCAAAGAGAAAGGGTTACCCTCAAAGGGAAGCCCATCAGACTAACAGTGGATCTCTCGGCAGAAACTCTACAAGCCAGAAGAGAGTGGGGGCCAATATTCAACATTCTTAAAGAAAAGAATTTTCAACCCAGAATTTCATATCCAGCCAAACTAAGCTTCATAAGTGAAGGAGAAATAAAACACAGACAAGCAAATGCTGAGAGATTTTGTCACCACCAGGCCTGCCCTAAAAGAGCTCCTGAAGGAAGCGCTAAACATGGAAAGGAACAACCGGTACCAGCCACTGCAAAATCATGCCAAAACGTAAAGACCATCAAGGCTAGGAAGAAACTGCATCAACTAACGAGCAAAATAACCAGCAAACATCATAATGACAGGATCAAATTCACACATAACAATATTAACTTTAAATGTAAATAGACTAAATGCTCCAATTAAAAGACACAGACTGGCAAATTGGATAAAGAGTCAAGACCCATCAGTGTGCTGTATTCAGGAAACCCATCTCACATGCAGAGACACACATAGGCTCAAAATAAAAGGATGGAGGAAGATCTACCATGCAAATGGAAAACAAAAAAAGGCAGGGGTTGCAATCCTAGTCTCTGATAAAACAGACTTTAAACCAACAAAGATCAAAAGAGACAAAGAAGGCCATTACATAATGGTAAAGGGATCAATTCAACAAGAAGAGCTAACTATCCTAAATATATATGCACCCAATACAGGAGCACCCAGATTCATAAAGCAAGTCCTGAGTGACCTACAAAGAGACTTAGACTCCCACAAAATAATAATGGGAGACTTTGACACCCCACTGTCAACATTAGACAGATCAACAAGACAGAAAGGCAACAAGGATATCCAGGAATTGAACTCAGCTCTGCACCAAGCAGACCTAATAGATATCTACAGAACTCTCCACCCCAAATCAACAGAATATACATTTTTTTCAGCACCACACCACACCTATTCCAAAATTGACCACATACTTGGAAGTAAAGCTCTCCTCAGCAAATGTAAAAGAACAGAAATTATAACAAACTATCTCTCAGAACACAGTGCAATCAAACTAGAACTCAGGATTAAGAATCTCACTCAAAACCGCTCAACTACATGGAAACTGAACAACCTGCTCCTGAATGACTACTGGGTGCATAACGAAATGAAGGCAGAAATAAAGATGTTCTTTGAAACCAACGAGAACAAAGACACAACATACCAGAATCTCTGGGACACATTCAAAGCAGTGTGTAGAGGGAAATTTATAGCACTAAATGCCCACAAGAGAAAGGAGGAAAGATCCAAAATTGACACTCTAACATCACAATTAAAAGAACTAGAAAAGCAAGAGCAAACACATTCAAAAGCTAGCAGAAGGCAAGAAATAACTAAAATCAGAGCAGAACTGAAGGAATAGAGACACAAAAAGCCCTTCAAAAAATTAATGAATCCAGGAGCTGGTTTTTTGAAAGGATCAACAAAATTGATAGACTGCTAGCAAGACTAATAAAGAAAAAAAGAGAGAAGAATCAAATAGACACAATAAAAAATGATAAAGGGGATATCACCACCGATCCCACAGAAATACAAACTACCATCAGAGAATACTACAAACACCTCTACGCAAATAAACTAGAAAATCTAGAAGAAATGGATAAATTCCTCGACACATACACCCTCCCAAGACTAAACCAGGAAGAAGTTGAATCTCTGAATAGACCAATAACAGGCTCTGAAATTGTGGCAATAATCAACAGCTTACCAACCAAAAGAGTCCAGGACCAGATGGATTCACAGCCGAATTCTACCAGAGGTACAAGGAGGAACTGGTACCATTCCTTCTGAAACTATTCCAATCAATAGAAAAAGAGGGAATCCTCCCTAACTCATTTTATGAGGCCATCACCATCCTGATACCAAAGCCGGGCAGAGACACAACCAAAAAAGAGAATTTTAGACCAACCTCCTTGATGAACATTGATGCAAAAATCCTCAATAAAATACTGGCAAACCGAATCCAGCAGCATATCAAAAAGCTTATCCACCATGATCAAGTGGGCTTCATCCCTGGGATGCAAAGCTGGTTCAATATACACAAATCAATAAATGTAATCCAGCATATAAACAGAACCAAAGACAAAAACCACATGATTATCTCAATAGATGCACAAAAGGCCTTTGACAAAATTCAACAACGCTTCATGCTAAAAACTCTCAATAAATTAGGTATTGATGGGACGTATTTCAAAATAATAAGAGCTATCTATGACAAACCCACAGCCAATATCATACTGAATGGGCAAAAACTGGAAGCATTCCCTATGAAAACTGGCACAAGACAGGGATGCCCTCTCTCACCACTCCTATTCAACATAGTGTTGGAAGTTCTGGCCAGGGCGATTAGGCAGGAGAAGGAAATAAAGGGTATTCAATTAGGAAAAGAGGAAGTCAAATTGTCCCTGTTTGCAGACGACATGATTGTATATCTAGAAAACCCCATTGTCTCAGCCCAAAATCTCCTTAAGCTGATAAACAACTTCAGCAAAGTCTCAGGATACAAAATCAATGTACAGAAATCACAAGCATTCTTATACACCAACAACAGACAGACAGAGAGCCAAATCATGAGTGAACTCCCATTCACAGTTGCTTCAAAGAGAATAAAATACCTAGGAATGCAACTTACAAGGGATGTGAAGGACCTCTTCAAGGGGAACTACAAACCACTGCTCAAGGAAATAAAAGAGGATACAAACAAATGGAAGAACATTCCATGCTCATGGGTAGGAAGAATCAATATCGTGAAAATGGCCATACTGCCCAAGGTAATTTACCGATTCAATGCCATCCCCATCAAGCTACCAATGACTTTCTTCACAGAATTGGAAAAACTACTTTAAAGTTCATATGGAACCAAAACAGAGCCCGCATCGCCAAGTCAATCCTAAGCCAAAAGAACAAAGCTGGAGGCATCACACTACCTGACTTCAAACTATACTACAAGGCTACAGTAACCAAAACAGCACGGTACTGGTACCAAAACAGAGATATAGATCAATTGAACAGAACAGAGCCCTCAGAAATAACGCCGCATATCTACAACTATCTGATCTTTGACAAACCTGAGAAAAACAAGCAATGGGGAAAGGATTCCCTATTTAATAAATGGTGCTGGGAAAACTGGCTAGCCATATGTAGAAAGCTGAAACTGGATCCCTTCCTTACACCTTATAGAAAAATCAATTCAAGATGGATTAAAGACTTAAACGTTACACCTAAAACCATAAAAACCCTAGAAGAAAACCTAGGCATTACCATTCAGGACATAGGCATGGGCAAGGACTTCATATCTAAAACACCAAAAGCAGTGGCAACAAAAGCCAAAATTGACAAATGGGATCTAATTAAACTAAAGAGCTTCCACACAGCAAAAGAAACTACCATCAGAGTGAACAGGCAACCTACAAAATGGGAGAAAATTTTCGCAACCTACTCATCTGACAAAGGGCTAATATCCAGAATCTACAATGAACTCAAACAAATTTACAAGAAAAAAACAAACAACCCCATCCAAAAGTGGGCGAAGGACATGAACAGACACTTCTCAAAAGAAGACATTTATGCAGCCAAAAAACACATGAAAAAATGCTCACCATCACTGGCCATCAGAGAAATGCAAATCAAAACCGCAATGAGATACCATCTCACACCAGTTAGAATGGCAATCATTAAAAGGTCAGGAAACAACAGGTGCTGGAGAGGATGTGGAGAAATAGGAACACTTTTACACTGTTGGTGGGACTGTAAACTAGTTCAACCATTGTGGAAGTCAGTGTGGCGATTCCTCAGGGATCTAGAACTAGAAATACCATTTGACCCAGCCATCCCATTACTGGGTATATACCCAAAGGACTATAAATCATGCTGCTATAAAGACACATGCACACGTATGTTTATTGTGGCACTATTCACAATAGCAAAGACTTGGAACCAACCCAAATGTCCAACAATGATAGACTGGATTAAGAAAATGTGGCACATATACACCATGGAATACTATGCAGCCATAAAAAATGATGAGTTCATGTCCTTTGTAGGGACATGGATGAAATTGGAAACCATCATTCTCAGTAAACTATCGCAAGAACAAAAAACCAAACACCGCATATTCTCACTCATAGGTGGGAATTGAACAATGAGAACACATGGACACAGGAAGGGGAACATCACACTCTGGGGCCTGTTGTGGGGTGTGGGGAGGGGGGCGGGATAGCATTGGGAGATATACCTAATGCTAGATGACGAGTTAGTGGGTGCATTGCACCAGCATGGCACATGTATACATATGTAACTAACTTGCACATTGTGCACATGTACCCTAAAACTTAAAGTATTAAAAAAAAAATAAAAAAGAGTGGTGAGCCTTGTTATAGCCTCATTCAATTCACCTATCTGACCTCTGTAAAAACGAGATGGATGGTGACAGATAATGATGGACTAACATAAACATAACTAGATGATAGCCCAAACCATGGCTGCCATGTTGAATGCTGCATCTTTACAGGAACAATCAACACAGACCCTGTCACTTTGAATGTGTTTGTCAATGTGATGAAAACATATCAATAGCCAAAAGCAAGGATCAAAACCAGTTTATCTTTACATAGCTTGTTTCAGGGTAAAGTTAATTGTCCTGCTTTCTGTGATAATATAGTCTACAGGGATCTTGATCATCTTGACACTTCACAGAACTTTGCCCTGACCCAGTACATGTATAAGATTATACCAACTGGATCTCGTTCACAGTAGATGGTTGGCACAAAGATGCTTCAGTATAGAGCATCTTTTTCAGGTTTCTCAAACTTTTCAGGTATCAGAACTCTCTTTACACACAAAAATGACTAAAAACACCCAAGATTTTCTGTTCTTGTAGGTATTTACCTTATTAGAAATTAAATTAAGGTAATTTAAAATATTTTTTAAATTCTTTAGATATAATAAACCCAATACATGTTAGCATAAACATATTTTAAGAGAAATGATCATATTTACAAAGAAAAAAATTTGTGAGAAAGTGTCATTGTTTTACATTTTTGGAAATCTATTTAATATCTGGCTTAATAGAAAATAGCTTTTATCTGCTTCTGCATTCAATATGTTGTTTTGATTGAAGTCTGAAGTGTATGAAAAAAATGTGGCCTCACACAGATTTGCAGTTGGAAAGGGGAGGAGTTTTTTAATAGACTTTTCAGACAATTGTCAATATTCTTCATTGGTAAAATATACCAAAACACAATAAAAGATCATTTCTGTATGGTTAGTTGCAATGCAGAATCTGAAACCATACCAATAAGCTCTCCATATTCTGAAATATTAAAAATCATTTGCCCATCTTGCACTTTAAATGAAACTTTTACCTACGTATGATTTTGTAATAACCTTGGTTGCATTAATCAGGGCTCTCTAGAGAAACAGAACCAATATATAGATATAGATATAAAGAGATTTATTATGAGGAATTGGCTCATGCCATTGTAGAGGCTGAGAAGCACCATGATCTGCTGCCTGCAAGTTGAAGAACCAGGAAAGCCAGTGGTATAATTCCAGTCTGAATTCTAAGGCCTGAGAATCAGGGAAACCTATGTTATGAATACCAATAAATTGGAAAATATTGATTCTTTGAGCTATGCAGCTATTTCAAATATTGATGCATTTCAATATGCAACATCAACAAATCAAATTCATTAATATCCCAACCACTCTTAGGAAAATACAGAAATATGGGCTCAAGATGGGAGAAACAAGTTCTTCAGAATACTAATTTTTACTTGAAAGGTTAAATTTTATCATTGCTAATAAATACTGTCAGTTGTTTTCCTTGAAGTGACACACTCACTTTTTTTAATTTCAAGAACATATCTGTGAAATACCGAAGTATGAGGAACCATAGTTTGTCTGTCAATCGTTCTTTCAAATGAAAATGGTATTTCCTGAAATGCAGTTAGTGAACTGGCTAACTAGTTAGATTGCTCCCTCACACCTTACATCTAAACAGATAATGTTTAGTGTTATTCGGGATACAGGGAAACAGGAATGTTAATAAACTGCCGCTGAGAGAGGAAACTGGTACAATTTCCAAAGGAGTATTTGGCAATATGTATCAAAGACACTTAGATCAGAAATTGGTCAAAATAGTTGACTTGGCTGGGAGCAGTGGCTCATGCCTGTAATCCTAACACTTTGGGAGGCTGAGGCAGGAAGATGCCTTGAGCTCAGGAGTTCCAGACCAGCCTGAGCAACATGGCAAAACCCTACCCTGTCTCTACAAAAAAAAAAAAAAAAAAAATTAGCCAGGTATGGTGGCATGTGCCTGGAGTCCCAGCTACACAGGGGGCTGAGATGAGAGGATCACTTGAGCCTGGAAGGTGGAGATTACAATGAACTGTGATCGTGCCACTGCACTCCAGCCTGGGTGACAGAGTGTGTGAGACTCTGGCAAAAAAAAAAAAGGGTTGACTCCTAAGAATTTTTCCTAAATAAATAATCAAGAAAGGAGTCAACAGTATAAACAACATTTATAGCAACGTTTGTTTACAAAAGCAAAAACTAAGAAACAACCTCAATGGGCAGCCTCTGTGAATCAGCTAAGTAAATTATGGTACCTCTATACAACAGAATCATTAACACGTTAAAACATACTGTTAAGTAAATACAGCAGGTTACAAAACAATGTGGGTTTTTCCCTCCCTGGGTCATTTAGAACTGTGTTGCTTAATTTTCAAATATGGAGAGGTTTTTCAGATAATTTTCTACTACTAATGTCTAATTTAATTTCATAGTAGTCAGATAACATACTGTGTATGAAATCAAGCTTTTTAAATTTACAGAAACTTGCTTTCTTGCCCAGCATATGGTTTATCTTGATAAAAATTTATGTGTGGTTGAAAATAATATAAATTTTTTGGAGGGATGAAATGTTCCACAAATGTCAATTAAATCAAGTTGGCTGACAGTGTTGTTCAGGTCTTCTATATACTTGGTGACTTTCTGTCAATTTCTTCTATCAATTGTCAAAAAGCAAATGTTGAGGTTTCCAACTACAACTGTGTTTGCTTACTGCTTCATTTCTGTCAGTTTTTCCTCTGTGTATTTTGAAGTTCTGTTATTTGCCACATACACATTTAGAATTGTGATGTCTTTTTGATTAATTGCTCCCTATACTATTATGTGAAGCCTCTTTTTTATTCCTGGTTATATTCTTTATTTAAAATCTATTTGTCTGGTGCTAATATAGCCACTCTAGCTTTCTTAGAAGTGTCTGCATGATATGTCTTCTTCCATCTTGTATTTTTTACCCTATCTGTATCTTAAAGTGTATTTCTTATAGATAACATACAGTTGACTCTTGCTTTCCAATCAACCTATAGATGACCAATACCAAATTAATCTGTGTTACTAAAAATCAAAAATTGTGTCTCCCTAGTCTCATTTGGGGTCGATACTATAATTCATCATAACTCAAATATATCAATGCCCAATATGTATATGAGGTAAAGACAATGACTCATCATTAATAATGGCTAATAAACAGAGATATTTCTAACTAACACTTTCTTTTTTTTTTTTTTTTAAATTTATTTTTTTATTGATAATTCTTGGGTGTTTCTCACAGAGGGGGATTTGGCAGGGTCATGGGACAATAGTGGAGGGAAGGTCAGCAGATAAACAAGTGAACAAAGGTCTCTGGTTTTCCTAGGCAGAGGACCCTGCGGCCTTCCGCAGTGTTTGTGTCCCTGATTACTTGAGATTAGGGATTGGTGATGACTCTTAACGAGCATGCTGCCTTCAAGCATCTGTTTAACAAAGCACATCTTGCACCGCCCTTAATCCATTTAACCCTGAGTGGACACAGCACATGTTTCAGAGAGCACAGGGTTGGGGGTAAGGTCACAGATCAACAGGATCCCAAGGCAGAAGAATTTTTCTTAGTGCAGAACAAAATGAAAAGTCTCCCATGTCTACTTCTTTCTACACAGACACGGCAACCATCCGATTTCTCAATCTTTTCCCCACCTTTCCCCCCTTTCTATTCACTGGTTTCTCTTCAGACCGAATAAATCTTTCGCCTTTTACTAACTAACACTTTCAATTATTTAAAACAAAAGGCAAGCAAAGTTCACAAAACTAAACTTGTTCAAAACATAGTTTCCATATCATTAGGAGATATACCTAATGCTAAATGACGAGTTAATGGGTGCAGCACACCTGCATGGCCCATGTATATATATGTAACTAACCTGCACATTGTGCACATGTACCCTAAAACTTAAAGTATAATAGTAATAAAATAAAAATTAAAAAAAAAACAACAACATAGTTTCCTTTATGACTCCCAGGATCTCAGGCCAGCTTAATCCATTTGACATACTGAATTAACACCTTAAGTGAGTCATTGCATTTTATAAATCAATTGGACATCTAGCCTAACATGATTAAAGTTAATCTCATTGGTAATGTTGACTTTTAAAATTCTGATTATTGCCCTACTCCCCTGTTTCTCTGAGCTATTTTAAAACTGTTTTATCTATCAATTGCTCTGCTGTATTTTGATGGTTAATGAAACAGAATTTAATACACTCAAGCCACGTCATCTAGGTCCGACCAACCATGGTACCATCTCATGGGGAAAATGGCCTTAAACTGAGCTCATTTTGATACTTCAGTGAGAAAACCTGACTATCCTGGGGTTCATGATTCTTTATAACAAATAGTCATTCCTAATGCAAATGTTATGTACCAAAAGTTTGCTTCATCTTCCCATAGTAGTGGTGTTAAAAATGGTGGCTAGTTTCCAAGGCTAGATCACATGAACCTACCTAATGGAAGATAAGCCCCAAAAAGGAAAGTGTCATAAAAAGAAGTATTGTAATTTCGATATTAGTACTTAAATATATTGAGAAAGATAAAATTTCATTTTTAAATGTTGTCTATTCATCTTAAACATCATGGCTGGGCTCGGTATCTCACGCCTGTAATCCCAGCACTTTGGAAGGCCAAGGAGGGCAGATCACTTGAGAACAGGAGTTCAAGACCAGCCTGGGCAACATGTTGAAACCCTGTTTCTACTAAAAATACAAAAATTAGCCAGGCATGTTGGCATGCACCTGTAATTCCAGCTACTTGGGAGGCTGAGGTAGGAGAATCACTTGAACCTGGGATGCGGAAGTTGCAATGAGCCGAGGTCACACCACTGCACTGCAACCTGAAAGACAAAGCAAGACTCCATCTTGAAAACAAAAAACAAATCGGTGTTGAATAATGGAAAGTTTAAATATAGAAAAATAAAAAGACAAATGGGGGGTTTCTGTATAAACACTTTTGCAACCTTCTGGACACTTGCAAGATATTACAAGGTTAATGAACGTTTCTTCATTACACATATTAACTCTAGGAGTTTTGACTTTGCTCTTCCTAGACAGAAGTGTTGCCTAATAATGCTGCTTAAATGATACATTTAAAAGAAGACACTCCAATTATGCCAGTTACTGTTATTTATGTGTTTGTCTGGCAGCTAATATGTTTTAAAACAAATAATTTTCTTAATTTTAAAATATGAATTTGAAGGTCTTATTAAATAAAATGCAAGGGTTTTAGCTGAATTTCTATCCAATTTCAGCATACTCAAGGTTAGAAAGTCATTAATGAAATCCGTTTTAAAACCCTATGTATCGAGGGGAAAATCTTTAAACACACAAACATAATATTTCCCATGAAAAAGATATCAAGAAAAGCAACATTTATCATAGTCTAATTTCTAATATATCCTAATGCTTTTTATAAACATGACAGAAAGTTATCTCCTAATATAGGGTGAGTTTATTCCTTTTCTCTGACTTTTGTGGAAGTAGAAAAATAAAGAGTATGTACGGCTGCCATCACCATTGTTAATCAAGCATGAATCAACTATGAGACTGGCTAATTATTTGTAGCCAGGTTTCTTCCACAATGAGTTCTAGGCAGCTCTTAAATGAATTTATTAGGCACCTCCCCCTCAAGATTTTAATGCCTCATAAACACAATGATGAAGATGTCTCAGTCATACTGAAATGAAATGAAAAGCCTACTTTAGATGAGGATCTATTTTCATATATAAAAGCAAAGTTATAAGTGAATTTAAACTTTTGGTATTTATCCAGATTATCCTCTCTGTAGTCCTGTCTTCTTGCCCAGCTGCAATTAAGAGCTTCCCTATTTAGGTTTCCTATTTTGTTAAAACCAGGAAACTGATCTACAGAAGGAAAACAAACTCCATCAAAACACATTATAAGTTCAACTCAAAACAGCACTGCCTATGAATCCTCAGGGTTGCTGAACACAACTATTCTTCTTCCCTGTCATAAGCCTCAAAAGCACTCCAAATACTGCATTTCAGCAGCCTCAGATGTTGACCTTTGAAGGCTGAAACCTCATCACACTCCAGGCTTGGGAGTACTGAGCCTTCAGCTCTCACCCAAGGCAACTGAGGCACGCACCAGAAGCCCTCATTTGTCTCTCCGGGAAGTCAATATTAAACCCTATGCTTTTTAGGACATATCATCTCCAACCTGGTTACATCTATTTCATCCTACCAGAAAAAGCCAGCGAATTGAAATGTTAAAAATAATGACTACTGCACATTTAGCTATGCAAAATGAGATATCATTCCAGGGCTACAGATATCATTGCAATACGGCAGGTCTTTTATTTTTTATTAGAGTAATTCAAAAATATTATATGACTTTATTATTTTATGATCTTTGAACCCATGGACCTCCTCCTCCCTCGTTACATGAACCCATTAAACCTTCCCAACATCACTGGACTGGTGGCAAGTTTCCAGTTCAGTTGCCCTGCACAGCGTACTTGTGATAGACATGGTGAAACTATTTATTGGTGGTCACCAAGTTCAGCTGGGAAGGTGGACTGGGTGGCAACTTTGCAGTGTGATATCTAGAATACTGGGAATGGTGGATACCTCCCTTCCACCACTCCAAGAAAAGATCACTTCCTCCAGAATGGGCAAGGACTAGGGTGAAGCAAGTAAGGCACTGAACTTGGGGGTAGGAGGGTAGCGTGCAGAATTTAAGGAGGTGTCCAAAAACTTAGTAATTAAGATAAATAACATTTTGATGCAATCTTTTCAAAAGTAAAAAATTAACACAGAGAAATCATGATGAGGGAAATATCAAAAATTTTAATAAAAACTGAATTAGAGCCTGCACTTGCATGATTCAGCCTCTCTCCTCACCTAACCCTGGCCCTTCTGGACCGACCTAGTGATCCCAGAAATTTCACACTTCAGAAGCCCCTCTTTTTACATCATTGTCTATAATGAACATGCAAATTTCTGAGAGGAAGCAGCGTATTAAATCTCAGCAAATTATATATAATATAATATAATACGTCATAACATTATAGGCTAATGTTTATTAGCCTACCAACTGCCTTCCAGAAAACAGATTTTGAGGGGGCTGGAAAGAAAACAAGGATTACTGGTTCTCTGTCTTTGGGGTACAACAAATGGGGCAGCAGCAAGTTAAAGCCCTTTCTGTTGCTGATTTGTCCAAGACTAAAGCCACCGTTGCTGGTTTCATACTCAAACAAGATTTCATTTGCTGTACATTCTAGATCCTGGACATACGGGGGCGCTTCCAGGCCACAGATAAGGCTTAGAATGACTTTCTGCTTTTTTAACTTCCAAAATTCATTAGACTCTGTTGCAGCCCCAAGGAAAAAAGCGTAGAATTTTTCTCGGCAGATATATTCAGCCCTTATAGGTTTTACAGCTGCTGTGTATTTATCTAACTATGGAGGATTTGTAAAAAATGCCTCCAATTCAAGAGGACCTATAAAAACTTTCATAGTGCTACAAGGTGAGTACTATGCAGTCATAAAGAAAAATGATGATGATGATGATAAGGCTACCAGTTATTTTTGCCATGGCCATCACTTCAAACAACTTCATAATTTATAGGATGAGTTATAGTATTTTATCTGAATCTACAGTCCCTTAAAATTATAAAGATGCTTATCTTAAACATCCAATAGATTACTTTTTAAAGTAATTGTAAGGAGTGACTCAGACCACCAATGCCAAAAATTACACAACAAATAAGAATTTATTTTGTAATAAATTTTGTTCAAAAATTTTTTGTAAAAAACAGTTCTGTTGCTCCAATGAGATTTCCCCTTCTATATCTAAATACATATTCTCTCTCTCTCAAACAAACAAACAAAAAAATTGTTTATTATTAAATTAAATTCAGTACAAGTTTATGTGTTAAAAATATCAAATAATCTCTTGATTGGAGATTTTTCTCGTTTCAAAGTGTCTAAAGATGAATGAACGTGGTGTTCATTTCTTAACCTTTTCTGTTTTTATTTTTCCTGATCCTACAAAAAAATTTGCAAAGAACATATTAAATACAGATCTTCTGAAACTAAAGGCTAATTTTAAGCTTTGATGCTTAAATGGAAACAAAGTTATTTTCCTAGGAGAGAGATAAATGTTTAATTCAACTCTGGAAAATTCATAGACTATCCCCAAAGTGAAATGAACAAGGTCAGGTCATGCCAGTAGGAATGCAATCCATGACTGTATATCAAGGAAGGAAGAGCTCATACTGATCATTTACAATCCTACAAAACTAAACTTTTAGACACAATATGATTTGCCTATGACATAAGACTTCATATAAAAACATAAAATAATGCAGAACGGAATATGAAAACAAATTCAAGAGATAAAAGGATTGATGAGTGTCCCTACCTATGTTGAGAGAAATTAATTTACACATCCATGTTTTGACTTTGGCGTCCTTAAGGAAATAGAGGCAACATGTATGTGTATATAATATACACTTTTCTTACAGTAGAGATTATGTGAAATGCAGAGGATGTTTCAGGTTGATGAAGATGAAATTAAGGTGCTTAACAAATATCAATAAATGTAATACACTAATAGGCAAACTCTTTAAAAAATTATAGGCTGTCGAAACGCTAGGAAAAGAATTTCCTAGAAATTATTTAATGGAGGGGGGATAAGCACCATTAAATTGAAAATTTGAGAAGAACTTGGACAATTTTTATGTTGATTTTTAGATCACCTCTTATGCTTTCTTTATGCTAACAACTTAGCTGGTTTCATATTGCCATATACTAAAATTTTCCATATCAAAAAATTACTAAGATAATGGCTAATCAGTTGTTCATTCAAATGTTTCCTTTCTTTGTTCTTACACTACACATTAAAAAACATGAATGACTGCTCAGACAAATTCAAGCTCCACACTTAGATATGTGTAAAATAGCCTACTCCTTTTAAATTCAACCTTGGAAATGCTAGTTGTGCTTAGATTAATCCTTTGACAAACCTGTAAAATAGAAAGCATGACATTAGCTCACATGGGACGTAATTCTAGACCAAATTTCAGAGTTCTGTAGTCACTATGTTGGCACTTAATTAAGGAGTAGGCTCTTCAAAAATACCTTCCAAATCAATCTTTTCCAGAAATGTTTCTCTGCATCTTGAGAATTTGCAAAGTTCTTGTGCCACTTATAAAAACAGAAATATTCTATTTACTAAAGGCTAGAATTTGAAAAGTTAGCATTTGATATTAAAAATTCTTCATTTTTTTCCTGCAAGAGTTGAAAAATTAACTCCTTGTGACTGAATACATTAATACACTAATGTATTGTGTTATATGTTTTTATAACTGTTACAATCTAAACAGAAATCAGAAAGATTATTTTATTTATGTATAAAATTATCAAATAACTTCAGATTTTTGGAAGACAACTAAAGGGAAAAATATTAAGGAAATATAAATATTGAATTGCAATACAACTAATTAGGTAAGCTGATAAGTTGTTCACAGTTTAAAATGTTGAGCCATTCAGTCATAGTCATTGTAAAGACATTTCGCTCTAACTAGGACATTTTCAAAACAAAACTAAGTATAGCTCCATTATTCAACTTAAGGGCATTAAATGAGAAAATGCAGAATGTGTTCAAAAAATTTTAAAGGACTATCCAACTTTGTAGGATGCAAAAAACTCAGGACTTCAGGAATAAACAGAATACATAGAAAATTATCCTGAAAAGTGTAAATGGAGAGACGTTGACAAGGCTATTACAACTGACCATTCCTGAACTGAGAGAAAATTGTTCTGAGGATTACATATTTTTAGCTTTTAATGTCACGCTAACCTATTCCAGATGATATGATATTTCTCATGAGAAATACTAGATTCCTAAGGAAATAAACAAGGTGTTTAAGAAGAAGACATTGAATTTTATATTCTTTAATTTGTTTCTAATTCATTTTATACATTTAGAAAAAAATATTGAGCACACAAATTCCATGTCACTTTCATGTTAATTTGATGTGTAAGTTATGTTACAGGACACAAAATTGATACTATGAAAGTAAATAAATGTGCTCAAGTTAAGTATTTAATTTGTAACATTCTTATTATTATACCAAATATGTTATTGGTTCTACAAGAGAAAAGTTAAATCACTGAAAAAGTACATTGAAAGTTTGGCAATCAAATGTTTTCTTTTAAGTATATTTCAAGTTTGAAATTGATTAGTGAGTCTCCTATTTATTAACTACAAATTGAAAATTGCCTCCTTTAAAGAGTGCCAGGCAACCATGACTAATCTAAAAGTTTTAAGAAATGTAATGAGATTATGATATCGGTAAAAAATTTGTAATTAAAAGTTTATTTGCCTAACAAATACTCCTACAAGCAATAACCACTATCAATGATTTATTTTCTTTTAGCCACTGCAGCAAAATGTTTGGTTGATGTTCTCAGCCATCTTGCAAATCGAAAGTAAATATCTACATAGAATTACATTTATCTCAACGCTGTTACTGTGAAACTAATAACCATATAAAATGAATTCATTTTTTCTCTAATATAATGAAATACCTGCCTTATTTACAATGTTTATTATTTGGGTGATTTTTTAATGGCATCTACATCTTCACATTGTTTTTTCTGTGAATTAAATTATGTGTCCCAAACAAAATTATATTTGTTCAGGGACTAGTTAAAGATGAATGGAAATTTTCTATATTCTGAAACGTGAAGAGACCTTAATACTCAAGATTTCAGTCTATCTCTTGGAAACTTTTTGTAGTCTTTCTAGAATAAAAGTACCATAAAAATTATTACCTTAATGTCCGAAATTCTTTATAGCTATTGCTGTAGCTGATCTTTAACAGAAGAAAACGTGAATGAAACAATGACCTAATCAATAATGTAGCAAAAAGTGCATGCACAAACTCTAGGTCCCTTTTAAGTTATTTTGCTTTTCTCTCTGTCTGATGCCAGTTTTTTATCTGACTTATTATGTGAGCTTTTCTGTGTGCACTTACAGTGAATAGTAGCTGCTAAAATGTATAGATAATGATTGTCTCTCCACATTTAAATGGTAAATTCCAAACAGAAAGTTAAAGGTAATTTACTGGCATTATTGCCTGAATCCTTTCTAACCCCTTGGGATTAAGGATAATAAGAAAGACTTTATCACAATAAAAGTGTTTCAATTTTTTTTCAAAGCATAGATTGTGAGAGCTAGGTCATCAATGATATTTGAGGATAATCAACATTTCATACATTTGCTGCCATCTTTTGAGAAGCAGTGTTAGCCTCATAGTCAAGAGTGTGAGCTCTGGAGCAAGACCACCTAGGTTCAAGTCCTGGCTCTGTCACTTACTAGCTGATGAATTCAGGCACATTCATTTCCCTATGGTTCAGTTGTCCTCATCTATCAAAGAGGAATAAATGATGATGACCTCATCATTCAATGACCTGCCTCATTGAATCACTGTAGGAATTAAATGAGTTTAAACTGTGAGAACACCTTAAGACAGGGAATGTCTGGAATGTACTAAGCACTCTATATGTGTTTACTGGTTTTTAAAAAATTACATGCTTTTTGTGAATTTGCACTTAATCTTATCAGAGTAGCAGTTTTATTATCCCAATCTTGCAGATGTTGGGTATCATCACTCTGCCTTTGTTATCACTAGTCTTTAATACCTTATCACAGCAAAAGGCAATAACTAGGAGCTCCAACTTTTCTTTCAGATTTTCCTCTTCCCTTTGCAACTGATTAACTGTTTAAGTCTTACTGTGAAAAACCAGCAAGGAACAACTCACTTGTGCTTTTGCTTTTAGCAACTGGGTTGGAGATAAGATGACCATGATTTATGATAAAAAAATAAAAGTGCTTAACCCAGACATCTTATTAACAAATGTGGTTACTGTTAAGACATGTAATTTTTTTTTCTGTTATCTTATTCACATGCCATGAAGAATTCCAGCTCGGAATTAGGGTTTTTCAAGGCATGAAATATCTGACAGTAAAGGGTCAAAATAGAAAAGTATATACTCCCCTGTCAAATAATATTCCAAAATAATATTGGAAAGTATCAGACAGGAATGAAAGTATCATTTGTTAATTCATTCAGGACATATTTAATGATTTCCCATTATTTCACAGGGCAAACTGGAATTCAAAGCAGAACTTATAAGAGTGGTAAAACTTTATAATAGTGTCTAGGAGCAATTTTGTGAGCTCAGATTAAACCTTTTCATTGTCACCAAGGAGTCAACCTAAAAGCCTATGAAAATGATGTTCATTTTGTATTCTACCCTTACAAAGTTCTTATAGGCCTATAGTAACAGCTATGACTCCTGACCCCCGCACCAAAAAGTAAGGCACACGCTTGGACTAAGTCGGTTAGGAATAGGAATGGATAAATAATGGGGCAATACAAAGATCCCTGGTCAACTTCACAGTCTGTCATCTAGGTGCTCCGGTTTTTAACATCTTCTGCAACCTTCGGGAAACAGAACAGATCATCGCAATCTACTGTTTTTTTTTTTTTTTCCTCTAAGAAAATGCCCATGGAAAAGTGCTGGATGTCTTGCAAATCTGTTATCGCAATGCAAAATCACACCGAGTTTCTTTAAGAATCACAGTGCATTCCCTCTCTCCCAGAACTAAATAAAGCCTGCCTTGGGAAGCAATTCAAAACTGGAATTCTGCTTCTACATTGCTCAGTTACCCAGGCAGCTGAAGCCTTTGAACAGGTCTCAGAAAGTCCCTCAAATACAGTCTTTTTAGGTCAAATGAGAACAGTCCTGTTAAGTCATACACTAATTCCTCTCTACAAACAGAAGTCTGGTTAATTCTCAGGGAGCTAAGAAAAAAAACAAAGATCCTCTTTCTTCCAGAAAAATTTTTTTTCTTAAAAAAACTATACCATTATGGTTTTTTTTACTTAAACTCTAAGGACAAAATTTTTTTAAGACTTCCATTGTTGATTAAAATAATATTTTATTATAATATTAAGCAAATATGCAAAAACATAAAATTAGGTTATATATTTTAGATCATTTATAGCTCTAAAAAGAAACACATTTTAAAATGTAATGCCAACAAAAAATTAAGCGAATGACATTACTTTAATGTGATAAATCATATTTTGCTAAAACAAAATCCACTGCCCACAATGTAAACATGGTGCTGACGTTATGATGGAGAAATTTCTGGATTAGCATGCCCAAATTATTATGTACTGGGTGATGAATTCATATTTCTGTATCTACCCTCTATGTAAACTGGAGTTCTGAAGTAAGGCTGCCTTAGTTCAAATCCCAAAGCTGTCACTTCCTATGTTCTGAATGTGTGACGATGGGCAAATTACTTAACATCAATGTGCCTCAGTTTCCACATCTGTAAACTGGTCATACTAATAATAACACCTACTTCATAGGGCTCTTGCGAAGCTTATGGGGGGTAAGCATAAAGTACCTGGTATACAGTCAGTACTCAATTAATATTAATTATTACCTTTTATTACCTTGAGCTCTGCATAATAAGTCTGCAAAGACTCAAGCCTTACTTCAATAGACACAGCAGACAATGGGTAGTGGAATTTCAACTTCCTCAGGGAAAAAGGAACTAGCCCAAACCAGGTTTTTTACATAAAGCCACCGGCTTGGTTTGCACACACAAGAATGAAGGCTGGAGTTACCACGAGAAACAAGTTGCTTTTTTGGAAAACAGGTGAAGACGCACCCACCACCAGACCCTGCTCATGGACTGGGACTCAGACTGTAATTTCCCAACATGAAAGCCACTGAAGTAAAACTGCTTCTGAATTGGGGTCACCTGCACCATCAGTTTCTTTTCTACTGAATTATTTCCATCCACATAAAAGTATCACTTAATATTTCATACATAATATGTCTTTTATTGTAGTAAAGTGTAGTAACATAAAATTTACGATATTACCATTTTAACCCTTTAACCATTTTTAGATGTACAATTCTGTGGCATTAAGCACATTCACATTGTTGCACAATCATCACCACCATCCATTTCACTTTTCATCTTCCCAAACCAAAACTGAAGGCCCTTTAAAAATTAGCTCTTCATTCCCTCTTTTCCCAGCCCCCAACAACCACCATGCTACTTTCTGTCTCTATGAATTTGACCATTCTAAGGACCTCATATAAATGGAATCATACAATATTTATCCCTTGTGTTTTTTAAACAAAATGCCTTCTCTTGACACCATATCTCCTTCCAATCGTGGCCCTATTTTTCTGATCTCCACCAGAGTAAAACTTTTAGAAAAAGCTGTCTGTACTTGGCTCTACTTTCTCCCTTCTCATCTTCTCTCCAAGTTACTTTAAAGGGACTTTCATCCCAAATATTGGTCAAATATTGACAAAGCCAATGATCAATGCTTTGTCCTTGTATTACCCAACCCAACCCACTCAGTAGCATTCGAAAGGTCTGACCACTGTCTCCTCCTAGAAACACTATCCTCTCCAGCCCTCCCTGACTGTAAACTTGCCTGGTTCTCCTCCTACCTCATGGCTGCTCTTCCTCCAGCTTTTTTGTTGGCTCCTCCCCCAGCTGCCAGATCTCCAAAGGTCAGAGTGCCCCAGGGCTCCGTCCTTGATTCTCTTCTCTTTTCCATGCACGCAGTGCCACTCAAAGCCTTGGTCTGCATACCAGTGTCAGTCCATTAACTATTTGTTACCAGACTGCAATGACAGAAATACAGAAACTGACTAAGCCTTTAGAAAGTTCTAATCGCAATTTGACAGTATATGTTTCTGTTGTTGTATCTAAGAATAAAAAATTAGGCTTGAATTTGAATACCTTTTTTAAATAGTTTATATTTCATTTTTATAATGATTTATACAATTGTATTTTACAAAGTATTGGTTTGCATCAGATTGGATTAGAAAAATAAAACTGGTCCTTCCCCACAGACAGTTTTGAGAAGCGCTGATCCACATTATTTCCTGGGTGATGTCATCTAGCCCAATAGTTTTTAATAATATTTCTATGCTGATCATTCTCATAATTTATGTCATCATCTCTGACCTCTTCTGTAAGCTCCAGACTTGGATATCCAACTGCCTACTTAAAATCTCCACTTGGATGTCAAGTGGGCATACAAACCTTAACATGAACAAAACAGAACTATTAAATAAACAACAAAAAAGAGTCAAACAATAAAAATAGAAGTTTATTCCTTGAAAAGTCTCATAAAATAATCTGCACTAAATCACAACAGGGGAAAAGAGAAGACAAAATAAGCAATATGAGAACAAAGGGGCTGGTAACTATACATCAGTAGAGATTTTAAAATAGGAGTACACTGTGAACAAGTTTACTAAAATAAATTTGGAAAATGAAACATACAAATGCCTAAAAAATATAAATTACCATAATTGACGCAAAAATAAAAAGAAATAGAAAACCTGAACATACCAATAGCCATTAGGGAAACTAAAAAGTCATTCAAAAATCTGCTCCTATCCCACACCAAAAGGGTATAAGGCCTAGACAATTTTACAAATGAATCTAACCAAACTCAAGCAACAGATATTTCATAAACTATAATTTATAATTGTCATGTCTTCCTGCTCAGTTGACATTTATTATTATATAATGTCAAAAACTATCACAAGAGATATAGAAAGACATTATTTCATAATAAAAGGGTCAATTCACCCAGGAAGATATGACAATTATAAATATATCCATCCCCAACATCACAGCACCTAAATATATAAAGCAAACATTGACAGAACTGAAAGAGAAATAGACACAAATGTAATAATAATAGGAAACTTAAACACCCCACCTTCAATAATGGATAGAGCATCCAGACAGAAAAACAATAAGGAAACAGCAAATTTGAAGAGCATTATAGATAAAAATGGACCTAACAGACACATGTAGAACAAATTTAAGAACACTGCAATCATACCAAGTATCTTCTTCAACCACAATGAATGAAACTAGAAACAACAGAAAAGGGAAGCTAGAAACTCCATAGATATGTGGAAATTAAGCAACACATTCTTGAATAACCAATGGGTCAAAAGAGAAATGAAAGGGAAATTAGAAAACACCTTGAAACAAATAGACATGAAAATAAAATGTACCAAAACTTACAGGAGGCAGCAAGAAACGCATTACCAAGAGCAAAGTTTATGGCAATAAACCCCTATGTTAACAAAGAAGAAAAGTCTCAAATTAACAAACCAACCTCAAAGAACTAGGAGAACAGACTAAGCCCAATTTCAGCAGAAGAAAGGGAAAAATAAAGATTAGAGTATAAATAAAATAGAAAACTTTTAAAAATCGGCAACACTTTTTTGAAAAAACATCAATAAAGTTGACAAACCTTTGGCTAGGCTAAGAGACAAAAAGAGAAGACTTAAATAAAAAATGGAAGAGCAGTCATTACAACTAATGCCACAGAATTAAAAAGAATAAGAGAATACTATGAGCAATTATACACCAACAAATTGGATAACTTACAAGAAATTGATAAATTCTTAGAAACACACACCCTAACAAGACTGAATAATGAAGAAATTGAAAATCTGAACAGACCTATAACCAGTAAGGAGATTGAATCAATAATCAAAAACCTCTCAATAAAGAAAAGTCCAAGACCAGATGGCTTCACTGGTAAATTTTACCAGACATTTAAAGAAAATTTAACATCAATTCTTCTCAATCTCTTCTAAAAAAAATTGAAGAGGGGAGAACACTTTCCAACTCTTTTGAAGCCAGTGTTACCCTAATGCCAAAGCCAGACAAAGATATTACAAAAAAAAAGAACCTACAGACCAATACTCCTGATAAACACAAATACAAAAATCCTCAACAAAATATTAGCAAAGGCCAGTTGTGGTGGCTCATGCCTGTAATCCCAGCACTTTGGGAGGCTGAAGCTGAAGGATTGCTTGAGGCCAGGAATTTGAAACCAGCCCTGGCAACATAGCAAGACCCTGTCTCCACAAAAAAAATTAAAACTTAGCAAGGCATGGTGGCATGTACCTATAGTCCCAGCTACTCAGGAGGCTGAGGCAGGAGGATCACTTGATCCCAGAAGTTTGAGGTAAGAGTGAGCTATGATCACACACTTACACTCCAGCCTGGGTGACAGGAAAGACCCTGTCTCAAACAAAACAAAACAAAACAAAACATTAGCAAACTGCATTAAATAGCACATTAAAAGGATCCTACACCATAACCAATTTAGATTTTTCCATGGAATGCAAAGTATTTCAACATACAAAAATTAGTGTAATATACCACATTAACAGAACGAGGGGCAAAAAACACACGATCATGTCAGTAGATGTAGAAAGAGCATTTGGCAAAATTCAACACCCTTTCATAACGAAAACTCTCAACAAACTAGGAATAGAAGGAGATTTCAACATAAAAAAATTACATATGAAAAGTCAGTTAACCTTATACTCAGTGGTGGAAAATTGAAAAGTTCTCCCCCTAAGATTAGGAGCAAGACAAGGATGCCCAGTCTAGCTACTTCTTTTCAACACAGTACTGGAAGTTCTAGCCAGAGAAATTGGACAGGAGAAAGAAATAAGTATCTAAATCAGAAAGAAAGAAGTAAAATTATCTCTCTTTGCTGATGACATGATCTTATACATAGAAAATTCTAAAGACTGTAGACACACACACACACACACACACACACACACACAAACAGAGAGAGAGAGAAACTGTTAGAACTAAGACAAATTCAGGGAGTAGTGGTTCTCCCAGCATGCAGCCGGAGATCTGAGAACGGACAGACTGCCTCCTCAAGTGGGTCCCTGACCCCCAAGTAGCCTAACTGGGAGGCACCCCCAAGTAGGGGCAGACTGACACCTCACACGGCTGGGTACTCCTCTGAGAAAAAACTTCCAGAGGAACGATCAGGCAGCAACATTTGCTGTTCACCAGTATCTGCTGTTCTGCAGCCTCCGCTGCTGATACCCAGGCAAACAGGGTTTGGAGTGGACCTCCCATAAACTCCAACAGATCTGCAGCTGAGGGTCCTGACTGTTAGAAGGAAAACTAACAAACAGAAAGGACATCCACACCAAAACCCCATCTGTACGTCACCATCATCAAAGAACAAAGGTAGATAAAACCACAAAGATGGGGGAAAAACAGAGCAGAAAAACTGGAAACTCTAATAATCAGAGCACCTGTCCTCCTCCAAAGGAATGCAGCTCCTCACCAGCAACGGAACAAAGCTGGACAGAGAATGACTTTGACGAGCTGAGAGAAGAAGGCTTCAGATGATCAAACTACTCTGAGCTAAAGGAGGAAGTTCAAACCCATGGCAAAGAAGTTAAAAACCTTGAAAAAAAATTAGACGAATGGCTAACTAGAATAACCAATGCAGAGAAGTCCTTAAAAGACCTGATGGAGCTGAAAACCAAGGCACAAGAACTACATGACAAATGCAAGAGCCTCAGTAGCCAATTCGATCAACTGGAAGAAAGGGTATCAGTGATGGAAGATCAAATGAATGAAATGAAGTGAGAAGAGAAGTTTAGAGAAAAAAGAATAAAAAGAAACGAACAAAGCCTCTAAGAAATATGGGACTATGTGAAGAGACCAAATCTACATCTGATTGGTGTACCTGAAAGTGACGGGGAGAATGGAACCAAGCTGGAAAACACCCTTCAGGATATTATCCAGGAGAACTTCCCCAATCTAGCAAGGCAGGCCAACATTCAAATCAGGAAATACAGAGAATGCCACAAAGATATTCCTCAAGAAGACCAACCCCAAGACACATAATTGTCAGATTCACCAAAGTTGAAATGAAGGAAAAAATGTTAAGGGCAGCCACAGAGAAAGGTTGGGTTACCCACAAAGGGAAGCCCATCAGACTAATACCTGATCTCTCAGCAGAAACTCCGCAAGCCAGAAGAGAGTGGGGGCCAATATTCAACATTCTTAAAAGAATTTTCAATCCAGAATTTCATATCCAGCCAAACTAATCTTCATAAGTGAAGGAGAAATAAAATCTTTTACAAACAAGCAAATGCTGAGAGATCTTGTCACCACCAGGCCTGCCCTAAAAGAGCTCCTGAAGGAAGCACTAAACATGGAAAGGAACAACCGGTACCAGCCACTGCAAAATCATGCCAAATTGTAAAGACCATCGAGGCTACGAAGAAACTGCATCAACTAATGAGCAAAATAACCAGCTAACATCATATTGACAGGATCAAATTCACACATAACAATATTAACCTTAAATGTAAATGGGCTAAATGCTCCAATTAAAAGACACAGACTGGCAAGTTGGATAAAGAGTCAAGTCCCATCAGTGTGCTGTATTCAGGAAACCCATCTCACGTGCAGAGACACACATAGGCTCAAAATAAAGGGATGGAGGAAGATCTACCAAGCAAATGGAAAATAAAAAAAGGCAGGGACTGCAAACCTAGTCTCTGATAAAACAGACTTTAAACCAACAAAGATCAAAAGAGACAAAGAAGGCCATTACATAATGGTAAAGGGATCAATTCAACAAGAAGAGCTAACTATCCTAAATATATATGCACCCAATACAGGAGCACCCAGATTCATAAAGCAAGTCCTTAGAGACCTACAAAGAGACTTAGACTCCCACACATTAATAATGGGAGACTTTAACACCCCACTGTCAACATTAGACAGACCAACGAGACAGAAAGTTAACAAGGATATCCAGGAATTGAACTCAGCTCTGCAGCAAGCGGACCTAATAGACATCTACAGGACTCCACCCCAAATCAACAGAATCTACATTCTTCTTAGCGCCACACCACACCTATTCCAAAACTGACCACATAGTTGGAAGTAAAGGAGTCCTCAGCAAATGTAAAAGAACAGAAATTATAACAAACTGACTCTCAGACCACAGTGCAATCAAACTAGAACTCAGGATTAAGAAACTCACTCAAACCACTCAACTACATGGAAACTGAACAACCTGCTCCTGAATGACTACTGGGTACATAATGAAATGAAGGCAGAAATAAAGATGTTCTTTGAAACCAATGAGAACAAAGACACGACATACCAGAATCTCTGGGACACATTCAAAGCAGTGTGTAGAGGGAAATGTATAGCACTAAATGCCCACAAGAGAAACCAGGAAAGATCCAAAATTGACACCCTAACATCACAATTAAAAGAACTAGAGAAGCTAGAGCAAACAGATTCAAAAGCTAGCAGAAGGCAAGAAATAACTAAGATCAGAGCAAAACTGAAGGAAATAGAGACACAAAATACCCTTCAAAAAATCAATGAATCCAGGAGCTGGTTTTCTGAAACGATCAACAAAATTGATAGACCGCTAGAAAGACTAATAAAGAAGAAAAGAGAAGAATCAAATAGATGCAATAAAAAATGATAAAGGGGATATCACCACCGATCCCACAGAAATACAAACTACCATCAGAGAATACTATAAACACGTCTACACAAGTAAACTAGAAAATCTAGAAGAAATGGATAAATTCCTTGACATATACACCCTCCCAAGACTAAAACAGGAAGAAGTTCAATCTCTGAATAGACCAATAACAGGCTCTGAAATTGAGGTAATAATTAATAGCCTACCAACCAAAAAAAGTCCAGGACCAGACAGATTCACCGCCGAATTCTACCACAGGGACAAGGAGGAGCTGGTACCATTCCTTCTGAAACTATCCCAATCAATAGAAAAAGAGGGAATCCTCCCTAACTCATTTTATGAGGCCAGCATCATATTGATACCAAAGCCTGGCGGAGACACAACCAAAAAAGAGAATTTTAGACCAATATCCTTGATGAACTTTGATGCAAAAATCCTCAATAAAATACTGGCAAACCGAATACAGCAGCACATCGAATACTTATCCACCATGATCAAGTGGGCTTCATCCCTGGGATACAAGGCTGGTTCAACATATGAAAATCAATAAATGTAATCCAGCATATAAACAGAACCAATGACAAAAACCTCATGATTATCTCAATAGATGCAGAAAAGGCCTTTGACAAAATTCAACAACCCTTCATGATAAAAACTCTCAATAAACTAGGTATTGATGGGACATATCTAAAAATAATAAGAGCTATCTATGACAAACCCACAGCCAATATCATACTGAATGGGCAAAAACTGGAAGCATTCCCTTTGAAAACTGGCACAAGACAGGGATGCCCTCTCTCACCACTCCTATTCAACATAGTTTGGAAGTTCTGGCCAGGGCAATCAGGCAGGAGAAGGAAATAAAGGGTATTCAATTACGAAAAGAGGAAGTCAAATGGTCCCTGTTTGCAGATGACATGATTGTATATCTAGAAAAACCCATCGTCTCAGCCCAAAATCTCCTTAAGCTGATAGGCAACTTCAGCAAAGTCTCAGGATACAAAATCAATGTGCAAAAATCACAAGCATTCTTATACACCAATAACAGACAAACAGAGAGCCAAATCATGAGTGAACTCCCATTCACAATTTCTTCAAAGAGAATAAGATACCAGGAATCCAACTTACAAGGGACATGAAGGACCTCTTCAAGGAGAACTACAAACCACTGCTTAATGAAGTAAAAGAGGATACAAACAAATGGAAGAACATTCCATGCTCATGGGTAGGAAGAATCAATATCATGAAAATGGCCATACTGCCCAAGGTAATTTATAGATTCAATGCTATCCCCATCAAGCTACCAATGACTTTCTTCACAGAATTGGAAAAAACTACTTTAAATTTCATATGGAACCAAAAAGAGCCCGCATTGCCAAGACAATCCTAAGCCAAAAGAACAAAGCTGGAGGCATCATGCTACCTGACTTCAAACTATACTACAAGGTACAGTAACCAAAACAGCATGGTACTGGTACCAAAACAGAGATATAGAACAATGGAACAGAACAGAGCCCTCAGAAATAATGCCACACATCTACAACCATCTGATCTTTGACAAACCTGACTAAAACAAGCAATGGGGAAAGGATTCCATATTAATAAATGGTGCTGGGAAAACTGGCTAGCCATATGTAGAAAGCTGAAACTGGATCCCTTCCTTACACCTTATACAAAAATTAATTCAAGATGGATTAAAGACTTAAATGTTAGACCTAAACCCATAAAAACCCTAGAGGAAAACCTAGGCAATACCATTCAGGACATGGGCATGGGCAAGGACTTCATGTCTAAAACACCAAAAGCAATGGCAACAAAAACCAAAATTGACAAATGGAATGTAATCAAACTAAAGAGCTTCTGCACAGCAGAAGAAACCACTATCAGAGTGAACAGGCAGCCTACAGAATGGGAGAAAATTTTTGCAATCTACTCATCGGACAAAGGGTTAATATCCAGAATCTACAAAGAACTCAAATTTACAAGAAAAAAACAAACAACCCCATCAAAAAGTGGGCGAAGGATATGAACAGACACTTCTCAAAAGAAGACATTTAGGCAGCCAAAACACACACGAAAAAATGCTCATCATCACTGGCCATCAGAGAAATGCAAATCACAACCACAATGAGGTACCATCTCACACCAGTTAGAATGGCGATCATTAAAAAGTCAGGAAACAACAGGTGCTGGAGAGGATGTGGAGAAATAGGAACATTTTTACACTGTTGGTGGGACTGTAAACTAGTTCAACCGTTGTGGAAGACAATGTGGCGATTCCTCAAGGATCTAGAACTAGAAATACCATTTGACCCAGCCATCCCATTACTGGGTATATACCCAAAGGATTATAAATCATGCTGCTATAAAGACACATGCACATATATGTTTATTGTGGCACTATTCACAATAGCAAAGACTGGGAACCAACCCAAATGTCCAACAATGATAGACTGGATTAAGAAAATGTGGCACATATACACTGTGGAATACTATGCACCCATAAAAAAGGATGAGTTCATGTCCTTTGCAGGGACATGAATGAAGCTGGAAACCATCATTCTGAGCAAACTATTGCAAGGACAAAAAACCAAACACTGCATGTTCTCACTCATAGGTGGG
Organism: Homo sapiens; assembly: GCF_000001405.40. Lineage (NCBI taxonomy): Eukaryota > Metazoa > Chordata > Mammalia > Primates > Hominidae > Homo > Homo sapiens. The sequence goes on from NC_000001.11 coordinate 219,892,618, forward strand.
AACTGAACAATGAGAACACATGGACACAGGAAGGGGAACATCACACACCGGGGCCTGTTGTGGGGTTGGGGGAGTGGGGAGGGGTAGCATTAGGAGATATACCGAATGTTAAAAGACAAGTTAATGGGTGCAGCACAGCAACATGGCACATGTATACATATGTAACTAACCTGCATGTTGTGCACATGTACCCTAAAACTTAAAGTATAATAAAAAAAATTCTATGAGAAAAAAAAGAATTAAGACAAATTCAGTAAAGTTGCAAGATACAATATCAACATATAAAAGTCAGTTGCATTCTACACACTAATAATGAACTATGTAAAAAGGAAATTAAGAAAATAATCCTATTTGTAATAGCATCAAAAAGAGTAAAATAAGCTTACAAGCTTAACAAAGAAAGTGAAAGATTTGTACACTGAAAACTACAAAACAACGATAAAAGAAATAAAAGAAGACACAAATAAATGGAAAAACATGCCTAGTTCATGGACTGGAAACTTAAGATTGTTAAAATGGTCATACTATCCAAAGTGACCTACAGATTCAATGCAATCCCTATCAAAATGCCAGTGGCATTTTGAAATAGAAACAACAATCCTAACTCATATGGAACCACAAAGGACTCCAGATAGCCAAAACAATCTTGAAAAAGAGCAAAGCTGGAAGCATCGTGGTTTTTATTTCAAAAATATATTATAAAGCTACGGTAATTTAAAAAGTATGATAGTGGCATAAACACAGGAACATAGGCCAATGAAACAGAATACAGAGCCTAGAAATAAACACAGAGCCTAGAAATAAATCCATTCATTTGTGATCAATTGACCATGCCAAGAATACACAATGGGGAAAGAATAGTATCTTCAACAAACGGTTTCGGGGCCAGGCACAGTGGTTCACACCTGTATTCCCAGGACTTTGGGAGGCTGAGGCTGATGGATCACTTGAGCCCAAGAGTTCAAGACCAGCCTGGGCAACATGGCGAGACCCTGTCTCTACAAAAAATGCAAAAGTTAGCCAAATGTGGTGGCACACGCCTGTGATCCAAGCTACTCAGGAGGCTGAGATAGGAGGACTGGCTTGAGCCTGGGAAGTAAAGGCTGCACTGAGCCATGTTTGCACCACCGCACTTCAGTCTGGGTGATAGAGCAAGAGCCTGTCTCAAATAAATAAACGGTGTTGGGAAAACCAAATATCCACATGCAAAAGAATAAAATTGGAACCTTAATTTACACCATACACAAGAATCAATTCAAAGTAGATTAAAAAATTAAATGTAATATCTAAAAGAGTAAAACCCCTATAAGAAAATATAGGGGAAAACCTCATGGCAGTGGTCTTGGCAATAATTTCTTGGATGTGACATTAAAAGTACACACAACAAAAGCAAAAATAGACAAGATGAGTTACATCGAACTAAAAAGTTTCTGCACAGCAAAGGGGACATTAACAGAGTGAAATACAATCTACAGAATGGGAGAAAATATTTGCAAGCCATATATCTGATGAGGGGTTAATATTCAAAATATATAAGGAACTCCTTCAATTCTAGCAAAAAGAAAAAAAAACGCTCAATTTAAAAATGAACATTTCTCAAAAAAAGACATACAAATGGCCAATACTTATATGAAAGGATACGCAACATCACTAATCATCAGAGAAATTCAAATCACAGTAGGTATCACCTCACAGCCATTAGAATGGCTATTTAAAAGTAAATAAATAAATAACACGCATTGATGAGGGCATAGAGAAATTGGAACCCTTGCATTTTGTTGGTAGGAATATAAAATGATGCAGCTGCCATGGAAAATAGTATAGAGGTTTCTCAAAAAAATAAAAACACAACTACTATATGATTCAGCAATCACTTCTGGGTGTTTATCCAAAAGAACTGAAATCGAGATCTCAAAGAGATATTTGCACTCCCATGTTTATTGCAGCATTATTCAGAATGGTCAAGATGTGGAAACAACCTAAATGTAAATGGATGAATGAATGGGTTTTTTAAACGTGGTATAGACATACAAGGTCGTAATATTCACCCTTAAAAAGGAAAGAAATTCTGCCACATGCAACAACATGGATGAACCCTGAGGACATTATATATGCTAAGTGAAATATACCAGTCACAAAAGAACAAATACTTCACGATTCCACTAATATGAGGTATCTAAAAATAGCCAAACACATAGAAACAGAGAACAGAATAGCAGTTGTCAAGGACTGGGTGAGAGAGAAATAGAGTTGCTCTGCAACAGGTATAAAGTTTGTTATGCAAGATGATTGAGTTCTGGATATCTGTTGTACAGCATCATGCCTACAGTTATCTATACTGTATTGTACACTTAAATATTTGTTGAGAGGGTAGATGTCATGTTAAGTATTCTTACTACAATTTAAAAAATTAAAATGATTTCCACATAAGCAATAATAGTTGGGTGACGTGTATTTATACTAACAGATAAGAATTCTTAATCTAAATTGATATGGTAATTTAAATAATTTTTATTTCTTTCTTATTTCATAAGAATAAAAGGCAAATATACAAATATGCAAAACAAAAAAGAGTGAAAGCTGTTCATAGAATCAATAGAAGGGCTCAAGAAAGAGCCCTAGACTGGGCTTCCAAGAAAATCTACAACTGCAGCATAGAACCTTGCTACAAAGCGATCTCTGTCTCGGCCATGTTTTCAGAAAGCCAATCTGCCATCTCCCATTCATATTATGAAAATTCAATGCCATTTCTATCAAAACTCCACAGGATATCTTTGTGTATGAAAACCTATAAACAGATTCAAAAATTTATTTGATAGTATAAAGATTCAAGAATAGCCAAGTCAATTTTCTAAACAGATTACTAGCAAACACTTTCACGGACAACTGCAGTTCAGGAACATTTTGAAAGGGAATATCTAACTTCCAGTAGTAGGGAAAGTGTGAGAGAAGGAGCATGCCTTAAGATATAATTTAAATGTCTTAGAGGACCTTTGCTTCCGGCAAATGCAAACCAGGACATTCAGGCCAACTCTTCTGCTGAGGACAACTAGAAAAGTGGAAATTTAAATCTGCTTAGAGGCAATAGAGAACTATCAAGCAAATGCAGAATTACCAGTTTAGGAGATGGGGGATGAGAAGGTGCAGGAAAGTAAGCCCAATGTTTGGGATTGCTTGTCCCTAAGAACTCCTGGGAAGTTTTGTGTCACTTTGGAAATTCTTGCAGTTTTAGGGAGACAGGTATTGGAGTGAGAGTTTGCCAACAGGTGAACCTGATAAACATCCCTTGCATTAGATTAGAATCTTAACAGGATTCATTTAGAAGTAAGTGTAAACCAGATGTAAATAGATCCTTACAGAAGAGCAATTCAGCTAGAATCCTCTCAGTCTGTAACATTGGATTGAGATGATCCAGCATTGTTAGTGCCCCCTGGATAACTGGGAAAAGCAAAATGATATCCTTTCTGTGATAAAATAACATCAGTCTAGCCTCAAATTATTTATACAAAAAAATTTTGCCAAACAATGTGAAGCATACAACCAAAAATAAGCAGACAAACAAGAAGACAATGTGACATGAATAAAAACCAAGAAGGAAAAAACTAGAGTAAATAAATATCAACAAGGACTTCAGTTATTATAGTTTCAAAGACAGTCTTCAAAATAAATAAGTTCACAAGCTCAAGAAGATGAAAGCATGAAAACTTCAGCAGAGAACTGAGAAAAATATATATGCATGTACCTGAAGAAACAAATGAAAATTGAAAAACTAAAAAGTAAAATAATTAAAATTGAAAACTTGGTGCCTGAGTATAACAGCTTTTACATACACTTAAAAAGATTAGTAATGAGTTGGAAGATAAATCATAAGAAAATATTCAAAATAAAGCATGGAAAGATAAAGAGATGGGAAACAGGTGATAGGGTATATGAAAGGCACAGTGAGAAGATTTAACATATGAATATACCTAGAAGGGAAGAAGAAGGAGAATGGAAAAGAAGCAATACTTGAAGACATAATAGCTGATGTTGTCCAGGCTGAAGTCCTGAGCTCAAGCGATCCAAGCGATCCACCCACCTTGACCTCCCAAGGTGCTGGGATTATAGGCATGAGCCACTGCACCTGGCCTCCAATGCAATTTTATAAAGCTTTCCCAATTAGTGAAGTGCCAGATGTTACAGCTTCTTACTGTAATGACTTGTCGTATTTAATAAATTAGTCGTATCTACACATACAAGCAGAACCAGCAGAAACTTTTCTTGACTCGGGACCTGACTTAATTATTCTTTGAAAAGCTTTTTCTGACTAAGCTCACCATATAAATAATCTACATGCCATTTAGTCAGACTATCTGCAGCTTGGCCGTGTTCTCTGTCTTGGTTCTTAAGTTGTTACTGTTTTAAATTACAGATCCTTTGAGAACCTGATGAAAGCTATGAGTCCTCTCTGCAGAAAATATACACATGCGCATATGCATAAATCTGGACATATGCTTTCAAGGACCCCCTGAAAGACCATCTGTGGACCCCTTATGGAGCCCATGAACTCTCAGGTAAGAGTGTCTGTTCTAGTTTTCCTTCATGCATTTTGAGCATCTCTCCTCCCCACCCCACCCCCACCCCCACCAACATACATACACATATACACAGTGGACTAAAGATCCGCTGAAGGTTTCTTTTGCGTTTCATCTAACATCGGTGAGTACATATGATAGGCACTTAAAACTCTTGCTATAATGGAAAAACATAATGAGACAGTGTGCCCGCATTTTGAATTACCCTTTTTTCCCTGTAGATTTTCACTAGCTTGCCCCAAAATTAATGAGGTTTCATGTTGTGTTTACAAAACAAAACAAAAAATAAACAAACAAGGAGCCATCAAGGCTTAAACTGGAAAGCAGAATCTCCCAGACTCTGACTCCTGTAAGATTTTGGAGATAAGCTTTAGGGAAGAGATCAGGAAAGGCGCATGGAACTTGGAAGGGGAAAATGACCTGGCATCTGGTTAGAAGACATAGAGAATAACAACACTGCAAGTTATGGCCCTTCACAGTTTTTAAAAACACTTTCACCTACAGTATCTTACCTGATAACCCCCACCTTAACCTGGAAGGCAGGCAGGGGCAGATCTCACCCCTTCCATTTATTTATTAAAAAACTCAGGTCCAGAATGGTTTCATAAACACCCAAAGTCACCCAGCAGCCTTAAATGGAAGGGCACAAACTTGAGTGTAGAGCTTTGGACTCTAATTCTGCGTTCCCTACATCATGGAAGAAGTCAAGAAGAATGTGGAATTATTTAAAAAAAAAAAACTGGCACATACATTCATGGAGGAGGAGACGGGCTTATAAAAAAGCCCTTTCAACTAAGTTGCATGAAATGTTATTTTCAGTTATCGTATCAGGGCATCTGGCTATTTTCAAAATTCTTAACTAATCAACCCCTGTCTTTAAAATGCAATTGTCCATGTATTCGTCACAGAGGTTTAATCATTTGTGAAGAATGAAACGGCCATATCTTTATCTAACGCCATTGTAATCACTTTTGGGTAAACAGTCTGGAGCCATTTGTATAGGATAATAAGTTCAAAGTTGTAAAATCTGGAAATGTTTTACCACTAGAATGCTGCTATAGGCATTTCCCATTTTGAACCACAGCTGTCCTCACCCACAGTCACATCTTGCAGGTCACAGCCTCTTTATGATGACCCACATAGTGACCAAACCAATTCAGAAGCTATCCATGTGAACCCTAAAAGGTAACCCACCCCCGTTTCTTTTCTGATAGAGATACAACCCCCTTCCTATCAGTTCAGCTTCACACAAGAAATGTGCTCTCTTCCTGGCTATGCTTATTCGGTACTTTGTGCTTTTCCCCACAGTGGGGAAACTGGCATCAAAGAAATTCACCAGGCTGACCCTGTTTTGGTCACAAAACACGGGAATAGGAGAGAGAGATCTTTTCTTAAAGCACTTGGAGATCCTAAATGCCAAAGTACGAACTATGAGAGGCCAGCAAAATGGAAGATATTCATGTGTATTTTTGGTAGACACCTACTATATATTGACCACCATAACTTTTTCTAAACCTCTTAATAGTCACGGATCCTGATTTTTTAACAGATGAAAAGACTGAGATTCACAGAAAGAAGAGGGAATTCATATGCGTTAAAACTTACGATAGGGGCCGGGCACGGTGGCTCCGCCTATAATCCCAGCACTTTGGGAGGCAGAGGTAGGTGGGTCACTTGAGGTCAGGAGTTCAAGACCAGCCTGGCCAACATGGTAAAACCCATTCTCCACTAAAAATGCAAAAATTAGCCTGGCATAGTGGCATATGCCTGTAATCCTAGCTACTCCGAAGGCTGAGGCAGGAGAACTGCTTGAACCCACAAGGCAGAGGTTGCAGTGAGCCAAGATTGTGCCACTGCACTCCACTTGGGTGACAGAGTAAGTGAGATTCCATCTCAAAAAAAAAAAACAAAACCATCCAGTACTTTGGGAGGCTGAGGCAGGAGCCTCACTTGAGTTCTGGAGTTCGAGACCAGCCTAGCCAAAATGGTGAAACCCCATCTCTACTCAAAATACAAAAATTAACCAGGTGCAGTGGCACGTGCCTGTAGCCCCAGCTACTCAGTAGGCTGAGACAGAGAATTGCTAAAACCTGGGAGGCAGAGGTTGCAGTGAGCCGAGATTGCACTAATGCACTCCAGCCTGGGTGACAGAGCAAGATTCCTTTTCAAAAAAAAAAAAAAAAACAACTTGGGATGGGCATTTTAATAGAGGTTAAGTGATGTGTCTAGAAACACATAATTGACCAGTTAACAGATCTAGCATTTAAGGTTTGTCTAAGTTCAAAGCCCATGTGCTTTCCATTACATAAGTTATTTCTAAATTTCAATCATTCAAATACTATCTTCATTATTTGTTCCAAAATCATGTACCACATACAGGATTTTTTAAGAGGGATCATGGTTTAGTGGGTAGAACGTAGTTCTGAAGTCACCCCTGCTAAGTTCCAGTCCCAGTGCTGCCTCTTACTAGCTTTGTGACCTTGGCCAACTGACTTGACCTATGCCTGTTTCCTTATGTTTAAAATGGGGGTAAACAGTAGTACCTACCTCAGGGTTGTTTTGAGGATTAAATGAATTAATATATGTAATGCATGCACTGTAGTAAGTGTTCAATCCATTAGCATTATTTCAGAATTTCTTTTAAATTAGGCTTTTGCTATGTCAGTAAATGTATTAAAGGGGGAGGTTTTTATAGCACAACTATGAAATTACAAGTTTGATGTGACAGCTATATTTCCATAAACATTAAAATAAGTATGTAATATTCAAAGACAAGATATTCAGTCAGGTATCACCTAAAACTCATCTCTCATACACAGGTTCTGTTTTGAGAATATGACCCCACACTAGGCTGTTTTCTACCAGTAGAAAGAATATACAATGTTGGATATTTAAAGCTTGAAGGTAATCCATAGAAAGTAGTTACAAGCTTACTAGATTTATGCAAAATGAGAAAAAGGAAAGAAAACCAAAGAGGAGAAATGGAATACAATGGAACAGATGCCAAAACCATTTAGCAAAGGAAAGAAAAACCAGTTTGGGCAAGGTTCCTGTTTCCATGGACTCAACTATCTCGTGGGAAGAGCAGGTCCTGAAAGAACACAAGTAGCCTTCAAAACAGACCTTAGGCCTATCTCCTGACATTGGGGGCACAAAGAGGTCCTGTGTGATGGAACTAAAATGGGGATACAAGTCCAGAAAGAATCAATGCAAGAACACAGGCAAAGAATGTAAGAGAAAAAAATCTTTAGACAAACAAACAAATCAGCAGGAAGCTAAAGGGAAATACAGTTAGCCAAGAATAAAATCAAAACACTCATCATGTGCCACAGCTGTACAAACAGAGAAGGATAACACAGCAGAAGAGCAAGAAACCCTCAAGACTCTCAAGAATAAGGCCAGGAAACTCACAGCATGAACCATGGAATCCTAGGGTGGACGTGCTGGAAAGGAGATCATTCAGCCCACTTTCCTTATTTGACAGGGAGAAAAGAAGGCCCAGGCTGAAAAGATATGCCCAAGACTCAGAAACCAGGGGTTCTTTCTCTAAAGTCAGATTCCACATCCAAAATGTGACAGCAAAATAGAAATTCATTGTTTCATCTGAGGAAAAAGGAGAAGTCGCCTAAATGGGCGAGAGAAACTCAAGACCTGATTCTCAAAGAGACAATCATTTAATCTTCTTTTTAAGTTTTTACTTCTCAAAAAAAAAAATGGGATTTACAATAAACTTGATTGAAAACAGTTTACACAAAAGTTGAAAGGATGGAATTAAAATAAGAAGGAAGGAAGGGAGGTGGGAAGGACGGAGAGGGGAGGGAGGGAGAAAGGGAGGAGATGACATAGGACCACATGGTAAAAGATGTATTAAGTAGGCAAAATAAATCCAGGGCTTGTGGCACTTGTTAAGGACTTAAAAAATTAAGAAAATACTTGAGGCTTCCTAATATAATGCAAATATTCTGTTATTTCCCCCAAGCCTGATTTGCAGTAAAATTTTGCATAATAGTTTTAATCTATTTAAGTCCATTTTTCCACCTGTAAAGTGGATGGAACTCTGCCCACCACCTTGCATGAGAGTTTTAGTATGAGATGACAATGTATACTGTTTAGCCCCAAGTATTAATGAGGCTATAAAAACTCTTGAACATAGATTTTTCCCTGACTTTCACAAAATATCTTTGTCTCCTTCAATATAAAACACAGAGAAATTATTTTAGATAGATAAAACAGCCTATAACATGGATATATAACATGGATATCAATTTAAAATATTGTGATTCTTGAACTATGACTTGGGCCTGTAATCCCAGCACTTTGGGAGGCCGAGGTGGGTGGATCACTTAAGGTCAGGCATTTGAGACCAGCCTGGGCAACATGGTAAAAACCCGTCTTACTAAAAATACAAAAATTAGCCAGGCATGGTGGCGTGCACCTGAATTCCCAGCTACTTGGGAAGCTGAGGCAGGAGGCGAAAGTTGCAGTGAGCTGAAGTCTCGCCACTGCACTACAGCCTGGGCGACAGAGCAAGACTCTGCCTCAAAAAAAGAAAAGAAAAAAGAAATACGACTCGGGAATCCGTAAGAATTAAAGACAAGGCTGGAACAATATACACTCCCCATAGGGACTATCAATTGGTAATACAATTCCATGAACAGACTCATGTTTGCCAATGAGGAAACAAGAAAATTACAATACTATGAATCAGTTAGGAATGCTTCTAGCTTCAAGTAACAGAAGACTTTCTAACAATGTATTTAAAAGAGTACAAGTTTACTCTTCTCCTATGAAAAGAAGCCTAGAGATCAGCAGCTGCTGACTGTGGTTACACAGCCCAGCAACATCACAAACTGCATCCCTGTGATCAATTTCTTTTTTTTTTTTTTGTCTTTTCCCTTCTTTTGGTCACAAGATGGTTATCATAGCTCTGTGCATGTAATCTGCATTCAAGTGAAAAAGAAGAGAGAAAGGGAAATAAGAGTTATATCTCTTCTTTTTGTGAAGAAAAAAAATGAAGGCCTTCCCAGCACTCTCTCTTTCCCAAACCTAAAAACTCCTGCATTCTTGCCATCAGCCAAAACTGCCATATGGGAATCCCGAACTGCACGTGAAGCTGGGACAGTAAGCAGGTGGCATTTCCAGCCTTTACAGTGGAGGCAGGCAGGAGAAAAGGGAATTGAGAATGGGGATCTAAGTAGCCCAACAACAAATTTTGTTATAGTTCAATGTTTCAGCTCAGTGCAAACTTCCTTTTCATTCAAGTGAGGGCTGCATTCTCAAAACGTCTTTAAATGAAGTTAATATGGCAAGTATGCATTTTTGGTTATTCTTTTGTACCCATGCCTATTTTTTGTTGTCGTATTTTGCATCCTTTTGATGTTATTACTAGTCATTCATAAACCAGAACACTCTCCCTGAACAATGGTGTTGGGTATCTAAAAAGTTCCCGGATAGGAGAACTTTTCAGTGTGGGACTAGAAGAGGACTTAAAACCTTATTTATGAAATTTCAATTGAAGGCAAAGGTGAGAATGAAAGGCCTAGTAAATATTATACATCCACTAAAATAAACCTACAAAGAAAGTGCAAAGTGTAAGCGATAGTAATAATAATTATACATTGTAAATAAGTAATAAAGGTGCCATGTTTTTTCATGCTATCATCACTTGCTTGCTAGAAAAGGTCCATGATCTCCCTAATTTTGAAAATAAGTTGTTGGTACATTTTGAGTTGTTTTCTTTAACAGATAGTCCTCTTATTGCAATGTGCTTTTTTTCTGAGCCAAGTGTTGAATGCTTTTCCAAGGTTAACACATGGCTATGTTAACCCCTAACTTCCAGGACTCACCATTCAGTCTCACCCCAGGCCACACATCTAGGCTTTTATCCCCTTAGCCCCTCTCCTGGTCTCTGCATTTCAAAGTCCCTGACCTTGCCTACTCCTGGCTCCTCTGACGCACATGCAGTCCCAAGGCCAAGGTTTCATTTCCCTCATTTGCTTTTATCTTTCCTAAGAAGTCCATGCAAAGGGCTCTAATTCTGCTCTGTCAACTATATCCTTGTCTCTATTCCAAATACCTAGCTCCCTGTTCTTCCAAATTACCCTCGCGGGAGTTGACACGCAATTTGCATGTTCTAGAATCCAAATTCTCCCAGATATTGAAAAGATATACAGAAGCAAATCTTCTTATGTTAGAATTTAGTGGAGTAAGAACTTGTAGTTAAGGACAGATTTACTGTATATCTAAAGTACTTAGAGCTCTCATAGAGAAGAGCACTGTGGAGAAAGAGGGAAGACCACGTCTCTGCTGCATGACCTGCCTCTAAATGCATGACTTGCTTTCCAGAGAACTGATGAGATCGCCATGAGGTGTGGTTGCTTTCATAAGGAGTAGGCTGTTCAAAAACATTAAAAAGTCCAGAGTTTTCGCTTGCCCAGCAGTTCAAAATGCAAGCCCTCTTTTATGACAAGGCAATTATGAATTCTAATGAACAACTTTTAGATAAGGGTGACAACGAATAGGCACCCCACATTTCAATACCAATCAATAGCCTCAGTTCTGTAGGAGTCATTCCCTTGGATCTACTGAGCTTCAGCCTCTGTCTTCCACCATACGTTACTGCTTCAAGAAACCACTTCACCTTTTCCCCAGTTTGCTTTTCTCCTTCTTCTTGTGATGTGTCAAGGCCAAATGCTGAAGAGAATCCAGTGGCTAATAATATAAAAAAAGAAGCATTGCTGGTCAGGACATATCATATAGCATTGGTCTTTGAGGAGACTGGCTTGGGTATGCTGACCAGGTTATGACTTTAGAGAAAGTTATTGTCCTCAATAGTAGTTAAACCAACACTTTTTAATTAAACATCAATCGTGTGTCCATCCCTATGTTGGGGACTTCGGTAGATTCTGAAGTGGAGGGCATCACAGAATAGTGAAAAGGGCAGAGGCACTGAAATCGAAAATAGCTTGGCTCTAATCCTGGCTCCACTGTAGCTGAGTTGAACAACGCATTTCAATTTTCTGAGCTGGCCGGGCACGGTGGCTCACACCTATAATCCCAGCACTTTGGGAGGCCGAGGCAGGCAGATCACCTGAGGTCAGGAGTTTGAGACCAGCCTGGCCAATATGGTGAAACCCCATCTCCACTAAAAATGCCAAAATTAGCTGGGCATGGTGGCTCGTGCCTGTAGTCCGAGCTACTCGGAGGAGGCTGAGGCAGGAGAATCACTTGAACCTGGGAGGCGGAGGTTTCGGTGAGCCGAGATCATGCCACTGCATTCCAGCCTGGACAACAGAGCAAGCCTTCATCTCAAAAAAAAAAAAAAAAGAAAGAAAAAGAGAGAGAGAATGCATTTGATCCATGTCTTAAAATCGGAAAGCCATGGAGGCCAAACTATACAGAAGGACTCAACAAAAATAGCTAAGTTTTTAAATCACTATTTGTCAGGAACATGCATTATCTCATTTAATCTTCACAGCACCCCTGGGAGGCCAGGTATAGACCTCACATATAAAATGTGGAAGATACTGATGCCTCAAAAGGTGGAGTAACTTTCCAGGGTCACATAGCTTCTAAGTGTCCTTTCAGCCAGGATTTCAATGCGCATAGCCTGCTTCATTAAAATGTACCACAAATATATTAAGTACTGAGAACATACTAAAAAGAAAAGTACACCCCTGGCATCTGGAAACTGATACTATACAAGACCTTGGTGTTGGTGGGACTGGCCTGGCTCTCACAGCTAAGCCATTGTATTCCCCTGTGGAGCACAAACCATCTCTCAGAACACCAGCACCAGACAAGAGGCCACCGTGACTGTGATGAAGTGAGGTGAGAAACAAGATCACTCTGTAATACCATCTCAGCACAGACAAAAACAAGAGCACTGTGCAAATCCCTAAAATCCCAGACCCCACCCTGGATAAAATGAGTGACAGCAGCCTCAGCCTACCAAAGTGCTGGGATTACAGGTGTGAGCCACTGCAGAGGGAGGCAGAGGCAGGAAGATCACTTGAGCTCAGGAGTTCAAGACCAGCCTGGCAACATAGCAAGACCTTGTCTCTGATAAAAAAAATCAGAAAAACTAGCGAAGAGTGGTAGTCCAAACCTGTAGTCCCAGCTACTCAGGAGGCTGAGGTGGGAGGATCACTTGAGCCCAGAAGGTCGAGGCTGCAGTGAGCTATGGGCCTGCCGCTGCACTCTAGCCTAAGCAACAGAGCTAGACTCTGTCTCAAAAAAAGAAAAAAGTGACAACTGCTCCCAGTTAAAACTTGAGCCTTGCTTCATTCCTCCCCACTTCCCTTAAAGATAGGATTTATTAAGATACCTGGTCAGAGTTATCCCCACTTGCTGACAGCATCCAATCCAAAGCAAAGCCTCATTTCCTTTAATCCTCCCCCAAAATCACCTAACATGAACCCAAATCCTCAAGTTTGTGAACACCCTCTTGCTGATATGCCCCGTGGTTCCCCATGGTGTACCTTCTCCTCTTGGCATCAATTATTAAACCCAACTCATTCAACCACAGGTGTGTTCGTCTCTAGCTGGAAGGCATTGACAGAATGGAGGTTCACCCAGAGTCAGCTGAAGACTTCGTTGCCTCTGACTGGAACCCTGGACTCAGTAGCCCTCTAGCAATTGACATTACTGTTCGAGATGCCACCTGTGTATGGCTGGGAGGTGAGGTCCTGTTGTATCAAGCCCTGGTATTTTGTTGAAGCCCTTCAGCATTGAATTGTGTTTTCTTAGAAATAAGGGCCCTTGGAATTTGGGGGTGGAGAAGCAGGGTTCTGCGTCCAGGTCTGTATAGTTCTTTGGTAAAGTCATGTAATACAGCCTCTGCCATTTCAAATCTAACTGGGTGCTGACACTCAGGCTAATCTACACCATATATTTTTGACATTTCACGAGTAGTGAGTTAACAATTGGAATAACTCTGGCTCAAATTTTACTTATTAATTAAAGTTGGCATTTAAAGAAGATTTGTTAATAGCATTCATAGAACATTCAGAGACCCAGGCTCTGTGTTGAGCGTTCCGCATTTCCTTTAGTCTGCACGACAATCTCATGAGGCAGGAAATCTAATTGCCTCCATTCCACGCATGGCACAAATGAGGCCCAGAGAACTTTTTAAATTCTCTGGCAATTTACTTTCACAGGTCAAATAACTAACAAATAGTAGAGCTAGGATTTGAAAGCAGGCAGATTTCAAGACCAGAATGTTTAAACCTTAAACTATAGTTCATAGTATGTATTGATTTTTATAATAAAATCTCTCTGTAAACACTTTCCTATAACTTAACATTAGTCATACCATGGGTCATGTCTCCCCACTCAGGAAGTGCTGTAAAGTGCAATTTTTTTGTTTTTGTTTTTGTTTTTGTTTTTGAGACAGCGTCTCTCTCTGACACCCAGGCTGGAGTGCAGTGGAGCCATCTCAGCTCACTGCAACCTCCGCAACCGAGGCTCAAGTGATTCTCCTGCCTCAGCCTCCCAAATAGCTGGGATTATAGGTGCCCACCACCACACCTGGCTAATTTTTTAATTTTTAGTAGAGATGAGGTTTCACCATGTTGGCCAGGCTGGTCTTGAACTCCTGACCTCAAGTGATCCACCCGCCTTGGCTTCTCAAAGCGCTAGGATTACAGGCGTGAGCCACGGCGCCCAGCCAATAGTGCAATTTTTAACAATGGAAAGTAAATGCTATAAAACATTCTCAATCATCATGCCTTCCAAGAGTCAACAGTTTTTTTTTCTGAATGCTTTTGGGCATCAGATGACATCTACAAACTCATGGTCTTCTTTTGGCCCCAGTTTTCTGAGGCAGATAGGAGACCTGGTTGTTATCAGCACCACTGCAAGCCTCTATCGACCTTAGCCACTGGGACAATTTGCTCCCCCACCTTCACCTCGTCCCCACCCAGCCCTGTGGTTATAAATCCCATGCAAATCTACTCTTGCATCTTCAAGCCTAAAAGAATTGTGCAATGTGCCAAATATTTTGGCTCTATATTGGAGTTCATTATTATGTCACAGCCACATATGTGACCATGTGGTGAAAATATGAGATAAAGGAAAGTCCACCCTCTTTTTTGCCTCACACAAGATGAGAGAGGCCATGGCTCTGCTTACGCTCATGGGATATGTCAATATCAGAGTGTGCTCTGGAATCAGGACACTAGTCAAGGAAGGTCGCAGTTGGTCATCCACAGGAAGTCAGCTTTGGGGCAAAATGACACACTCACATAGAAAAGGAAGTCAGCCAGAAAGAGAAACCAGAAAAGAAATAACTTGGTAAGTGTAATGTAAAAATCAAAAAGAAAAAAAAAAGAAGAAGAAAGACTTTTGGCATAGAAGAAACAGACTACTCTATAATACTCTCTCCCCAGCTCATACAAAACTCGATTCACTAGCCTATAGAGAAAATGCATCCTTGCACCCTCTCACATTCTAACTTCCTTAGGTATCTTTGTGCTCTGCTTGTCTGCTGAAGAAGATAAACCCTGGGGGGTGCTGGGGTGAGAAGGAAACCACAGTGACAGGCTGGGGGAGTTTGTCCCTCCTCCTGGAGCAGAGGGAAGCAAGAGGGTTGACAAGAGGAAGTTTAGGGGTGGCTGGGAGCTGGCCAAGAGGCTCCTGCAACAGTACAGGCTGAGGTGATACAGCTGAACCTGAGGAACAGGCAGGAATGGAAAGGAGGCGCTGACATGAGTAGTACTTTGCAGGGAGCATTAGTTGAGCATAATGATGAGTTAGACATAGGATAAGAGTAAAGGCAGCATTAAACATGGCTGCAAGGTTTGAGCTGGTTTGTGGGGATAAGCCAGGGGGTAAGGGGGAATCTGGGGCAGCTGTTCCCACTGAAAGGAACAGAGAAGAGTCAAGGAAAGCTGATTTCAAAATTAGGATAGGCTGGGCATGGTGGCTCACGCCTGTGATCACAACACTTTGGGAGGCTGAGGTGGGTGGATCACCTGAGATCAGGAGTTCAAGACCATTGGGCCAACATGGTGAAACCCTGTCTCTACTAAAAATACAGAAAACTTAGCCTGGCATGGTGGCCTGTCCCTGTAGTCCCAACTACTTGGGAGGCTGAGGCAAGAGAATGGCTTGAACTTGGGAGGCGAAAGTTGCAGTGAGCCAAGATTGGGCCACTGCACTGCAGCCTGGGAACAGAGCCATATTTGATTGGCCAAAACTCGGTGACTGGCGCAAGTGTGGGCTACAATCTGGTTCCACTTCCACTAGCTATAGTTCATGATGTACAGGGAAACCTTTAGGCTGAAGTTAAATATGTAAGGAGGCAGCTTTAGGCTAAACTTGACTTAACAACAGTGAGTCCTTCTCTGATGGAGCTCAGCATCCTGGGCAGGACTGGAGATGCTAGTGGCTCAGTGCGTGTCAGGTGAAACGCTCTGTACAGAGCAACATAGAGCAGCTGAGGAAGATTTTTGGAGAAAATTGTCTTCTGAAAATATTCTATTCTTGGCATTTCCCCAATTTGCCCTCTCACACTCCTCCCACCAAAGCTTTAAGGGCAATTGCCTAAAGAATTAAAACTAAGCTCTCAATTCAGAAGGTCCTTTCCCCTCTTTCTCCACTCGCTGAACCACTCCAGGGCTGATTTCAAATGCCAGCTCTCCTGTGAAGCTGTCTTTGACTCTTCATTCTTTCTTCTTCACTTTCACCCTGTTGCTTATACTACCATTTAGTGCTGTTTAGCATTGATGTTTAATTAATTGACAAAATGGAGTTACCTAGATGGCAGGAGGCAGGATAAGAACAGGAAAAATATGAATGCCAGATTGAAAGTGTGAAAGAATAAGATCCATTGACATTTAAATCTGTTCTCATATGCATCATCTCCTTTAATTCCTACAACGCTGTGGTAGGTACCACAGGTTTTCATCATTAGCCTCATTTATAAATAAGAAAACTGAAGCTCAATGAAGTTATAGAATTTGTTCAAAGCCTGTAACTACTAACACCAAGAGTTGAAATTTTCCTTCATTCTTGTGTTTGTTTCATTCATTCATTCATTCACTCAGTAAATATTTATGGAGCTACCACTATGTGCCAGGTACTGTTCCAAATACTGTGATAGGGGCTGAAGAACACAGTGGTGGATTATGTAAAGCCTTATCTAGTGAGAGAGACTGAAAATAAGTGAATGCATAACTTAATGTTACAACATAATAGTGGTATGAAAAAAATATTCTGCAGGGTAAGAGACAGAGGGTAGGTGGGATTCTCTGTGGAATAGAGAGTCTGTACTCTAACTCCTGGGTTCAGTCCTCTGCTTCATCCTACAGACTCTTATTGTTGAAAGAAACTGATAGTCATGAAATGTCGTGTAGCCCCCTTTTATTGCAGACGCTACCCAGGGGTTGGAATGTGCACATTTGAGCACCAGAACGCATCCAGCACAAGGTTATCTCAGCAATCACAGGCTATACACAGCTGCCCTTAAACTCCCACTAAGTTGCACGGCCTTACTTAAGTTCACATGTGGACTATAAACTCCTTGAAGACAAGAATCACTTGCACACACTTTGCAATAAGTGTATGCTGATAAATCAATTAATTGATAAAAGCAATTGAAAAAACTGGAAGATTGTTCCTCTAATCCAACATTTATAAAGATTACAGTCAACCCATTGGAGATATTTCAAATCCAGAGACCCTCTCCAAAATAAGCCAGGCCTCTCTATCTTCCCTGAATCCAAACAGCTTTCCCTTCTACACGAAGCCTACTGAGCCAAATCGGTCAGAGCCCAGGGCCAAAACAGTCTTTCTAGAAAACCAAATCAGGGCGGGGCATGGTGGCTCATGCCTGTAATGCCAGCACTTTGGGAGTCTGAGGAGGGTGGATCACTTGAGGTCAGGAGTTCAAGACCAGCCTAGCCAACATGGTGAAACCCCGTCTCTACTAAAAATAAAAAATTAGCCGGGCATGGTGGCGGGCGCCGTTAATCTCAGCTACTCAGGAGGCTTAGGCAGGAGAATCGCTTGAATCTGGGAGGCGGAGGTGGCAGTGAGCCCAGATGGTGCCACTGCACTCCAGCCTGGGTGACAGAAGAAGGGGTGTGAAGGAGACTAGCAAAACAGAAAAACAGAAATAGGCCCAAATTATTAAAACCAATCCAAGGAGTTACTGAATAATAAACTTACCAGGGTAAGTGACAAAGACAAAATGAGTTCTGCTACTTTCAGTTATCTGTTTAATTGCCACAGACATATCTCAGTCATGTTTCTATTTTTTAAAAAAATTTTATTTACAGCACCATTGAACATCTTTGAAAGGTATGCTCATGTACATACATTACTGGGGGATTCACATGCAATTATTAATGAGTTATTTAAACTTTATGTCTTAGAGTTTTGACAGTTCTCTCAAATGTGAGGATTGCAACTCTAGCAAAATTGCCTGTGAGGACAGGAGGAGAATTTTAAGCAACAAAACTCCACAATACTGTAACATAACCTCAGATCTCCAGGAAGAGGTCACTCTCCCTTGAAAATCATCCTTTCCGGATTGTTCTCATTAGAGTGCAGAGTAGGTGCAGTGTCTGGCATGGCTTTGTACTAAGAGGTGACAGTTGATCATCTAGCAAACATTCAAGAAAGTTCCATGTAAACAAAAAGGTACGAAATAAAACACATGAAAAGAGAAGCACCAGAAAATGACTCGTCTGCATTATCTAAACTCCAGATGGGTAAGAACATGCAGATTACATTGAGGATTATCTTTCAATGCAATTTCCACTTGAGAAACTAAATTCCTGGTTTGACAACCTCATTTCTACCTGTGGCTACTCAAGGGTAAATAAACTAAGAAGCACAAATACGTGACACTTTATCAGGTGCATGACTTCTATAGAGCAGGCATGCAGTCCGCGATCATTCATCCAAACTCAAAATTCAAATCAGGTCATGTTTCTTCATTTTTTCTACATCAGTTTTTTTTTTTTTTTTTTTTTTTTTGCAGTCTTTTACTACAGGAATGTGAAGATATATTTAAAAATAGAATACTTTAAAATCAGGAAATGTATTTTGCTCTCTTGAAGAAAATAGATATGATTTGGCAAAGGATAAAATTAGCCATAAATGATAAAGATTTTTTTAACATCTGAACTTGTCATTAGCACTAAGATGAGCTGCTTACCAGGAACTAAGAAGAATTAACATCATCAAGTTTAAAATCGATCATTTTAAATATGAAGGAGATTTAAACATCTCAACCCCATGAATCAATTGTGCTGATAACTATCCAGTCTCATTGGATAGTGGGCTCATCAAATTGAGGATATTCAGGAGTTAAAGAGATCAGCACAGAAGAGTGAGACCAAATGCTTTTTCTTCATTTCATTTACTGTTATAATGACTGATGAGTATAAAGGGATTTATAAGGGCTTTTCATTTCAAATTACATTTTTCTTTAAATATCCAAAGTTCTTATGTGGAAACAACTGCAATTTTTATGAATAGGCTGGTCTTGCCTTTAAAAATATGTTTTTAAAGAGCAAATTCTGCAGAATTAATTATTAAAAAGACTATGGGACTTTGGAGAGGCTTTCATTAACATTGTCCCTAAACTACCCTTAGTTCTACCCAGTGGCTCAGAACTTGGGGCAATTTTTTTTCCCAGGTTATATGTGGCAATGTCTGGAGACATTGGTTGTCACAACTTCGGGGGACAGTACCGGCATTTATGCATAGCGGTCAGGGGTGCAGCTAAACATCCTACAGTACACAACCCACACATCAGGAGCAAGAACACATCCAATTCAAAATGTCAGTAATGCCAAGACTGAGAACCCCTGGAGTAAGCCTCACAAAAGCTCTTATGACCTCACAGGGCAGCTGTCTTATTGTAATCCCAAATCTACCTCAGTGATTTCCTTGACATTCAAAACACCTGTCTCTACTGAACTTTAGAGTTCTTGATTTACCACCACTGGAATTTGCTCTACCAATGGCAAAAAAAAAAAAAAAAAAAAAAAAAAGAACTAAATATGGAGAATATTCTTAATTCTTCCTCAAATAATGTCTCCCTACTTTATTGACATTTTATCAAGAAGAGAGTAATTTTATTTTCTGTCAACAATGGAGCCTGTGGGTATTCATAATGGCCCAATATCATGAAAAAAATTAATTATATTTTCAAAAACAATGTTGAGAGTCAGAAAATGAAACAGACAGTATTTCCTATGGCCAATGCTAAAATAATGTGGAAAGGACTGTTTCTGTAGAAACAGAAGTGCAGTAGGGCCGTGTAGAAGGCCAGGTGAGCACACAGGACAACTGGTCCCTGAGCTGACACACAAAATATGCCGTAGACTTTAAAAATTATGTCAGTTCTGGCCGGGCGCAGTGGCTTACGCCTGTAATCCCAGCACTTTGGGAGGCCGAGGTGGGTGGATCACAAGGTCAGGAGATCGAGACCATCCTGGCTAACATGGTGAAACCCGGTCTCTACTAAAAATACAAAAAATTAGCCGGGCATGGTGGCGAGCACCTGTAATCCCAGCTACTCGGGAGGCTGAGGCAGGAGAATGGCGTGAACCCAGGAGGCAGAGCTTGCAGTGAGCCGAGATAGCACCACTGCACTCCAGCCTGGGCGACAGAGCAAGACTCCGTCTCAAAGAAACAAACAAACAAACCAAAAAAAAATTATGTCAGTTCTTTAAAAAAAGGCGGGGAGGAGGGGATTTTCTGTAAATAACCTAAGTATACAGGAGCACCAAACTGAGTGCCAGTGTTTTTCTAATCTTAAAGGAAAACAGTGCTGTTTTAAATCTATTTATCAGCTGCTACTGCCACCAAGCAGGGCTGATTTAAAGGGAAAAAGAAAACTCTTGTATTTCCTTGGGAGAATTAAAAGGCAGGACAATTAAAGAGAGAGTGAAACCCAAGTGAAAATAGCATACAGCAGGCATCACAGTGCCACAGGTGGCAAATGCAAGCCACTCAACCCAATACAAAATTATTGCACTTAGCATGATTGGACATTATTAAATGCAGTCAGCCAAACTGTCTTAAAAAGGTATTACTTCATATTGACTCCAGGCCATAATCTGGTATAACTGTCTATCAAGATACTTTTCTGAAGTTAGGTTTAATTACAGTGGAATTAAGTGCCTTTTCTTACCCAGAAAAATATTTTAGAGATTAAAGAACAGTGTTTAAGTGCAAACTAATATCCATTCCTTCAGCCAGTTGCACAAAAACTGTGAAATTATAATTTTCCCTTTTAATAAAGGCAGAATGATGTGAAATCAAATTAGACCTTCAAATTTGGAAGTCAGAGAAAAATTTCTTTTTTGGCTCTAAGGAATTTCAACCAATGTTTATGTAGGAGAATCTGGCCCACTGATCTCCATGCCAAGTTTCTTAAGAGGATGCACTGTTTTGTGTGAGTACATGCCACACTTTTAATACTAAAAATAGAAATTCTTACTTATTAACCCCTTTGAGCTTATAAAGGGCATATAACCTAGCCCAATAAGCTCCTAGAAATAAAAACATTTTTAGGCATTTTTCTATTTACCTACTTCACAGCCAATTTAAACTCAGATAATACATTTTCAAGGAATAAAGAATTTCCTGGCCAGGTGCAGTGGCTCATGACTGTTCTCCCAGTGCTTTGGGAGGCCAAGGCGAGAGAATCACTTGAGGCTAGGAGTTCAAGGCCAGCTGGGCAACATAGCGAGACCCTGTCTCTACAAAAAAAGAAAAAAATAATAATTTCCTATCCTACGGATCATAGCTGCTTATTTATTTTAGCCTTCAAATTTAGGACTAAGATACATTGTTTAAATATGATGTTTGTTCTGTGGATGCTGCCTTCATTATCAACCCAGCACCTCTGAAAAACCCTGTGCAGATTCTGAACAGGACTTTACACACTAAGAGATGGTTATTTTCAGACAATCTTGCAGTCTACCAGAGATGATACTAGTTGTCTAGTGAGGCACTTCCCATTTTCTCATACCTGTGAGACTGTTCTGATTTAAATACTGATGTCTGAGCAATGTGTTAAAAACATGACAGATGCTTCTCTACTACCAACATAGTTTGGTTATGGGTCTGAATCCGATTATAAAAATTTTATTTGAACTTGGTAATATGGATCAGCGACATGAAAGAAAATTTTAAGTTCCTCAAAAACACATTAAAGGCAGCAATTAAGCTAATTCTCATTTCTCCCTTGGGCATCAACTTTTTCATTGAGTTACTAGTTGACAACTATAATAAATACTTTAAAATATGTCTAATTAAAGAGAAGGCAGTCTAGCTTATTTATTTCACAAGAATTAACACTCAGTGTTATGCATTCTGCTATCCCAGGAATACTCTTTTCTGGTAAATGCTGCATAGATCAATGCAATCATATGAAAGAAAATTCAAACGAAATTTGGAAAAATAAGTAAATCATTATCAAAGCACTAAATGAAAACAGCTCCAACTATACTGACTCTAAAAGACAGTATATGAGTATTTGTGTCATACTTCAGGAAACTGAAATATTCCCTCACTTCCATGGAAAAAAATGTATTATATATTTAAGCATTTGAAACATTCTATAGCTGCAGTTCAGTTCACAGCAGAAAGTAAACATTAGTTTTCTCTCACCTCACAAAATGTAGAGATGGCCAACGCCCTCCTACTAACCTTTACCTCCTCTAGAATGTTCTGAGAATATTTTCTACCTTAATAGTTATTCATTTTATATTTATTCAAAAATGAATCAAAGAAAAAAGATATTTCTTCAGTGCCAGAAATACTTAACTTGCCTCTTTTATGATCGTTAAGGGGATTGGGAAAAATACAGCTATTGTGGTACTTTAGTTTTTTCAATGTATTTAAGCTATGATCTCACCTGAGCATTAGCTAGAAGTTCTAATCAGTTTAGAAACAAGAACTTCTTTGAACACTGTATCCGCAGCTATTGAGCCCCAGTCCCAGACTTTAATGTCCCTGATATATACACTAGTGCAGTTTGCTTTAGAAAATGCATGTTCAAGCTGAAACAGTCAAAGAGCAGCATGAGACACCCAGGGGAATGGAAAGGAGTTAGTTACATAAAAATTCACAGACACGTTTAACTAAAATCCCAAACAGCCAACCCCTAGTGAACACAGAGCATGCATGCTGCAAGTCTAGTCTGGGCCTACAACCCAGAAAGCTCTTTTTGTGAGCCAAGCTTGTGGTTCCAAAGTGCCTCGTCTATATGGTCTGATTATGTGAGTACCAGATTAAAAATGCGTTCTGTTGACATAACATTGGTCCTCCTGAGTTTTGTTAAGACTTTGTCCGTGGTCACTCAGACAGCTATCCAAAGACACTTCAATAGCCACTTCTCTTGCGTCTCTTCTACTGAGGCCATCACTTCCGTATGTGTCTAGAGAGGGCCCACCATTGTGCTCAGCACAGCCATTGACGTGAGCCAGAGGCAGTGCCCCGGGGGGACAACACAGCTGCTTAGCACAGCCCTTGGAGATGCAGGGTGAGTTGCAGAGCAACAGTAAGTCCTTCTGCTCCAGGGGTTCCTTCAAGTCCACATTTTCAAACTGGATGGTCACATTGTGGATTCCCGCATGGTGGAAGATTTCTCGAATTTTTGTGCTGGCATCTTGATATCCCCTGTCCTTAGGATACTTGATGTGCAGGGTGGCAATAATCTTTCCACTTACAAGTTCCCAGATGTGCACTTCATGTACACTGCTAATTCCAGGCACAGCAGAGAGTTTACTCACTATAACAGAGAAGAGCAAACAAAAGCCAAGGTGAGCGCTGCATTTGAAACATGGAACTACAGGAGGGATATGGTTCCGTTAAGCATTCTCACCAAAATGGCTGCCTACTTACTACGAACAGCTGGAAGAAATTAGTTCTACCTCTGTGGGTACATTTGCCCTTAACCTTCTTTCTCCACACATTGTTAGTCCACACAAAGTCATTTAAGAAAGTAAGTCTAACAACGACAAGAAAAAAGTCCCCAGGGTTGCTGAGTATACAAGGGAATGGACACTTGAATGAACTTCCCATAGTAGGATAAAGTGCAATGCCTTTTCTTAAAAGGGATGATTTGGCAACATGGATCAAAAAAAACCTTTCCTAGCAATTCTAGTACTAAAAGTTTAACCTAAAAGAAATAACCAAATATGTATGTACAAGAATGGTTTGGACAATGCTCCTTGTGTTCATTAAAAAGATGGAACCAACAAGGAAATAGTTAAATCAATGATGTAATGGAATAGGATATAGTTGTTTAAAAGTAAGTTGCATATTTAAGGATATGAGAAAATGTACATAAGGTATTTTTAAGTGAAAAAGCAAATTGCTAAACTGTGTGTATGGTATGATCTTTCTTTTTACACCGCATATAGAAGAAAATATTAACAGTGGTAGTTTCCATGGTCAAATTATGAAAGATTTCTATTATCTCATTTAGGCTCCTCTGTATTTTCTATACTTTCCAAAATGAGTATGTATTTAGAGAGATGGTATTCAGTGCTGATTTGAGCAAAGGCTTTGCAGTCAGCTAGTTTGAATCCTAGTTTAGACATTTACTAACTGCATGACGTTAGGCAATTACCTAACCTCTCTGTGCCTCAGTTTCCTTATCTGTATAATAGAAATGATAATAGTACCTTTTTGTATTATTTTAAGGATTAAAATGAATTATTATAAGTAAAGCACTTGGAACACTTACATTTCTAGCATGTAGTAAACGCTATGAAAATATTGCTATTGTTATTACTATCTTGTGGGGTTTTTTTTTTTTTTTTTTTAGAGACAGAGTCTTGCCCTGTCTCCCAGGCTGGAGTGCAGTGGCATATTTATGGCTCTCTACAGCCTCAAACTCCAGGGCTCCAGTGATCCTCCCACCTCAGCCTACTGAGTAGCTGGGACCACAGGCACACACTACAACCTTTACTTTTTTATTTATTTATAAAAAATAATTTTTTTATTTTTCTAAAAATGAGGCCTCACTATGTTGCCCAGGCTGGTCTTGAACTCCTGGCCTTATGCAATCCTTCCACTTCAGCCTCCCAAAGTGGTGAGATTACAGGAATGAGTCACAAAAAGTAGCCCTCTATTTTTAAAAATATCTGTTTTTAAATATATTACTTTACTAAAAACATATCCAGTATATATCACAAATTTCTTTGTATATGTTTATCTTATTTCCTCAATTGGGAAATGATCTAGCTCCTGGGAAGGCAAAGGCAATGCTGTATGTCTGCTCTTCTGTCTCCTTCCCTCTCCCACCACCTGCTCTGCCTGCAGCTCTGGGCAGTGTTGTGAGAGACACAGTGACTTGCATGCCCGCATTAACTAGAAAGCAGGGTCTAGAATATGAATGATTTGTGTTTTTAGAATAAGGAGAATAAAATAAAGTTCTTGGCAGAAATGGCCTTATTTGAATTAAAATAAATCTTTGACATGAAAGTAAGTAGCCCAGGAATAGGTATTATCCAAGCATTGCATTCTTTTCTTTTTTTTCTTTCCTTTTTTTTTTTTTTTTTTTTGAGTCAGAGTCTCACTCTGTCACCCAGCCTGGAGTGCAGTGGTGCAATCTCAGCTCCCTGCAACCTCCGCCTCCCGGGTTCAAGCGATTCTCCTGCCTCAGCCTCCCGAGTAGTTGGGATTACAGGCGCGTGCTACCACGCCTGGCTAATTTTTTTGTATTTTTAGTAGAGACAGGGTTTCACCATGTTGGTCAGTCTGGTCTTGAACTTCTGACCTCAGGTGACTCACCCACCTCTGCCTCCCAGAGTGCCAGGATTACAGGCGTGAGCCACCATGCCCAGACCAAGTATTGCATTCTTAAAAATTTGCAGTTGAGTCAGAGAATCACGGATTGCAAAGGACCTTTGGTACTTGGAGCTGAGTCATCTTAATAGGCTATAAAACATATGATGACATCTCTACCACCTGGTGATTTAAGGTGTTTCAGAATACATAACTCAAACACTGCTCTTAAATAATGCTTGTCCTTTGGCCTGAATAACATTAAATTGAGAGTGGTTCTGG
Organism: Homo sapiens; assembly: GCF_000001405.40. Lineage (NCBI taxonomy): Eukaryota > Metazoa > Chordata > Mammalia > Primates > Hominidae > Homo > Homo sapiens. The sequence goes on from NC_000001.11 coordinate 219,918,234, forward strand.
ATCAAAATTCAGTCTACTTACTCAGCTCTTCCATGTTGACTCCTTTTGGGACCATCTGTAGCAGAATGGCAGCGGTCTCCTTGATAAGCGGGAAGGCAGATGACAAAATGATGATGACCATGAGGACAGTCAGGCTGGGGTCAATGTAACACTGCCAGTTACACGGGTCCTCACTCTTCAGGGGAAGCACATAGAATATGATGGCCGTGATGACCACAACCACGGACCCCAGGGCATCTCCCATCACATGCAAAAGTACACCTGCCAGGAAGAAAGACTACTGCAGCACAGATGCAAATCTGGAAGCCACGTGACACTCACTGACTTGGGTGTCCGGGTATATGAATATCTGTTACCATTTGGAGTTTTTTGGTTTTTGTTTTGGTTAGAACAGTAGGATGAATCAAAATAATGGCAACTACTTCTTAGGAAACAAAACCCCAGGCCACCATCGCAGGACTCAGAGTACCTTGGAAGAGCAACAGCCTAGGAAGATTCTGACCTGCAGGAAGAGCGACTGTGCCGTCTCACTGGGCCACATCGCTACCACTCACCACCCATCAAAGGGCACCAAGCTGGAAAACAGGGGCTGTGCAAATGATTTCTTTTTCTTTCAGACAATCATCTGTGCTTTACGTTGTTTTAAACATGTTTAAGGGGAGAGAGAACAAGTTGTATTAAGAGTGTTTAAAACAAATTGTCTTTTTTCTACCTTGATCCACTTTCCCCTTTCCCTGTAAGCATTTACCTACTTTGTATTTAGTCTGTGGTCATTTAAATGGCATTTGGTTTAAGAGGTGTCCAAGAACAGGGACTCTGGCAACATTTCCATTGCATAAAGAGCCATTTATCACAATAAAATAAAATTAAAATTCTACAGATAATACTAAAAATTGTGGGTGCCTTTAATTAAGGGAATTGTTTCTAAAGATATTGATTATGATATAGAACACATGCATTCCTCAGCAAAGATTTGAGTGCCCAATTGTTAGCCAAAGACTAAATTGGGATTCAGTAAGTAAATTAGGTAAAAATTTGGTCAGAAAAATTATAAAATATAAACACAAAGTTTTGGGTTTTGGTTTTGGGGGATTTTGTTTGTTTTTTACAAAAAGCAACATCTGAATCTTGCAATTCAAAGTATAGTTTGCAAACCAGCAGCATCAGCATCACCTAGGAGGTTGTTAGAAATGATGCATCTCAGGACCCACCTCAGATCTGTAGAATCTGAACCTGCGTTTTAAAAAGATGCCCAGGTGAGTCTGGGCGTGGTGGCTCACTCCTGTAATCCCAGCACTTTGGGAGGCCAAGGCAGGTAGATCATCTGAAGTCAGGAGTTCAAGACCAGCCTGGCCAATATGGTGAAACCCTATCTCTACTAAAAATACAAAAAATTAGCTGGACATTGTGGGGGCATCTGTAATCCCAGCTACTCAGAAGGCTGAGGCAGGAGAATCGCTTGAACCCAGGAGGCAGAGGTTGCAGTGAGCCGAGATAGTGCCATTGTACTCCAGCCTGGGCAACAAGAGTGAAACTCTGTCTCAAAAAAAAAAAAAAAAAATGCCCAGATGATTGGAATGCACATACAAGTTTCCAAAGCACTGCTCTAGAAGAAAGCATATATATTAAGAAAGGTCTGCTTTGTCTCTCCATGTATTCCACAGACTTATGCAGTAGAATTAATAATAATCCAAATTACTAACAACTTACTCATGGCTAAGACTAAACAGTCTCATTTGGAAGGTGCTTTAATTGAGCTAATTCCTCCTCTTGGCAACAACTCCACAATTCTAAATAACATCATAGGTAAAATGGCATGTGAACACTAAATGTAATTTGAGGCAGTTGCCTCAAATTTTCCCCAAAAAAATACAGGAATAAAAAGAATTCCCATATTTCCTTTTGGATGAGTGTTTACTTATGATAATAAGATCTTGATTCAATATATACATTAACATTCTCATTTTCTAATGCTGTGCTCCTTTCTCCCAACACCCCACCCCCAAAGGAGCTTTTAACTCCCCAGTCCCTGTCCTGAACCACTGAAGGGAAACTCAAAAATACTTTGTTCCTCTACAAGGAGCTAAGAATCGAAGCTTTAACTTGCTTCAGGACAGTACAAAATGCTACCATAAAAATATGAAAGCCTAATATCTCCTATACACATGTGATGTCATGTTTACTGCGTGAGACAGTCTGTTATTCTCTGATTGTCTCATACATGTTAGGTCCATTTCCTCCGTAAGTAACATGAGGATCAGGGCCATACTCCAAATTGCCTTTGTTTATATAATAGCAATGTAGGCATTCAATAAAACAGTAGCTTCTGGTTGATTGTCATAACTCCTATGACATACAGTAACTCTTGTCTTTAATAATAATAACTATTATTATTATTATGCTAACTAACACATATGCTCCAGGTATTGATTTAAGCGTATTATACTTACCCATTAAGTCCTTTTAAGGACTGTAAGGTGGTTACCCTTGTAAAAATAAGTAATGCAAAATCTAAGCTGTTGGAACTCAAAAGTATTTTGAGCCTTCAAGGAATGTGAATTACAGGGCCTGAGCTACGTGACAGGCAGCTGTAAGCTGTTGTATGTCTGAATTCAGTCTTTTTCCTTACCTGCATTGCTCTGTAAAATGTTGTAAATGGCAAAGGGCCCCAGGGAAGACCCCCTTCTCTCTTCCTGTTGATTTTCATTCTCCCTCTTACCTTTTTCATACAAGACATCATGGCTATCACAGTCCCTTAATATGGAATGTTAAATACACTCTTTTAAGTTGGAAAGGAAATGAAAACCAGCTATAAAGAAAACAAGCCGCGTGGAAAAGAAAACAAATTGTAACTAATTTTTTTAACTACTAAACCAGGCTTGTATACAAAATGTTGTAACCCTGCTAAATTTCTTTGTCTTATATATAAGCAAGAATTTAGCTTTTAACTTTGGAACCCTATCCCCATTTCTCTGGAGTGATGAGTCCCGGAATGGCCATTGCCAACTTTTCACTTGAATAAACTCTGGAAAACTGGAATCTGACCCTTTTGATTATTTATGGCTGGTACTCTCTTCATTTTACAAATGAGGAAACTGAGGCACAGAATACATAAGTAACTTGTCCAAAATCACACAACTAAAAAGTGTTAACTGGGGATATCAATCTGGGTGGTCTGACCAGAGATCTACTGTGCATCCTGCCTCATGTAAGTTCTAAAATTCAATTTCAGCTTTTCCTTCTGAGAAATCCCACTATTACCCCCTAAGAATTACATAAAATAGTAACTTTTGAACTTGTTTTTCCCATAATCCACAGTAAGAATTATGTTTTGCATCCTAGCACAGAGATACAAATTGCAACAAATAATTCATGGGAAAGCAAAACTCATCCTTATATATGACTTCTTAATATTATCTATTCTATTTCATTCAATTATAATTAATTTTCTACTAAACTAATTCTAGGGCCCAAATTGTCGCAGCCTTCAGTTTGAAAAACTGTTTAAAGCAGTATCCCACTCAATTCCTGACATTTAATAATGCAATGTATCTTCTGGCTGCCCATGCAAAGATGAAGAAGGCCTGGTCATGACCATTAACTACAGTGCACTGGCAAAATTCTGTGGGGTGTCTCTGAGTGTGTGTGTGTGTGTGTGTGTGTGTGTGTGTGAAAGAGAGAGAGAGACAGAGAGAGAGAGAGAGAGAGAGACCGAGAGAGAGAGACAGAGAGAGAGAAAAAATGGGGTCTCCCTCTGTCACCCAGGCTGGAGTACAGTGGCACAATCATAGCTCACTCCAACTTCGAACTCTTGGGCTCAAATGATCCTTCCATCTCAGCCTCCCAAGTATCTAGGACTACAGATGTGTGCCACTGCACTGGTTAATTTTTTTACTTTTTAAAAGAATTTTTTTACCTTCTTGTTTGTGTGTGTGTGTGTGTGTTTTTTTTTTTTTTTTTTTTTTTTTTTTTTTTTTTTTTTTTTTTTTTTTTTTTTTGCAGAGACAGGGGTTTGCTATGTTACCCGGGCTGGTCTCAAACTCCTGGCCTCAAGTAATCCTCTTGCCTCAGCCTCTCAAAATGGAAGATTCTGAGATAAATACATCGATAATCTCCTCAGGGAGGAAAAGAGTCTCCTGTGATGAGACATCTCAGGAAAGTCTTGTTGAGAGGTAGGTAATTTGGGCAGGACTCTGGAGAGGAGACAGACTTCAACAGGCAACCACAGGAGAAGGCATTTCAGACAGAAACACCTCACGGGAGACTCGTGGGAAACTGAAGATGGAGGACGTGCTCGTGGGGCAACGCTGGAGGCTGACGTGCTAAATTTGGACTCACAGACCCTGACGCTGTTGCTATGAGCCAAAGACCTTATGAGAGTCAACCTCTTTGAGGAGCAAGATTCTCATCTGTGAAATGGGGTAGTAATAATATCTGCCTCACCTCCCTCAGAGGCTAGTTCTGTAGAGTATGTAAAAAAATGTCTGAAAACCCTCTGAGAATGACCAAGAGGTGATGATAATGATAACAGGCACCATTTGTTGAGTGGGTCCTCTGTGCTATTCTAACCACCCATGTGATCCGCACAACACAGTGATGTTGGTCCTATTATCTCCATTATATAGATGACGGGACTGAACATTAAAGAGATGAAGTTCCTTGCCCAAGGTCACCTAGCTAGGAAAAGGGAGAGGCAGAACTCAAACCAGATCTGCCTGATCACAGGGTGTAAGTGCTTCTCACCTCACTACAGATGTACATTAAATGTTGATGGGTATGCCGGGAGACAGTGAAGAGCTGATGGGGGAGGTGAGGCCATGAAGGGGTGAAGAGAAGGGCAGAAATGTCTAGAAAGGAGTATTGGCACCGGAACAGCAAGCTCTGAATGTCAGCAGTGTTTAGACCATACCCTGTATGCGGCCAAGGCTTTGAGCAGACTCCGATGTGATCACATCTATGATTCAGAAAGATAAATCTGGCAGCATTATCTGAGACATAAAGAGCACCACTTAGTAGACAACTCAATCACCTGCTAAGTTACAATGCTCTCAAGGTAGCTTTGCAAAGACAGCAAACCTCTGTACTTGGCCCTCACTTGCTGCCTTTAGATTAAAACGAAACCCCCAAAAAACGGGCATATAACATAAATTGGCAATTTGACACAAGTTGAAATCTGATGTGTCCCAGCACTTAGGAAAGCCATCAGTGCTGTTGAATTTGTTGAATGACTGGAAATAGTGCATTTGCACTGGGCAAATGGTAATGAAAAACTGAGATCTTTCTTATTGGAATTACAAAGAAACATCTCATCAAAGGGGATTTCTTTTCAAGGGATGTCAAGATGGCTATTCATCTATTTACACCAAACTTTAAAAAGCTAATTGTCTTTCTGACATATTGTTACAACATTTTTAATACATCATGTTTGATCCTATTAAATAAAATTGACCACTACAAAGCACATTGATGAGCATTTTAAGAGGATTGTGTTTTTACCATACTTTACAGTAGAAGACAGAGTGTGTTCCTTAGAACTCATTTGTTTGCCAGGCACGGTGGCTCACGCCTATAATCCTAGCACTTTGGGAGGCCGAGGCCAGCGGATTACCTGAGGTTGGGAGTTCAAGACCAGCCTGGCCAACATGGCAAAACCCCGTCTGTACTAAAAATACAAAAAAAATTAGCCGGGTGCAGTGGCGCGCGCCTGTAATCCCAGCTACTCTGTAGGCTGAGGCAGGAGAATCGCTTGAGCCTGGGAGGCAGTTTGTGGTGAGTCAATACCACGACACTGCACTCCAGCCTGGGCTACAGAGTGAGACTTCATCTCAAAAAACAAAACAAACAAACAAACAAAAACTCATTTTTTAAATTCCCATTGGAATAAGAGAAACAGTAAAGAAAGTGAAGAAATTGTTTTTGTTCACAGAGATCCCCGTAAGCTGTTACCTCTGCAGATCTGGAGAGTGGGACACAGTCCTGCTTTCTAAAGCAGTTGCTTAAATGTTAGAAATATAACCATTCAGTGGACTGTGTACTAGAGAAGCAAGCCCTGTCTGGAGTCTAGAGGCAATGTGTGATCATGGAAAGGGCCAGAAATGTGATGTAGGAGCCCAGGATTCCAGCCTTGTCTCTGCTATGAGCTGGGGTGACTTGGGGAAGTCGTCAAACTCTCCACACCCTGCTTCCTCATCTGTGAAGTGAAAGGTTGAAGTCCAATTTCCCTAAGGTCCTTCTAGTTCTAACATTCTGTGATCCTTCCCTGAACTGTGGCTCCAAGATAAGAACACAGCACCAAAGGGGAGGCCAGCCTCACACTTAGCCGGGAATATGTAAAGGCTCCTATTAGCCACAGTACAGGTACTCATCAAAAGCAGCAGGAATGATCTCAGCTAACACGGAAGCACTATGGATTGAGCCCAGCAATTCCACCCACTAATTAAACGATAATTGTATCCACTCAGTAAGATTAATGTGACTACCAGTTCACTCATTCATGAATGGTACCAGGGACAAAGTACATACTCAATAAAAATGTTAGCTAGTTTTCCTACTATAAGCCTAAACACTTTATATGTTTCATTTATTTCAAAGCAATCCCATAAGGTGGGTACTGTTATTATCCTCATTTTAAAGATGAGGGGATTGGAGGCTTAGAGAGGTTCAATAACTTGCCCAAAGTCACATGGTTCTTAAGTGGCAGAGCCATGATTCACACTCAGGCAGTTTGAAGCCAAATCCCAACCTTTCAGCCACCGCACTATTCACCTCTATCAGAAGCTAAAGGTGCACTGGTGTCAGTCCCTGTAAACCAAAGGCCCAGCCAGGTATAGCAAGGCATTCTACTACTGACATTTTTCTACCAAGAAACTTCAATAGCTTAGGACTAAAATTTGGCAAGTTCATACAAGTTTCCCAAACAAGATCACTATAACTATGAGGGCCTACTCTTCTTCTTCTTTGCATCAATCCACCTACCTATTCTCTTTCTCAACTTTGTAACATAAGAATGAGGATAGTTGGCCGGGTGCAGTGGCTCACACCTGTAATTCCAGCACTTTGGGCAGCCGAGGCGGGCAGATTGCCTGAGGTCAGGAGTTCGAGACCAGCCTGGCCAACATGGTGAAACCCCGTTTCTGCTAAAAATACAAAAATCAGCCAGGCGTGGTGGTGCGCACCTGTAATCCCAGCTACTTGGGAGGCTGAGGCACAAGGATCACTTGAACCTGGTAGGCAGAGGTTGCAGTGAGCAGAGATGGCGCCACTGCACTCCAGCCTGGGAGACAGAGCAGGACTCCATCTCAAAGAAGAAAAAAAATGAGGATACTTAACAGAACAGGCTTTGAAAAGTTAAAGCCTCTGATGGTGAACTCCACCTTAAAATTTATGTGTGTGTGTGTACATATATATATATATATATATTTTTTTTTTTTTTTTTTTTTTGAGACAGAATCTAGCTCAGTCTCCCAGGCTGGAGTGCAGTGGTACAATCTCGGCTCACTGCAACCTCCACCTCTGGGGTTCAAGCAATTCTCCTGCCTCAGCCTCCCGAGTAGCTGGGATTACAGGCACCCACCACCATGCCTGGCTAGTTTTTGTATTTTTACTAGAGATGGGGTGGGGTTTCACCATGTTGGCCAGGCTGGTCTCAAACTCCCGACCTCAGGTGATCTGCCCACCTCAGCCTCCCAAAGTGCTGGGATTACAGGCGTGAGCCACCGCGCCCACCCCAATGTATATATTTTTAAACTGGACCTTAAAAAAGAGAGATAAAGGATGATTTTTTTTTCATTACAGATTCTCTTTTAAAAGCTCACTACTAAGCTCTTTCAGAGAGCAAATTCCCCTGTTGCCTTTAAATTTGTTTGATTAATTTAGAAATTTTTAGGAGATCATATGTTATTGTTGTTATCTTCTGGATTTTCCCTATAGGTTCACTCTGAGAATTCCTTTGTAAAACAGATGTGAGACACTCAAAGTGAAGGTATCTCCTGAATTATTAATTTTTCATTGTATTATTTCCATCAAAGCCCCACTTACAGGCTTTCCCCAAACCACAGGAAAGTAGAGGGTTGCTTAATCCTTGTTGGAATTCTCAAAGTCAAAATTGGGGATTAACCCCTTCTGGGATCACTCTGAAGCAAAGTCTATGCCCAAGAAGTTGGAAGGGAGAGATGTTGGCTACAATGGTGTCCAGCGAGAAACACATCTCAAAAAGCCCTGGGCTGACCTTAGTCCAGTGCTTCCGACCTTGACCACATGGTGAGAGGCTAGCTAGGTGCTTGCCTTGGGCCTCACCAGAACACTCCCTTTGGTCCTGGGAGTGGAGGTTTTAGTGAGCCAACGGTCCCTTCACAAAAGCAGATTTCTGGCAGAAATAGCTGATGCAATAGGGTCACTCAGCAATGCGAGATAGGGCATAACCTTGGATAGCAGCTCACCTACTCTTTTCCTACCTTTATCAAAATCAATTCAATTAAAATGGGTTGCATGATTTATTAGCAATATCCACGGACCAGTAAAACCAAGTAAAGTAGTAACACAATATTAATATGTGCAGCTCTGGAGCAGGCAGTATTAGCATGGGTCTCAGTGGAGCTAAGATAAATCATTAGCAACCAGTTTCTCCCTCAGGATCAATGCAGTGATTACGAAAGAGAGTTGGGTCATAGTCTATGCATGTAACTGGCCTACTTTCAAACACACCTTTGCCTTATTAAAAGTCAAACAGAAATAAACAACACAGTCCATGTGTGTCATAGAAAGGGATTTCAAATAGGCCCAAAGTCAATCCTACCTCTGATATTCAGAGCTTCAGACTTTTTCTCTTTTTTCATCATGTCTTCTGGCTCATTCTGGGTGTTGAAGGAATCACCTGCATTCAAAGAAGAAACCTTGTGTTGTGTATAAGTTCTACAAACAAACAAAAAAAAACCAATGGACTCAAAATAAAGTTTTGTTATTTTAAATTTCTACTAGCTTAAGGGAGACCCTTCTGCACACCCACAGCTCAGAACAGTACATTTTGGCCTTGAAATAGCCTTGTGATCCACCTTTGGACTTCATTCACACATCCTTTCAAGTTAAAACAAAAAGAGGGTGAATGGGAGCCCACCTGCAGCCCCTAAACCCGTAACACCCAAGAAGACAAACGGATGGGCAAAGAGGGGGGGAGAACAACAAAATTCAGACAGCAAGTAATGAGAGGGAGGAGGGGTTGGAGAGTCCTGCCTGTTGCCCAATAATAGTGACCGATTTCCAAGAAAATCAATACTCATATACAGAGAATAGGGTAAGGGAAAAGAGGCCAGGGCTACCCGAGGATCCAGGAGAAAAAAGAAGGGATGGGGAATATGTTAAATTGGCAGAAGAGAAGTAAAGCGGGATTGTAAAGGGAATGGATTTATTAAAAAAAAAAAAAAAAAAAAAAAAAAAAAACAACAACAACAAAAAAAAAAAAACAGAAAAAAAGCATGCAGAAGAAAAAGAGGGCGTGGGGTGAGAAGAAAGGGACCGGGTGGGAGGAGGAAGGAAGGGCCAAGCGGTCCAAAGGATGCAACCGAAAGGCACCTGCTACGTTTGCGAACACGGTCGCCCCCTTCTCCCGCTTCCTTTCCACCGAGGTCCCCCGGAGGGTTACGGCCGAGTCCGAGCCTGGGGCTGTCGGGTCCGCCGCGCGCCGCGGGTCCTCCGCGCCCTGAGGCCCCCCGAAAGCGCCGGGGACACAGCCCTCCGCCAGCTGCTGCCGCTGCTGCAGGCGGCGACTGCGTCCCCGGAGGCAGCACGCGAACCAGGCGGCGCAGTCCTGGAAGATGAGCAGCCCCACCACGTTGACCAACAGCCCCAGGACGCCGACGATGAGCACCAGCTCGGGGTCATCGATGCGCTCGGGCCGGGCCAGGCGCAGCACGGCCTCCACGAAGATGGTGAAGCAGAGCGCGGTGAGGAAGACCGCGTTGCTCAGCGCGCCCACCACCTCGGCGCGGGCGTAGCCGTAGGTGGCGCTGAAGCCCCGGGTGGGGCGCCGGGCGATGTAGCCGGCGCTCAGGCCCACGCACAGCGAGATCAGGTCGGAGAGCATGTTGAAGGAGTCGGAGAGCAGCGCGATGGAGTTGCCCAGGTAGCCGGAGACCAGCTCCGCCACGAAGAAGGCGACGGTGAGCACCAGCATGAAGAGCAGCCGGCACGTCTTGCCAGAGTAGCGGCCCATCTCGCCACCAGCCCCGGGCGCCCGGCGCCGCCCAGGGGAGCGCAGCCCACCCCGCGCGCAGCCACAGGTGGGGGGCGCGGCGCGGATCCGTGAGGCCCGGTACCCGCCTCCCAGATTGTCTCGCCGGCCCTGCCCCACCGCTTTTTATAACGCGAGGCCGAGCGCCACCAGTCCCCGCACGTCCAGAGTCTAAAGGAGTGGCGGGGGCAGTATCTGAACAGCCCGTGCACCGCCTCCCGCGGCCCTTTTCCCCTCCCTCGCGGCCTGGGCCTGACTTGGCAGGTGGCCACGAGCCGATGTCTCTCTTTGTGGGACAGGACTGTGCAGAGAGGGGCGCTGCGGAGGAGAGGGGGCGTGTCTGGACGTCAATCTTCACAGACTCCCTCCCCATGCAGAGGTGGGATTCACCCAGACACCCCGCTTCTCCTGGCCCTCAGGGTCGCCAGTGTCCTGTTGACTCAGTCATAAGGGCCTTGGCTGCTGTGGGGTGTGTTCGCTGCGGTGGACTGGGACACCTTCGCGTACGTGCCCATAGGCACCTTGCGGTGCAGATTCCATATTAATCAGGTGCAAGGCCCCGGAGCACAGGCTTGGGGCAACTTGCCCTTGAGGGTGCTTCCTGCTTTTCATTTCGTGAAATGTGACCTCATCCGCCACTCAGCCCTCCACCCTCATTCCACTAACCCCAGGATAAAGCTATTTAATCCTCTCTTGTTCCTCACAGCCATTATAAACGGTGCAGGATCGTTCCTATTACCCACTCATGGCACAAGATCGTCCCCGTTCCCCTTCAGGATCTTCGCTGTCAAGGCTTCCTTCCCTGGGTGAATCGCAGGCAGCCCTCAGGAGAGCAGACCCCACTTCTGTAAGCATGCACTCCTGCCTAGCACTCGAAGGCTGGTCTACTTTGTGGTAGACACAAGTCCCTTGGCCGCCAAAGAAACCAGGGCTGACCTCCTCTGTGTACTTGTCTCATTCTTCATTGAAGAGAATATTCTACTCACCCCCACGTGTCCCTGACAGCATGACCTGATACGCAGTACAATCGACTGACCTACATGAAGGTTTATTCCAAATAAAGACTCTTTTTTTTTTTTGAGACAGAGTTTCGTTGTTGTTGCCCAGGCTGGAGTGCAATGGCGCCATCTCGGCTCACTGCAACCTCCGCCTCTCGGATTCAAGCGATTCTCCTGCCTCAGCCTCCAGAGTAGCTGGGATTACAGGCACCATGCCCGGCTAATTTTTTATTTTTTGTATTTCTAGTAGAGACAGGGTTTCACCATGTTGGCCAGGCTGGTCTCGAACTCCTGACCTCAAGTGATCTGCCCACCTCAGCCTCCCAAAGTGCTGGGATTACAGGCGTGAGCCACTGCACCTGGCCAAGACTCTTCTATTGACAACAGGCTGTGTTCCAAATAAAAGTTATCCAGAAGGTAACTGTCTCCAGGACTCTGGAAGAGGCTGAGGAAGGGACCCTTGAAGAAGGGTGTCTGCTGCTGGTCTCTTCCTGCTGTGGAGGTTTGAGAGGCCTGGCTCCTAGGTTTCTTTGTTGGTTTCTTTTGTTGTCTCATTATCTCATCCCATAGAGGATTTGAAGGTGCAGTCTGGTCATCTCTATTCTCCTTCCCCATCCCTAGCCCCTGAACTTTAACCATTCCTGAAGAATACACATGTAGTTTTGGCTTAGAAATGAATACAAATGTCTTATTCCAAAAACAACAAAAAACAAACAAACAAAAAAAAAACACAGGTCAGGCGTGGTGGCTTACACCTGTAATTTCAACATTTTGGAAGACCGAGGTGGGAGGATCACTTGAACCCAGGAGTTCAAGATCAGCCTGGGCAATATAGGGAAACCCCATCTCTACAAAAAATAAAAATAAAAAAAATTAGCCAGGCGTGTGTGCCTATGGTCCCAGCTATTCAGGAGGCTAAAGTGGGAGGAAGGCTTGAACCCAAGAAGTCGAGACTGCAGTGAGTCGTGGTGGTGCCACTGCACTCCAGCCTGGGTGACATAGCAAGGCCCTGTCTCAACCCCACCTCCCCCCAACCACAGAACATCCTAACCTCTAGCCCTATTCATTGTCCTTAGCCTTGTAAAACATAACCTTGTCTTTCAGTATTTCTGAGGTCCATAACAGCCATGCTAAAGCATCCTTGATCCAAGTCCCACCTTACACCAGATAAGCCTCCAAACTCAGAGCTTATTAAATATTTGCACCTCCAGGAAAATATCCTTATATTGAGAATTAGAGAAAATTGATCATTGGAAGTATTTTCTAAAAATCAACATAAAAATAATCAATAATGTAGAGGTAAGAAGATATAGACTACGGTATTTTTCACTAGTGTAAAATGGGAATAATAATAGTATAGGGAAGATTAAATGAGTTAATATGTGTAAAATGCTTAAAATAGTGCCTGGTACACAGTAAGCACTCAATAAATGTTCTATTATTGTTGTCAATAGTATTAATACTACAGCACATGTGTGATGGAATTACTATTGAACAACAGATGAGACACTCTAATAGACAAAAGAGATTTATCAGAGTACTGTAGCCATTGCTGTTTCTGGCTTAGACTGTCTTCAAACTGTAAAGCTTCTGAAACATTTAATATGACAGCAAGCAAAACAGTCAAAATAAGTGAGGGAAGCCTGGTGGAACTAAACTTGACAAACTAAAGCATTCCTTGCTAATTGCATGTCTTTGTCATTCACCACTGAAAGAAAACCTGAAATCAGCAGAAATGTATCACTGGAGCAAATTGCCCAATTATTTTCCTAACCAAAGGCAGATAAGAATTGTGTCACTGCCCCAGGAGTGCAGTGGATGGAACCATAAAGCCAGTGGCTGAGGAAGCTGGAGGAGCTGGAAGTGGCAGAGGCAGCCTGCCTGGGGGACCCATTCCTGACTTTAAGAAAGGGTAAGTGTTGCCAGATGGTGTCAATAAAAAGCACTGTAGAAAAATGTTTGTACTAAAACTACACACACACACACAGTATATATAAAGTTAATTGATAAAAATACAGGCTGCATTTTATTTTTATTTTTTTTAAGACAGAGTCTACTCTGTTACCCAGGCTGAAATGCAGTGGCCCAATCTCAGCTCACCACAACCTCTGCCCTCTGGGTTCAACTGATTCTCCTGCCTCAGCCTCCCGAGTAGCTGGGACTACAAGTGTGCACCACCACACCCTGCTAATTTTTGTACTTTTAGTAGAGATAGGGTTTCACCACGTTGGCCAAGCTGGTCTCGAACTCCTGGCCTCAAATGATCTGCCCGCCTTGACCTCCTAAAGTGCTGGTATTATAGGCGTGAGCCACCACACCTGGCCAGCATTTTATACTTAACAGCAAATTGTGAGGTTTAAATAGCTTTTGTTTATTGATCTCTTACTCTGCCCAACCCTGTGCTGAGAGTTTTATAAGCATCATCTCATTTCTTCCTCATCACAGCCCCATAAAATAAGTACTATTTTATAGGATAGAACCTGAGATTTTAAGTAACTTACCCAAGACCACACAAGCTGTAAATGATTGATAGATTTGAGCTCTGAACTAGGCATCAAACTCTAGAGCTTACACCCTTTGCTTCCAGATTATACTAACTCAATCATCTTTTTTTTTTTTTTTTTGAGACGGAGTCTCACTCTTGTCACCCAGGCTGGAGTGCAATAGCGTGATCTCAGCTCATTGCACACTCCACCTCCCAGGTTCAAGCAGTTCTCCAGACTCAGCCTCCTAAGTAGCTGGGATTATAGGCACCTGCCACCACGCCCAGCTAATTTTTGTATTTTTAGTGGAGATGGGGCGTGAGCCACTGCTCCTGGCCTTTAATGCTTCTTTTGTTCTAAACAAATGAAATGGTTTTTAAAAGTTCTGTTAGTATTGGTGCAAAACTTGATATGCTACAATTCACAAATTCAGAGATTATGACACTAAAAATTATTTTTATACTGGTATTTGACCAGAAATTAACAATTAGTTTTTTTTTAGAAACTGTAAAAGCATCTGTTTTTGTTTTTAGTTCTACTTGACAAGAGATGACATTGCCTTTGGAGAAGAGAATGGACATCTTTCCAAAGCACCAAATTCTTATTGTGGATGAAGTCAGCTCCTCATTGGTGAATTTATATAATGTGTACGTCTGTAACCTTTTGTACAAAGGTAATTTTTGTACCCCAAAAGTATGCATATTGGGCCTCCAAGTTTTTTTAGAATCCATTAAACTTAAGAGATTCTTGACTTGAGTAACCATTCTTTTTTTTTTTTTTTTTTTTTTTTTTTAGTGATGGAGGCATGAGATGTGCAAAAGATTAAAAATGAGGTAGTGAGGCCAGGCGAGGTGGCTCACGCCTGTAATCCCAGCACTTTGGGAGGCTGAGGTGGGCGCATCACCTTAGGCCAGGAGTTTGAGATCAGCCTGACCAACATGGAGAAACCCTGTCTCTACTAAAAATACAAAATTAACCGGGCGTGGTGGCGCACGCCTGTAATCCCAGCTACTCGGGAGGCTGAGGCAGGAGAATCGCTTGCACCTGGGAGGCAGAGGTTGCAGTGAGCCGAGATCCTGCCATTGTACTCCAGCCTGGGCAACAAGAGCAAAACTCCGTCTAAAAAAAAAAAAAGAAGAAAGAAAAATGAGATAGTGGTCAATACTAATTTGAGTGGGCTATATTTATAAGGGAGTTGTGATTTGCAGCCCACCTAGAACGAAGCAGCTCTAATATGAATGTAAAGCTGTGCCCATCAGCCTGCAGTGTCCTCACCCAAACGCCACCTCCATGGTTTCTTCAAAATGCCACTTGTTCTTGCAACGAAAGAGTATGTCTCCTAATAGCCCTGGCCCAGGAAGTGTTAGGAGCACGAGCATAGCATCACGTGATACCACCTACTTACTGAGAAAATACCAGACTCTAAATAATTTTAATTTTGCACTCACTTTGAGAAAATTTAAAAGGCAGAGTAGCGCTGCAGTTAATAATTTGAGCTTTGGAGTCGGACCGATTTGGAACTAAATCTGGGCTGTGCTTCTCACTTGCAACTGCTCTTGTGACCTGGGGGACACGTTCCTTACTAAACCTTCTCTTTCCTCACCTGTGAAATAGGGATAATAATAGTATCTACTTCATGAGGTTGTCATGAGACTTAAGTGGGAAAAGGTATATAAATTGCTTGGGATAGTGCCAGGTTCATAAGAAAGGCTCAGTGAATATTAACAAAAAATAACCATCACCTGGAGTTTTAAATCCAAGTTTAGAGAGACAGCAGAATATTTTCCTTCACCAAAGGATTCGCTAAGGATTACTTTTAGAGAAAATACACATTTAAGAATTTGTTTACAGATCCATCTGGGGAGCAGTGAAGTTTATGAAGACATAAGATAAAACATGTTTAAGTTTCTGCAATTAGAAGAGAAGTATAGGCCAGGCGCAGTGACTCAACGCCTGTAATCCCAGCACTTTGTGGGGCCGAGGTGGGCGGATCACCTGAGGTCAGGAGTTCAAGACCAGCCTGGCCAACTTGGTGAAATGCCATCTCTACTAAAACTGCCAAATAAAGGCCGGGTGTGGTGGCTCACATCTGTAATCCCAGCACATTGGAAGGCCGAGGCGGGTGGATCATGAGGTCAGGAGATCGAGACCATTCTGGCTAACACGGTGAAACCTCGTCTGTACTAAAAATACAAAAATTTAGCCAGGCGTGGTGGTGGGCACCTGTAGTGCCAGCTACTCGGGAGGCTGAGGCAGGAGAATGGCGTGAACCCAGGAGGCGGAGCTGGCAGTGAGCCGAGATCGTGCCACTGCACTCTAGCCTGGGCAACAGAGCAAAACTCCGTCTCACACACACAAAAAAATACCAAAAAAATTAGCCGGGCATGGTGGTGGGTGCCTGTAATCCCAGCTACTCAGGAGGCTGAGGCAAGAAAATTGCTTGAACCTGGGAGGCGGAGGTTGCAGTGAGCTGAGATCATGTCATTGCACTCCAGCCTGGGTAACAAAAGTGAGACTCCATCTCAAAAAAAAAAAAGAAGAAAAGCATAGTTTGAAAGACAATAGTTCCACATATACAAAATATAGGAACCAAAGTTACCATCTGTTGATCGCATGGATGTAAAAAGATGACATCAATTTTTATATAACACCAGGATGATGCCTTTTTTTCTCGAAGTATTTCAGAATGCATTAAATTTAAGAGATTCTTGACTTGAGGTGAACGCTATTATTTTTCCATGAGATATGGAATGATAAAAGCTGGGTAATGGCTAACACCACTTTGAATGGGCTGCTGATAAAGGAGAAATACTTCCTTGGGCTATTAGATTCATTTGAGAGCAAAGAGGCCAACTGTGGTATCTGGGGTCATCTTGTCATTATTGACACTATAGCACTGCTCTCTGTGTTTCTTACCATCTCCAGGTCACAAGGACAACCCCAGAGACGCACTCATAGAGAAACCCTGTGCTTGGGGTTTGTCAAGGGGACAAGGGTAAGTGAAAACACGAAAATGAAAGGGGTTATGGCTACTAGGAAGAACAGGGGAAAGGGTTAAAGGCAGAACTGGCAGTTTAAGAAACACTTTTCATTCAGAGTTCATCATCATTTACTGATATCATTTGGGGTCTGAATCCTCCTGATGGGTGAACAGTGAGGGGGAAAAATCAGCTTTTAGACTATTTCCAATTCAAATGGAAGCAAAAAGAACTACAAGTTGCAAGAAATAGAGAAAAACCCCTTGATGTTGATTCTAGACCTAATTGTTTTAACTGTAAGTTAAATTGTGTTATTTTGTAAGTTACAACAAGGTTTCCTATGTGTTCTTTGGTGCCATCAGAAACAATCCAACACAGATGGCAACCTTCTTCACTGCTAGATTTCGCCTTAATTTTTAGACTATATGAACATGAAAAAAGCCTTTTGCCCAAGAAATTGTGGAAATAATTTTGTGTGAAGGGGAGAGAGGGTCAAAACCAAAGATATTAATAAATGTCCTTAACTTTATTTGCCAAGTGCACTGGTTGAATATGTAGTGGGACAACATAGGCTTTGGAGCCATGCACATCTAAAATCCAATCTTGCTTCTGTCAGCTCTTCGCAAGTGAGCAAGTCACTCAACTTCTGAGCCTCTATGTTTTCATTTCTAAGCTAGATATAGAGGTATCACTCTCTCAGACAGTAGTTATGAGAATCAAATGAAAAAGCTTATGTAAAGGGTCTTGCATAGTTCCTTTAGTGGATAATCAACAAACATTGGCTCCTTCCATTGATTTCTGGCTGTTGTCATACCCAAAACTATTGTTGACTTCCAGTTGTGGAATCTCCTTCATAGTTATCTAGAGTATCCTACTTTTTATAAAATCATGTATGTCCCCTTAATCCAAATAATCTACTTAGCTAATTATCTTAAAACAAATTAGCTATTGACTAATAAAATATTATATGAATATAAAACATTGATTAATACTATGTTACAAATATAAAAATATTTAAAATAAAATCTTTTGTAAATCTAAACCCAAACCCCCTAGTTTTATCATTGACATCCTTCTTTTGCCATCATGACCTACCTGCTAGTCATGTGGCAGAAAAGTAGAGAGAATCAAGGTATCTGGACTGGGAGACACTATTACTATCACAAAATGAGAGGCTGTTTTGAATATTGAAATGAAGTCTGGAAGAGAACTAAGATTCTTGACCTCTGACATGAAGTTATTGTACAACTTGGACCAGTTACAGAATTTCTGAGCCTTAGTTTCCTAATCTGTAAAATGCAAAGAATAGCCTCATACTACTTAGTGTATCTAGTTGATTTGAATATCAAATAAGATAATGAAGGTACAAATATATAGAAAAATAAAAGGCATTATTGCTGTAATTATGAAGCCATGGACCCACAACCAACATGAGTTCTAGAAAGCAAGCACTGTATTTGTGGCCACCAGTATTTAAATGGGTCAGCTTAAGCTTCAGATTGCCTGGACCCCTCCCTGAACCCCTCCCTGCTTTCCTGTGGTAAGATATCCTGTTCCCTTTGTCCCCTTGGATACAGAGGTAGGCACGTACACCAATCACAGTCCCTCATGCCCTGATCACAATGCTTGGTTCAAGAGATGGGCACTTGACCCAAGATGGGCCAGAGTTCTTCTTTCGGAATTTTTCAAATGAACCTGGGAGAGAGGTTTCATTTCTTGTCTGGTCATTAAACATGAGGATGTGACTTGGAGCCCCTGGTAATCCTGTCTTCCCCTGCTTCTTTCCAATACCCTTCAAACTGCAATAGGAGAGGAAGCAGAAAGAGCTGAGAGGCAGTGGTAGAGAATCTTTGCTTTCCTTCTTCAATTACGCTCCTAATTTGACTTTTGAATGCTGCACCCTCCTGGTTTTCCTTATATTTCATTGACAGTTTCCAAAACACTTACATTCTATTGTGTACCTGTAATTCTGAAAGTGGCTTAGCCACAGTTCTATATTCAAATTGATTTGATGCTCACCAACAGTCTTTTCATACCATGGCTTTCCAATTTCTGAGCTCATCTTGATTCACATTTTGGTTGACTGGATTTCATCTAGTCTTTTTTTAAAAAAAGAAGAGCTCTTGGGTTATCTACATATATATATTTGTTAATGTCATTATGTTGCCATTCATAAATGAGCAAAACTTAGATTAGATGGGTATGAAATTCATAAGTTCGTGTTTTATTTTATTTCTGAGAACTGTATAGACATCTCATCATTGTATCTTGACATTGCATGTCGCTGTGGAAAAATCTGAGTACAGCCTGATATTTGTCCTCAGGCTTTTTCTGCCTAGATGCCTGTGGGATTCTTTCTTTATTTTTGATATTTAGCAACTTCTCCAGAATGTATGTATGAATTATTCCATATCAATTTTCCCTTTTGGTATGCAAATTTTTATCATCATTTAGTTCAGAAAAAAAATCTTCTATTATATCTTCGAATTTCTTTCATGGGGCACTTGTCTGCTTTCTACATCAGGAAACACCTAGTGTGTATATTATGCTGCATGTCTGCTCTTTGTTTTCCATATCTATTATCTGTCTTCCAGTTGCTTTAAATTCCTTGATGAGGCCAGGCACAGTGGCTCACGCCTGTAATCCCAACATTTTGGGATGCCAAGGCGGGCGGATCACTTGAGGTGTGGAGTTCAAGACCAGCCTGCCAACATGGCAAAACCCCATCTCTACCAAAAATACAAAAATTAGTCAGGCGTGCTGGTGTGTGCCTTTAATCCCAGCTACTCGGGAGGCTGAGCACAAGAATCGCTTGAACCTGGAGGCGGAGGTTGCAGCGAACTGAGCTCGCGACACTGAACTCCAGCCTGGGTGACAGAGCAAGACTTAGTCTCAAAAAACTAGAATAATTCCTTAATCAATTTCTCCACCCTGTCTTCTAGCTCACTGATGGTTTTCAGTGGTGCTTATTTTATGCCTCACTGCTTCCTATATGAGTTTCATTTCTGTAATGTTTGTTATCTTTTCCCTAGCCACCGGAGTTCTGACAGTTCATGTTCATTGTTTTATCTGAAAATTTCTTCTGTCACCTGGGGTAATTATTATTTTTCTTCAATGTATTTTTTCTTCTGCCTTTTTTGCTGGTTCCTTTTTTAACTTTTTCTTTGTAGTATCTCTATGTAGTTACCATGTTGGATCTTTGCTGATTATCATGCATCTTTGAGTGGGGCACTTATATCCAAATCTGCTAACAGTGGGGGAAGGGGTTGAGGGATGGAACAAAATATGCTTCTTCCCATCAGGATAAGTCACTCTGGAGATGGCCTACATGGTTCACAATGGAGCTGCCCAGTGCAGTTTTTGATTTGTGTTAGGGGAACACTGCATTCCCCCAAGCTTCACATTTCCATGAGGGCGCCTCCAAAGGCCCATCACTCTAGACATCTTTCTACCACTCCCCTGACTTTTCCCAGAGGCAGGATCACTTCTCTGTCCAGTAAGCTTGGGAGAAAGAGTGCAGCATGCTCAGCTATCCTCTTCTGGGACTTCTTTTTCAAATTTGCCTTCCCCAGGGACCTGCAATCCTGCTACATGAGAGAAGCTAACTGGGGCAGGTTTTGCCCTGTGGAGGGAGGCCTGGGACTGGGTGAGGAAGTTTAATTCTGGGGTGGACGATTAGGAAGCTCTTTGCCACTACATGTCTAAGCCATATCCTTCAATATCAGTAATCAGGTTAATATTTTATGTTCAACTGTCATCCATATCTTATGTTATCAATTGCTTCCAAACCTAGAAGAGTAAGAAATGGGTATTATTTATGTGTCCCTGAAGCCCTAACATATTGGTAAGTTGGCAGGAACCTTGAGAAAGATAAAGATGAGTATCTACAGGCCAAAGTAACCCATGGAGATTGAGCCTGTGGTAAGCAGCTGCCAGGTTTTAATGCTTCAGTAAGAGTGAGTCAGGCAGTCAGGCAGTATTTCAACCTTGGCAGGTCGCAGCAGCTTATTGGCTACAGAAGAATGCTGCTGTCGTAGCTATGGGGCTGTTTTAACAGACCTTAGTGAGCATGAGTTTTTAAGAGCAATTTTTATTACATGCTGCAGTATTACTGTGCAAAGAAAATGAGAGAGAGTAATTTGCTCTCAGAAACAACAGGCAGACTAAGTTAGAGGATTGGAGAGCTTTCTTGGGGCTAGAAAGATACAAAAAAGAAAAATGCCCACATATCTAAATACTCTTAAAAGGGGGATGAATTAGATGAGACTGGGGACTAGCAACCAAATAAATCTTTCAGAAGCAGGAAGGCAATATTTCAGATAGTTGCCTGGGATTTGGAATGCACCTCTACCATCAGTGGGATACAGATCCAGGCAGCTATTAAAAGCTACCCTCTCAAAGCTGTGAATGCCATCCAAAATAAATGCAATTGGGGAATACAACAGTTATTCCATGACTGTCCTATCATTATGTGTTGGGTGTGTGGAGGGCAGGTCATGGGTTTCTTTTTTTTCCTTTTTTTTTCTTTGAGACCAAGTCTCACTCTGTCGCCCAGGCTGCAGTGCAGTGGCCATTATCTTGGATCGCTGCAACCTCCACCCCCCCAGGTTCAAGTGATTCTCCTGCCTCAGCCTCCCAAGTAGCTGGGATTACAGGCACCTGCCACTGCGCCCAGCTGATTTTTGTATTTTTAGTAGAGAGGGGGTTTCACCATCTTGGCCAGGCTGGTCTTGAACTCCTGACTTCATGATCCACCCACCTCGGCCAGCCAAAGTGCTGGGATTACAGGTGTGAGCCACCACACCTGGCCCATTTCTTTCTTTACTTCACAGATCTCCAAATCAAGAGGAAGATAACTCAAGGAGCTGTATCTGAGGAATTGTCCCAGAAGAGCCTCTTTAACCATGGACCCATTCAAGGTGACAAGATCCTGGACTTGGAGCTCATGCCGCATGGACTGAGATTTTAGGGATCTTAGGGAGGAGTGAGAGTCTTTTGCATGTGGAAGTGATGAGAATCATAGCCAAGGGGCAAACCGGGCAGATTGTTTTTCTAAAGATGGCCATAATCATATCTCTACTCCACGTTCTCCTAGTCCACATGTTCTTCTACAGGGTGACCTTGATACGCCTTCCATTCAAAGGCCGACTCTATGTGCTTGACACTCCTTCCATCTTGTCACTTGCTTGCAATCCACAGACTCGAAGGTTGAATCAGAAAAGGCAATGGAGCTTCTACCTTGTTTGATGGAGCACTCATGCTTGAAACGCTGAGCCACCACACCCAATGTCCTGAGACCACCCTAGTGCAAGGAAGCCAAGACGCAAGGAGCAGTCACGTGTAGGTGGTCCAGCCAGCAGTCCTATACATTGAGACCTTCCAGCCCGGATGCCAGACCTATAAGTGAATGAGCCTTCAAGTGACTGCAGCCTCAAGCCATCAAGTCACCCCTAGCCTTTGAGTCTTCCCAGCTGAGGCCTCAGACATCGTGGAAGCACACAGCCTGTTCCCACTGTGTGCTTTCCAAATTCTAGCCCACTGAACCCCTGGGTTCATAAAACAATTGCTATTTTATGCCAGTACATTTGGGATGGTTTGTTATAGAGTAACTGGAAGGGAGAACCACCATGTGAAAGATTGGGAAGCCGTACAAAGGGTCTATAAAGTTTGGAACTATAAGAGAGGAGAAGACAATGGATATTGGCATAGAATATTTAGGGTATTATTAGATGAGCTTCAAAACAAAATAGTTATTGTGGGGCAGGGTTTTCCCATGTCCTGAGTGAACAGATTAAAAAACAGACAAAGGTAGGATTCTCCTGACAGGCACAGGAAGGCCGAGACTTACTGAATGGGATCTAGGCAGGACAATAATAGTTTGAGTCCAGGCCTGGGTCGATTTTTGGTTTAATTGGAAAATGCCTTTCAAGTGAGACTATCTAACTCAGAGAGGTGAGGGTTGATCAGATTTGTTTGGACAACTGTTGCCTTTGGCAGACCCATAAAACCCTGACTTCATTTCTCTCACTGAGAGTAGAAAAAAATCTGTTTGAATAATAAATATCTGACCCAGAAAACCATGACAAAGTAAAAGGAAGAAAGTCCAATGAAAATGCCAGCCTACAGGAGGTAGAGAAGGAAAAAGACCAGCTTACGAACTTGATTAAACCATTAACAACCTAACTGAGCCTTCCTGAGAGGAGAAGGAGAACACAGAAGGAAATAAAACACGAGAAGCACGTTCCAAACTTCAGAATGAGACATTCAGTTGAATGATATGCTTGCAACCTTCAAAAGCTGTGGAAAGATAATGTTTGGAGGAGCATAAAGCAGAAACAACAAGACAAATTTGAAGCCTTCAAAACAGCTTCAGCTCAGGAGTTTGCTAAGGCTGAACTTCAGATGAATGTGAGCATGAGGGAGCAGCAGGATTAGAAGCAGGATTCACAGGTCTAAGCAGTGCTAGAGCTACAGGCAGTCACAGCAGTGAGTATAGATGGTGCCCAAGTGTAGACAGAGCCCAAAGCAGGGGCTTCAAGTGGAAATGGAATTAAGGACCTTCCTTCCCTTCCTTCCTTCCTCCCTCCCTTCCTCTCTGCCTTCCTCTCTTCTTCCCTTCCTTCCTTCCTTCTTTCCTTCCTTCCTTCCTTCCTCCCTCCCTTCCTCTCTGCCTTCCTCTCTTCTTCCCTTCCTTCCTTCCTTCTTTCTTTCATTCCTTCCTTCCTTCCTTCTCTCCCTCCCTCCTTTCCTTCCTCCCTTCCTTTCTCCCTTTCTCTCTCTCTCTCTCTCTCTCCCCCTCTCCCCTTCTCCCTCTCTCATCTCTTTCACATGCTGACTGGAAATGTACCACAAATAAAATCTGCAGCCCAGGATGTCACTGCTGCACATATCTAAACTCTGCAAGCAAGCAAGAATGTTTTCAATGTCACTCGCTGGGAAAGGATACCATGTGTTTACCAGATAGGAAAACTTGGTGCCATAATCGATCTCCTGTTGTGAAAGCTCTGCCAGTGGACCTAAGTACCCAGGTCTTGGCCCTGGCCAGGTCTGGCAGATACTGGCTGGTATCTTTGAGAGGCAAAAACCAAGAAGACTTCTTTCCTTTCTGAGTCTCTGCTGTGGCCATAAAAAGCAATAAAGATGGCCTGGTTTATAGTAAGTGCTAAATTCTGGTAATCTAAATTTTCCTATAACTGTTCTAGCTCTGGGATAAGGTTTCAGACTTTTTGAAATCTTCAGAAAGTGTGGCAGAAAATAAAAAATGTACTCAAAGGCCAAAAATGAAGTAAAAGTCAAAATCCAGAAAGGTAAGTTGAAGTCAGAATCTGACTTAAGAGCATCTGTCCAATAAAGACAAATGCTCTAGCCTTGAGTTTTGACAGCCACATGATCATGGATGTTATAAGAGACAAAACTGAGATCGATGCGAGATGGAGAGTTGGACCAGAGATCCCCTTACAAAGTTTGACTCCTTGATCAAAGGTTGAACCAAAATGAAATGAACAATCAAATAAACAAACAAAAACCCGCTGCCCCAAAGGCGACAACAAGGAAACTTGAATCTGTTAGCCTTGGTTGTGGACATAGGGAAAACTACCTCCCATGGGAAGTTGAAACTATAATGTGGTCTTCATGTGGTAATGCAGTCTAAAGTCATGCTACGTATGTAATAATAATAACTCAGGCAAACAATTTTTTAAGTATTTACAAGTTGGTAATGCCCTCAGGCACCTGACAGAAGCAAATGCAAATCTTCTTGGAAAAATGTACCAACAATCTATTCTTCAAAGAATTCCCTCAGAGAAAGCTTTGTTGAACATTAATTCACAATCAAAAATCATGAAATGGCTGGGCAAGGTGGCTCATGCCTGAATCCCAGCATTCTGGGAGGCTGAAGAGGGAGGATCACTTGAGGTCAGGAGTTTGAGATCAGTCTGGCCAACATGATAAAACCCCATCTCTACTGAAAATACAAAAATTTGCCAGGCATGGTGGCAAGGGCCTGTAATCCCGGCTACTTGGGATGCTGAGGCACAAGGATCACTTGAATCCGGGAGGCAGAGGTTTCGATGAGCTGAGATCATGCCACTGCACTCTAGCCTCAGTGACAGAGCAAGACTCTGTCTCAAAAATAAAAATAAAAATAATCATGAAATACACAAAATGTGAGAAGGTAAACCACCTTGAGAGAAGCAGCAAAAATAATAAACAGAATCAGACATGCAAAAATTGCAGATGTTGAGAATACCAGATACATAATATAAACAAAGTATGTTTAATAGAAGGGAATAAAGGAAGGACTGGAAAGTATAAGTAAAGAACAAGTCATCATAAATGAAAAGTAGATTAGTTGAAATTAAAAACTCAATAGAAGGTGCCCCTGCTTCTTCTAGTCAGGATGCTATCAGTGAAGTCATAATGGAGACCCTGATCTCCCGCACCTGCTCAGCACTAATGAAGCACCCCCTATCTCAGGGTGTCAACAGAGGCCAAGTGGGAAACTTGGACTTCCATTCTCATCTTAAAATAACAAGCAGCACCCCTTCCACCAGCACAGTGTCAGAGGAGACCTGCTCAAACAGAAAATTTAATAAGATTGACAGCCTCATAACTCAGAATGTCCAGGATTCAACAGAAAATCTACCATCATAGCAAAGCCAGGAAAATTTTAACCTGAGTGTAAAAAAGACACTGACATTGAGGTAGCAAAATGTTACAAATTTTCTGGCAAGCAGTTTTAAAGTAGACATCATACAAATGCTTCAACAAGCAATTACAAATACATTTGAAACAAATAAAAATACGGAAAGTCTCAGCAAAGAAATAGAAGATAAAAGGAAGAATGAAATAGAAACTTTAAAAATGAAAACTACAATAACTGAAATAAAAACTCAATGGGAGGCCAGGCGCGGTGGCTCACACCTGTAATCCCAGCACTTTGGGAGGCCGAGGTGGGTGGATCACAAGGTCAGGAGATTGAGACCATCCTGGCTAACATGATGAAACCCCGTCTCTACTAAAAAATATAAAAAATTAGCAGGGCATGGTGGTGGGCACCTGTAGTCCCAGCTACTCTGGAAGCTGAGGTAGGAGAATGGCGTGAACCCAGGAGGTGGAGTTTGCAGTGAGCCGAGATCATGCCACTGCACTCCAGCCTGGGTGACAGAGTGAGACTCATCTCAAAAAAAAAAAACCTTCAATGGGGCTCTTGGCAGTGAATACAAAATTTTAAAATTAAAAAAAAAACTGGCGGGGCATGACAGCTTACGCCTATAATCCCAGCACTTTGGGAGGCCAAGGCGGGCAGATCACGAGGTCAGGAGATGGAGACCATCTTGGCTAACACGGTAAAACCCCGTCTCTACTAAAAAATACAAAAAATTAGCCAGGCATGGTGGTGGGCACCTTTAGTGCCAGCTACTCAGGAGGCTGAGGCAGGAGAATGGTGTGAACCTGGGAGGCGGAGCTTGCAATGAGCCGAGATCGCGCCACTGCAGTCCAGCCTGGGTGACAGAGCAAGACTCTGTCTCAAAAACAAAACAAAACAAAACAAAACAAACACTAAATGGATGGGCCCAGTAGCAGAAATGGGGAAGACAGAGGAAAGAAAGTATTTTATCTGAACAACAGAGAGAAAATAGAATAAAATAAGTCTCAGGGACCTGTGTAACTATAACAATTATAAATAGGAAAAGATAAAGGGAGGTAAGGTTTCTACATTTTATTCAAACTAGCAAAGTATTGACAGCATTAGCCAGTGATAAGTTATGTATGTGCAATCTAATACCTAGAGCAACTACTAACAAAGCTCTATAAAGACATACTCAAAAGCACTACAGGGAAATCAAAATGAAATTCTAAATAATGTTCACAGAAGCCAGGAAACGGAAAATAGAGAAATAAAAAATAGAAGGAACAAACAGAAAATGAAAAGTAAAATAGCAGTCTCAAGCCCCAACCTTCAATAATTGCGTAAATGTAAATTGTCTAAACACACCACTTAAAAGACAGAAAACTGGCAGAGTGGCTAAAACACATATCTAACTATATCCATACCATGGAATCCTTTTCAGCAATAAAAAACAACAACTGATACATGCAACAAGTCAAATTAATCTTAAGAGCATTATGCTGAAAGAAAAAAAGCCCATTTCAAAGGTCACATATGTATGATTCCATTTATTTAACATTCTTGAAATAAAAATATTATAAAGATGGAAAACAGATTATTAGTTTCCAGAGCATAGAGATAGGGTGTAAAGGTAGGAAGGGTGGCTATGACTACTAAAGGGTACCATGAGGGATATTTTTGTAATGATGATTTTGGTGATGGTTATACAGAACTACACTTGTGACAAAAATCTCGTAGAATTATATAACTCATTGTATGAATGTAAATTTCTTGGTTTGGAAATTGTACTATCATTCCATTGGGGAAAACTTGACAAAGGGTACATGAGACTTCTATGTACTATTTTTGTAACTTACTGAGAATATAAAGTGATTTCAAAATAAAATTTTAAAAAATTGAATGGGCAGGTTAATGAGAACCGAAGTTAAAAAACAAAAACTAGAAATAAATGAAGGTAAATCTGAAAAACCACGTAGAATGCAACACAGAACAACAAAAATGTGAAAACAGCAAAATGTGAAAAAAGAAGTTACAAAACATGGAGGACAGAATAAGATCAAATATTATCTAATTAGCATTGCAGAAGGAGAAAGTACAAGGAACAGGGGAAAGCCAAAACTAGAAGAGATAATGTTTGAAAAATCTTCTGGAATTTATGAAAGACATAAATGCTTGGATTTAATCCCCAGATGGGATTTTTTAAAAAGAGTCCACATATGGAAATATGATTACAAAACTGAAGAACATCAAAGACAAAGAGAAGATCTTTAAAAGGTGGAGAACATGAAAGTCTTGGTGCTAAACTTATGCAACTTTGGATGCCCTGAAGGAATGGCATCCATTCTAGTGGAAAACAATCCAGACTGAAACTGCTGAAGGAACTCCAACTCCACCAGGCATGAAACTATACTCAAACTGAGACTGTGCCCAAAAGAGGAAGCTTGGGGGTTTTGTGGTTTTACTTGCCTTTGGTCTTGCCTTTAGATTAATAAACAGTGGTTTTGATTTCTTTGGCTATTAATACATAAGTTCAAAGATATTTAATTTTGAAATTTAATTTTCTGTTATAATTTGATAATAGGAAGGGATTCATATTGCTAAAATTTGGGGCATTTTTATATTGCTGACATTGAATTGTTAGCATATCTTGATACTATCACTTTGTGTCACTATATAATTGCCAATGAGCAATATTGAACATTTGGGGGCCTCAGAGTTAATTTAACTAGTATACTTACTCTTCTAACCCTTTTCAGTCATTGAGGGTATCTAAATTGCCAAACCTGTTCCAAAGGATGAAATCCAAAGGAAGCAGTGGTTGATATTGGGAGCACAAGCTTTATGGAAATGCAGCAGTACAGTCCTGATAAACTGTTCATCTAGTCCTTCCAGGGGAGCCAGGAGTGAAGGGAACATAAATCTGGAGAGTGTTGGGGGAGACTGCCATTCCTCTTGTCTTGTGTTTCCATGAGACGACCACCAGTGTAGCCTCCATTCCCTCCCCAGTCCCCATGTAAGTAGTCACTCTGAGGGTGGAAGGGTCTTCTCTCACTGGCGGGTTAGGTTGAAGAAATGGATTAAGCCTGGCTCAGCCCTTCCTGGGCTTCCTCCTTCCAACTGCCTGCCCACTGAGAAGGCACATTCTCTCTGTTCCTGGGCCCACCCCTGCTCTTCCAGTTGTTGTGCTCTGCTTGTAAGAGGATAGGTGAGTTTACTCCACAGAATTAGTATTAGGAAGCCAATTGTGACATCCAAGCTACACTCTCCAAAACAGCTTTTACCAAAAACACTGAGCTACTATTTTCATTGCTATTGGACTTTTATTCCTTATTTCTCAAGTAGTTCCAGATTTATGAATGAAGTTGTTTATTGGCCCCCAAAAGTCCCAACAATGTGCTCAACTGGCTCTGGTCAGCATGTGTGGAGCTAGTTGCTAGTTCTCCTCTTTCCTCTCCTTCATGACCTTAAGAGAGTTTCTTCAGGTAAAGAATTCTACAGAAAACAGATGGTCCATTCAGCCAGTTGCCCCTTCAACCTGACTTCTCTGCTGTTCCTTTGTAAGGAGCCAGCCCCTACCTCCCATTGACCTGATGTAAGGATCATCTTTATTTTATTTCCTATTAAGCTGATACATTTTTAAAGATCTCATGGCAGATGAAGAACAAGAGCATAGGTATACTTTATCAAAAACTACATCCTCAGGGTGCAATGGCTCATGCCTGTGATCCTAGGATTTTGCGAGGCCAAGGTGGAAGGATTGCTTGAGGGCAGGAGTTCGAGATCAGCTTGGGCAACATGGTAAGACCCCCATCTCTACAAAAAAATGAAAAATAATGGTTGGGTATGGTTGGCAGGCACCTGTGGTCTTGGCTACTTAAGAGGCTGAGATGGGAGGATCGCTTGAGCCTGGGAGGTTGAGGCTGCTGTGAGCTGTGGTCATGCCACTGCACTCTGGCCTGGGTGACAGAGCAAGATCCTGTCTCAAAAAAAAATTACCTCCTCAAAATTCTCTAAAGACACCTATTCAGGTGCAGACAGTATATATCAGGACATGGACTATGGAAAACATTCTAAGGACAGGGAATCTCCAGATATTATTGCCTCTCATTAAAAAACAATGAGGCCAGGTGTGGTGGCTCACACCTGTAATCACGCCTGTAATCCCAGCTACTTGGGAGGCCAAGGCAGGAGAATCACTTGAACCCGGGGGGCAGAGGTTGCAGTGAGCCAAGATCACACCATTGCACTCCAGCCTGGGCAACCAATAAGAGAGAAACTCCGTCTCAAAAATAAATAAATAAAAATAAAAACCCCATTGTCTCAGCCCAAAATCTCCTTAAGCTGATAAGCAACTTCAGCAAAGTTTCAGGATACAAAATCAATGTACAAAAATCACAAGCATTCTTATACACCAATAACAGACAAACAGAGAGCCAAATCATGAGTGAACTCCCATTCACAATTGCTTCAAAGAGAATAAAATACCTAGGAATCCAACTTACAAGGGACGTGAAGGATCTCTTCAAGGAGAACTACAAACCACTGCTCAATGAAATAAAAGAGGATACAAACAAATGGAAGAACATTCCATGCTCATGGGTAGGAAGAATCAATATCATGAAAATGGCCATACTGCCCAAGGTAATTTATAGATTCAATGCCATCCCCATCAAGCTACCAATGACTTTCTTCACAGAATTGGAAAAAACTACTTTAAAGTTCATATGGAACCAAAAAAGAGCCCGCATCGCCAAGTCAATCCTAAGCCAAAAGAACAAAGCTGGAGGCATCACATTACCTGACTTCAAACTATACTACAAGGCTACAGTAACCAAAACAGCATGGTACTGGTACCAAAACAGAGATATAGATCAATGGAACAGAACAGAGCCCTCAGAAATAATGCCACGTATCTACAACTATCTGATTTTTGACAAACCTGAGAAAAACAAGCAATGGGGAAAAGATTCCCTATTTAATAAATGGTGCTGGGAAAACTGGCTAGCCATATGTAGAAAGCTGAAACTGGATCCCTTCCTTACACCTTATACAAAAATTAATTCAAGATGGATTAAAGACTTAAACGTTAGACCTAAAACCACAAAAACCCTAGAAGAAAACCTATGCATTACCATTAAGGACATAGGCATGAGCAAGGACTTCATGTCTAAAACACCAAAAGCAATGGCAACAAAAGCCAAAATTGACAAATGGGATCTAATTAAACTAAAGAGCTTCTGCACCGCAAAAGAAACTACCATCAGAGTGAACAGGCAACCTACAAAATGGGAGAAAATTTTCGCAACCTACTCATGTGACAAAGGGCTAATATCCAGAATCTACAAAAAACTCTAACAAATTTACAAGAAAAAAACAACCCCATCAAAAAGTGGGCGAAGGACATGAACAGACACTTCTCAAAAGAAGACATTTATGCAGCCAAAAAACACATGAAAAAATGCTCACCATCACTGGCCATCAGAGAAATGCAAATCAAAACCACAATGAGATACCATCTCACACCAGTTAGAATGGCAATCATTAAAAAGTCAGGAAACAACAGGTGCTGGAGAGGATGTGGAGATAGGAACACTTTTACACTGTTGGTGGGACTGTAAACTAGTTCAACCCTTGTGGAAGTCAGCATGGTGATTCCTCAGGGATCTAGAACTAGAAATACCATTTGACCCAGCCATCCCATTACTGGGTATATACCCAAAGGACTATAAATCATGCTGCTATAAAGACACATGCACACGTATGTTTATTGCGGCACTATTCACAATAGCAAAGACTTGGAACCAACCCAAATGTCCAACAATGATAGACTGGATTAAGAAAATGTGGCACATGTACACCATGGAATACTATACAGCCATAAAAAATGATGAGTTCATGTCCTTTGTAGGGACATGAATGAAATTGGAAACCATCATTCTCAGTAAACTATCGCAAGAACAAAAAACCAAACACCGCATATTCTCACTCATAGGTGGGAATTGAACAATGAGAATACATGGACACAGGAAGGGGAACATCACATTCTGGGGACTGTTGGGGGGAGCGGGAAGGGATAGCTTTAGGAGATATACCTAATGCTAGATGACGAGTTAATGGGTGCAGCACACCAGCACGACACATGTATACATATGTAACTAACCTGCACATTGTGCACATGTACCCTAAAACTTAAAGTATAATAATAATAAAATAAAATAAAATAAAAATAAAAATAAAAAAAGAAAAATTGGTGTATTTCATAATCATCAGAGACAGTTGTACACAATGTTTTCAAAAAGCCACAATGACTATTGTCTCCATCAAAAGAACAAGAAAGAGGCAAAAAATTAGAAATATAATGTCTCCATCTTGTAAACAGCTAGCCAATAAGAAAACCAAAATAATAAGCTTACTTTCACCCTACCTTCCTGAAAAATCAAGCTTCTCAGCAAAGAAAATGGGGAGTATCATTATTCACTAGACAGGACTGCAGGAAAATATTCAAGAGGCAAACTATCTGTTGACAGAAGAGAGGTGCAGTAATACAAAGTCCAGCTCTAACATCAACTTTGGGTTAGCCATAAAACGGTTGATGCCTCAGTTTCTTCATCTGTATCTTGGAAATTACAGTCTAGTATATGAGCCACATTTGCATTATTTCAATGAGCTACATATTGACATTGCATTACCATTAAAGCAGTTTAAAATATGTAGTTTTAAAAGTACAAGTAATGGCCTGCTACAAAATGCCATCTTGAGCACTGAAAGATGGGGAAGCTAACATTTACAAGAGCCTTCTTAAAAATCTGGCTGGGCGCGGTGGCTCATGCCTGTAATCCCAGCACTTTGGGAGGCCGAGGTGGGTGGATCACGAAGTCAGGAGATCGAGACCATCCTGGCTAACACAGTGAAACCCCATCTCTACTAAAAATACAAAAAATTAGCCAGGCATGGTGGCGGGTGCCTGTAGTCCCAGCTACTGGGGAGGCTGAGGCAGGAGAATGGTGTGAACCCGGGAGGCAGAGTTTACAGTGAGCCAAGATCGTGCCACTGCACTCCAGCCTGGGCAACAGAGGAAGACTCTGTCTAAAAATAAATAAATAAATAAATAACACATAGGCTGGGCGTGTTGGCTCATGCCCATGATCCCGGTACTTTGGGAGGCCGAGACAGGTGGATCACCTGAGGTCAGGAGTTTGAGACCAGCCTAGCCAACATGAAACCCCATCTCTACTAAAAAACACAAAAATTAGCCAGGCGTGGTGGCGGGCGCCTGTAATCCCAGCTACTCAGAAGGCTGAGGCAGGAGAATGGTTTAAACCTAGGAGGTAGAGGTTGCAGTGAGCTGAGATCATGCCATTGCACTCCAACCTAGGTGACAAGAGCAAAACTCCGTCTCAAAAATAAATAAATAAAACACACCATGAAGGTGTTGTTATTTGTCAAAAGAAAAACAGATTCTTATGGCTCACTGCAGCCTTGATAAGAAGGTGCATCTGTCCTCAGGCTCAGGTGATCCTCCCACCTCAGCTTCCCAAGTAGCTGGAACTATAGGCACGCACCACCACATCTGGCTAATTTTTCTTATTTTTGTAGAGGTGAGTCCTCGCTATGTTGCCGAGGCTGGTCTCAAACTCCTGGGCTCAAGCAATCCACCCACTTCAGCCTCCCAAAGTGCTGGGATTACAGGTGTGAGCCACCGCCCCTGGCTGTAGAGTGATTCTTTAAAATAGGTGTAATGATACCTAAGATGAGGCTCAAAGTGCTTAAGTATCTTTTCCAGTGTCAGAACCAGTGGATGAGGGAGGACGTTCCAGAACATGTATTTTTCTTTTTTTAAGTTAATTTATTGTGTAGTTATTTATTTACTTTTAGAAACAGGGACTTGGGGGCCGGGCGCGGTGGCTCACGCCTGTAATCCCAGCACTTTGGGAGGCCGAGGCGTGTGGATCACGAGGTCAGGAGATCGAGACCATCCTGGCTAACATGGTGAAACCCCGTCTCTACTAAAAATACAAAAAATTAGCCGGGTGTGGTGGCGGGTGCCTGTAGTCCCAGCTACTCGGGAGGCTGAGGCAGGAGAATGGCGTGAACCCAGGAGGCGGAGCTTGCAGTGAGCCAAGATCGCGCCACTGCACTCCAGCCTGGACGACAGAGTGAGACTCCATCTCAAAAAAAAAAAGAAAAGAAAAGAAAAGGAAAGAAACAGGGACTTGGTCTGTCACCCAGGTTGGAGTGTAATGGCATGCTATCATAGCTCTTTGCAACCTCAAACTCCTGGGTCCAAGCTATCCTCCTGTCTTGGCCTCCCAAAGTGCTGGGATTACAGGCATGAACATTGTGCCCAGCTGAAATATATATTTTTGTTACTGGTCTATGCTCCTTCTGGTTCATCCCACAAGAGATGCCACTAACCCATCATCAAAACAACACATGTTTTGTACGGTTTGTAGAAATAGTGATGGATCTGCTGTAACCATATATATGATTAACAATAATAAGAGTCTTGGCAAGGATAAGGTGGCCTGCCAGTTTGTGGATGTGAAATAGAGCAGAGACCTTGTCTGCCAAGGGATCTTACTAATATTTCATTAGTTCCTCTTCCCTTCAGCCCTTGGACAATCACTACCAGCCACCACCACCACCACCAATGTTACCATTTATTGAGTGTTCAGTGTATTCCAAGTACTGTGTTGAGTACTTTACACAAATAATATAATTTCATTCTTGCAACATCTCTAAGAGACAGATATTACCAGATTTACAGATGAAGAAACTGAGGTTTAGAAAGTTTAAGTGACTTTTTGGAGGTCATCTAGCTACTGGAATTAGGATTCAACTTATGGTATGTTCATTTGCACATTTTAATATGCCCTTTTGTGATTATTGCCAAATAACTTTCCACAGTCCATAACTGTTTTCCTCTCTGAGGGGAGCCAAGTAGAGTAGAGTCTTTAATTAAGGGCCTGGACTCAAAGTTTTAATTTCTTTGTACCCTACTATTAACTAGCTGTATGATTGTGGAATTTGTCTGAACCTGTTTTCCTTGTCTAAACAATGGAAATAAATAGCAAGTATTCTCTCTAGCTAATTATTTTGTACAGTTCTTCAAATGTATGTGATATGATGCTGTTAATTATTCTCTCTATACTCTGACAAAGACTGACAATGCACAGATGTCAATATAAACTCATTTTTCATTAAAATTTACCTGATATCAGTCATAGCAGCCTCTGCACATTGGAAAAAAAAATTACTAAGAACAAAGAGATGGTCTCTTTAACTTCTTTTTTCTTCAGTTGAATTTGGTTTCACAAATGTGAAATAGCACCTATTTTTCTATCTTCCTTTAATCTTTCTTATTTACTCCCCGTAACTAATCCAGACCCCTTCACGGGACAACAAGAGAAGTAAGAGGTTAGGTAAGCTGTCAGGAACGTAGCAAAAGAGCTGTGAGGGAATTTATTAGGTCTCTACCATGGGACAGATACTGTGATCTGTGGTGTGTGCATTCTTATCACCGAATCCTCATGTGGAAGTTAATTGATCAACAGCTGTGACAGTGCTTGGAAAACAATGGTTACTGTCAGATATAGACAAAATGCAAAGTAAAGCTGGTGGGAATTAAGCATCATGTTTCTTTAAATTATTTAATAATTATCACAAATTCCCAATCATTACCATTCTGCCTCCGATCTAGAAAGGGAACTCAGGTAACCTATGCCTAGAAAACCTTCCCTTTTCTAGTTTGAAAAGCCACCTTCAGGCCGGGCACGGTGGCTCATGCCTGTAATCCCAGCACTTTGGGAGGCCGAGGCGGGCAGATCATGAGGTCAGGAGATCGAGACCATCCTGGCTAACACGGTGAAACTCCGTCTCTACTAAAAATACAAAAAATTAGCCGGGTGTGGTGGCACAAGCCTGTAATCCCACCTACTCGGGAGGCTGAGGCAGGAGCAGGAGAATTGCTTGGACCAGGGAGGCAGAGGTTATCGTGAGCCCGAGACTGTGCCACTGCACTCCAGACTGGGTGACAGAGTGAGACTCCGTCTCAAAAAAAAAAGAAAAAGAAAAGAAAGAAAGAAAAGCTACCTTCAATTATGCAGCTTCTCAAATTTTATTTTATTTTATTTTATTTTATTTTATTTTATTTTATTTTATTTTATTTTATTTTTGAGACTGAGTCTTGCTCTGTTGCCCAGGCTGGAGTGCAGTGGCCCGATCTCGGCTCACTGCAAGCTCCACCTCCTGGGTTCACACCATTCTCTTGCCTCAGCCTCCCGAGTAGCTGGGACTACAGGCGCCTGCCACCACGCCCGGCTAATTTTTTGTATATTTAGTAGAGATGGGGTTTCACCGTGTTAGGCAGGATGGTCTCGATCTCCTGACCTCATGATCTGCCCGCCTCAGCCTCCCAAAGTGCTGGGATTACAGGCGTGAGCCACCGCGCCCGGCCTCAAATTTTATTTACTCCATAGTATTTGCTACTGGTAGAGAGACAGCAAATTCCCCTTTGCCTCTCCTAAAATTCTTGGCCTTGCCTACTCTGCTTGTCACTGAATAAAATTTCCTCTATGACAAAAGGAAACCTGACTTGTTTCAGCGGCTACAGGACTGTCCACGTGAAAAGCCCATGTCAGGCTATAGTACTGAGTCTTAACTAGAAGCTTGCATGAGCAACTAATCAGCAGTGTGTTAAAACCTTCTGCAACAATACACTTTGCTGGATGCTGTGCTGTCACTGCCTCTAGCGAGTTGGTTGGAGAAACATAATGCCAGAACCGTGATTATGAGAAACAGAAGGAGAGAGAGAGAAAGCAAGCACAATTTGGAATCAAAACAAAACTTAGCCGGGCACAGTGGTTCACACCTGTAATCCCAGCACTTTGGGAGGCTGAGGCGGGTGGATCACTTGAGGCCAGGAGTTCAAGACCAGCCTGGCCAACATGGTGACACCCCATTTCTACTAAAAATACAAAAATTAGCTGGGCATAGTGGCGCACGCCTGTAATCCCAGTTACTTGGGAGGCCGAGGCACGAGAATTGCTTGAACCGAGGAGGCAGAGGTTGCAGTGAGCCAAAGATCATACCACTGCACTCTAGCCTGGGCAACAGAGTGAGACTCCATCTCAAAAAAAAAAAAAAAAAAAAAAAACTTAAATTCAAAGGAAAGGCATTTTTTTAAGAAAAAAATACTTTAAAATAATTAACAGATATTTCTGATATAAATGTATCATTTGTACATGATATAAATGGCAGGCCCCGTCTATCCCAGACAGAAAAAGACGCAAAATAGAGCAGAAGCCATCCTACTAGAAAAGTGAGCTGTACAAGGTCACCTTTAGGTTAAAATAAAGGCCACTGTACAGCAAGGTTATTCGTACAGTACAAGGCAAGGGCATGGAGGGTTTTAGTAGCTTGATTCTAAAGAAACTTCAGGTCTGAAAAAATAACTAAAAATAAGACTTAAACATGAAAGATAACAAGAAAATCAAGGAAAATCAAATAAAGTAAGCAAGGAATAGGAAAACGTATAAACGTTAACAAAAGGAGTCCCTAAGCCTAGAGAAAGAAACTGGCTCGTGACAAGTATCTCCTGCGATCTGGACCTACATGTTGTTTCCACCCCTTCAACCTTTCCCCTACTCCCTTCCCCGAAACACATGCACACACAAAGCCATCGACCATTGTGGACTTTAACCCTATTTTGTTTGTTTGTCTTTTACTTAATGCTCGTATTTTTTACTTTTTTCACTTTGCCTCTCACTTTAGCCAAAAATACTGGCTCTACCATCACCTGAACTTCCTCACACCTTTTAGAGTCAGGGGTGACCTCCCACCGGCTAGATCTGGATCTAAGACTTCCAAGTTTTCTCATCTCAGCTAAATCTTCCAGACATTCTTTTCTCGCAGGTTTTAAAAATTTTCTGGTTCTGTATGTCTGATTCTCCAGTATAACTTTTTTCATGAATCCCAGGGATATTTAAAGTCTTACCTATATATAGTTTGTTCTATTATATTTAATTTAAAGTTAGTGGTCTTGATTTTTTTTACTTTCCATGATCTCAAACATCAAATATTATGAATTCAATTTCTACACCAGATAGATAAGCAGAACAAGTAAAAGATCCACAAAACCTGGGGGAGACTGAAGGCTTGTTAAGCAAAATCTCTAGTTAGAGATTCCACAAAAGAAGTGATACATTACTGGATTCTGATCATGAAGCCAGGCGGTACCAGGAGTTGTTTTATAGGCACTGCCATGTGCTATAAGCTAGGGTTCTAGACTTACAGAAATTCTTTATCCTAAGTTTAGGTTGAATCTTTTGAAATCAAGAGTCTTTCCCTCTCATAGTTTATAACTCCTTTTATAAATATGGATGGATTAATCATATTTGTTCTTAAAATGTGAGCCAATTGATATCAGGTTAATGTCAATTTATGACGTTCGTCTGATGCAATATTTATTCTTTTCTTTAAACCAATTTAGATGATGGGAAGAATACCAAAATGTATGGTTCAGAAAAGGTGATACATAACTGCAGACATAAATGCTAACAAGCCAAACAGCTGTCCTAAAGGAATTTGGCAAGTTTAAACACTAAAATTTCTTTTCTTTTTCTTTTTTCTTCTTTTTTAGTGACAGGGTCTCACTCTGTCACCCTGGCTGAAGTGCAGTGGTGTGATCATAGCTCACTGCAGCCTCAAACTTCTGGGCTCAAGTGATCCTCCTGCCTCAGTCTCCTCAAGTCTAGGATTACAGGCATGAGCTGCTGTACACAGCCTAAAATTTCTAATAGAAGAATTTAACAACACCAAAAGCTGCCAAAATAATAATGGTAACATAGAACATGGATCTTAAAGCGTGAGTCACACGTGTATTGTACCTATCACTTATTTAAACTAGAACACTATATAGCATCAAATACTTCAAAACAAGCTAGATACTCTAGAATTAAGCCAGCAGAAACCCATATGGCTGGACCAGACACTGGGGCACACACCTATAATCCCAGTGCTTTGGGAGGCCAAGCAGGTGGATCACTTGAGCTCAAGAGTTCGAGACCAGCCTGGCCAACATGGCGAAACCCTGTCTCTACTAAAAATAAAAATTAAAAAAAAAAAAAAGAAGAAAAGAAAAAAAAGAAACCCATATGGTTGGAGTGAAACATTTGTCTTAAGCCTCTTGTTATCTCAGCATGAACATACACATTGGAAAATACCACTTCCCAAACAAAAGCTTAACTAAGACCTATCCAGTAATAATTCAATTTTATAAAAATAGAACTATGGTGTGTACCAAGTTTCATACTGGTCAGAGTCAGACCGTTTACCTAAATTGCTTTTGTTATGTGCAGGTAAATGTTGTATGTCAAGAATGAAGGCAAAATCAGAACTGTTATGTGACAATCAAAAATATAATGGTAATGTCAACACTAATCATTTGAAATCATCTCTCTTGCCTTAAATTTATACCTAGCAATAAAAAATATATATTTGTCTTATATGAAATATGTGAATTTCATGATCTGGAAGCTCTAGTAGTAATTTTCACGATGATTGGTGTAGCCATAGCATAGGGTCTCAAGTTAACAATGAATTTTCCTTTACAAAAGATGAGGCCCAAATTCAGTGATTCATTAACTCAAATAAAAATCTAGACTCTAGTTTCTAATTTATTTTTATGTTTACCACATCCTACAGATACTCTCATAACATATGTTCTACCAACAGGAAAATCGACACAGAGGTAGGATAAAGGACCGGCTCCAACTGACGTAATTTATCATAGTAGCAAAGACAGGGAATCAAATAAAAAATGCAACTTAGCCTCTGAGGTCCCCATACTCAGTTATATAATGGCCCAGCTACTGAGAGAAAACTCTTCAGCATCAAATAAGGAAATATTTGAAATTTTTAAAAATTCATATGAGCTATTAGAATTAAATACCGGATTGCCATGTAGTTTAAAGGCTTGCATTGTGATTTCGAAAATAATTTATATTTATCAAGTGCCTACTAAATACTAAATAAGTTACTTAGCATTTCTCTCAGTCCTTATTAACTCCATATTACAGGTAGAGAAACATGCTAGGTGAAGTAAGTTGACTATTGCCCTGTGCTGGAACCATAATTTGAATCTATTCATGCTATATGACTTCTTTTATAAAAGCACTAAAAATTTCTCTTCTGTAAGAACTTTCTGATACATATATACTTACAAACACCTCTTGTGGCAATAAATTAAAGAAACATGATTCCATCTTAAAAAAAAAGCATCTTATAGATATATTGTTCTCTTCCAAGATTTAATTCCATTCTTTTGACAGATAATCTAATAAGTTTGGTACTCACACTTAAGTCTCTCCTAAAGATTCACATGTAAATTGTCCTGTTTCTCAAACAGAACAGACGTATGCAATAAATAAGTGCAAATTTTCCTTTCAAAAACTAGCCCATTTACTGGACTATCTTCTTTATTTTTTCTCTCGCCATTTTACATACCATTCCTCAAATATATTCCTAACAGTTAATCAGCGTACCTGATTGTCTGATACTGTGCTCTTTGTAAGTTGGTTATGTAGCCCAGTACTTTTAAACATATTTTATGGAGACATTAACTTTTTTTTAAATTCAAACATAGCCATGTCACATATGGGTAAACAACAGTGAATCACTTAAAGAAGACTGCCACATCCACCGTCTTTCCAATCGCTCTCTCTGTGGCTACGATTAGTGCCTTTACTTCCTCTCTGCGTGCCTGAAGACACTTTTTCATTCCCTGTGAGTAAAAATTCGAGAAGTCCTCCCAACATTGAAGCAAACTGCTGCTACCCTACTCACAAGGAACCTCAAACTAAAGGCAACTCTTCTGAGAAAGGTCGATTGTAAAATCACAGGGACAAAAGGCTGACCCAAAGACTCGGGCCCCTTTGGATAGCACCACAAAGGCCCCCTCAGACAGCACCTGCCAGGACTCTCACCAAATTTACTGCCACCCTCTGAGTAGCTATTTACCTGCTTCCATGTCTCCCTGGGGCTTGGGTGCTGCGCAGTAACAGCAGTCCAAGAAGATGACATAGTTAAGAACATTGAAGAACAGACCGATAATTCCAGCACTGAGAACCAGTATCGGCTCCTCTGTCTTCTGGGGATTGATGTACCTTTTGATGGCTTCAACCAGGATGCTGAACATCAGCGCCACCGCAAAAATGGTGTTCCCAAATGCTCCCACAACATCTGCCCGAAGAAAGCCGTAAGTGCTCTTCTTGTGCTGTTTTATGTTACTGGCCCTTACACCAAAAAAACCTATGATCATGGACACAAAGTGGGAAAGGACGGCAAAAGCATCGGAGGCCAAGGAGAGGGAGTTGCCAACGTAAGCGATCACTAGTTCCATCACAAAGAGGAGGATGCTAACGACGCACATGAGGATTAAACGGAAGCTTCTTCCGGAGTATCGCCCCATGGCGTCTCGGTGCCCTGGCAGTTCCTCTCCCTTTCTTGGGAAGGCTGAGCTGCTAGGGAAGCAGCTATAGATTCAGTGATTACAACTCCTGGGTAACTCTTCCCTTCAGCCCTCCGGCGCTTGTCATATTTGGAAATCACCTTTTATAGGTTGCTATAAAGCCATAAAACAGTTTAAAGGGCAATTAAGCAAGAGATGTCACATGAGCCAGGATTTATGGAAATACAAGACACTGGCTTCAGATATGGACTTGAGAGACTGTTTTGTTTGTGCATGTGTGTGTTTAATTACAGACGTCAAGAGCTTCTGTGTCCTTGAGTCATGTAGAAGCTCATCAGTGGCGGTGGCCTTTCCAGCTTCCATGCTCCGTGTGTGCAGAAACAGCTCAGGTGAAGCAAGTCATTTGACATAAGCAATTACATCTTGTCCACCTGGTGTGCAGTTCTGAATGTCATTTACTGTGTGAAGTAGGGAATATTCGAGGGGTCACCCTACTTCCAAACATTCTCTATAAGACAAAAGAAATATTCCTCATATTCAGGAAATCTTTAAACTGGAAGAGCTGAAGACATAATTCCAGTTAGTTTCCAGGAAGACAGACAGGTAATAATGATTTCACTGATGCAAGGAAGTTTTTGTTTTTATTTTTAAAAAATGTTATCTGTCAAACACTCATAGCCCTTAAAGGCCTATCAGTTCCAAAATGACTGAAACAGCAGTGGCCTCTATTGTGAGCAGCCTGACTACTGTCAATATTTTAAAGAAACACAGAGTGATATTACAATCTCTATTTCTCCCAGATGTGATGTTAATTTTGTATGTCAACTTGACTGGTCATTTGGTCAATGACATGCAAGACTTTCTGGCTTTGTCTGTGAGTGTGTTTCTGGATGAAATTAACAGTTGGATCAGCAGAGTGAATGAAGGAGATTGCCCTCACTAATGTGGGTGGGCCTCCTCCAATCAGTTGAAGCCTGAGGAGAACAAAAATGCTGAATAAGAGGTAGCTCTTCCTGCCTGACTGCCTTCAGCCTGGGACGTTTGTTTTTTCCTGCCTTCAGACTCAAACTGAAACATGGACTCTTCCTGGGTCTTGAGCGTGTGGGTCTTTGATTTGGGCTACACCATCGGCTCTCCTGGGTCTCTTGCCTACTGATTCACCATCAATCTTGGGACTTCTTAGTCTTTTAATCATGTGAAATAATTCTTTATAATACATTTCTTTATATATATATATAAACATATATATAAATATATATAAACATATATATAAATATATATAAATATATATATAAATATATATAAATATATAAATATATAAATATATATGAATATATAAATATATATAAATATATATGAATATATAAATATATATATAAATATATATAAATATATATATAAATATATATAAATATATATAAATATATATAAATATATATAAATAAATATATAAATATATATAAATATATAAATATATATATAAATATGTAAATAAATATATATAAATATATAAATATATATAAATATATATAAATATATATAGAAATATATATAGAAATATATA
The DNA here is from genome assembly GCF_000001405.40 of Homo sapiens. NCBI lineage: Eukaryota > Metazoa > Chordata > Mammalia > Primates > Hominidae > Homo > Homo sapiens. The sequence continues at coordinate 219,960,583 of NC_000001.11, forward strand.
TAAATATATATAGAAATATATAGAAATATATATAGAAATATATATAAATATATATAAATATAGAAATATATATAAATATATATAAATATATATAGAAATATATAATATATATAAATATATATAAATATATAAATATATATATAAATATATATATAAATATATATAAATATATATAAATATATATAAATATATATAAATATATATATTAATATATAAATCTATATTAATATATATTAATATATAAATCTATATTAATATATATTAATATATATATTAATATATATTAATATATAAATATATATATTAATATATAAATATATATAAATATATATGTAAATATATATATAAATATATATAAATATATATATAAATACATATAAATATATATATAAATATATATAAATATATATATAAATATATATAAATATATATATAAATATATATAAATATATATAATATATAAATATATATATATATAAAAAACTATCTGTGTACCATGCATACACATTCTCATTGGTTCTGTTTCTCTGGAGAACACTGGCTAATAGTCTGACTTTGACTAAAACCTGATAATTTAGACAGTAGCCCTAACAGCTTCCATAGTATCTCATAAATTATCTCCAATTCAGTTAATATTCTGACAGACTTCCAATACAACCATATTGTGAAAATTATTGCTCTAAGACTAGCTCTTTCATCCATTCATGCCACAAATACTTACTGAGTGCCGACATGCTGGACAGAGTTCTAGGCTCCAGAGAGACAGCAGCCAACAAAACAGGCAAAAATCTCTGCCCTTATGAAGCTTGTATTCTAGTGATTGATGGGAGGAGATAAATGATTAACAAAATAAATTATGAAATGTATTGAATATTAAATGGTGATAAGTATGATGACACATAAAGCAGGGGAAAGAGATAGGGATGGATTGTAATTTTAAAGAAAATGGTCAGGGAAGAATTTTAAATAAATTTTAAATAAATTTAAATTTTAAATTTTAAATAAAATGATCAGGGAAGAATTTACTAAAATGTTCTTCGAATAAAGATCTGAAGGAGGTAAGAAACTAAACCACACAGACATCTGAAGGAAGATCTTTCTGGGCAGAAGGAACAATGCGCATGGGAATTCAAGGGACACCAAAGAGGTCAGCAGGGCTGGAGAGGAGTAATGGCGAGGATGAGAAAGAGGAGACAAAGCCAGAGAAGTGTGGAGCAGGGGCAGATCATGTGGGGCCTGGAGATGGGAGAATACTGAGCAGAAGAATGAGGAGGTCCTGTATATGTTTTAAAGGAATCGCTGTATGTGTTTGAGATCACATGAAAGCAGAGAGACCAGTTAGGAGGCTACTGCAATAATCTAGATGAGATTGTGGTTTAGACTAGGTGTAAAGTGGAAACACCCAGGCAGGACTGGCTACATAATTCATGGGTTCTACTGCAAAATGGAAAAGCAGGTTCCATTGTTCAAAAATTATCAAGAATGTTTTATTTTTTTGAGATAGTCATGCTCTATCGCCCCGTCTGGAGTGCAGTGGAATGATCTCTGCTCACTGCAACCTCTACCTCCTGGTTTCAAGTGATTCTTGTGCCTCAGCCTGCCAAGTAGCTGGGACTCCAGGCATGAGCCACCATGCCCAGCTAATTTTTGTATTTTTAGCAGACACAGGGTTCCACCATGTTGCCCAGGCTGGTCTGGAACTCCTGGCCTCAAGTGATCTGCCTGCCTTGGCCTCTCAAAGTGCTGCGACTACAGGTGTAAGCCACCATGCCCAGCCAATTATCAAGAATTTTTAAGCCAGGCGTGATGGTGTGCATCTGTAACCCCAACATTTTGGGAGGCCAAAGTGGGAAGATTGCTTGAGGCCCAGAATTCAAGATCAGCCTGGGCAACATAGCAAGAGTCTGCATCTACAAAAAAATTTTTTAAATTAGCCAGGCATGGTGGCACACTCCCTGTTGTCCCAGTTACTTGGGAGACAAGTAGATGGGAGGATTGCTTGAGCCCAAAAGTTTGAGGCTGCAGTGAGCTATGATTGTGCCAGTAAACTCCAGCCTGGGTGACAGAGAAAGACTTTATCCCCCCACCCCGCAAAGAAAAGGAAGAAGAAGAGTTTTTAAATGGCGCAGCCCTGGAATCCACAAGGAGGAGGTTCAGTATTCTCTCCTGAGCGTGAAGTTGGTTCTTGGCATTGCTTCACTGCAACTGCTATTTGCCATTGATGATTGTTCTTCTCTTCCTCTGAGAGAGTAAGAGGGAGAGGATGCATGCAGTCTGAGTGGTTTCTCTTAAAATAAATAAATAAATAATAAATAAAATGGTGCAACCACTATGGAAAACAATATAGCAATTCTTTAAAACTTAAAAATAGAATTGCCATATGATCCAGCAATTCCACTTCTGGGTATAGAAACTTGAAAAGATTTGACAGCAGGGCCCTGAAGAGGTATGTACACCCCATGTTCATAGCATCATTCACAATAGCCAAAAAGCAGAAGCAATCCAAGTGTCCATCAACAGATGAATTTTTTTAATGGGGTCTACATACATACAAGCACATATTATTCCACCTTAAAAGGAAGAAAATTCCAATACATGCTAAAACATAGATAAACCTTGAGGACGTTTGCTAGGTGGAATAAACCAGCCACAAAAAGATGAATGTTGTATGAGCCCACTTATATGAGGTATCTACAGTCAAGTTCAAATTCACAAAAATGGAAGGGAGAATGATGGTTGCCAGGGGCTGAAGGGAAGGTGACATGGGGCAGTTGTTTAGTGGCTACAGAGTTTTGGTTTTGCAAGGATAAAAAAAGATGAGACTGGGTGCACAACTATGTGGATATACTTAACACTACTGAACTGTACACTTAAAAATGGTTACGATAGTAAATGTTATGTTATATGTATTTTACCACACTCCAGTTTTTTTAAATTATTAATAATTTCAAGACAGCAACAGCAGAGCACTAAACCAAGCACAGAGCCCGGTGCAACTGCTCAGGTCGCACACACCTGAAGCTGGCTGGTATCCAGGAGATTTTGAAATTAAAGTCAACAGCATGTGCTGAGTAATTAAACGTAAGGTAGGAGAGAGGCAATAGTCAAGACAGCACTAGGGGCTGGGCACGGTAGCTCATGCCTGTAATCTCAGCACTTTGGGAGGTCGAGGTGGATGGATCACTTGAACCCAGGAGTTCGAGACCAGCCTGGGCAACATGGTGAAACCCCTATCTCTACAAAAAATGGAAAAATTAGCCGGGCATGGTTGTACCCCTGTAGTCCCAGCTACTCGGGAGGCTGAGGCACAAGAATCAATTGAATTCGGAAGATGGAGGTTGCAGTGAGCCGAGATCACACCACTGCACTCCAGCCTGGCGGCAACGGAGTAAGACTCTGTCTCCAAAACAACAACAAAAACAAAGATGGCACTAGAGTTTTGACCTGGAAGAGTGATATTGCAACTGAGATGAAGGTAAGACGAAGTTGACTGTTGTAGGAGCAGCATGGGGCGAGGGGTGGAAATGATGTTAAGTTTGGGGTATTTATTAGATATCCAAGTTGGAAGCTAGTTGGGAGTTGAATGACCCTGGAGTTCAGGGGAGGGTGAACTCAAGAGTTGATAATTTATAACATTAAAAGCCATGAGACTGGATGAGGCCACCAAGAAAATATGAAGAGAAGAAAATATGAAGAGGTGAGAAGGAAGGACTAGAGAGATAAAAGGAAAAATAGAAGAGTATAGTGTTTTGAAGGCCAAGGAAGAATGTGTTTCAAAGAGGAGGGAGAATCAGCTGAGTCAAGTGCTACGAGGGCAAGCAAAATGAGGGCTGGAAATGCCGATGGGATTGCACCTTATGGAGGCCATGGGTGATCTTCACAAGAGTGGTTTCAGGGAAGTGCTGAGGGTAAATGAGACAGGGGCTCAAGAGAATGGAGAAGAGAAATTGGAGCTGGCAAGTGTGGATAATCCTTTCAATGAGTTTTGCTCTACACCGAAAGGGATGTGGAGTCAAGAAAGGGTATTTTTAGGTTGGGAAAAATAACAGCATGTTTGTAAGCTGATGGAAAGAACCAGGAGAGAAAGAAAACCTGATGATACATAGGGGAGAATTGCTGATGTGCCACGACTGAGAAGGCAAGAGGGGATGAGATTTAGTGCACACGTGGAGGGGTTGGCATCCACTCTGAGAACAGACAGTTCACCTGAAACAGCAGAGAAAGTGAAATGCATGGACATGAGTAGGTGGGTAGATGTGGTGGGAGGTCCCAAACGTTCTATCTTTATTGCCTCTGTCATCTCAGTGAAAGAGAAATCAAGATGATCAACTGAAAGTCAAAAAAAGGAAGCATTCGTATTTGAGGAGAGAAGGGTATGAAATAATTGTCTAGAAGAGTGAGAGAATGAATGAAGGAAATATGGTACAATTACATATTTACCCACATATAAAGTAATACTGATATTATCATCATCACCAGCTCTTGTATCCCTCAACCTCCTCATCAACAGATATTTCATCACAAAATTTGGTTTTGGTGACATACTTCAAATGTATTTTGAAATATCCTTATTACATGATGCTTTTTAAATATTAATAAAATATTTTATATCATTTCAGTACTTTTGATGTTCCAAACTCATACATTTTCCAGTAAAATTGAACAAAGACATTGGTTTAAAATTGCCTACTGACCACAAGATGAATATGGTTCTACCTGTTATTTGAAGCCTGATGGTGTGGCAGAGTGATTTTCCAGGCATTATCTCAACTACAAAGTTCTCAGTGTGTTGCCACTGGTGACAGGGATAATCTCATGATTAGATAAGACCCTCTTAGTCAGGGTCACTCAGACTATGGCCTCTTACTGACAACACTCAACCCAATTTCAGTGCCCCATCTCACTTTCCACCACTGAGTGATTGCCTAATTTGGCATCTCAAACAGAACTACTGCAAGGACATACAGCCAAGAAAAAGAAAAATCATGTTTTGCTTTACTCACTAGTGTATCCTCTGGCGCTGTGCACAGAGCAGGCACTCAAATTTGTTAAATGGCTAGCACTTTCTAGACATAGTAAAAGTGACAAGCAAAGGACCAAAGTTATGTTTGAAAATAACAGGGTAGTGGTAGCTACTTCCCCCAACTTTTTGATGGTACTGGCAACCCCTGAACACCACAGTTATATGGCAGATAACTAATATTAATAACTAGAGTCAGACGTAAATAGGGTGATCTCTCCACTCTCCGGTCAAAATGCCTTCCTCCTTGCTTGCTTGATGAATGTTCTGATGCTGCTATTATCAAGACTTAAATCCTCTTCACTGGCAAGCCAACCGTTATTGTCCAATTCTCATTAAGGATTCATGTGATTTACTGGCATAATGAAAAACACACTCTCATGGATGAACTAGAAATTGCTAAGATGTATTGTAGTACACGGGCCCCAGTGAACGGAGTAGTAGTAAATATGCCTTGACCTGCTTTCTTTTGGCTACAATAAACATGAAGCACATAATCACAAACTGTCAGTCATACATCTAGTTTACAGCTGTCACCTGTAAATAAAATCGTGTTCATTTCATTCAGGTTCATGTACTCTTTTGAAAAGCGCACACTCAAGAAAATATTTTGATACTTTAGCTGAACCTCAACTTATGAAAAAAGGCCAATGTGCCAGAGGTACATTTTGAGTAAAGGATTCCCTGCTTAACAAAAGTACTTAATGTAGAGTTTCTTTAAATAGTGACTTCCTTTAAAGCAGCAAACTTCAAGCTTTTCTGTCGTTAGTGCTACTCATCTGAAGTTTCAAAACGTAATATTAAGGATTTCTCTTTGCACCAGAGATGGCCACCTCCTCCAAAATGGCCAGTGGCTACAGGGAAAAATGTGAATAATCTCTAATGTACTTTTTGGGCTTTTATCGTGGACTGGTTAAAAAAAAAAAGCCTTGTCCCCTAAAAGCATTTATGTTGGTTTGCAGAAAAACAATTAGCAGCTAAAGTAACTACTATAACTAGGATTATATATTAGAAGCAACTTCCAGTTGACCCTACATAATGGTCATAACCAACAACAGCTATTTATTATGTGCTGGGCATTGTTTTAACTGCCTTCCTCTATGAGGTAGAGTAACTGAGATAGCTGTTAGACTTTTCTCCATTTTATAACTGAACTTAGGCAGTTTATGTAGACACTTAGAAGGCAAAGCATTCTGAACTGCCATAAATGAATACAAAATTATGATTCTGAGTATAAAAATGTGACTATATATATTTCAGTCCATTGAAATCAATTTCACTAACAGGTATATGAATGCACATATTCAAGACGTGAGTCTTGAAAGCATGCTCTATTTAGTCTGCTTTCAACTGACAATTTCCTACCAATGTTAAGAACAGTTCTTGCTTTCTCATACAGTGTGTGCTTTTGTTCTTTTCCATCTCTTGTTCCCTCTACCTGGAATGTCCTTCCTCCTTCCTCTACCTATTGAAATTGTACTCATCCTTCAAAGCACAGCTCAAAATGCAAGTCCTTTTTTTTTTTTTTTTTTTTTTAAATGCAAGTCCTTTCTGATGCATTTTCCTTTACTGGTGTATTTATCACTACCAAGTGTAAAAGCATTTTGGAAGAGATTTACCAAGTGGACTGGAAATATTGGTAAAAGATTGACCAAGTGGACTAGAAATGAGGGAGGAAAGGCATTTTCCCAGCAAAGGGCACAGGCAGGAAATAGCCACGTTGTTTCCAGGAAACCCCAAATGGTTAGGTTGCAAAGGACTTTGCTGGATTGAAAAGGAAACTAGATGGGCTAGTTTAAATTTTATCTTTTAAGTGATGGTGAACTACAAAGGGATGTTAAGGGGAAGAAAAAATTCTTAATAAACTGTTAGGAAAAAGAAAAACAACACTGTGAAAACGTGGACTGGACTGGAGATGACTGGAGTCCATTGCAGTAATCAGCACAAGAGGTACCAAGGCCTGCAGGCAATCCACAGGTTTTTGAAAGGGAATACCCAAGAGGAATTAGAGGTACTAGCAACATGTTTTGCTGGCCGAGTGAATATGGATGATGGTGCTGGAGGGACAGCCCAGGGGGGCTCTCAGTTTTCTGGTTTGGGTTATGACGAACGTTTTGGCAATGCTAATCTTCTGGGCAGGAAATACTATAGGAGGAGGTCTGGCGGTAAAGAGTGAAATGAGCTTTTTGGGACATGTTGACCTGAATGGCTGATGGGACACTCAAGAGAATTGAGTATGCAGTTGGAAAAGATCTAGAACTCAGACATACAGATAAAAATATTGGAGTCATTAGCCTATTAATGCTATTTGAAACTGTGGGATTAGATGAGGCTGATTAGGCATGAGAAGACGGCCAAATATGGAAGTTTAGTAAACCAATGTCAAAGACGCATACCCAGGAAGAAAAGTCAGTGAAAGACATGGAACTAAAAAGGGTCAGAGATGTAGGAGGGCAGGTCATAGGAATAATTTTTTTTAAAAAGTATCAAATGCACCGGAGTGATATGGTAAGACATGAAACTAAGAAGTCAACATGAGCTTTGCTCAGGAGTACCCTTCATGATCTCAGTGAAAACAGTGCTATGGTAGGGGCAGAAGGGTGAGGAAAAGTAGAAAGTTTAAAGAAGGGAGGAGGGCTTATCACTCTTTCAGACAGAAACTGTAACCCTTATTTCAAAGACCTGATACTAACTAGAGAAAGACAGAAGTTCAAGGGAAATCTTTATTATTGTTGCTTTTTCCATTTGTGGGTTTGCTTTGTTTTTTAAACAGAAAGATTTAGGACAATTTCAGATTCTGTATTAGGAGCTATGGAAAGAAAGTGCTTCGAGACCTATCAGTGTAGGGTATAACTGGCGGTTCAGGGTCTGAGACATGTTGGGAGTGCTTAGATCAATAACAGATATCTGGCTTTCAATTGTCTTCATCTCTTTGTAGAAATTTCCTCATAGTACATAATGCACATTTTTCAGAAACAAATGAATACAAAAACCATATTAGTTCATGATATTTATTACTGGAGTTGTTTACAGAAAAGTCTTTTATCCACTGTTAACTTAGGCATAAGAATAATTGTCCTGTGTGACTTCATTTTAGAACTTTTACTTTTTAAAAAATCATAAAACGGTCTGTATCTGAGAAGATACTAATATCAATGCTTTAAAAAGTGAGAGGAGTTGAAGAGGGGGCTTTCGTTCATCCCTCAGTAGCTGCGACCAAATAAGGTGTAGTACTTGGCAGGGTTCTTGCCACAGACACATTTGGCTCCAGGCTGCAGTTCACAGAGTGGTTTGAAGGGGATGCAAAGGCTTTTAGCTCCCATGGATGGAGCACCAGGTTCAAGATCTTGATCCCTGAAATTAATAACAAATAAGAATTCCACTCATTTATGCTGCAAATTGCTATTCCTTTCCATTGCAATTTTTCAAAAGTTTTGCCAGTTAATTAGGTTTACCTGGCAGTGGTCTTTTTGATCCAGTCCTCACAGTCAATTTCCCCACAGAATGGAATCTGAACAATCTAATTAAGAAAAGGAAAAGTAATCAGTATTTATAACTCCTTCAATTCTATTCTGCAGAAGGAACATTTGAGTTCTATATTAAACTGGCAAGCAAAAAGGATAGGTCTCCCAACCTTTTTTCAGGCTATGATACCTTTGCAAACCTACTAGGAACTTTGCTCAGTTATAAAAGATAGGAAAGAATGTTTTTCCACTATCCAAAACCTACGCTCACAGCACATCAAGACACAACAAAGACATCTTTGCAGTACCCTCAAATCTCCCATAAACTGGCTAAAACACAGTGGCTGAAAAGAAGTTGAACTCCAGTTATATCTCCCTCATTTCAAACCTGGACTACACCTGCTCTACCTATCTAAATAGTTATCAGGAGGAGAAAAGGAACATCAAAAATAGCAAACTGATTTTTAATGTGTTGTTAACAGCAACAATTAACAATCACGCAAATTTCACTTTATGCCACAATGTTCCTAACATGTTATATAGGTAAGTGGATCATTTTTAAAGTCCTAAAATCATTTTGTGTAAGGAAAAAAAAAAAAACCTTTCAATTTTTCATTCTTAGACTACATAAAACAAAGGCCGAATCAAGATACTTAGGATTTTATTTTAATTTTGAAATTTGCCATGTGTTTGAAAATCTCTAGCTCTGGGTTTTCTTTTAATAAATTGTGGATGTCAGACTAGACAAGCATTAAAAAAAAATTTTTTTTTTGAGACACAGTCTTACTCTGTCACCCAGGATGGAGTACAGTGGCACTATCTTGGCTCATTGCAACCTCTGCCTCTTGGGTTCAAGCAATTCTCGTGCCCCAGCCTCCTAGTGTAGCTGGAATTACAGGCGTGTGCCACCATGCCCAGCTAATTTGTGTAATTTTAGTAGAGACGGGGTTTCGCCATGTTGGCCAGGCTGGTCTCAAACTCCTGGCCTCAAGCAGTCCACCCACCTCGGCCTCCCAAAGTGCTGGGATTACAGGTGTGAGCCACCGGGCCCAGCCAACAAGTATTAAAATTTCTCCCAGTTGTGAATGCTAATTTTTAAAGCATGTCTACTTCAAAATGAGGTTTGTCTTCAATAACAATTATGTAGTAGCCCTATAAAATATTCCTGGAGAGTTAATGAGGGGAATAGCAAAGTTGTGAATAATCTCCACATATTAGAAATACAGTGTAAAGCAGCTGAAAATCTAGAGATCTATGAAGGTGGAGACCCAAGAGACATTGGCAGTAACAGCAACATGCTTCCAGCTTCTTCAGCAGCTTCTCATCAACTGCTCTCAGCCACAGAAAATCGTAAATAAAGTGAAAGAAAAAACACAGTGCTACAGATGGCTACCCACTGTCTAGCCTTCTATTAAAAGTAGGAAGTTTAAGGCCAGGTGCAGTGGCTCACGCCTGTAATCCCAGCACTTTGGGAGGCCACGGCAGGTGGGTCACCTGAGGTCAGAGTTTAAGACCAGCCTGGCCAAAATGGCAAAACCCCATCTCTACTAAAAATACAAAAATTAGCTGCGTGTCATGGCAGGCGCCTGTAATCCCAGCCACGTGGAAGGCTGAGGCAGGAGAATCGCTTGAACTCGGGAGGCAGAGGTTGCAGTGAGCCGAGATCACGGCACTGTACTCCAGCCTGGGCAACAAAGCAAGACCCTGTACCAAAAAAAAAAAAAAGCAGGAAGTTTGAGTCAAGTGAAAAACTACAGAAACCAGAAAGGTGAAAAATTACAAAAGCAATAACCCAATAAGGATAGAAGGCTAAACACTGAAGAATTATAGATCTAAAGAGGATTTTGATATTATCTATTTTGTACTCATTTTACAGAATAGTAAAATGAAAGCCAGAGAGATTAATTTTCCCAGCTCAAGAAATAAGAGACATATTAATACGTTATGACCATAAAAATTAAAGCTTTACATAAATTCATGCTCATTCTCAGCATGAATTTAAAACACAAAAAAAGATACAGAGGAAAATGCATTAAACCTAGTCAGAAGAGTGATCTAAATTCTGTATAGTTTGGGGTATTCATTTAAGACACTGGCCCATGGTTTTCTCACTTGTAACCTGAGGACACAGGATTGGTTGTATATTCAAACATGTATACCAGAATACTAAAGTCCATAAGTGATTCATTCCAATAATTAAATAACTTTGCAAATCTGAAATTCTTCTTTATGAAACTTTAAAGTTTCAGCTCGAAACAACTGCATATACCCAATATATAAAATCAATTAAATCTTAAAGAGCCATTAACTACCTAATTAGGAAAGCCTATGGAGTTCTAAGGAGCCAGGTAGCCCCTCATTATGAAAAACAGGCTTAGAATAAGCAACACTTTTCTTCTCATTATTCAGAAAGTTCAATCAATTGAGAGCTGAGTATGTACAGTCAGGGAATGGAAAGAAACTGACTTTTCACCTTGTTTTAGGCAGCCGCATATGACAGCTCTAAAGCTAGAACAATGGTTACTTTAGGAACTTACCAGAAACTGAAATAACACAGATTTTCAATAAAGAAAAAAGGAGACATACAGAATTAATGTTCTTTAGAAAGTAGCATATCAAACATGGGGAAAAAAAAACTTACATAATCAGTTCACAAGTATTACCCCCAAAATGGTATAATGTTGTAATGCTTTAGAAAAGCCAGTAGAAAACAAAGACTATATATATATACATATACACACACACTATATTTATATATGACATATATAAATATAAAACAAAGACTATATATTTAGATTATATATTTATATGACATATAAATGTAAAACAAAGACTATATAATTAGATTATATATTTATACGTACATATAAATGTTGAGTAATGTACTATCTTTTTATGTGATTGGCTTAAAAAGGTATTAATACCATGCATAAATTCAATGAGCCTTAAAATACAATTTACTTAAATATTCTTATACTGAAAAGTTTTCCAAACTCTCTGACCTTTCCAGAATCTAGTATCTTCTGAAAGTCTTCCATTGTATTAGCCACAACCATATGAGTCTTAAGGTCTTCAGAAGCCCTACCAAACAAAATTAGAAAACAATACATAATTGTTCTCACAAATATGACAAAGTTTTATGAAACACATAAGCACAATTTAATGAAAAGACAACCTGGGAGTGAGAAGGACTCAATTTGAATCTCAAGTCTATCACTCATAGTGACCATCAGTATATCAGAGTTACCTTATCATTGCACTATTGTGAGCCTTAAATGCATGGGAAATGTGTTAAGCACACAACAGGTGATCATAACTTTTGTTACTGCTGTTAAATCTCTAATGACCATCATTCTTTTCCTGGCATTAACACATTACCTATGGGAGTCTATGTTATTTTTTAAACCTCCCTGGTCTTAAATATTTCCAGATTCAGAGGAATATATATATATCTTTTATCAATATATAAGTGCCCTTATATAAGATGCAGGCATTACCCTCTCCCAAACTGCACCTCCATCCTCAGTGGTAGTGGGCTTTCCTCTCTGCTTTCTGCTCCAGGTAGGCAGAGAAAGAAAACAGGGTGCCACGCTAAGCCACTAATCTTCTGGTGCCTCTGCCTTGACTACCTTGAGATCTATGATTCTAAATGACTCTCTCCATAGGTGAGGGCGGCCCTAAGGCCTTCCTCTATCCCTCATTCCCAACCCCAGTCAGGAGGTTCTCAGCCTTGGCTATATTATAATCCCCTGGGGGAGCTTTTAACAGTATAGTTTCCAGGCCCTCTCCAGTCCAATTAAATTAGTATCTCTAGGAAGGCACTGGTATTTACTAAAGCTTCCCAGGTGCTGCCAATGTGTACCCAGCAGATGACAGTCAATGCCTGAAGCCCTCACATTTATATCTCATAAAAGCCTAGATTTAAATTAACCCAAATTAGTCCAGGGGACAGAAACTTCATTGTTGCAAACCTAGTAGGAAGCAGGTGGCACTTAGAAAAATAACCATAATACAAGTAAAAAACCCAGAGAGTGGCAAATTAAGTAGCATGGGGGTTCAGAGGGAGGGAACAATTGCTTCCAATTGGGGCAACCCCAAAAATTCCTTGGTAAAGATCTCAAAGGTGGTGGAAGATCTGGAGAGAGAGACATAAGCAATTTTAAGAAACTACCTTGTGAAAAGGGTGACCTGGATGTCTTCCAAAATAGCTTGAAGTTTAGTCTCTGCCTCATTTTCAGCAACTGTCAGCTTTTCTCCAGTATCTCGTCTGACGGCTACAAACTGACAGCTCTTCATATCACGTGGCCCAACTTCAAGTCTAATGGGAACTCCCTATAAGATAAAAAAGGCAGTTAAAATGATATATGAATGTCTCCAGTTGAATATACAGATGTAATTCATGGCTTTAGCTACCATAAATTATAAAAAACCCAAAAAACAAAGGCAAAGCCAAAAAAAACAAGAGAAAAAAAAAAAACAGGTAATACTGCTGAGATACTGTAGAAACCTATTCCAGTAAGAAGGCATAAACCTAAAAAAAAAATCTACTGCCCCAGAAGTTCTTCATGGAGAAACAGAGTAGTTTCTAGACCAGCATTCCCAACTTTTCTCACAAAATAGCATCCAGAAAACGTATTTGCATAGGAATGGGGTTAAACGAAGACTTTTTGAGGCTACAAGCCACTGAGGGGATCAGTAACATGACACATTTTTGACTCATTCCTGATACAGTGGTATTCTCTGGTTGAAAAGTCCTCATTCTGGGTACTCTTATCTTTAGCATGCATTATGATTATAAGGATTGTTAAAGCACAGATTTTGGGGTCCTGCCTCCAGAGTCTTTTATTAGAGTAGGTTGGGGATGCGACCTGAGAATTTGTTTTTTTTTGTTTGTTTGAAGACAGAGTCTCACTGTTGACCAGACTGGAGTGCAGTGGCATGATCTTGGCTCACTACAACCTCCGCCTCCCAAGATCAATTGATTCTCATGCCTCAGCCTCCCGAGTAGCTGGGATTACAGGCACCTACCACCATGCCTGGCTAATTTTTGTATTTTTAGTAGACATGGGGTTTCACCACATTGACCAGGCTGGTGTCGAACACCTGGCCTCAACTGATCTGCCGGCCTCAGCCTCTCAAATTGCTGGGATTATAGACGTGAGCCACCGTACTTGGCCAAGAGTTTGTATTTCTAACAAGTTTCCAAGTGATGCTGACACTGCTGGTCCTAGGACCACAGTTTAAGAACCACTCCCCTATACTCTTTGGTTTTTCCAAAGCAACTTAAGGACAGACTATATGCAAGTTTACGACTTGGGAATGTTCAATCTTGTGAATGTGTATCCCGTAAGGGGATTAAAATCCTTAAGGCTTAGGGAAAAACCACATTTTTAGGGCCCAGAACCTTATCTGATACATAGTAGATTTTAAGTAATTTTTTTGAATGAATAATCCTCTAAAATTAACTTGGGATTTTCCTGAGTTACATGCTTCCATATACAATTTAGATGACAGGTGGTCACCCCAAAAATGCCATAGGAAAAATTTTAAATATTACTCTAGAAGTCCTTATTTACCCCTAGGGAAGACTTATTTTACAAAATGATATTTAAAAAAAAACCACAATGGAACCAACTGTTGTATGCTAAATATTACATTATTTTATTGCTTTAGTTATTTATCCAATGTATTATACTGGATGTATTACATGCATTTGTAAGATACAGTGCTAAGTGCAATGAGATTTACAAGATGAATAAGAAATACATCTTGTCCTCTAGAAGCTTCATGCTTTGTAGGGTAAATAAGGCACACATATAAACAACAAAAATTAATACAGAAAGTTAGCAGTGAGAGAATATTCCTCAGCTGGAAGAGAGAAGAAAAGTTACTGGAGAAGGTAAAAATTAATAAGTAAATTATTCGTCCGAATTAAAAAACATTCTATAAAAAACTGACCTATAGTTACAAAAATGCCTATGTCATAAATGATAATGAAAGTCTGAGGAACTACTTCTGATTAAAGAAAACTAAAAGGCATGATGGCAAAATGCAATAGGACTGGATCCTACACTGAAAAAGGAGAGGGCCACTGGTAGCCCACAGCAGGGTGTCTGAGCCTCAGTTAGGCAAGAGGGCATCTGCACATGAGAACAGCTTTGCATAGAGTGACAGAGCCCACGAGGGATAAGGAGCCCATTCACGCAGAGGAGGGGGTGGCAATGGCAACGAGAGATTGGTGGCATACAGGGTGACTAATCTAATAAATTCATGTACTAAGGATAATTTGAGCTAGGCTTTTCATTGTCAGAAAAGGGAATTACAAGCACAAAATGGAGAAAAACTAGAATGCATCCTGCGGTGGTTTTTGTTGTTGTTGTTTTTCTTGAGATGGAGTTTCGCTCTTGTCACCCAGGCAGGAGTGCAATGGTGCAATCTGGGCTCACTGCAACCTCCGCCTCCCAGGTTCAAGCGATTCTCCTGCCTCAGCCTCCTGAGTAGCTGGGACTACAGGCACCCACCACAAAGCCCATCTAATTTTTCTATTTTTAGCAGAGACAGGGTTTCACCATGTTGGACAGGCTGGTGGCGAAATCCTGACCTCAGACGATCCACCTGCCTCAGCCTCCCAAGGTGCTGGGATTATAGGCATGAGCCACCACGCCAGGTCCACCCTATGGTTTTTTATTGGAATTTAAAGTATAGATATAAACTCTTGGTTTTCAACATACATAAATAGATATGGAAATATGGTGGTAAAAGTGTACACATATCTGTATGTGTGTATGGATATCTACATATATATACATATTCAGTAGCTCCATCTACTGAGAAGGCCCGGGAGAAGTGATAGCTCAAAAGCAATGAGCATACCCAGCACTAAATACCATTCTCCACTCAAAAGAACCAGAGCTTCTTAGAGATATGGCTAATTCCTGGGCCAGGGTAGAAAAAGTACAAGATAAGCCTACAACATCTTGTGCCAAGCAGCAAGGAAGTGCTTAAAGAATGATGGAGAATGCCAAAAGGACACAAAAGCCAGCTTTAAGGGATCCTAATGGTCAAGCCGAAGACACTTTGAGCATCAAAACAAATAACGTCAGTAACAGATTCTATAACCCAGTGCTTAATACTGGAAACCATGGATCCATAAAATATGAATTAGCTAATAGAAAGGCTAATAAAAAATGTGCTGTGTCAAGATCACGATAATCAAAGAAAACCTGAGAAATTACTGCAGACTGAAAGAGACTAAAGATACATAATAACTACATGCAACACATAATTCTGAACTAGGTCATTCTGCTATAAAGAAACACTAGTCAGACAGCTCCTGAAAGCTGAATGGGGGTCTAGAATTAGACTATTGTAATGTATGAACACTACTATACTAACTTGTATTGTATTATGTAGGAGAATATGTTGGTTGTACTATGTTGCTTGTGCTGTGATTATGTAGGAGAGTATGTTTGCAGGGTGATGGAGCATCAGGTTAGCATCTTATTTTCAAATGATTCAAGCAGGAAAATTTAATTATTTGTATTGGACTTGCTTTGTTATAAGTTGGTGACTGTTGCATGATAAAAAAATTTTACAACCCAGGTAGAAGAAATAGCACAAGTAAAGACACAGAGGTGGAAAAACAGGCTGTCTGTGAAGAAGAGAGAAAACGGCATATGAAAGGGGATAATGAAAAGTGAAAGTTGGAAAGGTAATCTGAAGCCAAATCATGGAGGAGGCAAATATTTTGTTGACAGTTTTTTTCTAAAACTAGTTACAAATTTAACTTTAAAAGATTCGTGTTTTGTTTCTATAGCAACACAGAATTATCTTACTCTTTCCACATAGTAAAAAGAAAAGTAGTTAATTCACTCAGATTATTTTCCCCTTTATACTTTCATAATATAGGAAGGGGTACCAAAGAAGAATTACAGGAGTTGCTGGGTTCTGGCCTCACAATCAAACAATATTATAGCTCATTTATTAATCTGAATAAGTTTCAAAATGCGCGTACACATCGCTCACACACTTTGGTCAATCGCTGTCAAATAAATATAAATCCAGATCTCCTAAAATATTTTTTCTTAGAAATTCTTTGACTAAATGGAATTAAAATGGCATTAAAAAGTATAACTAATACCTTCACTAGATAGTGAACTCTCTTTCTCAATGTTCTTTAACTTGAGGCGTCAAGTTTAGAACTTAGGTGCTTTATTTTCTTTCCTGAGGAATACAGACAACGAAGCTGTAGAAGACCCAACTCATACTAAGAATACCTCCCCAGCATAGTATAGGCTCACTAGAGTACTAAAAGAAGAGTGACAAAGACAAAGCCAAGTCAGTCTAAGGATGAGAAATGAATAAAAGAGGAAAGGGTACAAAGAATTCAGGAATGAACGTGGATGGTTTTTTCTTTTTAATCCCGCTAGTAGCCAGCAGTAAATTTCTCCTTTAACATTTTATAGCCCAGGTTAAGTAGAAATTAGTTTAGAGAAACTGCTACTGGCATCACACAATAGCTATTTATAAGTAAGCAAAAAGGAGTGCAATTAAAAAGGAAATGACATGGAAAAAAAATCATGTTTAGAAAAGCATATAAAGAAGCTGGTATATTACATAAAAGGGAAACAATTATCAATATAATTACCATTCCTCAGCACAGGAAATTTACCTCAGGGGCAATGTGAAACAAATAAGATGATAAATATTAGCAACTTTGGGAACCCTAGATGTATAAATACCTAAAAATCCCAATATTGCTGAGCTTCCATAGTTTGAAAGCATGCAGCTGCAATCTCAATACATTCTCTCATACTGTCACCTATAATATCAATTTATATAGTCTCGATTCCTAATTTCTAGATCCAGTAAGATTCCCTCTTTCAGCATAAGAAAAAAATGTTGTAAGTTTATAAATCAGAATTAAGGCCACAGATAATCTATTAATGACAATGTGCAATACATGAAAGTTATATTACAAACAATAAAGCAGAATTTAGACTGGCTTTAATAAACAAAATAAAAATCAACAAACTGGTATGAAACAATGTGGTGTGAAAACTCAAGAATAAAATTAATCTCAGATGTTTCACTATTAGCTATAACAAACACAGCTAAGTGATGTCCATGTACTGTTATTCTGGTGGTCTATGTAAATAACTTATTTATTTTATGAATTCCTGGCATAAACATTTTAGTATACTAGTTACGTGAGGGTAATCATAAACAAGCGCTCGAGATCGTTTTTATTCTAACATAATAAAAATAAGCTTCCACAAAAACTATTTTAAATTTAGGTATCACTATTGCAAAGCTATGAACTGTGTCAGTGCTCAACAGTTTAAGTGAAGAAGAAGAAAACTCACAACTATCAAAATAGAGGAAAGTAATGAGAAACCTCGTTTTATAAAAACATGCAGAGGAAAATCTAAACTCAAATTGCAGATGTTGGGGGTAAAAGATAAAGCTTAGGAATTTACCTTGAGCTCCCAGTGATTGAATTTCCAACCTGGAGAATAATTATCTCGTAAATCAGCTCTAACGCGGATGTTAACACTGAGTAATCGCCTTCGATAATCATTGCATTTTGCAATCAGCGCTTCTTTGTCTTCTTCAGAAAGTGCATTGGTAATGCCACAAGGAATAATCACCACCTAGAATCAGCACAATGTCCCAAATGTATGCAAAGAAACAGATATAGAAGTAATGAGCTCTCAGAAGTCGAAACCTACCAGTGGCTATATTATTAACACGAATCAGCTGTGTGATTTCTAATCTTATATATAATGTCTACTAATTACCTGCAAATCACTTACCCGTGCTAAATGCATTTTCATCTGACCCACTATATTTCACTTAATCTATTTTTCATATGTGTGTGTATATATATATATATATATTTTTTTTTCCCCCCCAGCCTCCCAAGTAGCTGGGACTATCAGTGCATGCCACCACACCTGGCTAATTTTTTGTAGACTAGATTTTGCCATGTTGCCCAGGCTTAGTCTCAAACTCCTGGGCTCAAGCAATCTGCCCGCCTTGGCGTCCCACAGTGCTGGGATTACAGGCGTGAGCCTGCATGCCCAGCTCATTTAACATACTATAAACCGTTTTTAAAAAATGACTTCTAAAAATGTTTATATAAGTAGCTTAAAAATTAAAAGAGTAAGAAACAATAAATAAATAATACACACAGTCACAAAACACTAGGGTCCAGACTGCATTCCACGTTGTTTTTATTATCAGAGAAATCTGCCTGAATGATATTCAGAAAATCACCCTTTCAAATTTCCTTTAGTAAATATGGCTTGTATTTTATAAAATGAGTGATAAACAGGAATATTTTCCTTACCTGAACACATGCTACACGGGGTGGTAATACTAAACCCATGTTGTCCCCATGAACCATGGTCATAACACCAATAGTTCGAGTTGTCAGGCCCCAGGAGTTTTGATAGGCAAATTGCTTCTCTCCTGGTATCTTTGGATCTTCAAAAACGATTTCAAACATTTTGGAAAAATTCTGCCCTAAATGATGTGATGTTCCTCCCTAAAATAGAGAGAGAAAAATAAGCTTCATTTTTAATAACCTATTATGCCCTTGAAAATGATTACTATAAGATCACATGCTTTAAAATGGCACTACACTTTTTTTCTCCCTTTTTTTACATTAAATAAGGTTTTTAATTATAAGCATAATTACCATAATAAGAGATTAAGATTAGTCAAAAAATACTATTTACAAGCATTTTGCTCTGGGCAGCCCCTTTTATAGCAGTAATTTTACCTACAACAGTTAAAAAGGAATTCATATTTTAGTAGTAATTCAGGATACATACTATGACTTAACGAACCATGGAGACAGAGGAATGGGATAGATTTGTTTGAAATTATTATACGAAAGTACATGAAACACTTATTTTTTAAGAGTCTACTTCTGTGATGACAGAAGAAATTATTGGATCTGTCCATGGACTGTGCTTACAGTGACCTACGAATCCTGTGTGGCAGTTTGATACCTGGATAGCTCTTCCACTAGCAGATATAAATGCTTCTATTGTAGTTGTATAGTCTCCTCCTGCAAATTTTTCCTTTTCCGTCTTTCTTCCTTTAACAACAGGAATTGCCAGGAGTTCTTCATATACCTGAGCATATAAGTCAAGTATCTGCAAGACCTGTAACATTTTAAATGTAAATGTGTTCAAATTTAGGGTACATTTATTCATTAAGATCTATAAAACTGCACTACTTAAGACTAATTGTGTGGGAAAAGCAATCTGAACAATAAAAACCTCTTTTTATGAAAAGGTTAAAGCAGCCAGTGTGAACTTATTAAGAAAGATATTCAATGAAGCAATGTAAAAAGAAGTCAAATAACTTTTTAAAATGTATATATGTTTAGAATATAAGAGAAAATAAATGTTAAGAAAGATATACAGTATCAAAATGCAAATTTCCTGAAAAATAATTTTTTCTACACATTAAAGTCCAGAAGTATTTTCACCTAAAAATTTAAAAGAGCCTATTTCCTTAATAATAACATTCCAATAAGCAGTTACTTAAATCCATGAACATTTGAATTAATTTGATTTTGCTTTTAACAGGTGTTACATACATTTTAAATAACAAAATTGCAGAACCTGAACAAAAATAATGGAACATAGTTAATATGGAAAATAACTTTTTATACCTCTTCCGCTGCCTCTTCCATGGTAGCAAAAGCACTGTGCCCTTCCTGCCAAAGAAATTCACGAGTACGTAGGAAAGGCTGAGGATGCTTGAATTCCCAACGCTGGAAGAGGCAAGAAAACAATTTAGTCATTATAAAGAGCTTTTCAATTTTTTTTTTTTGGAGACAGGGTCTTGCTCTGTCCCCCAGGCTGGAGTGCAGTGGTGCAATCATGACTCACTGAAACCTCTGCCTCCCAGGCTCAAATGATCCTTCTACCTTAGCCTCCCAAGTAGCTGGGCTACAGGTGCACGCCAATGCAGCTGGCTAATTTTTGCATTTTTAGTAGAGATGTGGTTTTGCCATGTTGCCCAGGCTGGTCTCAAAATCCTGGGCTCAAGTGATCTGTCGGCTCGACCTCCCAAAGTGCTGGGATTATAAGCATGAGCTGCCACGCCCAGCCACTTTCCAATTTTTATTACCATTTTATATAATAAGTAATCAAAAATTACAATTTATCTTAAATACTTCAAAAACAGTTCCATACTCCCAATCCTTTGAAAATAAAAACAAAATGTGCTTTAAAAAAAAAAAAAAAAAGAACATGAATAATAATAGAATACAAGAGGGGGTGAATACCTACCACCACATTGCACCACTGATTGAGCTTGATGGGCAGGTCTCTGTGTGACTGTACCCATTTTGCATATGCAGGATACATTACTGAAAGACACGGGAAAATAGAGACAGTCATTTAAGGCTTTATTTCTCCTTTAGGGATGTAACAGCTAAACCAGCAAGATAATTAATAGGAATTAAAATGTAATAAATAAATTTGAAAAATAAAATGTATGTTTGTGTAAATATATTTCCAATGTTTATAATAAGTGAATAGTATTATCTATTTCATGAAGTGTATTACTCAAGGATACAAATCTAAACTTGATCATATTTTACATTCTTCACAGATTTTACATTCTTCACATAACAGTTAATGTACTTCGACGGTTTTCACATTTTGTTTTTAAAAACACAAATAAAGGTCATGTTCTATGTTAAGTTCTCTGCATTCATTGACCTGTTCAATTCTCACATTCAACCCACAAGAAGGTATCATAACTCAGTTTTAAAGACGTGGAAAGCTGAGTTTATAGAAGCTAAACAATTTGCTGAATCCAGCAGTTATGTATGAGAAGCAGAATTAATTTATATCTGATGCATCTACTCAGAGTATGAAAGCTCTTGCAATGAAGTGCAAAGTGAAGATACCTGTCTTAGAATAGCCTGCTCATGATCTATAATTAGTAAACCAAAACAAACAAAACTTTGCCAAATAGTCTGAGAGAAAAAAACTGGTATCACAATATTAATAATGTATTATACAAAAGTATCACTAGAAATATCAATAAGAACAGACAATCCTGAACTCTACAGATGAATGATCACTTTGAAAGACACTGTAAAGCCCAAAACCTCAAATTTTCCAACAGCATTTCCATTTACCATACGTAATTTCAGAAAAATCATTTAATCTTTCAGAGACTTTTCTTTACCTGCAAAATGGAAATCACAGTAACTTTCCCTGCCTTCCTCACAACACTGTTGTAAGAATAACACGAGATGACGTAAAAGTACTTAGCAACCTATGAACACCCTACATGAATGCAAACCTAAATGTATTATTAAAATTTAAAAATAATTATGGCATAAAAATTGCATTTGCAATATTATAATCAATTCCAACAATAAAAATTATTCTAAGAATAAAACTCCTTGAAAAGTCCTAAAAATTTACAGCATAAAAATGAGTATTTAAATTAAAAATCCTATAATTTAATGATAAGGAGCTCTACAATGAATATTAGAGAATAAAACTCTAGACAACTTAAGTTTGCATTCAATCTTCATCAACATTCATGAAATGTTATATCGTCAACAGAGATTATAGCTATCACAAAGCAAAAGCTGAGACTCAACTTTAGAGGCTGTCTCTAACGTTCAGTGAGCATTCTCTTGCACTCCAATGCCTATTCTCACCTGTTTCACTAGTAGGACGAATGGCAATTGGTTCTGCCAGCTCGGTTTTGCCAGATCTTGTAACCCAAGCAACCTAGTAAGAAAAAATCATTTTTCATACTTTTTTTTCAATAGCATTTTGGAGCAACAGTACAAATGCAGGCAAATTTCCTCTGTTTTAATTTTTGCTATATCAATTTAGGCAAGTTAAAATAGTCGCTGCTGTTCACTGTGAGGAAAGGTACGCACTTACTGACCTTCTAAATATTAAAAGTCAGTTAATTAATGTAACAAAATCATTACTTGCTATAAAGGTAGAAACAGAACTTTTTAATAAAAATGGCTTTATATTTTTCAAAATTGGTTGTTAAAAGTTGAAAATATATTTTCCAGTTTGTCAGAGAACATTGCAAAAAATAAAAAAGCAAGCTCACTTACCTCTGGGGCAAAGTCAGCAACATGAGTCTTCTCTTTCTCTAATGCACTTTGAGACACAAACATGGGGAAGTAGCAGTTTTCAACACCAAGTTTCTTGATCTCAGCATCAAAAAAGTCCTTGATGGCTTCCCAAATGGCATAGGCCCAGGGACGAAGAATATAACAGCCACTTATGTCATGGTATTCAATCATTTCTGACTTTGTGATGACCTTTTTAAAAGAAAAATAGTCTTTAAAGCTTACATTGAACCAAAATTCTAGTATAAGTGGCAAGAGTATGATAACCAAAATTCAAATCTGGAGGCTTCTACTGTTGATAACATCCCCTTAATGTGGGAGGTCATAATGGAAGTAAAACAGACCTGACTATACTGAAAAACAACATATAACAGGGTTCCAAACTCTCCATAAAACTTGAATTCCACCGGGCATTGTGGCTTAGGCCTGCAATCCCAGGACTTTGGGACGCCGAGGTGGGTGGATTGCTTGAGGTCAGGAGTTCGAGACCAGCCTGACCAATATGGTGAAACCCAGTCTCTACTAAAACTACAAAAATTAGCCGGGCGTGGTAGCGTGTGCCTGTAGTCCCAGGTACTCGGGAGGCTGAGGCAGGAGAATTGCTTGAACCCAGGAGGCGGAGGTTGCAGTGAGCCAAGATCGCACCACTGCACACCAGCCTAGGCAACAGACTGATACTCCCGTCTCAAAAAAAAAAAAAAAAAACTTGAATTCCAATCCTGCCTCTGCTATTGACTATATCTTTGTGGCTTTGAATTAATCCCTTTATCTCACCTAAAAAAAAAAAATCAATCACTATCTCATGGTACTGCTTTTCAATTCAAGACTTTATGTTAACATGTTGAAAAATAATGTCATGTTAAATGACTACACTGTGTATTATTAAAGGCATTATACAACATTATTACTATTGCCTTTGTGCCCATATTTTAGAATCTGAACATAAAAAGCAGCCATTGACAGACTTAAAACATAAAAATCAACTGAATGCATACTCACCTGAGAATACCAATCAGCAAGATTTTCTTCTTTTTTTGCCTCAAGACCCAACCTGCAGATGTGAAAAGTAAAAGATAAATATCTTCATTCAGCAACTGCTTTAGGTTGAATAAAAATAAACCTCTAAAGTTCAAAATAGATTAGTCTTTCTTCAGTATGAGTTATTTCTGTATTTGTAACTCTTCTATATTCATTCCCAAGATAACGTTGTTGTTTTCTTGTTTTGTTTTTGAGACAGGGTCTTACTCTGTCACCCAGGCTGGAGCGCAATGGTGTGATCCTGTCTCACTGCAACCTCGGACTCCTCAGCTCAAGAGATTCTCTCACCTCAGCCTCCCCAGTAGCTAGGACTACAGGTGCATACAACATCTGGCTTATTTTTTTATTTTTATTTTTTGGTAGAGGCAGGGTCTCGCTATGTTGCCCAGGCCAGTCTTGAACTCCTGGCCTCATGCAATCCTCCTGTTCTGGCCTCCCAGAGTGCTGGGATTACAGGCATGAGCCACCATGCCTAGCCCCTAAGATAATGTTTTTAACCTAAAAAAACAGTAGAAATGCTGGGCACAGTGGCTCACGCCTGTAATCCCACCACTTTAGGAGGCCAAGGCAGGCAGATCACCTGAGGTCAGGAGTTTGAGACCAGCCTGACCAACATGGAGAAACCCTGTCTCTACTAAAAACAAAATGAGCCAGGCGTGGTGGCGCATGCTTGTAATCCCAGCTACTCGGGAGGCTGAGGCAGGAGAATGAATCGCTTGAACCTGGGAGGTAAAGGCTGCAGTGAGCCGAGATTGCGCCATTGCACTCCAGCCTGGGCAACAAAAGTGAAACTCCGTCTCAAAAGAAAAAAAAAAAAAAAAGAAAGAAACAAAAACAGCAGAGACATCTCTTAAAAAGTTGAGAGATATTGTCCACAAAATCTAGGAAAGCCAAATGTAACAAAAGCTATGATTCTATGCAGACATCTCTTTTACAAGGTTCTTTTTAAGGCAATGTATTTGTAATAGAGACACAGCCTGTTCACACCTATTCTCCCACTAAAAAAGAAGAATCTTATGCCAGTTAAAATTATAGTAAGATCACTGTTTCACTGAAAGTAACACCTAAAAAGTAATAAAAACAATGGCTATAAATACACACACATATGTGTGTGTACTGATGTGTGCATATTAGCCAAATTTATGTAAGTTTTTCTTTTTCTTTTTTTGAAACAGTCTCACCCCATCGCCCAGGCTGGAGTGCACTGGTGCAATCTAGACTCACTGCAACCTCCACCTCCCAGGTTTAAGCGATTCTCGTGCCTCAGCCCCCCTCCCCCACCCAAGTAGCTGGGATTACAGGTGTGTGCCACCATTCCTGGTTAATTTTTTTGTATTTTTAGTAGAGGCGGAGCTTTGACATGTTGGCCAGGCTGGTCTCAAACTCCTGACCTCAAGCGATCCACCCATCCCAGCCTCCCAAAGTGCTGGCATTACAGGTGTGAACCACCACGCCTGGCCTCAAGTTTTTCTTTTAACTAGAATAAAAGTTGCAGAGATAGATGCTTGTAAAATAAACTAGGTCTCCAATAAAAAAACTATTTCAGACAATAATCATTTTCTTGAAATATCAACAATTATTCAGGATAGAGATGGTCTCTTTTTGGAGTTTAAAAACAAGGTTTTACTGGCTAAAAATTTTAATGTATTTGCATTTGCATTCTCCATTGTTTCACTATGACATACCTCAACAAAATAACTCTGTGAAACCTAGCACTTTCACAGGCACTAAGAAAGTAAAAGGTGAGAAGTTCTACATTCTCTTCTACCCTGCTATAACTCTGGTTATTCAGTTTAATAGTCAAAAGGAAAAATAACTGTTGCATTCTCTTGTTTAAAGAGACATTGTGTATATGACATGAGAGCTAAGAGGCAGCAAAATTTGATACTCAGCTAAACAAATGTAAAACCAAAGTATCTCAGTAACAGCTTTTTCTTCTTATTAAGTAAGCCATTAAGGGAAACCCATCACAAAGTTCACTGTAATTGTGGAAACAGATAAAAAATTACAATTATGCGTCACTTAATGACATGAATACATTTTCAGAAATACGCTGTTAGGTGATTTCATCATTGTGCAAACATCATAGCTTGTACTTACACAAACCTAGATGATATACATATATTTTTATATGGAAAACCAAATATCCCAGCAACATTACTGAATATCAATAATTTCCCCCACTTGATCTGCGATGCCAATATCAAGTGCCATATATCAGGTTTCCATACATGCTCCATTATAAT
The DNA here is from genome assembly GCF_000001405.40 of Homo sapiens. Classification (NCBI taxonomy): domain Eukaryota; kingdom Metazoa; phylum Chordata; class Mammalia; order Primates; family Hominidae; genus Homo; species Homo sapiens. The sequence continues at coordinate 219,986,491 of NC_000001.11, forward strand.
CTTATGGACCAATGTCATATATGTAGTCCACTGTTGACTGACACATCATTATGTGGTGTATGACCGTACATTATTTATACAGATTGGAAGATCCTTAAAGAGCCCTCTATCCAACCATTTTGTCTTTAGTCAGTTTTGTCTTATATTTAAACTATCAATTTTTAAATTGAGAATGAAGCTCTCACTTAGTCCCCACAAAAGATCTTCATCTGAAAAAAATCTGCTTAAGGTGCAAAACAATGTGTATAATTAGGCTACCAATCATGTTTAAAAAGGAGGAGAGAAAATATGTATGTGTGTGTGTGTGTGTGTGTGTATCTGTATTTACTTGAATAATAAATGAAAATCGCTCAACAGATACAGAAGAAACTGTTAACAGTGGCTACTGACTGATTACGGTGGTGGGGAAAACCGGAAAGATGGGAAACATGCACAGGAACTTCTTACATTCTGAGATTCTTGAACCAAACAAACGTGTTACCTATTTTTAAAACTAAATGGAAAATCAATAAATGCTATCTGCTGACATTGTAGCTTTAGCGTTCTCTAACTTAATGTGATGGTTAAACCAGTCAAAATTTGTTTTAAAAACTATTAAGAATTGAATTAATTCACTGCTTTGCTTCAAATGAAGTTTCTGCGATTCATTACCTGGTCTGTTTCTTAGGCCCCTGCCCTTCTCCTGCTCCACTTGATGAGAGCCCACCTCCTTGGTTTTTAGAAGGGTCTTTCCTTTGGCCATCATTTTGTTTCTGAGGCTTATTCTGCTTTTCAGATTTATTTTCTTTTTCTTTCTTCTTCTTATCTTTGTCCTCAGCTCCAGTGGCCGACACAGGCTTATACTCTACTCCTATCAAAGACTTGTACTGTGCCTTTAGCTGAAGGAGTTCTTGAACAGCTATATCTACTTGATCCTTTAGTTTAACAAAAGAGGAAAAAGAGAAGACAGTATTTAACTCAAGTCATTGTCTAAGCACACTTAAACAAATACAATGCTCAAAGCTTTCTTTTTTCCGCCAATATCACACGGGGAATGTGCCCAGGTGGTGATAAGGTTTGAGGGAGGCATATCTCACATATGAGTGTGAAAACCCAACCATCACACTTAGGAACTACAAAAGGATCTGTCCAAAGTTTAAAAGTAGATCTGCAAACACAATTAAAGACAGGGGTTTGGGGACAGAGGGGTTTGGGGTAGGTGTTACACCAACTATTGAAATTATAAAGATTATGATAAACAGGGATAGAATTGTGCAAAACTGTGACTGGAAAACAGCACAGTCTATAACTGCATTATCCAAATAGTAGTCATGTGGCTGAATTTAATTTAAAGTAAATAAAATTAAAAATTCACTTCCTCAGTCACCACAATCACATTTCAAATGCTCAATAGCCACATGTGGCTAATGACTACTGTATTAGACAATATTGTTATAGCATATTTCCATCACTGCAGAAAGTTCTACTAGAAAGCACTGGTATCTAACATGTATTCCATAGGAATCTAAGTTAAGAGCCATTAAATTACATAAGTTGAACATTTCACAATTATAAAGATGAGATAATGGTTATCAAGTTCTAATAAAGTTAAATTTCAAAACTACAACTGTCTTCCACTCATGTGAATCTGTACAGAAAAACCTACTCCTAAAAAGATAACAGAATTCACACTTAAAGAACTAGCACAAACTACTAAGAGCTCAAAATAAAACCTACTATTTCAGTTTGACAGAGCTTTAGGAGAAAGAATGAAAAACAAGGTAAATATTAAGGGCCTTCAATGGGGTGAGCACTGTGCTAGGGTCTAGGTCACTATTCTGGATCTTACAGGTTGGAGGGAAACAAACAATTTAACAATTAAAATACAGTCTGTTTAAGTACTATGTCAGTGATGGGCGGTGTCATATGAAAACATCCAATCAAATCTAGTTGGCGTAAGAAACAATCAACAAAGTTTCTCTAAAAGGCAAGGTAAGAGAATTAAGAACTGAAATATGAGTAGAAGTTAGCCAGATTTGATGGGGCACAAAACACTTGAGGCAAAGACAATACCCTGAAACATAAAAAACAAAAGCATATAAACAAAATAACACACTAACCTTAGGGGCTTTTTCAGTTTTAAGTTTCCGAACTACTTCCCCTTGAGAAGCTACTTTGTCAAAAAGTACTTTCGCTTCTGGTGTTTCTAAACCAGCAGGTTCAGAATTTCTGGTTGGGCTTGAATCCGAACTTTGAGATAATGGGGGCTGACCAGGTATGTACTCCTTCCCAGTTTTTTCTTTATACTGAGCCTTCAGGGACAGTAAGCATTCTACAGCTTCATTTATTTTAGCCTAAAATAAAAGAGAGAAAGAGATATTTATAAAACTTTGGAAATTTCTGGAAATTTCAATGCCATTTAAAAATCTTTAATTATCAGCAAATCATTCCCATAAGTTAATCATGGGGAAACCTATGTTAAATCATCAGCCTACAATAAGTGATAAAGCTAAATTAAAAACATAAATTATATATAAGCTGAATAAACAAAAATACAATTCAACATACAACAGTGTAACTTTCTATTTTACTTAAGTAAACAGACAAATAATAGAACATCTAAGTAAACTGTCAGTGTCAAGACCTAGGTCTATAAATAGTGAAGTCAGAATTTACAAAATCAGAACAAAGATCAGATCAATGGCTTTGCCTATACAAACCTTACTTTCCACAGCTTATTAAACAGAAATTAAATACAACTTTGGGGAAAAAAAGGAAGTTTGGGTCCAACTAATGAATAGTTATATCAATTTTAAAAACTGACAATGAGATGAGAAAGCATGTTGAAGTTTTTAGACACTTACCTATATATTTTAATCTGATACTTCAACATAATAATAAAAAAGAATGATATACTCAGCCCCACCGAGACACTTGTGACTCTCTAGCAGAGAATGATAGCAACACAGGCAAAGGGCCCAAGCTGGACACCTTACCTGAAATGGTGCTACTATCTCACCACAAACCAGTGTACCACTGGGAACTTGGAGGTATCAATCAAAATAGATAGGAAAAGTGTCTCCAAATCACCCTATCCAATTTTTACTGCTACATTCGAATAATGCTCCAGATAGCTAAATGAAACCAGGCAGAAGCCATGAAGAATACTCAAATGGGCATCAGAGGAATGCAGGATACCAATGGTATACCTTCACAAAATTTGCATCTATGAGGCAGCAAAGCACATTTCCTTGTCCAGCTACTTTATAACGTTTTCTGCCTATTAGAGTGTCATACCAGGTACCACACAAAGGTAGTAAAATTAAGAGAAAATGTACAAAGAGAAGATGAGAGTAGATTGTCTGATTTGTACTCCTGTTGTGTCTCTTGTTTATTCTGTTTTTAGGAAAGAGTTTTCACAGCAGAAACTACTTTATCTCAAGAAAAACGGCCAAGTTAATCAGACATATGAGAATCAAGGGGGGAAAAAAGGGAAATTTCCACCAGCTAAAATAAAAATGGAAAAGAAGGAACTTCCCTGCAACTATTTCTAGAAAAATGACTATTTGATGACTATTTGAAAGAAGCTCCATTTTACACTATAAGCAGGTATTCATTAGAGCTTAAAGTCAGATGGCACACTTTTCACACGGAAAAAAAAAAAAAAAACCCCGTTCGCCAAGATTATAATTTGAAACGTTATAAAGGAGAAAATTAAGGTGAGCAAACCACTCTGTTATTCAATGAGATACTCTTAATAAAGCTATGTATTCATATATTTCCCCTCCCATTAGGAAATGGAATATTCTAGATAACTAAGTAAATTACTCAGGTTATTCTTCCAAAAAGAGTAAAATTATACTAATCACCACTATGCAATCTTCCCTGATGATTTAGAAGGTACCTAAAGATTCTTGAGAGAATTTGAATTATAATATGAAAAGTATCATTATCATTTTATGGTATATTTAGTCTGTGCCAGACACTACACTAAGTGCTTTACGTGGTATCTTATTTAACTCTCAAAACAACCCTTAGAGAAGTTGTCAAGTTTAGAAAGATTAAGTTCCTTCCCCAGAGTTACACAATAAGTAGTAGAGCTAGTATTTGAATCCCGAGTTTATTCCAGAGGCTGTGATCTTGACCACTACGGTTTGCTAAGGATTACAGAAAACAAAGATCTAAATGTGCATTTTAATCCTAGTAACATGCTAGGAAAACTGCTTTTCGAAAGAGATGTTTGACTATTACTTTGAATTTATCTCTTAGAATACACAATGAAGAACAAATGGATGGAGAACAAATTATCTCTTAATATACTAGTTTTCTGGATCAAAAGGCATTTACAAAGAGGAATTGGGTGGTATACTATGATTTAGTACAATATCATACAACAGCAGAAGCTGAGAGAGCATTGCTAGTAGATTTTAAGTTGTTAGTGGACAAAGACTGTTTTAAACTTACCTAACATATACCAATACAAACAGAAAAGGTTTTCAGCAAATAATTGCTGATGTGGATTAATGAGAAAAGAAACAACCTATACAAAAGACTTTGGTAAAGGTTTAAGATGGGAATTGGAAATAAGTAAAAGTGATGCTAATGTTATGACTAAAAACTGGAAAGTTAAATAAAATGGAGAAAATGGACAATTTTTTTTTATTACATTCTGATTACATTCAGAATGAGTACTCAAACAGCTATTTTTTCAGCAGCCACTAGATGGAAACATTTCTCCATGGGGAAAGGAGTGACCTTAAAAAAAAAAAAAAAAAAAAACCTGGAACATTATCCATTTGAAATACTAGAACCTTTCAAAATAGCCTGGATATCTCGATTCTAAATGAAAAAACTTTTTTCAAAAAATACTTTTTTCAAACTTGTTTTTTCCAATTTTATTACCACTCACCTTTGCTCCTTACTAGCATATCTAAGAGAACTATATCTACACACGTTGGTAATGATGACTCCTGAAAGCAGAGATTCTCACTTGGTTGGGAGGGGGATGAATGAAAGGTAATCAGAACAGAAAATCCTTCCAACTGAGTGAGGGAAGAGAGTGATGATGCTTGTATTATATTTTTTAAAGTCTGCTAGGAGACTAAGTAAACTAGAAGTTCACAGGTTGCAAAGAGAGGCATTTTAAGAAAATAATTAACCAGTTGTGCATAGCTTAAATACCTACACCTGTAAGGAATAACCGATTACTGAAACCTGATTCTAGGAGCCAATACAGCACAGGGTAGAGCCGAGATCCTGACATCAAACCTAAATTAGAACACAACACCTGTTCTCCTGCTTATCAACTGGGCTGATTCGTTTACCTAAATCACAATTTACCTGCTATTTTTCTCTGATACAAATCAATTAACACAAATTCTGAAGATTTTCCAGAAGATCCCCAAGCTGATGTAAGTCTTGTGAAGTATCCTGAACCATAATCTGATGTAAGATGTATTTATATTTGTTTAGATCAAAATCAATTTTGCATTAAGTACTAAATAGATATAGCTGGAATTCACTACACACATCCCAAATAAGAATTACAAACAACATCAAGAAAAAGATAGGCTTTTTTCTTGTTTCCTTCCCTGCAACATTTATCTTTTGGCCTGAGACATCTTAAAGCTATCTGGGGTGAGAGTGCAGGGTGGCGGCTTCCTAGAACAACCTGCTTAATGGACAAAAGGGTACAGGGATGTATGTCCTTTCCTGATAAACTGTGGTTTGGGTTTTAAAAAACAATAACATTGGTGTAAAAAATAAAAGAGCAAAGATTGGCAAGATGAATTATTGGGGACATAAAATACAAGGTGCCGTGAATTAAAATGCTGCAACTACAGAAGCAAATGGTGATTCAACTCCCCTCCACATAGACTGGGTATGGCATAGAGAGAGAACATTAGTGACAAAACAATTGTGAATTATTTTTATTTAATAATCATTTTATTTTGTTGTTACTTGATTTTTAAACAACTGTTAACTACAATGGTTCTCAAAACTCTTTCTTCCATGGAGGGATCAGCAAACTTTTTCTATAAAGGGCTATATAATAAATATTTTAGACTATGTGAGTCTTGGTTGCAACTATTCAACTCTAACTGTAGCATGAAAGCAGCCATAGACGATATGTACACCATGAGTGTGGCTGTATTCCAATAAAACTTCATTTACAGGCCGGGTGTAGTGGCTCACGCCTGTAATCCCAGCACTTTGGGAGGCCGAGGCGGGTGGATCACCTGAGGTCAGGAGTTCGAGACCAGCCTAACATGGTAAAACCCTGTCTCTACTAAAAACAAAATACAAAATTAGCCAGGTGTCGTGGCACGCGCCTGTAATCCCAGCTACTTGGGAGGCTGAGGCAGGAGAATTGCTTGAACCCAGGAGGCGGAGGCGCCAAGATCTCACCATTGCACTCCAGCCTGGGTGACAGAGCAAGACTCCGTCTCAAAAAAAAAATTCATTTACAAAGAACAGGCGTACGGCCAGGCCCAGCAGCTCACATCAGTAATCCCAACACTTTGAGAGGTCAAGGAGGGCGGACAGCTTGAGTATAGAAGTTCAAGACCAGCCTTGTTAACACAGTGAAACCCCGTCTCTATGAGCAATACAAAAATTAGCCAGGCATACTGGCATGTGCCTGTACTTCCAGCTACTTAGGAGACTGAGATGAGAGGATTGCTTGGGAGGTCGAGGCTGCAGTGAACCATGATCAAGCCACTGCACTCCAGCCTGGGCAACAGAGCAAGACCCTGTCTCAAAAAAAAAAAAATTGTTTTAAAGTGCTTTAGTTTTTAAAGTAACTTAGTATTCAGTGTTATTATATCTTTGGTGTATTCTCTGTTATGCACCTCACACTACACCAACTTGATCCATTATTTTATGCAGCAACCTACTGAGCAGGAGAAAAAGAATAAGAGGAGCAAAAGATGGTAGACTTGATGGACTTCAAGTTTTTATTACTTGCCCGTCTTTTTGCTTATACTTTGCCTTTACACTTAAAAGTTCTTTCATAGAAGCATCTATCTGATCCTGAAGCAGGAAAGAGAAGATTAAAAACAAAACAAAAAACAGAGCAAGAAAAGTCTAGTTGAAGCTGGTAACCTAAAACTTCAGCTGGTCACCTTCCTTACCATTTAACATGACATAGTAAAATAACCACCTTTGTAGAAAACTGAATAGTTAAGAAGCTTAGGCAAATTATTAATGTAAAACAAGCACAGACTTGCTAAATAATGATAAGCTAGTAAAACTATAACTCTCTAGCGCTTTCAATGGAGTACCCCACTGTCACCACCTCTCAAGGTAAATAACATGGGAATCGGTCAATATTTTAATCTAGGCTTTGCAAATTTCAGGAAGTTACTTTCATATTCAGTTTCTCCTCTGTTGCTATAACAAGCAAATAGAAAAAGTAGCATTCTTTGAATATTTTTGTACATGGCTCTTGGGAGGACTAAAAAGTGTATAGTACACAGTGCCAGATGCAGGCTAAATGCGTTCCATTCCTAGTAACTGGGTTCGTTCTTTAGAAGAGAAGAAACATTTACTACTATTAGCATTCGGAGAAAAAATATACGGAGTACAGCAGGTCCTTGAATAACATTGTTTTGTTTGATGTCATTTCATCATAACGTTTTAGAGAAAAAAAACATGATCCCCAGCCGAAGCCACTGTCTGTGTGGAGCATGTGCATTCTCCCCATGTCTGTGTGAGTTTTCTCTGGGAACTCCAGTTTCATTCCACATCCCAAAGCTGCACACATTAGGTGAACTGGTGAGTCTAAATGCTCCCGGTCTGAGTGTCAGTGTGTGTGAGTGTGCCCTGCAATGGAATGATGTCTTATCCAGGGCTGGTTCCTGCCTTGAGCCCTGAGCTACAAGGATGGGCTCTGGCCACCCAAAACCCTGAACTAGAATAAATGGGTAAATAATTATCTTGTCTTTATTCATCTTTCTTAAATGTATATACAGCTCACATTTGTTTCAATTAGAAGTGTTTGGGTCTTTATTAGAGGTCTGTGTAATGCAAAAATAATAATTTTAAAAAGAAAAGACAAAATATTAAAAAAGAAAAAGAAAAAATGAAGACAACAACAACAATAAAAAAACACAAGAAGTTTGTGTAATGCGATGTTTTTGAGATCAGAAATATGCCGTGGTAACTTCTTCTTTTTTTTTTTTTTTTTTTTTTTTTTTTTTGAGATAGAGTCTTGCTGTTGCCCAGGCTGGAGTACAGTGGCACAATATCTCAGCTCACTCCAAGCTTTCCCTCCTGGGTTCATGCCATTCTCCTGCCTCAGCCTCCCAAGTAGCTGGGACTACAGGCACCCGCCACCACACCCAGCTAATTTTTTGCATTTTTAGTAGAGACAGGGTTTCACTGTGTTAGCAAGGATGGTCTCGATCTCCTGACCTTATGATCTGCCCACCTCGGCCTCCCAAAGTGCTGGGATTACAGGCATGAGCCACCGCACCTGGCCTACTTAATTTCTTGTTTATCTCAATTAGCCTATTGTTGTTATGCACCATTTTGCTTAAAGTCTCAGTTTCCAAGAACCTATGAACAATATTAAGACTTACTATATTTTGAAACACAGACATGGTATACAGTAGGCATTCAATAAATGTAAGTCAGACTAAACTGAAGTCAGATTTATTTCAGTATCACATTAGTATTAAAATACCTAATAAAAGTACCTGCCCAATTACCAAAGAAATTTAGATCTTTTTACCTTAAGCTGACTTTTCATAACCTCAACAGTGATATTTTATGAAAGCATGATGTAACCCATTAACCCAAAAGGATGGGTGATGGATTCATAGTTGACTGTCACTCCAAGTACAACGGTTGCTTCTGTTACTATTCCACCCATAATTAAGCTGACCAAAAATTGGCACAGAATCTCAATATATTCTACTTATACAATGAATAAATTTGAAGACCAAAGCCCTTCCCTCCAAATTACACCTAAAAAGGAGTACATATTTAGTGTCCAACAGATACAGTGCAAAATGCTCCCAACCTCCCCATGAGGTAAGAAACATCTGGAATTTATATCCTAAACTCATACATCCAGCAGCATTTATTCCTTGAAGCAAAGCTGTTTTAGATAATCATGGTTCTGCGGGATCTCAACAGGCTATTTAGGCTGCTGCAAAAGTAACTGTGGTTTTTGCCATTAAAAGTAATGGTAAGAACCGCAATTACTTTTGCACTGACCTAATAAAGGATTTCTCAACAGTTCACAATGGAGAGACAGAAAAATATTAACTCCTGGGGCAAGACCTCAAAATATGAGGTCAAATATTCATGAATCAAAGTATCTTAGGTGGCAGTGTTTCATGTCAGATGCCAGCAACTTGTTGATAAGGTGAAGAACTTACTGAATTCTCCAGCCTGAGCCTAGGACCCTGACAGGACAACAGATCTGACATTTTAGAACAAATCCCCTTCCCGCCACACAAGTCAAGCCTAGTGGTGTACCATACCTCTCTGTGTATGTGCCACAGCCTAAATTCTACAATTTCTGGCAGCTCATCAGGGGCTGAATTGTTTTTCGTTGCAGTACTATTTATCTGATCATGTCTTAAACTATGCTGCTGTTTGAGGAGAACTACATACCTTCATTATTAAATACGATCTTTCACAGTCTATACAGATGCCATTCCCTTTGTCTCTTACCTACATCAAGTAAGCCCATTTCACACTAGGTGCCACACCTACTTGGCTAAATGTTTTGCCTAAGGACATACTGAAACAAGAATATAATTTATACTTCAGTCAAAATGTCATATAATTTGAAGGCTCTGCTATGAAAAGCTGGAGATAATCACAGGTCAAAAACCTCTTGACAATCCATTTGTTATTCCTTGAATACACCTTGTACCTGCTGACCTCTACCTCTGCTGGTACTGTCCTCTACACCAGGAGTTCTCAAAGCATGGTCCCTGGGACAGTAGCATCTGCATCACCTGAGAAACATTTTAGAAATGCGTATTCTCCACGTGCTCTGAATCTACTGCAGAAGAAAGTCAAAGGGCAGGGCCTAGCAATCCATGTTTTACCAAGCCAGTAATTCTGGTGCACAGTAAAGCTTGAGAACCATGGTTCCACACTTAAAGAGTGCCTTGTTGTGATCTTTGTTCCCCCATAATGGCTGCTTCTACTTCAGGATGATTTTAAATATCCTTTATAAATGGTTTCCACCTTTGTTGCCACTTAAGAACACAAACCCTTTACATAGCAACTTATACATATCACAAAGGATTACAGTCACATCACATAAGAGTACACTGAGTCTGTATGTTTCCTTCCCCAGTAAGTCACCCCTCCACTAGATTATGAGCTTCTTATATATATTTTCAGAGCTTGGCACATAGCAGGTATCAATCAATGTTGATTATTACATCAAAATATGAGCAGTCGATGTTTTATAAGAAGATGAGACTACTCTAAGCAGTTTGAATTCACACACTGAAAATGTGGTCTTGACTTTCTCTAACATACTGACCTTAGGGGATTTTTCAGCTTTTAGCTTACGAACCACCTCCCCTTGTGCAGCAACTTCATCATACAGAGATTTACTTTCCAGAATACTTGCTGAGGAATTAGAAGAAATATTCTGTCCTATTTCAGCAGGAGGGTTTCCAGGTTTATATTCCTGGCCAGTTTTCTCCTTATATTCAGCTTTCAAAGACAAAAGCTGTTTTACAGCTGCATCTACATCTTCCTTTGGTGCTTTCTTGGCTTTTAATTCACGAACCACATCTCCTTGAACAGCCACTCTATTGTAAAGGACCAAGGAATCCTCAGATGTAGTACAATTATTATTCAGAGAAGGTGTTGGTCTTTCCTTAAAAGGAGCAGAGGTCTACCAAGAGAGAAAACCAAAAGTAAAATAATTAATTCATATTAAATGTTTTCCCACAAAATTATTTCAAACTGATTGTTTTATAATGTTTCCAATTAAAAACAGAAACTTTAAACTTCAATCCCTTAAAAAGCTTAAATGAATAATCTCCTAAGTATTTATCCTAATGAAAAATGACAGGCGTAAACAAAGATAGAGGTACCTACATACTCACTGAAGCATTTTTACTATAGTAAAAACCTGAAAATACCCTAAATCTTTGTCATTAGGGGACTAAAGAAATTATAACATATCCATCAAGTTTGAGAATAAATCACTGCTCTACCACATACTCACTGTGCAACTTTGAGTTATTTTAAGCTGTTTCCTTACTATAAAAGGGGGATAACCATACTTAACCCATCAAGTTGATGGGAAAATAAAAAGTAATCTGTGTAAAGCCCTTAGTCACAAAGGCTGAGAAAAAGTGAATATCAATAAGCATTAGGTATCACTATTAATTTTTTTAGAGATGAAATACATCTAGATTGTTGATAAGGCAAGAGCTCCATCAAACTCTGTGATATAATTGTAACTCATTGTTGTGGAACAGTTTCATTTGTGTAAAATTATAAATTTACAGGTATCTATTTGTGTATAAAATCTAGAGCTATGTTCACTAAAATCAACCCTGAAGAGTGAATAAAGATACTATTTTTATTCATGCTTTCTGCTGCCTAGACTGCATTCTTCCCTACTGAAACCCTTCTAACATTAAAACCCAGCTCACATTATACCTTTCTTTCAGCTTTTTTCTTTTAAATGATCTGCCACTTAATTTTTCAGAATAATCTTATCCATATTCACAGTCTTATGTACAAATTCCAAAAATTTTCATCTCTATTCCAGAATTCTGTCCTGATCCCAGACCCAGCATTTTCAATGTCTTCAAGACATCTTTACCTAGACACTTAACAGGCATCTCAAGCTGTATCAGAGTTGCATTTTACACAGGCGTTAGGCTCTCAAAGTGGGCATGTCAGTAAAAAAAACCCATCGCTCAAAATTCCTTCCCCATAATTCCTTAAATCACTCATATTTATTTTTAGTGAGATTCTATATGTACACTCAAACACTAATATGCATATATAAATGCATATACATTAAATAAATAATACAATTCATGTAGCCACCCTATATCAAAAATATATATTTGTTCAGCTACATTTTTTTTTTTTTTGAGACAGTGTCTTGCTCTGCCGCCAGGCTGGAGTCCAGTGGTGTGATCTCAGCTCACTGAAACCTCCGCCTCCCGGGTTCAAGTGATTACTGTTCCTCAACCTCCCAAGTAGCTGGGATTACAGGCCTGCACCACCACACCCAGCTAATTTTTACATTTTTAGTACAGACAGGGTTTCACCATGTTGGCCAGGATGGTCTCAATCTCCTGGCCTCGTGATCTGTCCACCTCGGCCTCCCAAAGTGCTGGGATTACAAGCTTAAGCCACTGCGCCTGGCCTGTTCTGCTACATTTAATTTGCAACATAAATCATCTCATTCATGGTTAGTAAACAGGGGAACATATGAGTGTAACACCAAAAAAAAAAAAAAAAAAATCACACTGCCTTGTGTGTGATTTTTTCCCTGTGTATTCCAGTTTTATGTCAAATAAAGAAGCATGCAGGAACAAGCTTTTCATAATTAAAGAGAAAACTTTAGAAATACATTGACAATCTGAAGAAAAACCCAAAAACCTTTCATATAAGTGCCTTCCTTTAATGAGGATGATGCTTAAAAAACATTTTTTACCATAACATTAAGCCCTGGATGAGAATTTAATTTTGATAGTATCAGCCTCTATTGGAGAAAAATATCCTCAAAGATCTACACATCACAGGGAAAAGCATTATTATCCTTCAGGTTTAAAGCTGCAAAGGATCTCTGACTGCAAAGTTGGGTATAAGTGGCAGTCAACTGTACCTGAATATTGAATTTCTATTCAAAAGTGTGCAGGTTTCAAAGCATGTCCACAAATTTTTTGACTTTCCTCCCACCAAGAAGGGGGATCTCTGTGCCCTTTCCTGAATCTGAGAAAGCTTGTTACTGATTTGACCAACAGAGTACAGCAGAAATGATGTTATGTGAGACTTACAAGTCTAAATCCTAAAATGCAATGCTACTCCCACCTCATCTACTGGACACTCACTTTTGGAGGCCTTAAATGATAGTTAAGAAGTCTTATTACCCTGCCACTGTCATGCTAGAGAGGCCACTTGCAGCTATTGCAGTCAACTATTCCACCTGAGCTCCCAGCCAACACCAATATCAACTTGGCATCCAGGTGAGGAAACAATTTTAGAATCCAGCCCAGGCCAGGTGCAGTGGATCATGCCTATAATCCCAGTACTTTGGGAGGCCGAGGTGGGCAGATCACCTGAGGTAAGGAGTTCAAGACCAGTCTGGCCAACATGGCGAAACCCCATCTCTACTAAAAATATAAAAAAATTAGCTGGGCATGGTGGTGCGTGACTTTAGTCCCAGCTACTTGGGAGGCTGAGGCAAGAAAATCGCTTGAAGCCAGGAGGTGGAGGTTACACTGAGCCAAGATCATACCACTGCACTCCAGCCTGGGCAACAGAGCAATACTCTGTCTCAAATAAAATAAAATAAAAATAGAATACAGCCCAGTTGAGTCTTTGATGACTGCTACCCAGCCACCATCTGACTGAAACCACATGGGATACATAGGTTTTTAGTGGTTTGCCTCAACTCTGTTTTTCTTGAAAAATCGGCTGTTATTTTCGGTATGTGATTTTGCAGAACATGAAGTTTTTCAAGAACACATACTAACTTATAGCATAACACCAGTTATCTTTCTAGGATATGTAAAAAATGATAGGCACAGATGGGAACTGGAACCAATGAGGGAAAAGCAACCAAATTTCCCATCTCATGCTTACTCCATGAGTTATTGAATAATATATAGTAGCAATTTTCAAGGTGTGGTCCACAGACCCCAAGGGGTATATAAAACCCTTTTAAAGGGGATCTGCAAAGTCACAGCTATTTTCACTATATTACGATGTATTTTGTCTTTTTCGCTCTCATTCTCTCATGACTGTTTGTACAGGTTTTTAGAAGCTATTAAGTCAGATATTAAAGAGATCTGTAAAAATTTAAAACCATACCGCTCTTTTAACTAAAATTTTTATTTTGGAAAATTTTTTTTAATAAAAACTTTTCGTATGTTAACATGTAACTGGATTTATTATTTTTACATGAATTAAATCCTTTTAAAACTTCTCAATTTTTAGTATGATAAATGCTGATAAATATAACCCACATAAGCAAATCATTCTTAAGAGTATAAGGGGTCTGGCCAGGCACGGTGACTCATGCCTATAATCCCAGCACTCTGGGAGGCCGAGGTGGGAGTTTCACCTGAGGTCAGGAGTTCAAGACCAGCCAGGCCAACATGGCAAAAGCCTGTCTCTACTAAAAATACAAAAATTAGCCGGGCGTCATGGTGCACGCTTGTAATCCCAACTGCTCAGGAGGCTGAGGCATGAGAATTGCTTGAACCCGGGAGGCGGAGGTTGCAGTGAGCCCAGATCGCGCCACAGCACTCCAGCCTTGGGTGAGAGTGAGATTTTAAAATCTTACATGAAAGGATAACAACAAAATGCAAAGAGCAAGACTTAACTGTCTTCTTCAGTCTCCACAGTAAGAAAGATAATCATCTGTAAAGAAATATATTCTAAACCCTGGGATAGAAAGACCATTTATTTTTATACACATATCCGTAAAAGTCATTACCTCATTTTTTGTGGCTTCTACTTTGGTCTTTTCCTTTGACCCTGATGTTGGCATTTCCTTTGTGTGCCCATCAGGAATGTATATCAAAACACACGGGGCTTCCTTGCAACTATATGGGCTAAAAAGAAAATAAAGGGACAAAATAGTTTATTTGAACAAAATTATCTGAACAGCAATAAACACTGAATTCCTAGATAAATTCAATGGCACTAAGTTAATGCTTTTCTTTCTTTTTTTCTTTCCTTTTTGAGACAGTCTCACTCTGTCGCCCAGGCTGGAATGTAGTGATGTGATCTAAGCTCACTGCAGCTTCCACCTCCTGCGTTCAAGTGATTCTCCTGCCTCAGCCTGTAAGTAGCTGGGATTACCAGCCACATGCCACCACACTAATTTTTGTATTTTTAGTAGAGCCTGGTCTTGAACTCCTAACCTCAAGTGATCCGGCCACCTCAGCCTCCCAAAGTGCTGGGATAACAGGTGTGAGCCACTGCACCTGTCCAGTTAATGCTTTTTGAAGTATAAAATAGTCCATTGTCTTACTATTCAAATCAGAGGCTCTTCAGAATAGTTTTACAAACAACAAATGCATAAATAAAAATTGACAGTCTTGGCCGGGCGCAGTGGCTCACCCCTATAATACTGGCACTTTGAGAGGCCAAGGCGGGTGGATTGCCTGAGTTCAGGAGTTCAAAACCAGCCTGGGCAACACGGTGAAACCCCATCGCTACTAAAATACAAAAAATTAGCCAGGCGTGGCGGCGGGTGCCTGTAGTCCCAGCTACTCCAGAGGCTGAGGCAGGAGAATCACTTGAACCTGGGAGACAGAAGTTGCAGTGAGCCAAGATCACACCACTGCACTCCAGCCTGCGTGACAGAGTGAGATTCTGTCTCCAAAGAAAAAAAAAAAATTGGTCAGCCGTGGTGGCTCATGACTCTAATCCCAGCACTTTGGGAGGCCAAGGCAGGTGGATTACCTGAGGTCAAGAGTTCGAGACTAGCCTGGCCAACATGGTGAAACCTGTCTCTACTTAAAAAATACAAAAATTTAGCCAGGTATGGTGGCGGGCGCCTGTAATCCCAGCTACTTTGGAGGCTGGGGCAGGAGAATCGCTTGAACCCAGGAGATGGAGATTGCAATGAGCTGAGACTGCATCATTGCACTCCAGCCTGGGCAACAGGAGAGAAACTCTGCCTCAATGGAAAAAAAAAAAGAAAAAAAATTGACAGTCCTTATTACAAACTTCCAATCTATGAACTTTCGTCCATATGAACAAACTATGTCCAGGGCAAAATTATATCTGCTATGCCTGCCACTAGAAAGGGCGTTAGTGAATGTTAATGATACTCTTGACTTCAAGAAAATTTGTCTACATACCACACCTAATCTGCTTATAAGCAGAAAAATTTCTGTAAAACATTTATTTATTTTAAAATATTTAAGGGTGGGTATGGTGGCTCACATCTGTAATCCCAGCACTTCGGGGGGCCATGGCAGGTGGATCTCTTGAGCCGAGGAGTTCAAGACTAGCCTGGGAAACATGGTGAAACCCTGTCTCTACAAAAAATACACAAACTAGATAGGTGTGGTGGCACATATCTGTAGCCCCAGCTACTCAGGAGACTGAGGTGGGAGGATCACCTGAGCCTGGGGAGGTCAAGCCGCTGCACTCAAGTCTGGGTGAGAGTGAGACCCTGTCTCTTAAAAAAATAATAATTTATAAGAATTTCTCAATTTCAAAGGGTATAGTAATTAGCAATAATCTATTGCCACTTTTTGGCAATTATGAATAATGCAGCTGTAAACATTCATGTACACATTTTTGTGTGAACATGTTATTTTTCTTTGGCAAATACGCAGGAATGGAATTGATGGATCAAATGGTAACTCCGTGTTTAATTTTTGGAGGAATCATCCAACTGTTTTTCCAAAGTGGCTGAACCATTCTACAACCCTACCAGCAATACATATGGGTTCCAATTTCTCCACATTTCTAACCCTTGTTATTGTCTTTTTTTATTTCAGCCATCCTAGTGGTATGCAATGATATTTCATTGTCATTTTCATCTGAATTTCCCTAACAACTAATGATGCTGAGCATCTTTTCATGTGCTTACATTTGTACATCTGCTTGAAGAAATGTCTACTTAAATCCATTGTTAATTGGGTTCTCTTCTGGATACAAGTCCTTTAAGAGACATATGTGCAAATATTTTCTCCCATTCTGTGACTTATCTTTTCACTTTCTTTGAAACACAATATATGTTAATCTTGATGAAGTCCAATTTATTTTTTTTCTTTGGTTGATTGTGATTTAGGTGTTATATCCAAAACAGCATTGCCAAGGTTACAAAGATTTACATTCACGTTTTCTTCTAAGAGTTTTATAGTTTTTAGCTCTTACATTTAGGTCTTTGATAAATGTTGAGTTAATTTTTGTATATGATATGAGAAAGTGCCCAACTTCACTCTTTCATGTGTAGCTATTCAGTTCTTCTAGCACTATTTGTTGAAAAGTTCAAAAACTTTCTAAGAATAAAATGAGAACCTACTCTGTTATTTTAGTTGGTGGTACCACCACCATTACTAAATACTTAAGGAGGGCTTAGCAACTATTAGGCACTATGCTACACTGTATGCATGCGTGAGCTTATGTGACTAAAGGAAATGTGATATTAAAATGAATAAGGTTACTCATATGACGAAAAAGCCACAAGGCCATTCCAGGAAAAGGCATCAAGTGCTTTTGAAAAGCCCCAGGCAATTTGGTACATATGTTAAAAAGAAGGGATCAGGGCGAGAAAACTCCAACACCTATGGCTCAAGAGACGCCGTAACATGAAAAATCTTGCATATCAAACTCAAAAGTTTAGCCTTTACTCTGAAACTAACAACAATGTTTGTTTGTTTTTGAGAGAGTCTTGCTCTGTCACCAAGGCTGGAGTGTGGTGGTGCAATTATAGGTCACTGTAACCTTGAACTTGTGGGCTCAAGCAATCCTGCCGCCTCACCTGCTTGAGCAGTGAGGATTACAGGTGTGTACCACCATGCCTGGTTAATTCTTTATTTATAATTTTTTGTAGAGATGGGGTCTCACTATGTTGCCCAGGCTGGTCTTGAACTCCTGGCCTCAAGTAATCCTCTTGCCTCAGCCTTGCAAAGTGCTGGGATTATAGGCATAAGTCATAGTGGCTGCCCTACTAATAGAGATTTTTTAACAGTAGAGAAATGTGATAAAACTGTTACTCTTAAATTTTCAGACTGGTGGGCATGTGAAAACTGAACAGAAAAAGGATGAAATTGGAGGCAAGGAGATACCTGAGAGCCTGTTTTGGCAATCAAGGAAGCAATGTTATAGCCTGAAATAAGGCAGAGCAGTGGATCCACAGAGATGGACCAGATGGGCAACACAAACGACAGAGTTTGCTGAGTGAAAAAAGGGATGAAGGGGAAGCATAAGTCAAAGATGACACCTAGATCCTGGAATTTTGAACACGTTGAGTTTGAAATGCTTGAAAGAATCTATTCACAGATATCTAAAGCAGTTAGATTCACAAGACTAAATCTCAGGAGAGGCGTTTTGACTACACAGTTACAGAGATATCACTTAAAAAAATAGCAGAGACAAACAGAAAAGAAAAAAAAGGGACAAAAATTTACATAGAGTTCTCCTTCTAATAATCCTATTACTTCATGGTTAAAAAAAAAAATACAAATACTGGTTATTTCTTCCCTCTAAATGTATGCTGTTTGTACCATTTATCTAGTGAAAATACACTACAAAGAAAAAGATAATGGTAATAATTTTCACCCAAAGATAGGTAATATACAGACTGAAATTTTGTTCTTTATACTTGGGCTACAGGAAAGTTAATTATAAGAGGTTTAATTTCAGAAATGAATAATTTATTAATGTTCAATGTGCGTGTTGTTTCAAAGATCACTTGTTAAAATAAATTACTTGTCTAAAATGTTAAATATAAAATAAAACTGAGAGACTGAGAAAGAAAACTGTTAGGTACGTTATTTTAGTGAAAGTTCAATTTCTAAAATATTACTCACTATAACAACTTTAAGCATTTTCATTTAGACGTTCAGTTACATTTACTTACCTAACAGGTTCATAAGGTTGATCACATATGAAGAATCCTCTTCTCTGGAGTTGTATAATATCTCCTTTTTTCAAATCCTTAAGGCAGGGATCCCCTAGCATTAGCTCTTCATGCTGTAAAGATGATATAAACCAAAGTACACTTTCTCAAAATCATAGTAGTAAAATAACTCTAAAATGCAAGCAGTTTCCACTAACTAAAATACTCCCATTTTAAACAGATATGTTAAAAAGTTCACTACTTGAGGACACACAATGAAACGGTGAAGTGTTAAATGACAATTCAATTTATCACATTTTTAAAAGTTAACATTCATAAACTGGCCTCAAAAAACCTTTTAAATAACTTGATTAGCATTCCAGAAGAAATAATTTCCCTGCTATAAATATGAAATATGATGCAAGAAGCATGTAATAGACTTAGGTGAAAGGCATGCTGGCGTAAGGCTTAAATACGAGGGTCAGATTTGAATCCCAACTCTACTATTTACTGTTTGTCCTCAGGTAAGTTACTCAACTTCACTGTGTTTCACTTCCTATCATCTATAAAATGGAAACATTACTTACATCGTTTTTTTTTTTGTTTTTTTTTTTGTTTTTTTTTGTAGAGACGGGGTTTCACCATGTTGCCCAGGCTGGTCTTGAACTCCTGAGCTCAAGCGATCCACCCATCTTGGCTTCCCAAAGAGCTAGGATTACAGGCATGAGCCACCATGCTCGGCCAACTTACATCATTTGATTTAAATAAAATTCTACACATCTTATCCATTTTATCTGAGGATCCGAAATATATAAAATTAATTTTTTTAATTCTAAAGGAAAATTTAAAAGGTGAAATATGGTTTCTTTGGAAGGTTACCTTACTGTTCTTGTTGACATACTGCTTAAAGTCCTCGTCTTTTCCTAGCACTGGCTTTGTGATCAAGTGCTCATAAGTGACACAGATTACTGGAATAGGAAGAGCATGTGTAGTCTCTGCAAGCCAAGTGACCTTAGTGGTTTTCTTGTAGTCTTTGTTTTCCAAATTCAACTTTGCATCAAGAGATATGATTTTTCCATCTGCATTTCTAGATATAAGATTAAAAGTATTCAAAGAAATATTAACCACAGCTGCCATAAATTCATTATTTTGTTCTATAATAATTTTATATTATTATAAAATAATTTATTGTTTTATTTTGTAATAAATGGATAAGAAATTTTCTTTGGAAAAATTCCAAATCAAACATTTATTTGAGCTTCTAACATGCCAGACATATATTGGTTAATAAATACAACATAATCACTGACATCGAGATACTAATAATCAACTAGAGAACAGATTCACATACAATTGATGAGGAACATGTATATATTTATTAACTTAAAGTCACCTGCATCAAGCATTATAAAATTTGAATTACTATGTTTAAAAACATTTGGCAGTTACTTGCAATCATATGTAATAACTACGCAATTAAGATTTCAGAGTTTGCATAAATCAGTCTTAAGCATACTATGTTTCATTTATAGAATCTGAAGATCATATTCCTAAGTGTAGCACACTATAGTAACTAGAAAGTCAAATTAATTATTAACCAATCAGTTTTAAAGTAAATTTTAGTAAAAAGATTATGTTATACATATAAATTCTGTCTAAAAGATCCCCATGTCATGCAACTGTATAGAGTCCCTTTTTATCATGTAATTTCTCATTAAAGCATTACAACTATTTTTTATATCCAGATGTAGTAATTTTCAACACCACAAATAAAAGACATCTTGATAGCCTGTTAGTAAACTGAAAGATATATGGAAAAAAATTTAACTTGTGTCCAGAATTTGCAGTAGCTATGTCTGGGCAGATTTACTAGTCAGCAACATGTATGGGTCTGAATTTGGTAATGTTTAATAAGTAAACACAAATAAAATACTTTTCTCCTATGTTTATTTGAAAACAAACAAAAAGTTCTTACTTGTGTATTTTTGTAATGTTGAGGTTGCCCCAATTTATAAATGTAACCATCTCACCCTCCGAAAAAGTCTCTGCATCAGCACCTTCAATGAAAACTTTGGGACTATACCACACAGGCTTCAAGCCAACCTCAGGATTCTGATTGATAAAGAAAAGCAGAGTGTCTGTTGAAACAACAACTTATTGAACCCAGTATGCAAATTTATACATTCATTCTATTCTTTAACCATACAAAAGTCTTCTGTGTTACTAAACTGTTAGCAGTTCATTGCTGTATTAGGAAGAAAATGCTTTACTCTTTCTCCATCTATGTATTTTAACATAAACATATTCCCAATTCTGTTCTTAGCATTTAAACAATACATACTCGGCCTCAATAGAAATCAATAGTTTGAATTCCAGCTCTGTGACATCAGATCAGCAACCTGACCACTAATGTTAATGGAATTAGATGAGGTAGCTTGCCCCTAAGATTACTTCCAGCCTACAAGACTCATTGATTTCACAGCTAAGACAGTATACTTTATCATTTAGTATCTCTTCAACTAGAATCTGTTTCCTATCCTTAGAATCCCACTGCTTCGCCGGGCATGGTGGCTCACACCTGTAATCCCAGCACTTTGGGTGGCCACTGCTTCGCTGGGCATGGTGGCTTACGCCTGTAATCCCAGCTGAGGTGAGCAGATCACGAGGTCAGGAGATCGAGATCATCCTGGCTAACACGGTGAAACCCCGTCTCTACTAAAAATACAGAAAGTTAACTGGGCGTGGTGGCATGCACCTGTAGTCCCAGCTACTTGGGAGGCTGAGGCAGGAGAATCACTTGAACCTGGGAGGCAGAGGCTGCAGTGAGCCGAGATTGCATCACGGCACTCCAGCCTGGGCAACAGAGCGAGACTCCGTCACCAAAAAAAAAAAAAAAAAAAAAAAAAAAAGATAAAAGAATCTCACTGCTTCTGCAGCAAAGGAGAAAATAAGTCA
The DNA here is from genome assembly GCF_000001405.40 of Homo sapiens. Classification (NCBI taxonomy): domain Eukaryota; kingdom Metazoa; phylum Chordata; class Mammalia; order Primates; family Hominidae; genus Homo; species Homo sapiens. Next base: position 220,008,182 of record NC_000001.11, read on the forward strand.
TTCTTGAGCAGTGGCTATGGGACATTATAGGACAACAGATGCCACCTTAGCAGGAAATTATGGACCTTTCAGATTTTAGAAGACAAACTTTAAAGAAAGTATTATCTATATAGATATAGATAAGTAAATTTTCTGCCTTTCTAGTGTGTATGATATGGAAAGAAAAAGAGATGCGGAGAATAAAAAGAACGCCATAATTTCAGTTTTTATTTGGCAGAATTAAAAAAAAAAAGTAAGAAGATCTTTTGAAATAAACATTAACCAGCATGTGTTTAACAACTGTTCAATGAACTCACCAATGCATTTCAGAAAAATCAGTATGTTTTAACAACAGATAACATACTAAGCTCAGAATAGAATACTGACAGGCTAAATAAAAAATACTTTGCGACGGAAATGTTATAATGAAAATTCCACAGAGCAAACTGAGTAATCCAGTCACAATTTAAGAGTGTGCTTCCTTAACAATTAGTTCTTATTTTTAACAATGAGCAGTACTTAGTAATTTAATTTTTTAAATTTTATTTGAGGTAGGGCTTTGATCAGTCACCCAGGCTGGAGTGCAGTGGTATAGTCACAGCTCGCTGCAGCCTTGAACTCCTGAGCTCAAGTGATCCACCTACCTCTGAGATTATAAGCATGAACCATAATGCCTGGTTAATTTTTTTATTTTTCGTAGAGACAGAGTCTTGCTATGTTGACCAGGCTGGTCTTGAACTCCTGGCCTCAAATGATCTTCCCACCTCCACCTCTCAAAGTGCTAGGATTACAGGCATAAGCCACCAACCTAGCAATTTAATCTAAACTATCAGACCACAACTGTCATTTTAAAAAATAAGCACCCTTCAAAACTTTTATTCTCAAGATTCAAATTTTAAAATATTCAATATGCTTCAGATTTATACTAACTGTATGGTAGGTGATATGGCAGGTCAGATACTACTACTTACCTGGTCAAAACAATCAGATATAAAGAAAGACAAAGCCAAACCAATCAACTAAACGCGCACCCCAAATCTTATTAGGATTCAAATCTTTAAAATTAAAAAGTAGATAATGACATACATGGGAAGACAATCATATAAAGCTACAATTTAGAATATGTATAGCTCTTTGCAATGCACATCATCTTATATGTGAGTTAGTCTACGAACACAGTTATAAGCTTGGCTACTAGTATATGCGTTAGTCTGTGAACGTAATTTTCAGTATATAATAAAGTTATTTATAGACAACTTGTAAAGCTGAAATAAAACAACTCTTTTACCAGCCTGGGCAACATGGTGAAACCCTGCCTCTATAAATACCAGCCTTGGCAACATGGTCTAAACCTGTCTCTACAAAAAAGTACAAAAATGAGCCAGATATGGTGGCATGAACCTGTAGTCCCAGGTATTCAGGATGCTGAGGTGGAAGGATCACTTGAGACCAAGATAGAGGATGCAGTGAGCTGAGATCAGGCCACTGCACTCCAGCCTGAGCACCAGAGCAAGGCCCATTTCAAAATTAAGAAAAAAAAAAAATCTTGTTTTGCTTCAAAATTGTCAACTAAGCAGTCATAAGGATCTGGGATGACCACAGCTTAACAAAAAAGTACTCTATGGTACTTGTATTTAAGATTTCTATTCAGGGCTGGGCACAGTGGCTCATGCCTATAATCCCAGTATTTTGGGAGGATGAGGCAAGCAGATCATTTGAGGCCAGGAGTTCAAGACCAGCCTGGCCGCCAACATGGCAAAACCCCATCTCTACTAAAAATACAAACATTGCTGGGTGTAGTGGCGCACATCTGTAATCCAAGCTACTCAGGAGGCTAAGGCATGAGAATCACTTGAAGCCGGGAGGCAGAAGTTGCAGTGAGCCAGAATCATGCCACTGCACTCCAACCTGGGCCACAAAGCGCAACTGTCTCAAAAAAAAAAAAAAAAAAAATTCTATTCAGAATTTAGATGGACCCTTCACTTATACTTTCCAAACAGAGGAAATGACAGTGTAAGAGACTCTGAAGTCAAGCTGTGATTCAACAGTAGTAGGTCTAATGTTTTGGCTTAAAGACAAAGGTGACAGGGAATACCCTAGTTAATAGAGAATGCACTTCAGATTCCATATAAAGATAGGAGCTTGAATTATAACTCATCTTTCAGGATTACTCTAGGAAGAGATAAATTCTTATTACACACTAATATGCTAACTCTACACAATAAAAAATAAGCACCAACTGAGCATAACAGTTCTGTGTGATGTACTATGGATTGTTACTAAAATAAACTTTTTTAAGGCAAAAAATCCAAAAAAGATTTACTTCGATTAGTATCAAATCCTGACAATGTTGAATAGAAAATCATCTCAGCCTGGCGCAGTGGCTCACGCCTGTAATTCCAGCACTTTGGGAGGCCGACGCAGGCAGATCACGAGGTCAGGAGATTGAGACCAACCTGGCCAACATGGTGAAACCCCATCTCCACTAAAAATACGAAAATTAGCTAGGCGTAGTGGGGGGCACCTGTAATTCCAGCTACTCAGGAGGCTGAGGCAGGAGAATGGCGTGAACCCGGGAGGCAGGGGTTGCAGTGAGCCGAGATCGCCCCACTGCACTCCAGCCTGGAGACATAGCAAGACTACGTCTCAAAAAAAAAAAAAAAAAGAAAGAAAGAAAGAAAATCATCTCAAAATCATGCCACTGCCATGAAAGCACATTTTCCTTTTTATTTCCTGCTCCTTCTTTTAACAGAGAGAAACACATTGGTGAAACTGTAAGAGTGACCTTTGGGTGTTTGGCTACTTCTTTCATCTCCTCCTGAGCTTCAGGTACATTCACTGGGATCACTTCTTTCTTCAGTAATGCAACATATCGTGGAGCCACTGGGTCAATAACCTGCAACAAATACATCCTCATGTTAAAACACTGCGATATCTTATAGAGCGCCATAAGCAAAATAAATAATAGCACAGGAATACTAACTGGCTTTCTTGTTACTGCATTTACTAATTTTTTTTCAACTGTTAACTCTTTTCTGATATTTACCATTAAGCAGAAAAAAGAGAACAACTGTAAACCAAGACTACATGAAGGATTTAGACTTCTTTCACAAGAATAGCTACTGGCAGGTGAAAAGAAACCAATTAAAGCATAATATTAGAGTTATTTTGAAAATAATTTTAAAATCTGGTATTAGAAGGCAAGGAAAAGTTTTCCAGTGGGGTTATATCTTAATCCTAAAGGTAAATGTGATATTCAATTTTATAGTTTGGACAAGCCCATTTTAAGAGAATATGGATATTTTTGTTTCAGTATTGTTTTCTTTAATCAGTGTTAGGGTAACACATCACCATCAAAAGCAGAATAGCATTCGGTCACTATAATAAGGCAATTCTATAGATTAAAAGTATAAATGACATTTCTACTGGTTTACATGCTATATGTAGAGGCCAGTATATATAGACCAGTATATTCTCAGTATATTCCCAGTACCTAGCTAGGGTCTGTCTCATATAGGTAATCAATAAATATTTGCAGATTGCCTCAATAAATGGTCATACACATTATGCTCTAACCTATTCTACTTCCAAATCATCAGTAGCATCCCCTTCTGGAGCTGATGTATTTTTCTCACTTCACTGTTCAGTGTAAAATTAGTCATGATGACCAATCACAAGAGCAATGTTTAGACACTATATATAAAGCACATGTGAGAAAAATGTAGATGAAAGCAGAGTCAAACAGCTAAGTAATGGAAGTTATTTTTTCTCATTAGAAGAATGCAGAAAACAGTGGTATAATTAAATTTGTTTTTATTTTTCCATTGTTGCCATTATTGGGTTGGTTTTTTTTGTCAGTGTTGAAGGTAGTTTTCAGCTTCTAAAAAGAATGATATCGTGGAAATTCTGAATGAACTCAGAGAGGAAGCCATCCTCAGAGAGGTCATTCACGCAAAGTTTGAAAAGCTATTTAACTTCTCCTCATCTGCTAATCCTCATCTGCTTATATTTCATGCTAATACTAAATCAGTACCAGCCTTTTTCAAGTTTACTGTTTCATTCCTTCCTTGAGGCTTAAAGTTCATTCTTACTAGCTAAGGATTTCTCCTTTCAGCTTCTACTGGGCTGGAATAATCAAAGATTTAATTCGTGACTGACTACTCAGTTCAGTATTTAAGTCAGTAAGACATAATTTCTTTAAAAAAACTAAAACTAGACAACCCCGCCTAAGAAACTTAGTTCATTGCAGCTGTTTCCTCCGCTGCCAAAAGGAGCAGGATGTTTCCTATACTTGACTAATTTTAATCACCACTTGGGGCAGTTGTTAGCACAGATTCTGAGACAACTTGGTCTGAAGTAAATTTCAGAAATCTAATTTTTAACAAGCATTCCATAGGATGGTTAGGATCAGGCATATTTGGGAAACTTGGATTCAAAGACTTAAAAGGTATTTTTAGCTCTAAAAATATGCAATTCTAAAAGTCTCTGGATCAGTGGTTTTCAAATTACTCCAAAGAGTCCTAAATATTTCAAAGAGGTGCCCTGGTAGCACTAAGTGGAGGTGGAAGGACCAGAGGGCCTCCAGATCCCCTTCATATACTTCAACCAGAACAGCTAAGTTTTTGTTTTATTTATTGGGGTTTAATTCTGGTAGCACTAAGTGAAGGGGGAAGGACCAGAGGGCCTCCAGATCCCCTTCACATACTTCAACCAGAACAGCTATGTTTTTGTTTTATTTATTGGGGTTTAATTTTCAAGAAAACTTTCACTGGAAGGAAGTCTCCTGATTTGTGGAGTGGGGAGAGAAGTCTCTACATACTTTATTAGCTGAGAACAGATGCAAGGGGTTGAGATGAGAGTTGGGAAAAATTATATTATACTACTGAAATACATACATTTTAAAACTAAAGCAGTCAATAAGGGTTCATAGAGATTGACAACAGCTCTAAAATGAACATCTTAAACCTGTGACTCTTCTGCCTTGACTGAAAAGTTAAAATCTTAACACTTAAATAAAAGCTAGAAGAAAACTAGTGAGGTTAATGCAAAGTAAGCTCTTGAAATGTCTCCTACCACTATCAAGGAAAAAACTATTTATAGATATATTCCATTTAACTATGATACAGAAAAATAAAGTACTAGTTTCCTATCAAGATGAAAACTCAGGCTGAGAAAACAAGGATCACGGTATTGTCGAAGGGATATTGAGATAACTAATCACCCCACATCTCTTTCCCCTTCATCCATTTCTCCCTTCTTTTCTTTACCACGTACAATTCACTCCTAAAATAAGGCTCTTTCTCCAAAGAATCATGCAAATAAATCTAGCTTATTTTTTTTAAAACAGAACCTGCTTTGAAAAAAAAAATGCTAAGTTAGTGAAGAGTAGGAGAATGTCCAAAGAATGATGATTCAGCTCTGCCAGTAACACTTACTTCACAACTCCACGGCGCTAAATTTAGTTCACTGATGCTTCACTTAAATCTTACCTGCAGAGCTTGAGAAGAAAGACAGAGCAAGCTAGAAAACAACAAAGCAGTAATTAGAGATTGAGAGTGCCATGAACTCTAAATAAGAGGGGTATGTACCTCAAGAGTTGAAGGGAATGGGTTTCAGTGTATGAAGACATCATGAAGGCCAGCAATAGAAACAAAAAGTAATGATCACAATGATTTCCTTTTTACTACCAGTTGACTAAAAACAATGCTATGTTTTAAAGACGGTGTTTAATGATTAAAGATCTCACAGGATTTAGGAGAAAAAAGGCAGACTGAAAATACTCATCAACTTTCACTCTTTCCCAACCCCCAACTTAAAAGAAATGAAAGGTTTTGTTTTGTTTAAAGGAACAAATCCAGAAGGATTAATATAATAAAAGAAGAGAAGGCTGGGCACAGTGGCTCACGCCTGTAATCCCAGCACTTTGGTAGGCCGAAGTGGGCGGATCACCTGAGGTCAGGAGTTCGGGACCAGCCTGGCCAACATGGTGAAACCCTGTCTATACTAAAAATACAAAAATTAGCTGGGCGTGGTGGCAGGCACATGTAATCCCAGCTACTCGGGAGGCTGAAGCAGGAGAATTGCTTGAACCCAGGAGGCAGAGGTTGCAGTGAGCCGAGATCACGCCACTGCACGGTAGCCTGGGTGACAGAGCGAGACTCCATCTCAAAAAAAAACAAAAAAGATAACAGCAACAAAATTCTGGAAGCTGAAAAACATAGAAGCATCCCCTCCCCACTCCATATAACCAGGCAACTGCCTCTCCCCTACCTTGACAAAAGACTGGAAGTTTACTCTGTGAATAAGAGGGTATCTAGATTCTGGCAGATACCAGAAAGAGCCAAAGGAAAGGGTACTGCACGAGAGACAATGGGAATAAGTGAATGTATGATAGTAGATTTATAAAACCCTCAGCAGTCTTCCCCCATTTGGCTCCAAAGCCTGGCAGCCAGGTCTTCACACTTCAGGAAGGCGATTCAATGAAGCCCCTCTGGGAAAACTGCCTAATCCTTGAGAAAAGATATAAAATTACTGACATGGAATTTCTCCAACAAACTAGCCCAGCCAGATCATTGTACAGTGAAGCTCAGTTGAAAGCCCAACTCTCATTCTTCAGGCTTCCAATCACTCTTTATTTCCCCACATTAAACATAAGCAGATAACCAAGGCTCTAACCAGACATCTGAGAAATATCTTTAACGTGAAAGAAACCAAAATAAACAAATTGGGGAGAAGAGACACTACTCTGCAGAAAACCCTACTATTAATACCATGAAACAAGAATAGAGAGTTATTTTGAAAATTCAGAGAACAAGAGAAACACTGGAACTATAGTAGCATAAATAAAATTCAACAGAAAGGTGGGAAGATAAAAATTAAGTAGATCTGTGATAAACTAAAAGACAAGAAGGAAAATAAGACAGAACACGAAACAAGAGTACCAGTCCAAGAGGCCCAACATCTTCCCAAGAAGAGTTCCAGGAGAAGAAATACACAATAGAGAAGAAAGAAAAAGAATTCAAAGCCGGGCACAGTGGCACACACCTGTAATCCCAGCACTTTGGGAGGCTGAGGCGGGTGGATCAAGAGGTCAGGAGTTCAAGACCAGCTTGGCCAAGATGATGAAACCCTGCCTCTACTAAAGCTACAAAACTTAGCCAGGTGCAGTGGCAGAAGCCTGTAATCCCAGCTACTCAGGAGGCTGAGGCAATAGAATTGCTTGAACCCAGGCAGCAGAGGTTGCAGTGAGCCGAGATCGTGCCACTGCATTCCAGCCTGGGCGACAGAGTGAGACTCCGTCTCAGAAAAAAATAAAACAAAACAAAAGAGAAAAGACAAGACAAGAGAAAGAAAATAAAAGATGGAAAGGGAAAGGGAAAGGGAAAGGGAGAGAATTCAAGAAAATTTCCCAGAACTGAAGGAATGAGTTTCTAGACTGGAAGTCACATGTTCTTCCAATGATGCGGATGAAAACAGACCCTCACCATGGCCTATCATCATGAAATTTCAGACTAAAAACACAGGTCAGATACAAGGTTTCAAAATTTTCTTCATCCCATCCTCCCCTTGTCAGGGAGCTGGACTGAGTCTCCAAAGAATGACGTATTACCTTCAGGAAAGCAAGAAGGTAATATAAAAAAAAAAAAAAGAAGATCCAAGAATGGGGCAATGTTCTGTAATGTCCATTACAGAATAAAAGCAAAGGGAATCCCTAGGAAGATGCTGAAGAGACCTAGGAAGATAGCTATGCTTCAGAAACCAATGGGCCATGAATCCAAATCAGGTTACAGAGCAGCACAGAAGGCTCTGGCAAATGTCTCCAAAATGAAACTGAAAGTATACCTAAGGCATCTGAATATCTTGGTGGGAAATTTGCACATCTTGTGGAGACAGAAAAGTATGCAGGGGGGCTTGGTGGCTCACACCTGTAATCCCAGAACTCCGGGAGGCTGAGGTGGGCGGATCACGAGGTCGGGAGTTCGAGACCAGCCTGGCCAACATGGCAAAACCCCGTCTCCACTAAAAATACAAAAATTAGCTGGGTGTGGTGGTGGGTGCCTGTAATCCCAGCTACTCGGGAGGCTAAGGCAGGAGAATCATTTGAACCCGGGAGGTGGAGGTTGCAGTGAGCCCAGATTGTGCCATTGCACTCCAGCCTAAGTAACAGGGTGAGATTCCGCTACAAAAAGAAAAAGAAAAAAGAAAAAAAGAGTACGCAGGGGTGGGGAGAGGAAAAAAAAAAAATTAATTTTCTTTTTTTTTTCTTTTGAGACAGAGTCTCACCCTGTCACCCAGGCTGGATTGCAGTGGTGTGATCAGGACTCACTGCGGCCTTGACCTCCTGGGCTCAAGTGATCCTCCCACCTCAGCCTCCCAAGTAGCTAGAACTACAAGCATGCACGACCAGGCCTAGCTAATTTTTTTTTTTTTTTTTTTTTTGGAGAGATGGGGTATCACTATGTTGTCTAGGCTGGTCTCAAAATCCCAGGCTCAGGCGATCCTCCTACCTTGGCCTTCTGAACTGCTGGGAGTAGAGGCATGAGAACCTGGCTTTTTTTTTTTTTTTTAACAGAAAAACAAAAACAAAAACAAAAAATAAGCAAATGAGAGGGAGAGACAAAGCAAGACAATCAACTACAAGCAAACCAAAAAGTTAGGAGAAAAAGTAAAAGGTCAAATTATTTATCTTCCATCACGGGAAGTCAACTAATATGTCTAAACATAGCTAAAAAAGTAGTAACACATATATTTCATTCAGCAATATAAGCAACAGGCCGGACACAGTGGCTCACGCCTGTAATCACAGCACTTTGGGAGGCAGAGGTGGGCGGATCACAAGTTCAGGGGTTTGAGACCAGCCTGGCGAACACAGTAAAACCCCATCTCTACTAAAAATACAAAAATTAGCCAGGCATGGTGGCACATGCCTGTAGTCCCAGCTACTCAAGAGGCTGAGGCAGGAGAATCGCTTGAACCCGGGAGGCAGAGGTTGCAGTGAGCCTAGACTGTGCCATTGCACTCCACCGTGGGCGACAGCAAGACTCTATCTCAAAAAAAAGAAATATAAGTAATAAATACCAAAAGAACTATCTAGAAGAGATGAAAGTGCTTTCTCCAGGGAGACTATGAAAGTAGATAGAGAGAGGAATGTGTTGTTCATCTTAACAGACCCTACAGAACTATTTGACTATAGTAAAATATATTTCAGATATCTGAAGTGTCCATGTTTAACTTTATTAAAACTTAAAATCAGTAAAAATTGTATTGTTAATGAAAAGTACACCAGTGTTAACTTTGCCAGCAAATTCTACTCATATTTATTATTAGTAACTGCAGCAACAGCAAGAACCAATTAACAATTCCTTTATGTATCAAAAACTAAACACGAAAGACCAAAATAAAACAAATTCAAGACACATGCGAAACAAGCAACTATATCTTGAGGCAAGACATCAGCACCATCAAGCAGCAATCCCAAATAAGAATTTACAGAACACAATCACAGAAACCATAATTTAAAACATGGCATTTGAATGATTTGCCTTATTATAGTGTCCAAGCATCTGCTTTCCAATTAGTAATTAACAATGTCAATAGGCAATGTTCCTCATTTGACTTTCAGTTAAGAAACAGTTAAAAAAAAAAAAGCTGGATTCAGTAAGACAAAGGAACTGTAATTAATGAAACTTTAATACAACTCAATGAAATACATACTTTTAGAATTCTATGTCCTCTCAGCACACAAGGGAATGGGGTAGAATAGAGTTATCCCAATATTCCCCTTGGCACTAAGAAAACCAGAGGACATGGTTTTTAACACTAGGAATAATGCATTTTCAATGCGTTTGTATAAGCAAGTCTTTTATATAAATGTGATTGTGCTTCAAAGCCATATAACATCTCAGGTTTTAACATGTAATATGCTAAAAGCTATGTTTAAGGCAAATAAAAGCATTAAGTAATACCTTCTTACAGAGAGCTCGCAGCTTGAAAGCAGAAAAATGAAATGCAGAGTGTTCATAAAAAATTTAAGGAAAAAAATATTACTGTTCCCCATAATTCCAAGTTTGTTTGTTTCAATCATTGTTACTTATTTGGAATAGTTAATAGGCTTAATTAATGCTCTTCGTGTATTTAAAAAAGGAAAACATTCCATTTTCCTGAAAGTCTGCAAAATGTTAATATTCTTCACAAACTTTTCTCTACCATGAGCACAGTAATGACTTCTACTTGTACATTATTTGGGACTTAAGCATGAGAAAAGAAGGCAGAGAGTTAACATACATACCTTTTTGTTAAACGCCCAGATTTTGTCCCACTCCATGTTCACGACTGAACGTGAGGAGCCCTAAAAAACAATAACAACATGATTTTAAGGGCAAGCAGTATTAATTAGAACTTTGCCTTTATTTCATGCTAAGCATGTTTAGAAAAAAAAAAAAAACTCGATAAATACTTTCAAGTTTACTTCTAGTGAAATATAAAACTCAGTGTATACAAACTAATTTGGTTACCCTTAACAGTTCACTGTAAAGGTTCAGTCTACAGACTGCTCACAGTCAAGTCATATAATTCACTGCTAAAAATACTTCAGCTGCCTTTCTCCAAATCTAGCTTAGGAGTTTAGGACATTTTCAATTTTTCACTATTATAAGCAGTGATAAACTTTAAAAAAAAAAAAGTTTGTTTTAAAAAAAAAAAAAAAATCTGCCCTTGGATCATAAGGCACAAACAAGGAATAGAAAGAACAACAGAGATAATAAAGAGTAAAGGGACAGTAATAGAAGTACCTGAAATTTCAAACAGACAAGCTGGAAAAGAAACTGTAACGCACCTGAGCAGCAATAAACTGTTTCAGTCCTTCAACTGTCATCCCTCTTCTCAGTACACCACGAACCGTAGGAAATCTTGGGTCATCCCTGGAAATATGTAAATTTTAAGTACCAAGGAAATTTTGTAATGTGTAGATGTGGAGAGTAGAAGATACTTAATCAATAATAAATCATATTCAGCTTGTTAAACATTTGTCTAAGAGCTAGTTATACTAATTAGGTAGTATGCAATACTAGTGAGCCCAAATTCAAGGAACAGGATAACTGCTGACCTGTCAAATACTGCAGTAAAATAAATGCACTACTGGAAACAGTAGAAGCACATTTGAAAAAAAAGACACAATGGTGACATTTTCAAATATGGAAATCCCATGCATTCATACATTTTTATTTATCAAACATTTTCAAGGTCCCTATTCCACATAGGACCATGAGAATCAGAAAAAAGATGGTATCCTGTCATTCACATATGAATATACTTTATAAAGCCCTTTGGAATAAAACAAAAATATATGTAGGAAATTAATATTCTGCAGGGATCTGCAAACCTCAGTAAGTATGCAGTAATACCCTTTTCATGGAGCTCAAGATAAACTTTTACATCTTCACTTCGATTCAAGGGTATTTTAACCTTCTTGGGACCTAGCCAAAAAGAAAAACCTCAGCCTCAGCAGAGAGTAGAGATCAGTAACCAAATATACCAAGAACCAGAAAGTCAAAACTGTTCTTCTATTAAATGCTAAGACCTGCAGAGGATGTGCCCTCATGTGTGTTTTTCATTCCATGATCCCCAGTGGGCACTCCATTATTTGTGGCATTAAAACAAGAAGGGGAAGCCCTAATGCACTGGCTGAGAAGAAGATAAGAATCAGGAATTCTATAGGCCTACCCATTCCCCCTCCTCCCAATCACCTTCCCTATCTCTCAAGCAGTTTAAAAATCACTGATCTACTATGTCCTTACTTCTTGTCAATTCTAAGTAACATTAAACATACCATCCATCTACTAGTCCTTCATTGACAAACCATGTGAGTTTTCTTTTGGATAGCACTGTGTTGTTGAGATTTAGCCGACTATATTCCCAAATATATGGTTTTCTTATGCCTAAAGCTTCAATAATCCAGTAAAACTGCTCATCTCTGTCATGGTATTCTGTTGTTCTCAGGGCATGTGTAACACCTTCGATGCTGTCAACTATGGGGCAGGCAAAATCATATGTTGGATAAACACTAGAAAAAAAGAAAATAAAATAAACAAAACATTTTACCCTTTCCCTCTTAGATTAAGCATTATAAACAACAATACTAATTTAAAATGTAATTCTTTACAAGTTAAGAGATTCTTAAAAACCAAAAGGTTTTATGACTTAATACTCAAAGTGTATCAAAACATTATCAGCCTTTGAGAACAATGAGTCAGTTGTCAACTTAGCAGTCAAACAAAAAAGCAAATTTGCAATCTAATACAAAATTAGGTATTGGCTTGGCAAATTGTATAATCATAATATTTCTGTAATGGCCAATGTATAACATAGTAGGAAGCAATAAATAATACATGTAATAATTTTAAGGAAATTTAGCTTTTGAACATCTTTTTTTTTGAGACGGAGTCTCACTCTGTTCTGAGTAATCCCTTACTCAAGTAAATCCCTAAAAGTCTTAAAAGTACTCAAACACACTCAAAAACAGTGCTCCATTCACTGTGTAAAAAAAAAAAACCGACAGAAGACCAGAAAATCATTAGGTCAAAATTACATTTAAGATGAAATAGTCTAAAAAACAGTTTCTGACTAAGATAATGTATACAATTTACATGCAGTATCAATTTGAATTTATATATATATATATATATATATATATATATATATATATATATATATTAGTGCATTATGCTTTCTTTCTTTTTTTTTGGAGACAGTCTCGCTCTTTTACCCAGGCTAGAGTGCACCGGTGCGATCTCAGCTCAGTGCAACCTCCGCCTCCTGGGTTCAAGTGATTCTCAGCCTCCCAGGTATAGATGGGATTACAGGCATGCGCCACCATGCCCCGCTAATTTTTGTATTTGTTTTAAAGTAGAGATGGGGTTTCACTATGTTGGCCAGGCTGGTCTCAAACTCCTGGCCTCAAGTGATCCACCCACCAAGGCCTCCCAAAGTGCTGGTATTACAGGCATGAGCCACTACACCCAACCAATGCTTTCCTTTTTGTTTGTCTAGAGACAGGGTTTCACTCTGTTGCTCAGGCTGGAGTGAAGTGGCATGATCACAACTCACTGTAACCTTGAACTCCTGGACTGAAGCAATCTTCTTGCCTCAGTCTTCCAAGCAGCTAGAACTACTGAAGCGTGCCACCATACCTGGCTAGTTTTTTTTTTTAATTTATTTTTTGGTAGAGACAGGTTCTTGCTATGTTTCCCACGCTGGTTTCAAACTCCTAGCCTCAAGAGAGCTTCCTGCCTCAGACTCCCAAAGTGTTGGCATTACAGGCATGAGCCACTGTGCCCAGCCATTATACATTCTAACTTTTAAGATACAACTTGATTAAGATGCTACTGCATTATGCTTTGCAATTATTTGACACTGAAAATGTGTATCCAAAGTCACTTTTCCAAATGTATTGAAAGGATTTGCTTAGTAAAACAAGGAGTAATCCTGAGAAAAATGATATGTATGCACATATAATCACATGTGTATTTGTCTATATATGGACAGACATGTCAGCACCCATGAGTTTAAAGTAAGTCACATCAGCTAACCAAGTAATCATTTACATTTACCATTCTCTTCAGAAATTTTAATTCAGCATTTATGTGTAGTACGCTTCTTCAAAGTATTAAAAAATATTTTTTATGATTTATTTTATAAAGTAGGGTTTTTTTTTTTGGAAAAGGTCCATTTAAAACAAAGATTCGTTAACCTACAAATCCACATTGAAAACTAATCTAAACACATGTTACTCTCCTGTATTGTTCATATTTCTGGAAGTTTTCAATACTATTACTTTTAGGAATCAATTTGTGCAAAGTAGACTCAAAGTTTATTACAGGAAGCAAAGTATCTTCACCTAAAGATGTACATCACAGTATACCTAATCAATACAAAAAAAGCAACTCTAGGCAGACTCAGGACTTTCATAGATGGAAGTGATCTTAGAAATAATGTGGTAGAACCTTAATTGACAGGTGAGTAAACGGCCCGTGAAAGGCTACATGCCTTTACAGAAGGCCACCAGCCAGTGAACCCATGGATGAACAAAAGGCCAGGTTTCTTGACTATTTTGCTTGTACTCCATGTTTAAAGAAGATCAAAACAAAAGCACAGATGGCTACCTAGCATATTGAAGGAGATATACTTACTTGTATTTATTTCCAGTTCTTGGATGTGGTTGAATTTTGCAGCGATAAAGGGTTGGATCTCTCATGCATCCATTGTTACTACTCATGTCAATTTTTGCTCGCAAACAACAGGACTGACCAAACTGGCTCCCTTTTTTCATTTCTTCCCACATTTGTAGATTCTTCTCAATAGCTATAAAATGATAATTACATTACGGTTCACTAATCTGGTTAAATTCAAATTATTCTCATAGTGCTATAATTTGATATAAATTTTCATGTTCTTGTTTTATAACCACCCTGTGTTAGTTTAAAAACACTGTAATATTTCCAGTATCCAGTACCAAGAGCAAATGCGTCATTTTTTAATTAAAGAAGTTTCACAATACATTTAGCAAATACAAATACGTTTTAGAAAAGGTAACATCAATACATTCCACTCATGTGGTATCAATTAAGCATAAGAAAAAGTACAAGGCCTGAAGGCTCCGCTCACCTAGTGTTTCCCTTCCCATCATGGCACAACGGGCCAGCCCCTTCTCTTCTCATCTCCCTGAAATTTAACATTCTGCCTTTAAAGCAGAAGCATTCTTATTTTGCCACCTCATGCCTAAGGGACAGAATGGTTTGGTCCGGCCCTAAGGTCCCACAGGCATTGGCACTACAGACCGTGCCTATCTAAAGAACACAGCTCAGGTTGAGAGTCTGAGCTCATGGGCTCCCTGAAAGCCCCTTCATCATCCCAATGAGAAGCAGGATACTCTTGGATCCAAGAAAATAAGAGGTGATAGAAAACAGTGACACAGGAAAGAAAAGAGTTTAATACCAGAAAAAAGGACTCTACATTCCAAGTGGCTATGGCTCCCTCTATATCACAATATCTAGCAAAAACCTGCCCTGTATGCATACAAACTGTTAAACAATAATTTTCTGTGGAAGCTACTAGAAATGTAAGACACTTGCCCTCAAATAATCAAGATAGGTCTAAAAGTCCATTGGTTAGCCACCTCTGAAAATGTAGAAAACCTTTTCAAAATAAAAAAGACTCATTATAACTATTTTAATTTACTAATACTTCCCAAATGTGGCACTCCAGGTTTAATTATAGTGAAGTTCTGACAACATAATTACAGAATGAAAATCACCCAATTTAGAAGTTCAGGAGAGAAGCCATGAATAAGAAAGATATGCTCTTCAGTCAAGTGATATTTCAGAGATACAGGTTAGTACTGAGCTTGTACTATATATTATATTCATATTTACCCACATGCCAAAAGGAAGACTTGGGTGACAACATTATCATCAAACATTGTATTATAGAAAGGCTAAGTATTTAAAGTAAGAAAACTGTAAAATGTTGCAGAAGGAATCCTTCAAATTGAATGAATACAATGCAAAAGACTACACATAATAAGTGAGATACTAAGGGCATATTCACATGCAGTTGTGATGTTAATAAAATAACAAGAACATAAAGATAGAGGAAGAAAAAAGATTTCTAAGACAAATGAGTCATATACCCAAATGTATTTAAACTAGCAGCTTTTGCCAGATACGGTGGCTCATGCCTGTAATCCCGGCACTTTGGGAGGCCAAGGCAGGCAGATCACAAGGTCAGGAATTCGAGACCAGCTTGGCCAATATGGTGAAACCCCGTCTCTACTAAAAATACAAAAATTAGCAAGGTGTGGTGGTGCACGCCTGTCATCCCAGCTACTTGGGAGGCTGAGGCAGAAGAATCACTTGAACCTGGGAGGCGGAGGTTGCAGTGAGCCGAGATCGCGCCATTGTACTCCAGCCCAGGCAACAGAGCGAGACTCCTTCTCAAAACAAACAAACAAACAAAAAAACTAGCAGCTTTCACAAAAAAGAAATCACGTTCTACTAAAGAAGCACAATATAAGAATATCAATTAAAATATAAAACAATGTGGCTTACGGTTTTTTCTATGTTTAGAGTCTATCCTCTGCTCACGTTCTGCTTTCATCTGTTCAGCAGGAGTATCATCCACATAAGCCTTCCCTTCTTGAATTAGCTTCTCTGCATACTTCATTATAGTTTCAAAATGATCCGAAGTATAAGTAAATTGATCTGGTTTGATATGCAACATTGCAACATCTTCCAAGATAACCTGTAGTAAGAAACCAAAATAACCATCAGTATATCTTTTGCATTTTTTCGTGCATTTTCAACCCTTGATACTGCATTTAAGCAAATGTAACATAGACCATCAGTCTTATTTAGCCTGAAAATGGTTGTGGAAGTTACATGATATTAGATCAAAAAAGAAAAAACAGATAGATACTCATTATATTAGCCTCCAAATTTCCAGCTGAGAAAGCTGATCTCACGATGGAGTTTTCCATTTACTTTGGAAAAGCTGGTCATTACTGGGAGAACTGACAATCATTTGCCCTCTCTTTGAATACACTGCCATACTTCTGAATAAAGATAAGAGGCTAGGAAACCTTCACATTTTCCAATACCTACTTAGTGTTTATTTCATTCATAAACTTAAGATTATATGACCAAAAAACCTGCCTCCAGTGACCATTTAATAAATTGGTATTATAGGAAAACATATCATTCAGGTAAACTCTATAACTGGGGAAAGGAAAAATAACTCTTAAGTTTTTTGGTATGGGAGCTCGACATTTCTTGGCTTAGGTCTCAGATATGGAATATATAGATAGGGAAAAAAGCAGCTATGAGAACAAAATTTATTTTCATACCATGAAGGTATTAGGTAATCCTGTAACTTTAATTCACTTTTCTGGCAAAGGGTCATCACTACACTTTTAATTACCTTCTCAAAATCTTCCTTTTCTTTTTCAGGATTTGTGTCATCAAATCTCATGATCAGTTTCCCTTTAAAGTTAACCTGGTAGTGCTGGTTCAGAAGAGCAGCTTTTGCATGCCCAATGTGTAAGTAACTAAAACAAAAACATTTCACAAAGAAACTCATTAACATGTTTTAACTAAATACTTAAACTTAACCTTTTTGAGGAGATGAGAACTAAACAAAAGTCCTTCTAATTGGTACCCAAGTCATATTTTATTTTCTAACAAAAAGTACTGTGATAGAAAATCTGACCCTGACAGGAAAAAAAAAAAAGACTATACCATATATAAAACAATTATAAGAAACAACTTCAAATGTAAAATCTCACAGAGGGGACAAGGTATTTACAAACATTGCAACCTTAAGGAGATTCTCCTTTTTCTTTTTATCAAAAAGAATGATCATTTAATTAAAGTAAAGCTGCTTCAAAATTGTTTCCAACGCTACCTTCCACTGTTTGTCTTTAATAAGACCTACTACTACTGAGAACTGGGTGCCCACCTATGCCACTGGAGAGAAGCTCTTCTGAGACTGTCACTGTGATGACTAAATGAAAAGAGCACATGACAATTAGTAAAAGCCGCTTTACTTCTCTAGGCTTTGGTTTTCTCAGATGCCAAAATAAAAGTTTTTTTTTTTTTTTTTGAGACGGAATCTCGCTCTGTCGCCCAGGCTGGAGTGCAGTGGCACGTTCTCAGCTCACTGCAACCTCCACCTCCTGGGTTCAAGCGATTCTCCTGCCTCAGCCCCCCAAATAGCTGGGACTACAGGCACGCGCCACCATGCCCAGCTAATTTTTGTATTTTTAGTAGAAACGAGGTTTCACCATGTTGGCCAGGATGGTCTCGATCTCTTGACCTCGTGATCCGCCTGCCTTGGCCTCCCAAAGTGCTGGGATTACAGGCGTGAGCCACCGCACCCAGCCAAAAGATTATTTTTTAACTTTAATTTTTTAACTTCTATTTTAGGTTCAGGGGTACATGTGAAGTTTTGTTATATAGGTAAACTCATGTCACGGAGATTAAAAATAAAAGAATTTTAACTAAATAATCCCAAAGGTCTCATCAGCACCAACACTCAATGAATCAGAATCTACAAAAACACTGTTCTGCTGTTCCTGTGAGCAGCTGACAATTGTAAGGAAGAATACAGATCAGAGACACTGTTGATAATATCACACATCAACACCCTCCTTCTATCAAGTACATGAGTAAAAGAAAATATGTTACACCACTATGTTGAAATACAGTTGATTGGGCTGACAAGGCATGAAGCAAGGAAGTTTAATCAGCTTTCACCAACTTGTATTAGTTTCAAATTATAATGATGGCAGCAGTGGTACAGTTTTTTTTGTTGTTGTTGTTTTGTTTGTTTTTTTTTTGAGACGGACTCTCGCTCTGTCGCCCAGGCTGGAGTGCAGTGGCGTGATCTCAGCTCACTGCAAGTTCTGCCTCTCAGGTTCACACCATTCTCCTACCTCAGCCTCCCAAGTAGCTGATACTACAGGTGCCTGCCACCATGCCCGGCTAATTTTTTGTATTTTTAGTAGAGACGGGGTTTCACTGTGTTAGCCAGGATGGTCTCGATCTCCTGACCTTGTGACCCGCCTGCCTCGGCCAGCAGTTGTACAGTTTTAAGATAGTTACCTGGTTTCCCACACAGGTTTGATCTCAGTTGATATCCATATGGGAGGGGGAAAAGTTTATGAAATTATATTATTTTATAAAATAAAATAATATAAAAATTCATAAAAGTTTATGAATTTACATTATTTTCAAATCAATCAAGTTTTTAAAAGTCATTAGCATCCCAGATCAATGATTCAACTTTAAGAAGGGCTTGGGCCGGGCACAGTGGCTCATGCCTGTAATCCCAGCACTTTGGGAGGCGGAGGCGGGCAGATCACGAGGTCAGGAGTTCAACACCAGCCTGGCCAACATGGTGAAACCCCGTCTCTACTAAAAATACAAAAATTGGCCAGGCACGGTGGCTCACGTCTGTAATCCCATCACTTTGGGAGGTCGAGGCAGGTGGATCACGAGGTCAGGAGATCAAGACCATCCTGGCTAACACAGTGAAACCCCGTCTCTACTAAAAAAAATACAAAAAAATTAGCCGAGAGTGGTGGCAGGCACCTGTAGTCCCAGCTACCTGGGAGGCTGAGGCAGGAGAATGGCGTGAACCCGGGAGGTGGAGCTTGCAGTGAGCCAAGATCGTGCCACTGCACTCCAGCCCGGGCGACAGAGCAAGACTCCATCTCAAAAAAAAAAAAAAATTATCTGGGCGTGGTGGTGGGCGCCTGTAATCCCAACTACTCGGGAGGATGAGGCAGGAGAATTGCTTGAACCTGGGAGATGGAGGTTGCAGTGAGCCAAGATCGCGCCACTGCACGCCAGCCTGGACAACAGTGCGAGGCTATGTCAAAAAAAAAAAAAAAAAAAAGGAGGGTTTATATACAAAGACTAATGCAAACAACTACAATGCAACATATTTAGGGCTATTCAAAACTTTATACATATAATAAAGGGCTGTACGCCGGGTGCAGTGGCTCATGCCTGTAATCCCGACACTATGGGAGGCCAAGGCAGGCGGATCACCTGAGGTCGCGAGTTCAAGACCAGGCTGACCAACATGGCGGAACTCTGTCTCTACTAAAAATACAAAAAATTAATTAATTAATTAATTAAAAATTTTTTAAAAAAAGGGCTGTATGTGATATCCCAGATGAAATCTTAGATCAGAAAAGAGATACTAGGGAAAAACTAACAAAATCCCAAAAAAGGATGGAGTTTAATAACATATTAATATTAGTTCATTAGTTGTGACAAATGTACCATAATAATGTAAAATGTTAATGTTAGGAAAAACTGGGTGCAGGGTACATGGAAACTTTCTGTACTATTTTTGCAACTTTGTGTAAATCTAAAACTATTCTAAAATTAAAAATTTATTAAAAATAAAACTAAATGAAGGGCCATAAGTTCCCAGGAAGAAAAATATTGTGGTGTACTTTTAACTTGAGGGCGTTGCACCCAATAACATGTTATAACCATTGTCAAGAAAAGATTAACAATTAGTACCTATTATTTTACAGTTAATGTGCTTGGCTTTAAAATACAGAAATTAATTTAAGAAAGGTGATGAGATCAAAACATTATTTCAAAAATGTTATTTCTAAATCTGCAGGTCTAACAATTCCAAACCTCAAGAAAGCTAAGAGGACTATAAGTCACAAGACAACTAAAATCATCAGTTAAAGAGTGACTCTATATCAGAATCGCTAAAACACACACACACGCGCACACACACACACACACAAAAGAATCATGCTGCATGAGTTAGAACTGATGCTGAATTGGGCTTCTGCCATATGTTAACAGATACATGTAGTACAATTTTTAATTATATGGATTCTAGAGCCAGATGGTAGAGGTTTGAGCTTGGCAAGTTACTACAACATATGAATCTGTTTCCGAAACCATTTGTAAAACAGAGATAACAACAGTGCCTCCTCAGAAGGCTGTTGGGATTAATAAGTTACTATAAGTAAAGCATGTGGTAGCACCTGTACATAATAGGTGCTATGTATATGTTAGCTAAGAATAAGAATAAAAGACTAAGCCAAGCCTTCTGGCCTTTCATTTAAGACACAGAAAAGAAAAAATGAAAAAATAGTAATTAAAGAAAAACTCTTTAACAGTACAAGAAGAGATGATGAAAACTATGCATAGTAAAAAAAACTAAATACTGATTTATATTCCTGACCCCAAAACTGTCTCATGAGCGTAGTCTCTGACATAATTTACAACAGGTAAATATATATTATACTGTAAATATACAAACATGGGGAACTCACTATTCCCAGAAGTGACAGTGACGCAAAATATGAAAAGATTTAAAAAAGACAAATGTTCAAGTGGCGCAGCTAAAAATGGCCACTGCCAAAAAAAGGTGGCTTTTAGACGATCAAGGTCACTATCCAACAGGACAATCATGACCTCTCATACCAAGTGCACAGTAGCAGAATACTAGATGGTAGGAACCCAAGATGTCTATAGATATTAAACCATGTAAGGTAAGTATTATTTATGCCTGAATCCACTTAGTCAATTACCAATCAACCATTTAACGATCAAGTCTGTGAATTTTCCACAGTCATCACTTCTGTTTCATCTCCTTCTATCTACCCTTTATTTCACCTCCTGAATCAGCAAACATAGAAAAGCAGAGACAAAATGTGAAATTCTAAAAGCAATTTTACTGTTAATGATGCTTATGAAATAGTTTGTGAAGAAGTATTAAATACATCGCTAAAAGAAAATTGTTTCTGTATCTTCCAGTTTCTACTGTGTACTATAGAAAGGTGAGAACTTCATTATGGTGATAGAATACAAAATCTGAAAAAATTAAATTTGGAAATCTTAAATTTGGAAAAAATAATCACCTCAATTACAAAACATGGCAGAACATTTTCCTAATGGTTAATTTTCTAAGTGAGGCTAACTGCTTTAATAAGAGGTATTTTATTATATTAACATCATTGGAAGGACGCTATTATAAAGCTTGTCCAGTATACTTCAAATAGGATGACAGGTGTGCAAAGACAAAGACTTCCTTCTCAGCCTTGGGGAATGGTGGGCAAGGGCTGAAGCAGCCCCAGCCTGGTGATCACCATACAGAACAGTCTTTTTCTCTAATGAGCTATTCAAATACTACTTTCCATGGGTGCCAAGAGATGAAGGGGTTGGGAAACCTAATGGAAAGAAAGGAATAGGAACAGGCTTTTCAGGACTCCCCTTCACTTGGGGAAAAAAAATAACTTAAAGACCAATACTATTATAACTTCAACTGCTAATTAAAAGGATTGCTCAGGGTACAAATACAAATCCAATTAAATGAAAGCCCAAAAATCTAAAAATAAAAATGAAATTTAAGGTTTCTTATTTTTGGATATTTTGTTAATTACATAATTAAAGTTCTGTCAGGATAAAACTAAAATGTCTCTTTTACTAAGTTGACAAACTAAAACTACAAATTAAATCAACATTAACTATTAATAACATAAAAACTGTTAAAACGTTTAGAATTTTAACTCTCACAATTAAAATCTTATGTTCTTCTATATTATTAACCTATTAATACTTTAAGTATTTAATCACTGTTTTAAAGCTTTCCCACTAAATATATTCAATTATAAATGTGAGTTACATTTTCTTACCCACTGGCCTCTGGAGGAAATCTGACGGTAACCTTTCCCATCTCCGCACCTGGAAGCTCAACAAATTTCCCAACATCTTGCTTTTTCTCAGGTGCCTGAAAAACACAACCACCATCACAACAAAAAGTCTTATGGTTAAATGTCTAAGAACACACTCATTCAACAAATGTGCCAGGCACTACACACACTGGTTATGAAAAATATGATGACTAGAACATCATCCCTACACTTGAGGGTACAAAATCTGGTTAAGAATATAAATAAAACCAAATACCAGTAATACAGATATGTTCAGGGTGCTGTTAGGGCACTCAGTTGAAATTAATCAGCAATACCTAGGTTTATCAGGAAAAGCTTAAAAGCAGTTAAGAACCAAGCTGGACCTCGAAGATAAGTAGAAATGTATCAGATGGAGTATATGGGATGCTAGGCACGGTGGTTCATGCCTGTAATCCCAGCACTTTGGGAGGCCGAGGATGGCAGATCACTTGAGGTCAGAAGTTTGAGACCAGACTGGCTAACATGGTGAAACCCCATCTCTACTAAAAATGCAAAAATTAGCTGGGCCTGGCGGCGTGCACCTGTAGTCCCAGCTACTCAGGAAGCTGAGGCAGGAGAATCGCTTGAACCTGGGAGACGGAGGCTGCAGTGAGCCGAGATCATGCCACTGCACTCCAGCCTGGGTGACGAGCAAAACTCTGTCTCAAAAAAAAAAAAAAAAGTATATGGGGTATTCATTCTAAGTAAATAAATAACAGAGTAGGTAAGGCACAAAGGCAGGAAAAAGTAGTGCAATGTCCATGAAAAGTTAGGAATGCATATTGGGTGGGTAGGGAAGGAAGCCGAAATAGATTAAGTCAAAAACACAGAGGACCTTTTAAGTTTGGCTTTTAAGTTTTAGGCAATGAGGAGTCAGTCCTCAGGGATAATAGGACCGTGGATTTGTGTTTTCTAAAGTGATACCCTGAACTAGAGAAAGATGAGACAAAAGGAAGTTTAGTTATGAGATTATGGTATTAAACCAAGCAAGGAAAAATTAGGCCTCAACAAAGTGCAGTAGCACTGAAGATGGACAGAAAACAAATCTACACACATGAGAAGTCATAACAGGACTCGTTGAGTAAATGTGAAAAACAGTGAAGGATGAGTAAAGATTTGTAGCCAAAACAACTGAGTGGACTGGGCTATCTTTATCCAAGTAGACAGTAGTTTTCAAATTTTACATTAGAAAACCTTAATTAAATCAAAACTTTACAACACATTCCTAAAGTGTAAAACAGATCAAAGTGGAGCAACTCTGGTAGAGAAAAGGAGCTTTTGTACTGTACACTATGTCACATTTTCCTACAGAACCAATGAAAAAGTGCTGCAGAATCCCAGGACTTGATGCTCAATGGTTCAAAAACCAGGAGATTCAGAAGAAAGAAAAAATTGCAAAGGTGTAAAATTAATGAGGTTTTATTTATATGGAGTTTGGATTGCCTAAGGGACATACACTGGATGATCAAAATATTTAGCTATATAATTATAAAGATTAGGGCTTTATATAGATGAACAATTAAATGTGAAACCAAGACTTAAAAATGTCAGATTCTTGCAAGAAGATCCTTTTAAATTTATTAAAAGAAAATAAACTTTATGAGTAGGAATAATTGTCTTTTCAGACCTAGGGCCTCAGACAGACTGAAATGTCATCTTTTTTTTTTTGAGATAGAGTCTCGCTCTGTTGCCCAGGCAGGAGTGCAGTGGCGCGATCTCGGCTCACTGCAAGCTCCGCCTCCCAGGTTCACACCATTCTCCTGCCTCAGCCTCCCGAGTAGCTGGGACTACAGGCGCCCACCATCACGCCCGGCTAATTTTTTTTTTTTTTTTGTATATTTTTAGCAGAGATGCGGTTTCACCGTGTTATTCAGGATGGTCTCAATCTCCTGACCTTGTGATCCGCCCGCCTCAGCCTCCCAAAGTGTTTTTTTTTTTAAAAAAAAAGAAAAAAAGGCTTACCACTCGAGCTTTGGTTGTTGAAACATCCCACTTGGTACCTACTGACTGGAAGGCCTGCTGGGCTTCAAGAAAGCCAAACCAACGTTTTACATGAACTGGAGCTTTCTTCTGTTTCAACTGTTCTTGCCAGGCAGCATTTCCTATGAGCAAAGATAATTTTAAACTATTCAATAAATCTGCAGCTTCAAAAGCAAAGTTCCAGTTGTGACTAATTGAAGTAATTGAGATGGCTTAAAGTTGTGCTTCTAAAGAAAATGAAATGTTAAATATCTGGATATACACTGAACTGTTTTCTAAAACAGTTAGCTCTCTGTGTCCATGGGTTCCATAACCGTAGATACAACCAACTGAAGACGAAAAATATGCAAAGCTGGGCATGCTGGTTTCTTGGGACCTGGTGAGGGTGGATGATTACAAAGCAGCATGAGGAACTTTTGGGGGTGGTGGATATATTTATTATCTTGATTGTAACCATAGTTCCACAGCTGTGTGTGTGTGTGTATGTATATATACACACACATATATATGTCAAAATTTATCAAAATATACATTTTTAAATAAGTGTGATTTTCTGTATGTCAATTATACCTCAAGAAAGTTGTTTTTGAAAAAACTGTCTTTCCAAGTTGGAAAAAGCATATTCTTACTTGTTCCAAACTAGTTGTAGAAGAAGGAAGTGACCTCCAAGAAAAACCACAACTCCACATCATCCCACTACTCCCTAACCTCCCAGTCACACACTCACTGAGCAATAATGGCTTTTTTCAAGTCAGAGACAAGTGTCTGGAGTAAAATAATAGCTGAAGTAGGAGAGGTGCTAACATAAATGGGATGGGGACTTCTTTATCAGGAATAAGATCAGCTCCAAAGGCAAGAAGGAAGTTGGGGTTGTGAGACAGACGACGGGACGGCAGAAAAACACAGGGAATTCCCGTAGCTGGATAGGAATAAAACAGCCAGGGAGGTCATTCCCCTGTAATAAAGTCCTAAGTTACTGTCTAAACATATATATACACACACATATACATACATGCATACACACAGAAATATATATAATTTTTATCCAGCAAAATATTAAACGATTAAAACAGAGGATTATTAAGAATTATTGATACCTTTTAGGGTGGCCCAAACACATAAATCTGCTAAACTCAAGGAGTTTCCAACTAAGTATGTTCTCAGAGACAGGCAATGATTGAGTTCATTAATTGTAGAAGTAAAGGAATCACATGAAGATAATTTTGTAGCACTGAACTCCAACCAGTGATCAATCTGTCAACATAAAAGACAGAAAAGAAATGCATTCCAACATTTCAACTTATAAAAAGAAAGACCATAAAAAAATTCTAGTTAACTAGAGCAACAGTACACTCTTACTATGCTTTTCCTTTCTCAAATTATACAATTTATCATTATGTGGACTAAATTCTGATTGCCTAAAATCTAAAATAGAACTTAAATAAATGCCACATTTATTTTGCTATGCTTTCTGCTTTTTTTTTTTTTTACAGGAGTGTGGCGGGGCACTTCAGGAAAGAACAGGAAAATAAGAATTTGAGAATTGGTGGCAGAAATAAGCCAACCTGAATGAACCGAAGGGATGGTACCTAGCCAAACAGATTCATTTACTTGAAAAATTTAAAAGTTAGTACTTAGAAACCATTCTGTGTACTTTGAATTTTATGAGATTTAGGAAGGTTAGAGCAGAATACAAACAGGAAAAAAAGCAGCATCTAAAAAGCAGTACTGTCATCTACTGCATAATGACATTTCGGTCAATGACAGACTGCATATATGACAATGGTCCCATAAGATTATAGTTTTATCTATGTTGTCTATGTTTAGATACACAAATACGTATTGTGTTACAATTACCTACTGTATTGAGTATTGTAACTTGCCAGTATAGGTTTGTAGTCTAGAAGGAATAGGCTACACTGTATAGCCTAGGTGGGTAGTAGGCTATCCCCTTTAGGTTTTTGTAGGTACACTCTATGATGTTGACAGAATGATGAAACTGCCTAATAACACATTTCTCAGAACGCATCCCATTGTTAAGAGGCACATGATTGTATATAAAGCTAATTTACTACTGAAATAATTAATTAAACAAGGCATACACTTAGAAAGAAAAGAAAATGGGATCCAAACTATGCGTGTTACCCTGTTCAAACTTAACTTT
Source organism: Homo sapiens (assembly GCF_000001405.40). Lineage (NCBI taxonomy): Eukaryota > Metazoa > Chordata > Mammalia > Primates > Hominidae > Homo > Homo sapiens. The sequence goes on from NC_000001.11 coordinate 220,034,569, forward strand.
TCTAGGCCTGCTGCCTTATCCGTAAAGTAAGAAAGTTGGATGAGATGATCTATACAGCCCCATCTGGCTATGAAATGCTAGGAATCTGTGAAGGCCAAGATGGCACTAAATGCTCCCAAAAGTACAGCTGGTAGGGGACTAAAGGTTCAAACTTAGGAATTACAAAAAAAGAATTTTTTTGTGACAAAAAAACAAGATGAGCATTCTGTACCTTGGTCTATATAATTAACACTCTGTTAATATCCTTAAGTAGAATAGTTCATAAGCCAACAATAAATGATGAGGTTCCCATAAAAAAACAGAAGCATAAGACAAAACACACACAACAAAATGTTCATTGCTTACCTCAGTATGTTCCATCAGATTAGAGCCATATAACCCAGCTGTAGTTGCAACTCTAGCCAAGTAGCGAAGTATAGAATTCACATCTGTGAATATCACATTTCTAGAATATAAGCACGAGATAAAATATTACTGCTGCTCTAGCAAATCAGTAAGTCATGAGACTTATGAAGAAATGTAAAAATGGAAACTTTATTATATTTACCATGTATTTTCTACTATAGTAAAAAATAGATCTGTTAATTGTTTGTTTGTTTCAGATGCAGTTTCACTCTTGTTGCCCAAGCTGGAGTGCAATGGTGTGATCTTGGTTCACTGCAACCTCTGCCTCCAGGGTTCAAGCAATTCTCCTGCCTCAGCCTCCCAAGTAGCTGTGATTATAGGTGGCTGCCACCACGACAGGCTAATTTTTTGTATTTTTAGTAGAGACGGGGTTTCACAATGTTGGCCAGGCTGGTCTCGAGTTCCTGACCTCAGGTGATCCACCTGCCTCAGCCTCCCAAAGTGCTGGGATTAGAGGCATGAGCCACCACGCCCAGTCTGCTAATTTGTTCTTTACATGTCTATTCAGAGGTGCAAATATGAAAATATAACTGGGATGTTGAGAATAACAGTGATTTAATATAAATCAAGGCTGGCCAAGTGTGGTGACTCACACCTGTAATCCCAGTACTTTGGGAGGCCAAGACGGGCAGATCACTTGAGGTCAGGAGTTTGAGACCAGCCTGGCTAATATGGTAAAACCCCGTCTCTACTAAAAACACAAAAATTAGCTAGGCATAGTGGCATGCACCTGTGCTCCCAGCTACTCAGAAGGCTGAGGCACAAGAATCGCTTGAACTCACAGTGAGCTGAGATCACACCACTGTACTTCAGCTTGGGTGACAGAGAGAGACCCTGTCTCAAAAAAAATAAATAAATAAAATAAATCAAGGCAAAGGAGCCAAGAATCTATTGCTAATAAAGAGGCTACGAAGGCAGATCAAACCTCATCCAAACCCATCACAAGCCAGGTGTGGTGGCTCATGCCTGTAATCCCGGCACTTCGGGAGGCCGAGGTGGACAGATCACTTGAGGTCAGGAGCTTGAGACCAGCCTGGCCAACATGGTGAAACCCCGTCTCTTCTACAAATATAAAAATTAGCCGGGTGTGGTGGTGGGCACTTATAATCCCAGCTACTCAGGAGGCTGAGGCAGGAGAACTGCTTGAACCCGGGAAGTGGAGGTTGCAGTGAGCCAAGATCGTGCCACTGCACTCCAGCCTGGGCAGCGGAGCAAGACTCCACCTCACAACAAAAAACAAAAAACCACACACTGTTGGTGGGAGTGTAAATTAGTCAAACCACTGTAAAAAGCAGTATGGCATTTTCTCAAAGAGCTAAAAACAGAACTACGATTCAACCCAGCAATCCCATTACTGGCTATACACTCAGAGGAATATAGTTCATTCTACCATAAAGACACATGCATGGAAATGTTCACTGCAGCGCTATTCACAATAACAAAGACATGGAATCCACCTAAATGCCCATCAGTGACACACTGGATAAAGAAAATGTGGTACATATATACCACAGAATACTATGCAGCCATAAAAAAAAAAAAAGATCATGTCTTTTGCAGCAACATGGACGGCACTGGAGGCCATTATATTTAGCAAACTGACACAGGAACAGAAAACCAAATACTGCATTCTCTCACTTATAAGTGGGAGCTTAACGACGAGAACACATGAACACAAAAAAGGGAACAACAGACACTGGGGCTTGAGGGTGGATGTTGGGAGGAGGGAGAAGAGCAGAAGAAATAACTATTGGATGGCTTAGTACCTGGGTGACAAAATAATATGTACAGCAAACCCCATGACACAAGTTTATCTACATAACAAACCTGCACATGTACCACTGAACCTAAAATAAAAGTTCATAAAAGAATAAATTCATTTTTAGCAATGAAACAAAAATACTGCAATCATAAAACAAGATACTAAAAAAAGAGTATCCAGAATGTAAAAAAAACAGAACACTCAGATACTAAAAACATAATAGCCAAAATTAAAAACCTCAATAGAAAAATGGGATAATAAAGTTGAGAAGTTGAGGAACTTTCCAGAAAGTAAAGGAAAAAAAAAAAATGGGCCAGGCATGTTGGTACACACCTGTAGTCCCAGCTACTCAGGGGGCTGAAGCAGGTGTATCGCTAAGCCCAGGAGTTGGATGCTGTAGTGTGCTATAATTGCACCTGTGACTATCCATTGCACTCCAGCCTGGACAGCATACTGAGACCTCCATCTCTAAAAATAAAAATAAAGAGGCCAGGCGTGGTGGCTCACGCCTGTGATCCCAGCACTTTGGGAGGCCGAGGTGGGCGGATCACCTGAGGTCAGGAGTTCCAGACCAGCCTGGACAACATAGTGAAATCCCATCTCTACTAAAAATACAAAAATTAGCCAGGCATGGTGGCACATGCCTGTAATCCCAGCTACTTAGGAGGCTGAGGCAGGAGAATCGCTTAAACCTGGGAGGCGGAGGTTGCAGTGAGCCTGGATTGTGCCACTGTACTCCAGCCTGGGCAACACAGCAAGACTCCATCTCCAAAAAAAAAAAAAAAAAAAATAGAAAGATGGAAAATGGAGGTGACAACTTAGAAAAATAAAGGACTAATCCCAACATCCACATAAAGAACCAAAAATAGAGAGAAAAACATTTTTCAAAGAAAAAATGTTTTCAATTTCCAAAAGCAGGATTTCCAAGTTTCCACAATGAAAGAGGCAACCAAATGCCCAGCAGAACAGATGAAAAATAGACCCAAACTAAAGCATATTATTGTAAAATTTGAGAATACTGACTCCTAAGGGAAGATTCCTCCAAACTTCCTGAAGTCACATAGAAAAGTTCAGAAATCAGAAAGTTTCAGAAGAAAATTACAAAGCAAACAAACACCAATTACTCCATGGAAAACTAACAGTTTTACATGAAAAGCAATTATACTATGTGGCTCAGTAGTAAATAAAACTTACACGGTCATTATAATGTAAATACAGAATGGTAATCAAATGACAATTATGGTACAACTACACTGGGAGAAAGGGGGAGATAGAGAGCAGAAGTTTATGAGTATGGGGTGACTGTGTGTATGTAGTGGCAACAGGGGAAAGTGTTTCAGCTTTATCTTTTTTTTTTTTTTTTTGAGATGGAGTTTCACTATTGTTGCCCAGGCTAGAGTGCAATGGCACAATCTCAGCTCACTGCAACCTCCACCTCCCGGGTTCAAGCGATTCTCCTGCCTCAGCCTCCTGAGTAGCTGGGATTACAGGCATGCACAACCATGCCCGGCAAGTTTTGTATTTTTAGTAGAGATGGGGTTTCTCCATGTTGGTCAGGCTGGTCTCGAACTCCTGACCTCAGGTGATCTGTCTGCCTTGGCCTCCCAAAGTGCTGGGATTAAAGGCCTAAGCCACCACACCCAGCTCAGTTTATCTTTTTTTTTTTTTTTTTTGAGACAGGGTCTCCCTCTGTCATCCATGCTGGAGTGCAGTGGTGCGATCCTGGCTCTACTGCAACCTCCGTCTCGTGGGCTCAGGTGATCATCCTGCCTCAGCCTCCCAAGTAGCTGGGAGTACACCCAGCTAATTTTTCCTCTTTTTTTTGTAGAGACAGGATTTTACTATGTTGCCCAGGCTGGTCTCAAACTGCTGAGCTCAAGCAATCCACTCGCCCGGCCTCCCAAAGTGCTAGGATTACAGGCTTGAGCCACTGCGCCTGGCCACATACCCTGTTTCATAGGGGAGCAGAAAGATAGGGAATGCAGATAATTCTTTTGAGCAAAGTAAATCATCAGAATAAATGGACCAGGAAGTGGGCGCAGGGAGGTGAGGGAGCAACATTAAAGGAAGATAAGAAACAGAGCGGCACAGGAACAAAGACTGTCTTATTACACGTGTAAAGTCACCTAGGTAATATCTTGAAGCTGCCCTCAGAAGAGCAGGTGAAGTCTGTCTGAGCTGGGATTGACTGACCTTTCCAGATTATTTGATGAGATCCACAAGGAGGGGACTTAAGTCAACTGCATTTCTTTTGGAAAGATGCTTTCTTGGCCAGATGAGGAAATTCTAGAAAGTCCCTCTCTATATGATGGGGGAAGTGGGCATGTTGGGTTGTGAAAGGAAACAAGGTTACAGGTACCCTGATTCTGAGGTAGCTTCTAAGGCCTCTCAGCATGTCAAAGCGCCAGTCTTTGGGGTATTGCTTTCTGAAGCAACATTCCCCTGTCTGAAACTTCCCTAGAAGTTTCAGTTAAAAGCTGAGTTGGTGGTTGTACAGGAAAAAATCAACAGCTGGGTGCCAAGGGATCCCATTAAACCAGTCACTCATTTCTGGGAGTAGGCCAGTCCAATTAAATAACCCTGCCTCATTTCAGGAGCTGGTGTTGCAGATGGGCTCTCAAAGCTAGACCTCTAGTTCCTTTTAAACAGACTACATGGGGAATCAGTTTGCTGAAAAATTTAAGTCTCTAGATTCAATTCTTTTAGAATAAAGAAAAGTATACTTCTTTCTAGGGACAATCTACTTAATTAGTAAGTAAAACAAGCATACAACATTTAATGCTGATTTTTTTTTTTTTTTTGAGACAGAGTCTAACTCTGTCACCCAGGCTGGAGTGCAGTGGCGCGTTCTCGGTTTACTGCAACCTCCGCCTCCCAGGTTCAAGCAATTCTCCTGCCTCAGCCTCCCAGGTAGCTGGGATTACAAGCATGTGCCACAACACCTGGATAATTTTTTGTATTTTTAGTAGAGACAGGGTTTCACTGTGTTACCCAGGATGGTCTCGATCTCCTGACCTCATGATCCGCCTGCCTCAGCCTCCCAAAGTGCCGGGATTACAGGTGTGAGCCACCGCGCCCGGCGATGCCGAATATTTCTTTAAATGCCATTCAGAGGCCAAACGTGGTGGCTCACGTCTTTAACCCTAGTGCTTTGGGATGCTGAGGCCGGAGGATGGCTTGAGGCCAGGGGTTCGAAACTGGGCTGGGCAACACAGTGATACCCCATCTCTACAAAAAACATTTTTTAATTAGCCAGGTGTGGAGGCATGTGCCTGCAGTCCTAGCTACTCGGGAGGCTGGGATGGCAGGATCCTGAGTCCACGAGTTCTAGGTACAGTGAGCTATGATCATGCCAGCCTGGGCAAAAGAGGGAGACTCTGTCTCTAAAAAAACTCTAAAAAAAAGAAAAAGCCAATCAGTACTGAAAATAAAAAGATGAAAACACTTACTCAGAAACATGAAGAATATTCTCTTTCCCTTCTTCAACGGAAATGCTGACATCGTCTTTCACGTGTTCTACTGCCAGCAAAGCTCCTATAAATAATATGAAAAGATTTTTTATCTTTAAAAGCAATGCAGTATTTATAACTTGAATCATAAAGCAATCAGGATGAGTCAACAAACCAATATTAAGTCCTACAAGGAGTGAACTTTTTTCTCAGTAGTCTGTAGACAGAAAATGTAGTCTTTTGTCTCAGAGCAGCAACAAATCAGAATCCAGAATCCATTCACTAGCATATCCAACTGGTTTTGAATTTGTTCAGCTTTCAGTTAGAGACACTGAAATTAATCTGCTTCTCCCTTCGGAGACAAAAAGAAATTAGTATAGTGCCAGCCAGGCATGGTGGCTCATGCCTATAATCCCAGCACTTTGGGAGGCCAAGGCAGGCGGATCACCTGAGGACAGGAGTTCAAGACCAGCCTGACCGACATGGAGAAACCCCGTCTCTACTAAAAATACAAAATTAGCCGGTCATGGTGGCGCATGCCTGTAACCCCAGCTACTCGGGAGGCTGAGGCAGGAGAATCGCTTGAACCTGGGAGGTGGAGGTTGTGGTGAGCCGAGATTGAGCCATTGCACTCCAGCCTAGGTGACAAGAGCAAAACTGCGTCTTAAAAAAAAAAAAAATAGTATAGTGCCTTATATAAAAGCTTTTGTTAATATGTTGACCTTGGATTTTTAAAAAACTAAAAAAAAAAAAAGAAAAAAGCTATCGTTAATAGTATTTGAGTGACTATTATATCTTAGTCACTATGCCAAATGCTTTACAGTTAGAATTTTTCATCTTTGGGGTAACCTGTAGAGTTAGATTCAAAGGACATGATATCTCAAGCCTATAATCCCAGCACTTTGGGAGGCTGAGGTGGGAGGACTGCTTGAACCCACAAGTTCAAGACCAGCCTGGGCAACATAGTGAGACCCCGTCTCTACAAAAAAATACAAAAATTAGCTAGGCATAGTGGTACACACCTGTGGTCCCAGCTACCCAGGGGGCTGAGGTGGCAGGACTGCTTGAGCCTGGGAAGTCATGGCCGCAGTGAGCCCTGATTGCACCACTGCGTTCCTGCCTGAATGACACAGCGAAACTGTCTCAAAAAAAAAAAAATGAGAGATACTTTCATCCCCATTTTACAGAATAGGAAAGTAACGCTTAAAGGAGTTAAATAACCAGCCTAATGTCCTTGACAAAATATATAGCAGTCAGGATCTGAATGCAAGCCTCATGTAGTCCACAGCTCAAACTCTAAAACAGTGTAAAATGGCCTCTTGACACTTAATTGATTCATTAATCCTCTGTCCCTTAATTTGATTAAGATAGACAGGCCAGGCGCAGTGGTTCACGCCTATAATCCCAGCACTTTGGGAGGCTGAGGTGGGTGGATCACCTGAGGTCGGGAGTTCGAGACCAGCCTGACCAACATGGAGAAACCCCATCTCCACTAAAAATACAAAATTAGCCAGGTGTGGTGGCACATGCCTGTAATCCCAGCTACTCAGGAGGCTGAGGCAGGAGAATCACTTGAACCTGGGAGGCGGAGATTGTGGCAAGCCAAGATTGCACTATTGCACTCCAGCCTGGGCAACAAGAGTGAAATTCTGTCTGAAAAAAAAGATGGACAACTAGCACCCAGATACTGGTTTATAAACACCATGTTCCACTGGAAACAGGGCTGTGGCAAGGAAGGTGCAAAATAAACCTGAAAAATCTTATTGTGTTAGAAAGCAAAGGAGTACTCAAAGATAGAGAACATATATGTCGAAAGGACATAGAGTCTCTACTAAAAATACTAAAAATTAGCTGGGCGTGGCAGCACAGGCCTGTAGTCCCAGCTACTTGGGAGGCTGAGGCAGGAGGACCACTTGAACCTAGGAGGCGGAGGTTGCAGTGAGCCGAGATCACGCCACTGCACTCCAGCCTAGGTGGCAGAGCAAGACTCCGTCCCCAAAAAAAAAAAAAAAAAAAGGCCACATGCAATGGCTCATACCTGTAATCCTAGTACTTTGGGAGACTGAGGCAGGCGGATTGCCTGAGCTCAGGAGTTCGAGACCAGCCTGGACAACATGGTGAAACCCCATCTCTGCTAAAATACAAAAAATTAGCCAGGCGTGGTGGCATGTGCCTGTAGTCCCAGCTACTTGGGAGGCTGAGGCAGGAGAATTGCTCGAACCTGGGAGGTGGAGGTTTGCAGTGAGCCAAGATCGTACCACTGCAGTCCAGCCTGAGCAACAAGAATGAAACCCCATCTCCCAAAAAAAAAAAAAGAAAAAAGAAAGAAAGGACAGAGTCCAGGTTGGAGGGGCTTCCACTGGCAAATCAGGGTAATGACATCGAAATAAATGAGATCAATTTTAGCACACCCATACAATGAAATTTTATCCAGCAAATAAAAAAATGAACTACTGGCCGGGCGTGGTGGCTCATGCCTGTAATCCCAGCACTTTGGGAGGCTGAGGGGGGCGGATCATGAGGTCAAGAGATCGAGACCATCCTGGACAACATGGTGAAACTCCGTCTCTACTAAAAATACAAAAAATTAGCTGGGCGTGGTGGCATGCGCCTATAGTCCCAGCTACTCGGGAGGCTGAGGCAGGAGGATCACATGAAACTGGGAGGCAGAGGTTTCAGTGAGCCAAGATCGCACCACTGCACTCCAGCCTGGTGACAGGGTGAGACTCCATCTCAAAAAACAAACAAACAAAAAACAACATCAACAACAACAAAAGTAAACTACTGTCATAGACAAAAAGATATATGAATTTCAGAAGTATTATCCTAGGCACATATGAGAATATAAGAATATATATAATATGATTCAATGTATATGAAATTATAGAAAAAGCAAAAAAGTGACAAAAAGAAGATGAGTCGCTATTAGGTGCTAGGAGTAGGGAAAGGAATGACTGCAAAGGGGCGTGAGAGGACTTTCTGAAGTAATGGAAATACTCTACATGATGACTGTGGTGTAGATTACACACTTGTCACATTTGTCACATTGTACACATTTGTCAATCACTTAAAATTGGTGAACAATTGTATACAAGTTATAATTCAATAAAACTAATTTTTAAAAACAAAATAATTTTAAATAGAAAATGAAAATAATACAAATTGTAACTTCTTGAGTATTTTTGCTATGATTTTTTTAAATGGGAAAAAGAGAAAGCTCTCCTCACAGAAAAATGCCAACTAATACATACAGAAGGAATGGTAGAATGGGAAAGTCACTATCTCGCAAACATCATAAAATCATAAAAATCAAGTTAGGCAGGAAGTATCAATGGATACTGAAACTAGTGGGTGAAGATCTGATGCAAAGTGGAACATTTACATGATTCCAATGCATCTGCCCATTAAAATTAAGGTTAGAATAATCAGTAATGGGAAAATTAAATTCATGCACCAACTGATGGGCTGCAATGAAGAACAAGGAATAACTACGCTATTCCTGCCAAAAACAAAGAGCCTGAATCTAGACACCAGGAAATATCAGACAACTTAAACAGAGGATATTCTTCAAGTTAAGTGGCCTGTTATCTTCAGAAAGGTCAAAGCTATGAAAGCCAAGGGAAGACTAGGAAACCATTCCAGACTGAAAGAAACTGGAGAGAGGTGACAATCAGATGCAAACAAAGCATAATACGGGATTTTGATCTCAACACTATGGAGGGTCTGGTTGTAACAAATAATGATAGAACAAGGATGGGGTCTGTGCATTAGATGGAAGCATTGTATCCAAGTGTATTTCCTGATTTGGGTGCTTGTGTGAGATCACCTGGAGTTTCCAAGTTTGTTGGGGATGTACACTGGAGTTATGCTGAGATACTGAAGCCTCATATCTACAGTATGCTCTTGGGTGGTATGGGGGAAAAAGGTCTTTATTTTAAGTTTGAAATTAACATTAAATATATAACATGATGAATGCATACAAAATAGGAAAATTCTAGCAATGCAACTATTATTTTAAAATGTTTCATCTAATTATATTACTTAAAGATAAAATGTAATTGAATTAAACTGGGAATAATTAAATCAAAAATTAAAAAGGGAGAGGAGCAATTAGAAAAATGATATATTTGATAACTGGCATACAGTTCAAAATGACAAGAGTTTCACAGAATACTGGCAGAATTCTGAGTTCTGTAATACACTACAGAAACAGGCCACCTTCAGGGTGATTTTCTAAGTAACAAAAAATGTATCAGGAGGCTGGGCATGGTGGCTCACACCTGTGGTCCTGGCACTTTGGGAGGCCAAGGCGGGCGGACTGCTTGAGGTCAGGAGTTTGAGACCAGCCTGGCCAACATGGCAAAATGCTGTGTCTACTAAAAAATACAAAAATTAGGCGGGCATGGTGGTGCGCACCTCTAAGCGCAACTACTCGTGTGGCTGAGAACAAGAATTGCTTGATCCTGGGAGGCAGAGGTTGCAATGAGCTCGGTCTCCAAAAAAAAAAAAAAAAAAAAAAAAAAAAAAAACAGTATCAGGAGCTTTAACTATAGTCTCACTTAACTCTGGCAACCAATCCTATCTGGAAGACATTATTCTCCCTTTCTTAAAACAAGGAAACTATGGGAGAAGCTAAATAAGGAACTTGTCAAGGTTTCACAACTAGTAAGTGGCAGCCAGGATTGGACTCAGGTCTGCAGAAACCAAATGTCTTTGCTCTCAATCATGAAGGCACTCTAATGCCTTTCCAGCTCAGGAATCAAACCCATTCCTTTTAGAGTTCATTGATTTGTTGTGCGGTTAGTCCATTACTGCAACCAATATGCCAAAACATTACCATCTTTTAAATGTTTAAAATGGCTATTAAGTTGTGTTTTTGTTCAACAACCTTAAAACATCACCAAAGTTGAGAATATAATGAATAATTTCATCAGCCCCACGTGGTCAACTGTATATAAAGGTATGGGCTTCTTCAACATTAGAAAGTACTGTGTGTGTATTATCATACATATGCATTAACAAATATTAGGTCAGGCTGGGTACTGTGGCTCACGCCTGTAATCCTAGTACTTTGGGAGGCCAAGTCAGGATGGCTTGAGCCCAGGAGTTTGAGACCTGCCTGGGCAACACAGTGAAACGCCATCTTTCCAAAAAAGACACAAACACAAAATTAGCCAGGCATGGTGGCACGCGCCTGTAGTCCCAGCTACTAAGGAGGCTGAGGTGGGAGGATCATCTGAGCCCGGAAGTTCGATGCTGCAGTGAGCCTTGAAAGCGCCACTGCACTCCAGCCTGGACGATAGAGCAAGACCCTGACTCTCAAAAGAAAAAAAAAAATCGGCAAACTACTTAAATTCTTCTGTGTAATTTCCCAAAGTAATGAAAAAGCAGAAATTCTAAGCAATCTACCAACAATAATCTTGGTCATGTCGAAAAAATAATTCCAAACAGAACTTAAGATGTGTCAGTAAGGTGACAGATCCAATGTTTACTCTGAAATTTACTACACATCCACAGGGTGCAGTAAAAGCAACCGCATCAGTCTACAGTGTACCTGGGTGTTTTCCCCAATTACCCTACCACATTTAATTAAAAATAAATGCAGCCTCAGTTGAAATCCTAAATGCTAATATGCTCGTCTGGGTTATTTCTTCTGAACTCGATAAAACGTAAGGAAAATTTGACTCAAGTGAACTGAGGATTTCTCCTGAGAGGAGGGACAGGACAGGAAAGGAGGTAAGAAAAGGAGTTGGGGGAAAAATGCTAAAAGAGAAGCGACGACTATTGGATTTTAAGTTTTAAAATCTTATTTCCACGAGCAACTCTCGCTCTCCGGGGGAAAAAGGGAGAGGTGAGTTGACTGGGAGTTCATCCCTCTGAGAAAAAGATCCGAAGCGGAGTCTCGTGTTGTCTAGCCCGGGCTCACACTGCGCCTCCCTCCATGCCCGGGAAAACCATCTTCAGGAGCAGATGCACCTGCCGGGGACACGGGGCGAGGGGTGCGGAGCCTCCTCCACGTACAATTCTGGGGCGAGGGGCAGGTCCAACATCCCAGATGGTGACCACCACTGCGCAAAGCCGGGGCGCAGCGACCTTCCACGCCCTGCACCCTCCCTGGCTGATGCAACCCACACAGGTCATTGGTCTCGGCCCCTTACCTAGCGGAGGGTCTCCTGAATTCACGGTCAGAGAGAGCGTCGCCATCTCCACCAGTCCGCTGGTCCACCTGTCAGTACGCCTGGCTCGTGCCAGAACTACGGAGGACCCCGCGAAAGGAAGAAGATGCAACGTGTGCGCGTACCCGACGCCGCCGCAGCCTTCGCTCCGCCCCTGCGCCGCAGCTACTGCCGACACCGCGCACGCCGCGGTGCGACATCGTCGCGCGCCGTCTTCGTCCCCGCCCGCAGGTTCCAGAGCCTGCTACCCCTCCTCTTGGCCGCCAGGGTTAGAACGGCCTGCGTGGCCTTTCGTGCTGCGGTGGGAAAGACGCTGAAGTGGACGGGACTTTACGACACTTCGTCAAGTCAGCAGGTCGTAAAACAGCAGGTTGTAAAACCATCTTTAAGATGGGATAGGCGTTTATGTGAAGCACGAAACAAAAGCATGCACTGTCTTTATGTAAAAAGAAAAGTCCTGGAAGCATACACACGATAGCCATGATTACGTTGGGAATGGGAGAAGTTTTTCTCGTTGTTTATTTTATACATTCCCCCCCGTTTTTTTTTTTCCAAAACAAGAACGTATTTTCAAGAGTTATTTGCGTGTTGAAAATAATGGTTAAAGGAAATATAAAAGACTCTTTAAAAATCACTGCAGGCCGGGCGTGGTGGCTCACGCCTGTAATCTCAGCACTTTAGAAGGTGTAGGCGGGCGGATCACCTGAGGTCAGGAGTTCGAGACCAGTCTGGCCAGCATGGTGAAACCCCATCTCTACTAAAAATACAAAAATTAGCCTGGCATGGTGGTGGGCCCCTGTAATCCCAGCTACTTGGGAGGCTGAGGCAGGAGAATCGCTTGAACCTGGGAGGTGGAGGTTGCAGTGAGCCGAGATCGTGCTACTGCATCCAGCCTGGGCGACAGAGTGAGACTCCTTCTCGAAAAGAAAAAAAAAAAAAATCACAGCAGAGGCCGGGCGCGGTGGCTCAGGCCTGTAATCCCAGCACTTTGGGAGGCCGGAGGCGAGCGGATCTCGAGGTCAGGAGTTGGAGACCAGCTTCACCAACATGGTGAAACTGTAGAGACGGGGGTCTCTACTAAAAGTACAAAAATTAGCCGGGAATGGTAGCGCGCACCTTTAATCCTAGCTACTTGGGGAGCTGAGGCAGGAGAATCGCTTGAACCCGGGAGGAGGAGGTTGCGGTGAGCCGAGATCGCGGCACTGCACTCCAGCCTGGGCGACAGACTGAGACCCCGTTTCAAAACAAACAAAAAATCACTGCAGATAGGCGCAGTGGCGCGCTCCTGTAGTCTCAGCTATTAAGAAGGCTGAGGCAGGATCGCCTGAGCCCAGGAAGATGAGGCTGTAGTGGCCTCGCCGTGGACTTGCCTGTGAGTAGCCACTACCCTCCAGCCTGGCCGACACAGGGAGAGACCTGATCTAAAAAACAAAACAAAAAAACCCTCCGATGCCGCCCCCAATCATGGAGTCCACAGGTGTTTTTTTCAGCGTCTCATCTGATTCTCCCTTTCAAATCCTTTGTGACGGACGTGCATGCATGAGCTCCAGAGATACTCCAAGGTGTATACACACATTCGTGTGTGTGAGCTGCACCCATATTTCAAGGGCTGGTGTTAAAGTACGGGGACCCGGGATGGATTCCAAGAACCATCTCAACCACATCCTCGCCTACACTTTTTCTTAACCTCCCCAAGACATCCTTGTTTTCATTAGGGAGGGCCCCTTAGATTACATCTCCCATGAGACTTGAGGCCAGGCGCGGTGGCTCATGCCTGTAATCCCAGCACTTTGGGAAGCTGAGGCGGGCGGATCACCTAAGGTCGAGAGTTTGAGACCAGCCAAGCCAACATGGAGAAACCCCATCTCTAGTAAAAATACAAAAAAATAGCTGGGTGTGGTGGTGCATGCCTGTAATCCCAGCTACTCGGGAGGCTGACGCCAGAGAATCGCTTGAACCTGGGAGGCAGAGGTTTCGGTGAGCTGACATCACGCCATTGCACTCCAGCCTGGGTAACAGGAGCAAAACTTCATCTCAATAAAAAAAAAAAAAAAAAAAAAGAAGCCTACTTTCAGGATAGTGGGACTTATAGCAGAAAGTCTTAGGTCTTAGAGTTACCATCTTGTTGGATGCTTTTACTAGTTCCAATCATTTTTTAGTTATGTTGGATTTTCTAGGTAAATATCATTTTCTTCCTATCCAAAATTTACATGACCTATATCTTATCTCTTTCATTGGCTAGAACTTCCAGAATGATGTTAAATGGGAGCAATAATAGTGTCGAATAAGAGAGTATTTGCTTTGTTCCTGACTTTAGTGGGAATGCCGCTAATGTTGCATTATCAAGAATAGTGTCTGTGGCCGGGCACGGTGGCTCGCACCCGTAATCCCAGCACTTGGGAGGCCGAGGTGGGTGGATCACCTAAGTAGAGGACTTCGAGACCAGCCTGATCAACATGGTGAAACCCTGTCTCTACTAAAAATACAAAATTAGCTGGGCGTGGTGGTGCATGCCTGTAATCCCAGCTACTCAGGAGGCTGAGGCAGGAGAATCGCATGAACCTGGGAGCTGGAGGTTGCAGTGAGCAGAGATCATGCCACTGTACTCCAGCCCGGGGCAACAAGAGCAAAAAGTCCGTCTCAAAAAAAAAAATGTTAAAGAATAGTGTCTGTAAGCCAGGTGTAATGGCTCATACCTGTAATCCCAACACTTTGGGAGGCTGAGGTAGGCAGAACACCTGAGGTCCGGAGTTCGAGACTAGCCTGGTGAATATGGTGAAACCGCGTCATTTTACTAAAAATACAAAATTAGCCTGGAGTAGTGGTGCATGCCTGTAGTCCCAGCTACTTGGCAGTCTGAGGCAGGAGAATCACTGGAACCCAGGAGGCAGAGGTTGCAGTGAGCCTAGATGGCACCATTGCACTCCAGCCTGGGCAATAAGAGCAAAACTTTGTCTCAAAAAAAAAAAAAAAAGAATAGTGTCTGCTAGGTTGGCTGCAATGGCTCTTGCTGGTAATGTCAGCACTTTGGCAGGCCCAGATGGGAGGATCACCTGAGACCAGGAGTTTGAAGGTACAGTGAGCTATGATCGCGCCACCGCACTATAGCCTGGATGACAGAACAAGACCCTTTCCCTGAAAATAAAAATAAAAAAAGAATAGTGTTTGCCGCTGGTTTCTTATATATTCTTAGGTTAACAGGGTTTTTTTTTTTCTTTTTGAGACAGAGTTTCGCTCTCGTTGCCCAGGCTAGAGTGCAACGGCATGATATTGGCTCACTGTAGCCTCCGACACCTGGGTTCAAGTGATTCTCCTGCCTCAGCCTCCAAAGTAGCTGGGATTACAGGCACCTGCCACCACGCCCAGCTAATTTTTGTATTTTTAGCAGAGATGGGGTTTCATCATGTTGGCTAGGCTTATCTCGAACTCCTGACCTGAGGTGGTCTGCCCGCCTCGGCCTCCAAAGTGCTGGGATTACAGGCCTGAGCCACCGTGCCCAGCCCTGGATTCTTTTTAAAATCAAGAATGGGTATTGGATTTTCACTCCTTATTATTGTGTACATAAACAGGAGATACAGAGATGAAAGGTGAAGTCCCTGTCCTCAAGAAGCCTTTTTTTTTTTTTTGAGATAGAGTCTCATTTTGTTGCCCAGGCTAGAGTGCACTGGCATGATCTGGGCTCACTGCAACCTCCGCCTCCCTGGTTCAAGCAATTCTCTTGCCTTTGCCTCCTGAGTAGCTGGGATTACAGGTGTGTGCCACCATGCCCAGCTAATTTTTGTATTTTTAGTAGAGACGGGATTTCACCATGTTGCCCAGGCTGGTCTCAAACTCCCAACCTCAGGTGTTCTACCTGCCTCAGCCTCCCAAAGTGCTGGGATTCTGTGCTGGGATTACAGGTGTGAACCACCACGCCCAAACTTTTTTTTTTTTTTTTTTAGACAGAGCAGGCTGTAGTCCAGTGGCACGATTATAGCTCACTGCAGTCTCAATCTCCTGGGCTCAAGCGATCTTCCCACCTCAGCCCCCCAAGTAGCTAGAACTACAGGCATGCTCACCATGCCTAGCTAATTTTTTATTTTCTGTAGGTATGGGGTCTGTGTTGCCCAGGTTGGTCTTGAACTCCTGGACTCAAGCAATACTCCTCCCTCAACTGCTCAAAGTAGTGGGATTACAGGCATGAGCCACCGTGCCTGACCAAGAAGGCTACAGACTTTGGGAGGCCGAGGTGGGTGGATCACCTGAGGTTGGGAGTTGGAGACCAGCCTGGCCAACATGGTGAAATCCTGTCTCTACTAAAAATAGAAAAATTAGCCTGGCGGGCATGGTGGCACACACCTGTAATTCCAGCTACTGGGGAGGCTGAGGCAGGAGAATCGCTTGAACTCAGGAGGTGGAGGTTGCAGTGAGCTGAGATTGCGCCACTGCACTCCAGCCTGGGCAACAGAGCAAGACTGTGTCTAAAAAACAAAACAAAACAAAACAAAAACACAAGGTAAATAAAAATTGCTACACAGTGAGATATATGTAGCAATAGAAATATGTTCATATTAAAAACATTTTGGGGCCGGGGTGCAGTAACTCACACCTGTAATCCCAGCACTTTGGAAGGCTGAGGCGGGTGGGTCACTTGAGGTCAGGAGTTTGAGACCAGCCTGGCTAATATGGTGAAACCCCATCTCTACAAAAAATACAAAAATTAGCTGGGCTTGGTGGCACATGCCTGTAATCCCAGCTACTCTGGAGGCTGAGGCAGGAGAATTGCTTGAGCCCAGGAGGCAGAGGTTGCAGTGAGCCGATATCGCATCACTACACTCCAGCCTGGGTGACAGAGTGAGATGTGAGACTCTGTCTAAAAAAAAAAAAAAATTGAAATGAGAGTAAAAATAATAAACTTTGCAGAAAGTACAAAGATAGCTCAGAAGATGGAAGATGATTATCCATGTTGAGTGAGGAAGGAAAGACAGAATGGTAAAGGAAAGCTTTGGCTAAAAGATGGCATATTTGGCTGGGCACAGTAATATACCTGTAATCCTGTATGCCTGTAATTACACCTGTAATCCTAGCACTGTGGGAAACCGAGGTGGGAGGATCACTTGAGGCCAGAAGTTTGAGATCAGCCTAGGTAACATAGCAAGGCCCTGTCTCCACAAAGAAAAAAAAAAAATTAGTTGGGTGTGGTGGTTTATGCCTGTAGTCCCAGCTACGTGGGAGATTGAGGCAGGAGGGTCACTTGAGTCCACTTGAGGAGTTTAAGGTTGCAGTGAGCTATGATCATGCCATTGTATTCAATCCTTGGCAACAGAGCAAGACCCTGTCCCCCCCCTCAAAAAAAGTATATTTAAGGAGTGGGGGAAAAAAGGGGGTAAAAGAAGAATATGAGCTAAAACCTGAAGTCATGAAGCTGTGTGTACTTGGAAAACTCTGACCAGTTCGTTATTGCCAGAATATAAAATCTTTTGGAAGTAAGGGACTAAAAGGCTGGAATGTAGGCAGACTAAATTAGGAAGAGTTCTATATATCATGCTGAGGAGCAAGATTTTATCTTATGATAGAAAGTCGGTGAAAAGTTTTAGGCAGGAGCAGGAGATGTGATTAGGATCATATTTTACAAGGATGACTTCGACAATAATATAGGAGATGACTTGGAGTGCGCAGAACTGGCATTAGGGAAACCAGTTAAGATGTTATTACAACAGTCCATATGAGAGAAAATAAAAGATGATGGCCTGAACTAAGGCAGTGGAATAAGATCTGAGAATAGAGAACAAGTTTCAGATATATTTAGGAGGTAAAATCAGTAATGACAGACGAGATGTTTGGGGAGGTGATGGTGAAAGAAGCAATTTTTTAATTTTTTTTCTTTTTGATACAGTCTCCCTCTGTCACCCAGGCTGAAGTGCAGAGGCACAATCTCAGCTCGCTGCAACCTCCACCTCCCAGGTTCAAGCACTTCTCATCCCTCAGCCTCCCAAGTAGCTGGGAGTACAGGCGTGTGCCACCACATCCAGCTAATTTTTCTGTATTTTTGGTAGAGATGGGGTTTCGCCATGTTGGCCAAGCTGGTCTCAAACTCTTGGCCTCAAGTGATCTGCCATCCTCAGCCTCCCAAATTGCTGGGATTACACTGCACCCGGCCGAGAAGCAAATTTGCCTAGGTTTATTCCTAGATTTCAGCTGGATAAATGGGTGGATGGTTATGTCATTATCAAAGGAGGGAAGACAAGAGAGGAAACAGAGTTGGCAAATTATTTGGTTCTAGACTGATTTTTTGAGATGTCTGTAAGATATGTAGGTGAAAATATCCTTTACAAATTGCAGATTTGTATAATATTTGTATTATATTTGTATAATTTGTATAATATATAATTTGTATATATTTGTATAATATTTGTAATATATTTGTATAATAATATAATAAAATCTGGGGCTCAGTTGAAATGTTTTGCTGAAGGTGTGAGTAGTTATTAAAATGGATGAGATAAGCCTGGAGAAGAAGATACAGAGCTATGCTATACAGTGTGGTAGGCACTAGACACATACGACCATTTTCTTTTTTCTTTTTCTTTTTTTTTGAGATGGAGTCTCACTCTGTCGCCCAGGCTGGAGTGCAGTGGCGCAATCCCAGCACACTGCAACCTCCGCCTCCCGGGTTCAAGCGATTCTCCTGCCTCAGCCTTCTTAGTAGCTGGGATTAAAGGCACATAGCACCACGCCCAGCTAATTTTTGTATTTTAGTAGAGACAGGATTTCACCATGTTGGCCAGGCTGGTCTTGAACTCCTGACCTCAGGTGATCCACCTGCCTTGGCCTCCCAAAGTGCTGGGATTACAGGCGTGAGCCACCATGCCTGGCCTCATTTTATTTTTTCTAACAGCGTCATTGAGATATAATTCACATACCATAAAATTCACCTATTTAAAGTGTATAATTCAGAGTTCAATCATCACCACAATTACTTCTAGAACATTTTATCATCCCCTAAAGAAACTTTGTACCCTTTGGCAGTCACTTCCCATTTCCCCTCAATCCTTGAAATATTTTTTAAAAATGTTTAAGGATGTAGATGACTTGACCCCTACCTGCATCCCCAATCTCATTTCTTTTTTATAATTTTTAATACCCAAGTTCTGCCTCAGGATCTATCCCAACCTCATTTTATAACACTCTGCCCCTTGTTCATTTTACTTCAGCCACTGTGGCTTCCTTTAAGTTCTTTTTCTTTGTCTTCTCAGAGATGTTGTTTGCTTGCTATATACACTAGAAATCTCAGCTCTTAGTGTGCCTGACCAGACATCATCTCCACGGAAAACATACTCCTATTTTTATGTACAGAAGATCCTCTTTCAACCCTCCAACCCTACCCCAGTTGCTTTCTAGCTCATCTTCCTGATTTCATTTATAGCATTTACCACAATCTAAAATTTTATTTACTTATTATCTGTCTTGTTTCACAAGAACACATGCTCAACAAAGGAACAGACTTATGGTCACTGTTACATCCACTGTTGAATGTTCAGTACCTGGCTGGGCAAGGTGGATCACACCTGTAATCCCAGCACTTTGGGAGGCCGAGGCGGGTGGATCACCTGAGGTCAGGAGTTCGAGACCAGCCTGGCCAACATGGTGAAACCCCAACTCTACTAAAAATTCAAAAAATTAGCCAGGCGTTGTGGCGGGCACCTGTAATCCCAGCTACTTGGGAGGCTGAGGCAGGAGAATCGCTTGAACCTGGGAGGCAGAAGTTGCAGTGAGCCTGGGCAACAAGAATGAAACTCTGTCTCAAAAAAAAAAAAAAGAAAGAATGTTCAGTACCTATGTTCAGTGCCTAACACATAGTAGGTGCTCAATAAATATTTGTTCAATGAATGGAGGCCATGCTAAGAGAAAAGATAGTGTTTTAGGGGAACTTTAAATGGTTGAGCATGGCTACAGTATAGGTTAGGGTCAGAGTTGATGCTGGAGAAGGAAGAAGCCATTAAGAGCTTCATATATCATTATAAGGAGTTTGCATTTTATCCTGAAGGCAAAGGAAAGCCATAAAATATTTTGAGTAAGGGGAATGGCATTACATTTGATTTTAAAAAATCACTTTGGGCCCGGTGTGGTAACTCACGCTTGTAAAATCACAGCGTTTTGGGAAGCTGAGGTGGGCGAATCCCTTGAGACCAGGATTTTGAGACCAGCTTGTGCAACATGGTGAAACCCCATCTCTACAAAAAATATACAAAAATGAGTCAGGCGTTTTTTTTTTTTTTTTTTTTTTGAGATGGAGTCTTTCTTTGTCACCCAGGTTGGAGTGCAGTGGCATGATCTTGGCTCACTGCAACCTCCATCTCCTGGGTTCATGCAATTCTCCTGCCTCAGCCTCCCAAGTAGCTGGGATTACAGGCATGTGCCACCATGCCTGGCTAATTTTTGTATTTTTAGGAGAGACAGGGTTTCACCATATTGGTCAGGCTGGTCTTGAACTCCTGACCTCAAGTGATCCACCCACCTCAGCCTCCCAAAGTGCTGGGATTACAGGCGTGAGACACCACGCCCGGCTTAGCCAGGCGTTACTGTGCAAACCTGTAGTCTCAGCTACTTGGGGGGGCTGAGGCAGGAGAATTGCTTAAGCCCAGGAGGTCAAGGCTGCAGTGAGCTATAAGCACACCACTGCACTCCAGCCTGGGTGACAGAGCGAGACCCTGTCTCAAAAACAAAACAAAACAAAAAAATCACTCTGGAGATGACGTGATAAATGGATGAGAGAGAGATAGATGGGTTACAGTGTAGGCAGAAAGATTAGTCAAGACACTGCAGGGATCTAGGGAAGAAATAACGGGGTATAAGGGTATAAACTAATGTAATTAATGTAGAGTCAAGAGTAATGGAGAGAGGATTTAGACTCCTACATATCTCACTTACATAAATTGGGTTTTCGTATAGGAACCTGAAGAAAATACCTTCAAAGTTATTTTCGGCCGGGTGTGGTGGCTCACACCTGTAATCCCAGCACTTTGGGAGGCTGAGGAAGGTGGATCACCTGAGGTCAGGAGTTCAAGACCAGCCTGGCCAACATGGTGAAACCCCTGTCTCTACTAAAGATACAAAAAATTAGCCAGGTGTGGTGGTGTGCCCCTGCTACTCGGGAGGCTGAAGCAGGAGAACCACTTGAACCCGGGAGGCAGAGGTTGTAGTGAGCTGAAATCATGCCATTGCACTCCAGCCTGGGTGACAGAGTGAGACTCCATCTCAAAAAAAAAAAAAAAAAAAAAAAAGTTATTATCTTAGGGCTGGGCGCAGTGGCTCACACCTATAATCCCAACACTTTGGGAGGCCAAGGCAGGCGGATCACCTGAGGTCAGGAGTTCGAGACCAGCCTGGCCAACATGGTGAAACCCCATCTTTACTAAAAATACAAAAATTACCTGGGCGTGGTGGCACATGCCTGTAATCCCAGCTACTCAGGAGGCTGAGGCAGGAGAATCGCTTGAACCCGTGAGGCGGAGGCTGCAGTGAGCCAAGATTGCGCCCCTGCACTCCAGCCTGGCGACAGAGCGAGACTCCGTCTCAAGAAATATATAAATAAATAAAAATAAAGTTATTCTCTTGTTACACTTAGATTTTTTAAAAATTAGGTTTAGTCCACTATTTACAGATAGAGAACTCCATTCGTAGAGGGAAGCAGGTGGATTCAGGTGATGATTTTCTAACTTGGCCAATTATCAAGATCACCTCATGGGTTTGTAAAATAATTTCTGGAGGGGTCGGGGCAAGAGTGAAGAACTGTTTAGACATAATCATTCAGACATCTCTGTAAGGCATCTAGGTAGGTTTTGGGGTATATAGATCTAGAGTTTGAGAGTTCTAAGCTAAAGATTTTGGATTAATGAGCAAAAGCGCCACAAAAGTCACACAGGTGGATTAGATCCTCTGGTGAGAAAGGAGAGAAAGCATAGTCCAGGTGCAGTGGCTCACACCTATAATCCCAGCACATTGGGAGACAGAGGCAGGAGGATTGCTTGAGGCTAGGAGTTCAAGACCAGCCTGGGCTGTATAGCAAGACCCCATCTCTACCAAAAAAAGAAAAAAAAGAAAGGAGAGAGACTAGAACAGAATCTTGGTAAACAGTGACATTTAAGGGAAGGAAGACAAAGAGAAAGCAATAAAGGAGACTGAGTAGGAGTGGCTAGGTGAAAAAAGAAAGCCAGGACAATGAGAAGAGACTTACAGGAGGGAGGGCTCAAAGGTGTCAAGACCACAGAGACCTCTTCCTGCTAGATTATGACACTTCTATAAAATAATACTATATTACCTTATCTAGTGAGTCCTAGAGTTAAATGATTATCAGTCCCTGAATTTCTTAAAATATACAGAAGCAGGCTGAGCGTGGTGGCTCACATTTGTAATCCCAGGACTTTGGGAGGCCAAGGTGGGCAGATTATGAGGTCAGAAGATCGAGACCATCCTGGCTAACACAGCGAAACCCCGTCTCTACTAAAAATACAAAAAATTAGCCAGGGGTGGTGGCATGTGCCTGTAGTCCCAGCTACTCAGGAGGCTGAGGCAGGAGAATCGCTTGAGCCCGGGAGGTGGAGGTTGCAGTGAGCCGAGATTGCACCACTGCACTCTGGCCTGGGTGACAGAGAGTGACTCTGTCTCAAAATAAATAAATAAATAAGTAAATAAACACACACACACACACACACACACACACACACACACAAGCAAAATCGTTGGGATAAACCCTGTGAATTTTTATTTTTATTGTTTGAGACAGAGTCTCGCTTTGTTGCCCAGGCTGGAGTGCAGTGGCACGATCTCAGCTCACTGCAACCTCTGCCTCCCAGGTTCAAGTGATCCTCCTGCCTCAGCCCCCTGGTAGCTGGGATTACAGGCACACACCACCATGCCCGGCTAATTTTCGTATTTTTAGGAGAGACAGGGTTTCGCCATGTTGGCCAGGCTGGTCTCGAACTCCTGACCTCAGGCGATCCACCCGCCTCGGCCTCCCAAAGTGCTGTGATTACAGGCATGAGCCACTGCGCCTGGCCTGTGAATCTGCATTTTAAAAGAATCTTCCTAGGTGATTCTGATATGCAGTTGAGTTTGGGAACTGTTAATTTAAACCACTTGTTGATTTGAAAACAGATAATTTTAATTAAAAGCAATGGACAGAGACCTAAAAATAAAAATCTAGGTATATTAGCAGAATAATTTTAATAGTTTATGTTATAATCTCTCATTGGAAGGAATAGAAGCAAGTACTTAGCTTTCCACAATTAAGCCTTATAATGATGCCACAAGAATAAACTAATCCCCAAAGTCGAGAATGTATAATTTTCAAACACTTTTTTAAAAAGCTGGTGAATAACAAAGAGCTAGGATTAAATAATTTATTTAAAAAAAACTTTTCTCATAAATCTGTTTCATAAGCATATATAATAACATCATATATATTCTTAATTGGAGTAGAAACGTTTTTAAAATTACTGTGAAAAACAAGAGTGAGATTCCAGAAAAAATTGTGCCCTAAAGAAATCTGGTTTAGGCCAGGTGCGGTGGCTCACACCTGTAATCCCAGCACTTTGGGAGTCCGAGGCAGACAGATCACGATGTCAGGAGATCAAGACCATCCTGGCTAACACGGTGAAACACCTTCTCTACTAAAAATACAAAAAATTAGCCAGGCGTGGTGGCGGTGCCTGCAGTCCCAGCTACTCGGGAGGCTGAGGCAGGAGAATGGCATGAACCCGGGAGGCGGAGCTTGCAGTGAGCCGAGATCACGCCACTACATTCTAGCCTAGGCTACAGAGCGAGACTCCGTCTCAGGAAAAAAAAAGAGAAATCTGGTTTAGAAGATAGGAATGTTCATTGAACATTGACCTGAACTGTCAATTGGAACTAAAGCTTTTTCTCATTTCTCCACCTAAATACAGGAAAACAAATATAACATATTGAGTTTATAAGTTCTCCAGACGTCAAAATTGGTCTGGTTGATTAATCAAGTTAAATTATTTAATTCTATTTTCTATTCCTAAATATAATAACTAAATATAAATCACTGCTCAACAATGAATAAAGGTGGAACTCTAATTCTACCCAATTAATCTTAAAATGTATTATTTTGAGAACCAAGTCTTTCTCCTAGCTAAGTAAATGAAACTTTAAGTACTTTTTGGGTTTTTGTTTTTTTTTTTTCTGAGACAGGGCTTAACTCCTGTCACTCAGGCTGGAGTGCAGTGGCACGATCTCAGCTCACTGCAACCTCTGCCTTCCGGGCTCAAGAGATTCTTCTGCTTCAGCCTCTCAAGTAGCTGGGATGACAGGCGCATGACAGGATGCCCAGTTAATTTGTATTTTTGTAGAGATGGGGTCTCACGATATTGCCCAGGCTGGTCTCAAACTCCTGAGCTCAAGTGATCCACCTGCCTCGGCCTCCCAAAGTGCTGGGATTACAGGCATGAGCCACCGCGCCCGGCCAAATGAAACTTTCCTTTAAGGAACAAGTGCATTTTTAATAGATTCTGGAACTCGGCTTGCATAGTAGTCATAATTCCTCAGTGTGGCCAGGACTCCTGCAGAGTTCATATGCTTCACATCCTTGTGGTACTGAAGAACATTCCCATGGATATCGGTTAACTTGCCTATAGAAAAACATCAATCAATCAATCAAGTTAGTGGCTAATTGGATTGTGGTTTTTCTAGTTATTTTTAAGTGCCTTTTGCTTCCTTATCCAATAGTAGCCAATAAATTCTGGATGAAATAATGAGTGTCCATAAAGGTTAAGTTTTAATTCACTTGAAATTTAAGACTACAGAACAATTTTAACTAACTAAAGGATATAAAATTATTTTTTCTCTGATTAATATTAATTTTATTTAGCATTTTCTTTTCTTTTTTTTTTTTTTTTTTTTTTTTGAGATGGAGTCTTGCCCAGGCTGGAGTGCAATGGCACAATCTCAGTTACTACAACCTCGGTTCACTACAAGCCCAGGAGTTCAAGGGTGCAGTGAGCCATGATTGCACCACTGCATTCCAGCCTAGACAATAGCGACCCTGTGTCAAAAAAAAAAAAAGGCTATAAATAAGGGCTAAATTAAATTAACTGTATGCAGATCAAAGTTCAAAAAAAGAGACGATAACTAAAGTAAAACTTGCTGAAAATCTGCTCTCTCATCCATCTATCATATGAGGGGTTTGGACTGGATAATCTCTAAGCTGCCTTCTAGCTTTTATAT